>NC_000020.11:22579147-23207350 GCF_000001405.40 Homo sapiens
ACTATATCTTATCGGCCGGGATCAGTGAAGGGGGGCGCGCTAAGTAGTTTAAAACGACCCTCGCACAATGGGCGTGCCATACGAAACATAGCAGGTTAGGGCAGCGCTTTCAGCCTCCATTGTCCCCCACTCGGCCCCCGGCCCTGCCTCTCGGCTCCTTCGCCACGGGAGCCTTTTATGTGATAATGAAACACATTTCAGGCCGGGCTCACGACGTGTGTGTCCTTGCTAGGAGGAGAGACGGCCTGATTGCTGGCTGTGGCCTCCGGATCCCCCCCTCCCCAATTTCTCTTCCTTGTGTTCTTCGGGACAATGTGGCATGTTAAGAAAGGGATTTGGTGGCGGGAGGGGGGCAGTGGCGGGTGGGAGGCGGAGGCGATGCCAAACCCCCCTCAAGCGCGTGGGAAGGCCAGGCTTGTTGGGGAAGGCGGCGGGGTGGGGGATGGGGTGGCAGAGACCCCAGCAAGGTAGCACTCAAAGACAGTCTCCAGGTCTGGGGCGTAGCTGGAACACTCCAGGTTAGGATGGTCAAGAAGCCCAAAGATCTAATCTTGAAAAAAGGAGCCTGAGCTTAGAAACCTGAGGCAAAAAGTCCTAGCCTCCAGGCTTTCGGAGTGTTTTTACCCACCGCAAGCCACTGCGCGCGGGAGTGGCTCCCAAGTCTGCCTGACCCGCGACGACACTGATCCTGCCCTCGCCCAGCCAGCAGATGTCCTGGGCAAAACCAACACCAGACTCCCCTTTGCGCTGTCGGCCTTGGTTTTCACTGCCGTTGGCCGTCCTTTTAGGCCAGCGAGGTCGTCTGGGGGGAGAGGCAGCATGGTGTATAAGAATTCACTCTGGGATTTTTCGTTATACTTTTAGAGTCCTTGAAGGCTCACAAAATACCTGCATAACCCCTGGACCCTGCAAACCTGGATTGCCAACCTCACCTAACTTACAAGAAGATTTGCAAGAGCCTTGAGTTTTGGAGGGAGATGGGGAGCAAATTTGCCGACAGTGGCATCTTCACTACTGTCATGGTCCATTGGCCAGACACCCCTTACCTCCTCCTCACTCCCAAATATACCCTATTTTTAAAAAACAGACTTGGATTGTTACCCTGACTTACCCTTTCAAACCAATTCCAGGAGAAGATCTTCTAAATGTTTCCCTACACCAAGTGTCTCGCCATTTCTGGGTTAGTAAGGTCTTTCTGGGTTAGAAAGGTCTGCCATGGTTGTGCACAATACCTGCTCCAGGGAGAAGGGTGGGAAAGGGTGGCACCCTGTGTACAGAGGAGGCTGGAAGATCCAGGCAGAGTCCCAATTCCACCACTGTTCACAGTGGTGAACAGGCAAAGTGCTGCACCACAAATTTGCAAGTTTGATCCAGGCTCATTGACCTGAAGGGAGGCCCAAGATCAGAAGTACAGCAAAAACATGTGAAATTGAGGCTTCCCCCAAGAGAAGCAAGCTGTGGGGCCCAAGAGACCACAACAACAGGGCACATTCAAACAGCCAAGGTGGAAAATTGTGATATGTGGAGAGTGATCTTCTACTGGCTTTAAAAATAAACCTGCTGGAATGGTCTTCCTGGGATCTGTGTATTTCATTGTGTGTAAAGTTAACCCCCAAATTCAAAAAGTAACCATAAACCATACAAGTTCCATTTAATAATGTGCTTGCTTTAGTGTTTAGGGGGATGTGTACTGGTATCTGCAAATTTGAAGTGGATTTAGAGAAATAAGATGGATTGACCAGTGGAGGTGAAGATAGATGGACAAGTATGTGATAAAGCAAGTATAATGAAATGTTAATTGCAGAATCTCGGGAGCAGGTCCCTGTGTGCCTACTGTAAAATTCATTCAATTTTGGTATGTCTGAAAATTTTATTAATAAAATGTTGGGAAAACAGCAACACTCCCTGGGCCAAAATAAAATACAACCTGCAACCAGACAGGGTATCCCTCCCTCCTTCTTGAAATAATTTCCAAGCCTGTATATTTTGTAAGCCAAGTAAAGAAAAGAAAAATCTGGAAGAAAAGATTCAAGGGATAAAACCGGGTATAACACTTTAATATAGATTTGTGGAACTCTGGCCCTTGCAGCCAGAATACACATTTATAAGCCATAAATAAAGCACGCAGAAACCATAAATTAATCGGACCCGAGACCTGGATTTCACCGTGTCAAGATTGGGAATGCTTTTTTTTTCTTTTTCTTGGTCATTTACAACAGACCCTTACATTATTTTTTTTCCTGTTTTTAAACAATAGTACAACCCTCTGGTTCTGTTAAAACTACATGGTTTTACACCGAGTCACTCACAAAATTTTTTTTTTTTTTTAAGTAAGACTTCCCTGCAACAACAGCAATGGAGGAGAACAACAACAACAAAAAAATCAGAATCTGCAGGTGCTTGAAGAAGCAGGAGTCTACACAGTAGTGGAAACCGGAGGCTTTTTTTTAACTTTATATTCTTTCCCGTTTTCCTCCTTATATAGAACGTGGGGTATCTGTGTGGCCCTCTGTTTGGGACGGAACGGCTGCAGCGGGTGAAGAAGACTGCTGTCTTGGGGGTGTTGGGGTGGGGGTGTTATGGATTTCTTCTCCCTTGCGTCTCTGCAACACCGTCTCCCCAAAGTCTCGACCCCCACTTGCTCTCTCACTTGTCCTCGATCCGGGGTGCCAGAGTTAGCCGGGCCTGAAGCCGTCGTCTTCTTAAGAGGAGTTCATAATGGGCCGGGAGTACACCCCCTGGTAGTAGGAGGTATCTGCGGCCAGGGGCGAGGCGTCCAGGCCCGTTTTGTTCGTGACCGGGCCCATGGCCAAGCTGCCAGGCATGGGGGAACCGTAGCCGGGGTAGTGCATCACCTGTTCGTAGGCCTTGAGGTCCATTTTGTGGGGTTGGTGGTGGTGGTGGCTGTGGTGGTGCTGCTGCTCCGAGGACATGAGGTTGTTGATGGAGAACGGGTGGTTGAAGGCGTAGTGGTGTTCCGGCTTCAGGTGGGCCTCAGGCGGCAGGCCCGGGTGGTGGGGCGGGCCCAGCAGGTGGGCCGCGGCCTGCTGCTGCTGCCCGGGAGAGGGCGCCGGCTCTGGGGGGCTCAGCGCCGCAGCCGGCGTCCCCTTCAGCTCTCCCAGGCCCCCTCGCTTGTGCTCCTGGCACGGGGAGGCGCTCGAGTGAGGCGACTCGGTGCCCGCCGGAGTCTCGGAGGCCGGCCCGGCGGCCTCCCCGAGTTGAGCCTGTGAGGCCTGGGCTCCGGCGGCCGCCTTCTTGCCGCTGCCGGCGGCGCCTGCGGCCTCCTTCAGCGCCAGCTGCTTCTCGCACTTGAAGCGCTTCTGGCGGCGCAGGTAGCAGCCGTTCTCGAACATGTTGCCCGAGTCAGGGTGCAGGGTCCAGAAGGAGCCCTTGCCGGGCTTGTCGGGCGAGCGGGGCACCTTCAGGAAACAGTCGTTGAAGGAGAGCGAGTGGCGGATGGAGTTCTGCCAGCGCTGCTGGTTCTGCCGGTAGAAGGGGAAGAGGTCCATGATCCACTGGTAGATCTCGCTCAGCGTCAGCATCTTGTTGGGGCTCTGCTGGATGGCCATGGTGATGAGCGAGATGTACGAGTAGGGCGGCTTTGCGTGCGTGTAGCTGCGCCTGTAGGTCTTGGGGTCGCGGGCGCGGCTCAGGCCCGCCTGCCCGTACATGGGGCTCATGGAGTTCATGTTGGCGTAGGGGGCCAGGCCGCCCATGGCCCCGGCCGCCTGCCCCCCGAGCGGGCTCAGGCTGGGACTCAAGTGCGGCCCCATGCCCGCCACGCCGGCCGCCCCGGCCGAGCCGCCCATGCCCGCCATGGCGCCCGCGCCGGGGGACATCCCCGCCAGGGACGGGCTCATGCCAGCGCCCACGTACGACGACATGTTCATGGAGCCCGCGCTCATGTTGCCCGAGCCGCTGCCCATGGCGGCCGCCGACATGCTCATGTACGTGTTCATGCCGTTCATCCCCAGGCCGGCGTTCATGTTGCTCACGGAGGAGTAGCCCTGCGGACAGAGCCCCGGGAGGGAGGCGACAGCGTTAGCACCGCGGCTGGAGGGTGCCCAGACCTCCCACCCACCGCCCAGGCCTCCGCGTCCGGGGAGGCCTCCGGGGAGCCCTTTCGTCCCCGATGGCCCAGTCTCCGGACTCCGAGTCTGTTTCATTCAGGGAGAGTCATGATCGATCGCCCTTGGGAAGGTGGCGAGCGGATTGCTGCTTGGGCATGTGGCCCGTTCCTAGCCCTTCTCCACCTCGCCCAGATTCTAGAACAGGGGTCCCATGGAGTACTCCCAAGCCAGCACCCCAAATACATTCCCCTACCCCAGAGTCTCCCCAAACTCTCCCACCAGCATACTGAGCTGGCGCCGAGGCCCGAAGTCCCCGGACGCCACCTCCGGTCGCAGCAAGCAACCTGCGGGACAACGCGCGGGGCGCCTCGGGCTGCCTCCAGCGAAGACTGTCCCGGGCCCCCTCTGTCCGGTCTCCCTCCAGGGACCCCCTCCCTTGTCCCAGGGAAACTGCAAGGCAGTGCCTGTGCGGAGTGCGGGGGCGGCTGGAGGCACTGAACGGGGCAATAGGGAAAGAACCGAGACCTGAACCACACGCGGCTGAGCTTTGCAGGCAAAAACTTTCTTTCTCTTTGTCCACTAGTCTTTGACTCTGCCTCCACTTCAGCCCCCAACTCCTACCCATCTTCTCCTCCTCAGCTCCCCACCCCCTCGCCGGCCGACCTCCCACCCCTCCCCAGCCGCGCGCTGCCAAACATAACTCTGTTAGGATAGTGCGTGGCTCGGCCACGAAGAGGATTTGGAGGCGCCGCAAGTCAATATTTGATCACAAAGTTAATATTATCTCAAGGCTAACAGTGTGTCGTATAAAAAAGAGACCCATTTGATTCCAAGGAGGGCGGAAAAGGCGGCTGCCCAGAAAGGCTGGGGTTGTGGGGCGGGGTGGGGGGGTGCCAGCGAGGGAAGCGGTCCTGAGGTTGGGGAAGGAGCGAGCGCCGCCGCTCCACTTCCCCCTGGAAAAGACGAGCGCTTACCTCGGGCTCTGCATAGTAGCTGCTCCAGTCGGACGGCTCGTGCCCTTCCATCTTCACCGCTCCCAGCATACTGGAAGCCGAGTGCATGGCAGTTTAAAATTTAACAGCCACAACAAACGACCAGCAATCACCCCCCACCCCCACCCTCTTTTAAAAAAAAGTCAGCCAAAGCACCGTCCCCTCCTCCCTCCCTCTCTCGCGCTCCCTCTCCCTGGGCTCCACTCCCTCTCTCTCCCTGGGCAGGCCGGAGGCGGTAGTTGGAAGTGGGCGGGAGGTGGGGGGGGGCGAGGAGCGGAGGAGGCCCAGGCCAGCGCCCCGCGGTAGGGAGCACCCGCCGCCGCCGCGCTCACGGGCTGCCGGGTGGCGGCTGAGGTTGGCAGTGCCGAGCTGCCCCGAGGCGGCGGGAAGCGCGCGGCGCGGGGGCTAGTGGGGGGGTGGGGAGGAGGAGGAGGAAGGAGGAGGAGGAGGCGGTGGTGGTGGTGGAGGAGGAGGAGGAGGAGGAGGAGGAGGAGGAGGAGGAGGAGGTGTGGACCGCGGAGCGGACAAGTGCCGCAGTGACGTGGGAGGCTGGTGATATAGCGCGGCGCGCTGGCGCGGGCCTCCAATCCCCAGACCCGGGGCAGCCCATTTGAATAATCAGCTCACACCTAGGTGAGAGGTAGCCGCAGCCGGCGCTCCGCACCTGCCCCTCAGCGCCTGCCGTCCGCCCCACCGCCGCGGCGCCCCGCACTCCTGGGCGGGCCAGGGGAGCGGGCTGGGCGGGCGATCGGGCACGCGGGATCCCTGGTCGAGCCCCCTTTCCTCCCGGGTCCACAGCGAGTCCCCTGAGGAAGGAGGGACCTGGGAGGAAACCACCCTCTGGGGCGGCTCCGGCCTCCAGCCCCCGCCCCGTCTCATCGCGCCGGGCGCCCGGTGCGCCTGTCGGAGGGCGCGTCCAGCCTCAGTGCCCGGCAGATCCCTATGAAAGCCGGATTTATTTATGCCGGGTTTCTTCGCTCTCAGTGCTCATTCTCTGTCAAAACAGCAAGTCCATGACAGCCAATTTGCAAAGCGCTGTCCTATTTAGAAAAACTACGTACACACCTTTAACTCGCCCGCTGCTGCTCCTGCGAGGCCCCTCCCTGTTACAGTTCAGACCCGGAACGGCCTCGGGAGAAGCGCGGGGCGCACGGTCTGGCCGCCTCGGCTCTCCGACTCCTCAGACACCGGCCGCCAGGGACCCGCAGTGGGGCGGCCGGCGCCTGGCGCAAGCAGCCCCTCTAGCAGCGGCCGACGGTTGGGAGGCTGAGATTTGTCTCTGATATTCAGGCCGGCGTGTTTCAAGGTTACTTTTCAGTCACAACCGAGGTGCCCACAGCATTTCGTAACTAAAACAAACAGGGCAGGAGGTGGGGAGGGAGGGGTGAGGAGAGAAGAATCCAGGAATCAATGATGGGGCATATGGAGTTGACTTCAAGAGCGTCTCTGTCCTCTCTGTCTTCCAGAGGGACTGCTTAATAGAAATTAGAAACTCCAGCAATCGTATACTTTTATTTCCCCAGCAGCTCTTGGGTTCAAAAATTGTCTTCTGTTCTGGGTTAGCCTGTGAGCCCAGATTTGGAGTGGGGGGATATTGCAGGTGTTTGGATGTGGAGGCTCTTTCTTGGTTCTGAAAACCTGGCTGGACCTTGGGGATCCAGCCCTGTACCCACCCCCTCAGACACAGAGAATGCATAGGAACTAGTGGGCATCCAGCCCACCTGTCCAAAATTGGGGGCGATGGTGGCAGAAGACAGGCGAGATGGCAGACACGGAGCTTCGCATTGAAGCTTGAGTAAGGGTGAGGCTGGAAGGCAAGCGAGGAGGTAGCAGTAGGCACAGGGGAACCACTTCCCTAACCCCAGGACTCTCAGGTCTGCACGGTTTGGGACACAGAAGGAAGCCGCCGGCAGCATCTTTTGCTGCTGAAATGCAGATGGTTTGGACACTTCATAAAGAGGGCATTAATAAGCCCGCCGAGTGAGCGCCAGGGCGGGATTCTCCCACAAATTCAAGGTCTGTATCTCCGCGGAAGCCGTGCCTATCGGTCCCCCGAGTGCTGAAGGCTCCCACGAGGGGCAGGCCAGCCCGGTGCGCCAGGGAAGGAGCTTGATGGTGTGTACGGCTACGTAGTGAACGTGGAGGTGTGCGCAGCGGAGTCAGAGGGGCTAGATCCCCAGCATTTCCCACGGGGTCCCACCTAGCGCGTGGATGGGAGCAACTTCATCACTCCACCGAGGGCAGGGAAAGAGGAGTAAGCATTGGAGCTCAAAGAATGAGCAATTTTTCAAAGCTTTCTCCGCAGGCCTGGGCAGACACACACGCACACACACACACACCGCACCCCCAAAACTCAAAAGAATGTTATGGTTGACCTAGTCTGTGCGTGTGCTGTATGAGAGTATTTGTGAGCTTATGTGGGTGCCCACTTCCCTTTCTATTTTGCTCCTGGGTGGAAATTTGGTCCCAGAAATTATTCCAGGAACAGAAGGAGCGAGCTGGAGGGCCGCAGGAGAAGGGGGCGCTACACTTCCAAGGAGCGGACTTTGGAAGCCCCCACCTCCACCACAGCACTATTGGTGGCCGGGGTCAGGGACACCAGAGAGCGCTCGGCGGGGGCTTCCACAGTGACAGGGCGCCCCCTGTCGGCCGCCAGGCCCGCGGGACCGACCCGAGTCCTCATTTACCCCCGCGATCCCAACCCCGCAGCTCCGGCACCGGAGCACCTTCTCCCCCGCTCTCCCAGTCTCTCCGAAAACGCCTTCGGGGGGACTCGGCCTTTTTGGAGCCCCAACCCCTAGGTTCTGCGCGAACCCAAAACGGCCTCCTGCACCCTGGCGAGGTTCTGGGAGCTCCGGTAGGGTAGGGCTGGATGACGCCTCCTAGAGTCTCGGAGCAGCCGCTCCCGCACCCTCCCGGCACGCCTGCCCATGGGAATGCGAGCGGGGTCTACGGTTAGCTTTAGGTAGCTGGGAGCGGGACACCAACGGGCTGCGAAGGAAGCAGGGACGTTCAGACAGCCTGGGGTTCGCGTTCCCTTCCAGCTCAGCGGTCTTTGGAGCTCCTCCTTCCCGGAGTTCTGATTTCTAAAGGGCTATCCAGAGTTCTGGCTCAGGCTTGAATGCTGAAGATTGCTCCCGGAGTTTCTCTCCAGGAAAAAGTTCGCGGGGACCTCGGGCTGCAGATGTTTCTCCCAATCCCTCTTTAGTCTACCCTCATGTAGGGCCGAGACCTACAGAGCCCTTCCCTTTCCATTTTGTTAGGTCACCGCCGGCTTCTATAATAAAGCTGCTTTATAACTGAGGACTGTGCTTGGGGTTAGCATGCTATTTTTATTTTGGATGTTGCCTCAATGGCAAAGTCATAAGACTCGAGTTCAAATCCAGGCCTCCTCTGCTCTCCCTGGGAAGAAAACACCCAGGCCATCCAGGTCTCCTAGGCCTTCATCTTGCTGGAACAATCTGCGTTCCCCTAGCAAAAGTCCTCCCTAGAGCTCTCTTTGTCACATGAAACCAACCAGTGCAGAAGGGGCATCATTGAACAGAACTCAATTTTCCTAAGTGAGAACCCATGAAATACCTAAGGAGAAAAACAATAAAAGTCCCATTAATACTCCAATTCCTAAAACCTTTCAGAGAATAAATACCCAGGCAAGGCCTTGCTCAAAGTTCCCCAGCGTGTTTAGGGCAACATAAGGCAGATATGTAGGCAAGATGAAGGCAGAGGGGATGGAAAAGTGACAGCACAGTCTTGGGAAAGTATGCATTTTTACTTTCTTATAAACTTTTTAATTGGTAAAAAAGCAGATGTCCAAACACCCCTTATTCATTCTCTGGATGAATCTCAAGTCTCAATGAAGAAAAGGCATATCGTGTGTCAAAGATTATAATCAACATTTCACTTTCTTTGGGTGGGTTATTATTTCTGAAATGTACTGAAAAATCAGCCAGGCGCAATGGCTCATGCCTGTAATCCCAGCACTTTGGGAGGCCGGGGCGGGCGGATCACCTTAGGTCAGGAGTTCAAGACCAGCCTGACAAACATGGTGAAAACCCATCTTTATTAAAAATACGAAATTAACAGGATGTGGTGGCCCATGCCTATAATCCCAGCTACTTCGGGGGCTGAGGCAGGAGAATCGCTTGAACCCGGGAGGCAGAGGTTGCAGTAAGCTGAGATCGCACCATTGCACTCCAGCCTGGGCAACAAGAGCAAAACTCAATCTCAAAAAAAAAAAAAAAAAAAAAATTAGACCATCAAAATTTGTCTACTTGGCACTGAGCACACCTTCAAACACTTATGTTGGCTTTCAAAGTTCTTGGATGGTCAAAAGACCAGTTGTTTACGGAGAGGGCAATTGAAAAGGTCATTAGCTAAGAACACCTTATCAGAGGGTATTTATGTAAAAGAATAAAAAAATTCAGCATGTTGCAGCCTTCAGCAAAGGCTCAGGAAAATGCTGATAAAGGGGGAGGCAAGGTGCAACATTTTAAGTTTAATACTGTGTGCACCTGCATGCAATTTATCTCTCCACCGCAAGATCCACAGGAAAAGATGAAACATACATTTTTAAAATGAGAAAATAAAATGAATTAAATAAATACGATGTTAGTAACCTTGATTATGTTTGGGTGGTAGAATTATATCTTCAATCTATGTTTTTAGAAGTATGGGTGGTATCATTTTATATCACTACTTTATTATTACATTCTCTTTTACTATTTTATGGTGAAATATGTAATAAGGATATTGGATCTGATGTTAAGGAAACTTTGGCAAAATAACTTGTGCAAATATTCATTCAGTTCTCATCCTTGAAAGGAGATCAGAGAAGCCACCATACAAACTGACGACAGGTTTGAGTTCTGAAAAACAAGGCATTATTATTTTGTCTTACTGGTATCAGGGGATGAACTGTGATTTTCCCTGAGTTGAGAGAGGAAGAGAAGAAATATTCATGTCAACCACAGGTATTGACTTACCAGGGTGGTTTCTGCATATTGTTTAGGGGAAGGAGACAGACTCTGTCCTCTGGGTGGGGTGCCTTTAAGATGGATCTGGCACACAGATCTCTTGCTTTATGCATGTAGAATTTGATCGTTGTGCCGAAGGTTGGGTTTCAGTTATGGATTGTCCATCTTTTATGGGACTTCTCAGTGGATGGATTGAGCAGTTGCGGATTCCACTCCCATCTGTGGAGGTCTGTGAAGAAAGCCAGTGCTCTGCCCATTCTGGGCCAGGGTTTGACAAATATTTCTGGTATATATTTGACAACCTGTTCACCATTCTTGTGTTTTTAGCACATTTCTGGTATGTGGGACTATTATAGCAGGTAATTAAAATAATTGGAAGAGATAAAAATAAAAAATGACAAGTTTTAGTAGCAATAACAACATGCCAACCTGAGTGAGAATAAACTTCTCTTTGAGGGATGCTTAAATTAGATGCATCTGCATTTGTGGCCCTGGGAGCTATTTCATACATTTGGATGTTATTCTTGGGAGAAATCTCAGTTATTCCTGCCAAACAGGCAAGCAGTAAGCTTCATGAAGGACAAGAGTCATGGGGCGTCAGTCATAGACTACCTGGAGAATCCAAACCCAGGCATTCTTTCTTAGGATACCATTAGGCCTATGAGCTGCTGATTACTTAGTTGGATAAACAAATGCACTTTCAACAAGTATGAAACAATGCAGCATACGAGAGACATGGAGATCAGAAAGAAGCCACTAAGTCCTGGGTTTCCTGGCTGATGCTTAGGAAGCAGTTGTTTGCTTCTCGTTTCCATCTCAAATGGTACACAGTCTCTGAATCAACAAAAAGAGCTATATATAACTTGCTCTAATATTAAGCAATGACAAGGATGGGGAGTTTATATGTTTTGGATTCATTCAGCAAATATTTAATGAGCACTTACTATATTCCAGATGGTGGACAAATAGGCAAAGCCATGGGCTTCTAGAAACTAAGTCTGTTTTCCTCTTTTACTTCCACCTTTTCTCCCTTTTTCTGCCTCAGGTCCCAGCCTCTTTACTTTTAAGCCTTCTTCCAATCATGACCTTGGAATTTCCAAGTGCTAAAATCCTATTCCAAAGGGAAAATTATACATTTCACCATTCTAAAATAGTCTAGCTGCGGGCAGAGATGGACTAAAACCCAAGGCGAAGAGCCTGGTTTGACCCAGAATCAATAGAAAAAACAAGGGCTCAGCTGTCATATAGACAAGCAGCCCTGCAGTAGCCCAATTCTCTCCTGTCGCCATTGGCAATTCCTGTACAATATCAGTTTCCTATCAAAGGGATAACTAGGGGTTTCTAGCTTCCAGGAGAAAGAAGGATGAAGGTGGCCAGAGGTACAGCTTCACGCGGTGGATGCTGCTTGGGAGCCTCGTCCTGTGTCAAACATAGCTCCTAATGCTTTGTAATGCACGCATTTGCATTATTTAGCTCTTTGTTAATTTTACTCCCAAGAGTAATTCCAGAGGAAGGATTGTGGAGTTCTCTGCAAAAAGGAGAGCTTCAGGGAGGGGTACCATATGACAGCAACAGTGACCCACTAGGACTGGGCAAATGAACTAGGACTGGGATGGCCCCTCACACCCTTATGTGCATAGGAATCCCTTGGTGATCTTGTTAAAATGCAGATTCTGATTCCGCAGGGAGGGGCTTGAGTTTTGCATTCCTAACAAGCTTCCAAGGGATGCTGATGCTGTCAGTCTGGTCCACTGACCACAGGTGGAATAGCACAGCTTTAAAGATCTGTTTCTCTCATGGATCCTGTAGTCTGTCCCTAGCTGGGTGGTGATATATGACTTGATAAAATGAGAAGTACAGCTTCCTTTTCAGCTTCTGCAGGTTCCCTAGTGCATCTACGTCCTTCCCCTCTCAGCTGCTCTGAGCCACACCAACTCTTCTCACAGCCACAGTTCATGGTCCCCAGTCCACAGAAGTCAGAACTTGTCTGTGCAGCCCAAGCAATGTAGTGGTCCTCCCGCAAAGCAGAGCTGCCCACCCCCCATGCCCCCTGTGGTGCATTGTTAGCTCACCCCACACTCCCCCTCCTATGCTGTGTTTTCCGGAGACAGGGACCTCCCTGGTTGACAGGGTAGGAAAGGGGACCTGTGGCAATTATCAGCTCACAATGTGGAAACATCATTTTAAAAGTATATATATATATATAAAAGCCAGACTGAGTAGTGTCAGCTGCAACCTCACTGCATCAGCAAACACTCACCAAGACTCTTTTAAATTTTCTCCTTAAGGAAGAGGCCCCAGAGAACACAGACTGATCGTGTCCAGTTGCCCACCTCTGGGGCTGGGCTGGCCCTGAAGGCTATGCAGGGCTTCCCACTCAAAAGAAAAAAGGGATAGGACCGACCTCTCCCAAGCATCCCCTGAACCTCTTCCTTGATCCCAATATGCATTTAAGAAACAAAATAGAAAGATCAAAAAGAAGGGAAAGTGAGGAAGAAATTCCTGCTTATTGAGTTTCAAATGAGATTTTCATGGTCCTCCTGGAAACGACCTGAGTCTCTTGTGATGGCAACTGGAAATGGGAAATTTCCTCCACAAAATTTGGACTGACATTGAGTTGGCATTGCCTACCCATGCATGAGAAAATAACATTATTAGGAAAAATTAAAACTGAACCCATAGATTTCACAATTACCCCCTTTGTTAAGAAATACAACTGTTCTCCTTAGTGCACCACTCAATTTTTTCCCAACATATATAACAGAAAATGCTCAGAAATTAAAATTTGTGTCTCAAAGATGAGAAGAATTTTTCAAATTAGGCCATTCCCTTAATGCTTATTTAATTTGCAATATACATTCATAATTAGTGATAAGATAATTTTTCCCTTTGGGGGAATTTAAATGAAGCATTCATTCTGGAAAGGTTCCTTTCCTTCACATATGAACTGCTAAAAGAGACAGAAAATATTTCTTTCTGTGGGCAAATTTAAAAAATTCCTACCATATTTATAAAGGCACATAAATAATTAATGTAGAAACACTAAAAAATTTAGACCAAGAATTAATCAATGTGTCCTTTTAAGGCAATGTGGATTGGGGATAATAAAACTGGTGAAAAATTATACTAAGCTGCTTTGAGATTCCTGGATGGAACCAGATATAACACACAAACTTATTTTTCAGTTGTCCCTTTCACACCTGGCTACTAAATCACCCCATAGGTTGCCTCTGTTAGTCTAGAAGGTTGGAATATGTGATGCTGCCTGGGAATGAATTATACTATGTTATATGAAAAATTATGATGTAAGTGACACATAATATTCTCCGGAGGAGTCTACATGAATAAGTCTATACCTTTCAAAAGTTTAGGAGTTTAGATGTGCCGTTTAAGTGTGAAATCTGGCAAATTCATTCTCCTAATTCTTCAAAATAAACTGCTAAGTAGATGCTAATGTTGAGAAACATGGGTCAGAGTTCCTTGGGGTGGGAGCTCTGATCTGACACTCACTATCCCCATTCTCATAGTTAAGTAGAAAGTGAAAAGAGACTGTTTTATCTCTACTCACCTGTTTTCTTTCATTCTTTTCTCCCTCTTAACATATTAAATTTAGAAATACAGAATTCTTTCTTCATGTACATTACCCAAGAGTTTCCTTTACCTACCCTCCTCCAAATGACTGAGCTCTCAAAGACTAGAGAGAAGTCAGGGTAGAGGCTAATATTTTCTTCAGACTTGATGATTCATGCAAGCCTTTTACATAAGAGAGCTCACTTTGTTTTTGGGAAAACTGGGGTGAGGGACATTGATGGCTCACCCAACCCTTCTGATCACAATCTAGGCCCTCTGACCCAAATCTTGACCTGTTTTCATTTTATAATTTTCTTTTTTTCCCAAAAGGCATTCCTTTAGTTAGATGGAGAAGTTATCAGAAACCTGGGAGAAAAGAAAATACTCAGAGGTAAAGTTTCCAGGTTATTGGAATAGTGTGCATTTGTACGTGTGTGTATGCATATATGTGTATGTATTTAATGTGTGTGTGTGTGCGCAGTTTATCTACAATATACCCAAGATCTTATTGCTAGTGAAATATAGTTAAATAAACAATAACCCAACTTTATTACCTAGTATCGTCTAGCTATTATAAGCAGTGATATCTCTATGAAATAATATAAAAAGTATGATGATTTTATAATGAAGAGCTAAATAGTTGCAGGATATGAGTAATTTGATTTAAGTTTTATAAAAATAAACCCTGATTCTGTCACTGCATGGAAAAGGATTGAAGTTTACACATCAAAATATTAATAATGATGAGCTAAATAGTTGCAGGATATGAGTAATTTGATTTAAGTTTTATAAAAATAAACCCTGATTCTGTCACTGCATGGAAAAGGATTGAAGTTTACACATCAAACTATTAATAATGATACACCTAGAGCGTGGGACTTAGGAGGATTGGGAGAGGATTTCCACATTTTACTTTATATCTTCCTTACATTGGACAATAATCTCTTTTGCTTTTGTCATAAAATAATTCTAAACAAACACTGATAAGTGCGGTCTTGGCCACCAGCTAGCTGACATGCTGCACATAATATTTCTGGTTCTTATTAATCAAAACAGACGCTTTTCTGCATCGTCTTTTAGAGAAAATGACCAGGCCCCCTCCCCTGCAGGAAAATAGTTCCTATTTATAAGAGGAAAAATTAAATTCGGAACACCCACAGGCCAGGAGAAGTTAGGTAGGAAAAAGAAACCACTAAGACTTAATAAATCTGACTTAATTTTAAAAAAAAGTGGTTGTCACGGGGCAGACCTAAAGAACCAGCTAGTACTTAAATTGCTGTGGCTCTTAATTGCTTATGGTCCTCAGGAAGTGAAAGGATTGAAATGCAGGCTCTATGTGGCTTCACTTAATTAATATTTATGACTTCAGAAGAAAATTAAATAAGGCAAATGGTGTACTTTTAAACAGCCTGTGGTCATGGTTAGCAGGACTCACAACAAATTCAGAAGCAAGAAATGCAAGCACACTTTGGGCATGCGTGGTTTCAGTTTTCATTTTTTATGCCTGGTGATGCCTCTAATACCAACATCTTGGAACATTATGGTGATTGTTTTCACTTATCATGCTTTGCATGTTTCTTTGTCTTTGTGATTGGTTGTCTGAAGGAAGATTTCTTTTTCTGGGGGTGGAGAGATAGGGAGATGCACAAAGATGTTAGCTCTGGAAGCATCTATAATTTCTCAGTGGATGTTTTTAAGATGTATATCTGCCATTTACTGACTTTTTTGCCTGGTTTGATGATTTGAGTTTTTCCATTTTGAGAGCAGAGAGTTGATGAGATAGCATCAGTTCCTGTAATGAGGAATCTGGGCTATAAGTCTGTGTGATAATCAATGTTTATTGAATGGATGGATGGGTAGATGTGTGAGTGGATGGATGGGTGGATGGGAGAATAGAGCACAGATTCTATGTTACTTGCATTTAAAAACCCAGTTTACCTGTGAGCACTGGTTTTGAAGAGATAGAATTAGATAATAACAAATCCTAGATGGAAGCTTTTCAAACTTCCATTTGTGACCCATTAATGTGTGTGACAGCAATTTACTTCATTACAAGTACTGGAAAATAAAATAATGGAATAGAAGTTCTCAGTGCATCTCACATAGTAAACAGAGTCTTGGAAAACCTCTGTTTCTGTTATAAATGTGTGTGTCTGCATCAGGATGGAAAATGCATTCCTTACTGTGGGTTCTCATCTAGAAAGCCTAAGCGACCGTATACACTGGGAGCTGAGGGTCCATTAGCTCTCCTTGCAAGGAAGCTTCAGTTTTCTCATCTGGAAAAGGGGGATAATAGCAGAAGCCACCTCTTCAGACTAGGTAAGGATGACATGAGTGGAGGCTCATGGTGATGGCTTAGCCCAGGGTCTGGCATATTGAGAACATTTAATCAATGTTTTTTTTTTTTTTTTTCTCTCCTGTATCCTCTGCAGCTTCTCAGCATTACAGCTGAGAAAGTTCTCAACATTTTACACAGAGAGATGCATTATACTATGTTTTATAATTTGTCCTCTCAACTCTTACTTAAAACAACCTTCTTAAAAAAATAAACACATTTGCTCAAAATGACACCACACATTTGAAAAGATTATTTCTCATCTCTATACATGATATAGTAGCTGTGCTGAGCTCTGGGCCAAAGACTGCTCCAGAATTGGAAAACATGTTCTACCCACTTGTGACTCTCCCTAGCCAAGAGCCAGACCTTGTCTTCAATTCCATGGCTTTCCCTTCGTTTGAAGGTTAAAGTCAGCATTTCACTTTTACTGCTGTTAATAACTCCCAACTTTTCCATATTTCCATTTTTTTCTAAACTCTTTACTACATGCTAACACTGCCTTCATTTTTTCTCTGCCCTCTTCCTGAGGTCACTTGGTCCTAGAAGCCTCAGGTTCCAAATGTTTTTGCAACCTCCCCTTTACCCTCCCCGGTAACATGCTGTTCACCATTCCACTTTCTGATTTCCTTTTCTGTTCCTTTAGTAGTCTCTGCACTTCCCCTCCTCTCCCATCTGTAAAGCCATCTTTCTTCCAAGTGATGTTCTCCAGGTGACCTGAATCTGGCAGAAGCCTCCTCCATCCATCTTTTTAGAAGGACCCTCAGTTGCCAGAGCCAGTCTGACACCTTCTTCCATACCAGCTGCTTCAGACCAGCCTGGGGGCCTGCTCTGGGGGTGGAACCATTGTCAAGTTTCACCCATCAGCTAAAAACATGCCACTTGGATTCATTGCAGGTAACCAAGAAAGTCATACTCTTTAAGCTCACCAACATAGTTACATAGTTCATAAAAAATATTGCTCCATTTTCCAAGGGACTTTCTTAGTTGACGAGTGGGAGCAGAGGTCCCCATAATCAGCAGCTGGTTTGCTCATTGCTGGGAAACACAGAAGACAGGTCGGTCACTGGACAGGGGGTGCAGAACCCAGCGCTGGAGTGCACAGAGGTAGGTTTTGAGAAGGAGTATGCACTTCTTAACTTTCCAATAGCATTACTCAGTATTTTCTTTTCCTTAAATAGTACTTTAGCTCACTTATCAGATTTCAACTTACTTTTACACACTAAAGTATGACTTGAGGTCTTCCCAGGTTCACACGTATAGAATGACCTTTTCTTTTCAGCTGCAGTGCAGTGTGTATATTCCATAGTTCTTTAGTCAGTCTATTACTATTGGTGTCTCAGGTGAGTTCCCCAGAAGCAGAGCCTGAGGAGAGGACTCCTGTGCATGAGAATTACCAAGTCACTGTGCTTCCCAGAGAGTTCTGTAAGGGAGTGGGGAAGGCAGGGAAGCCCAGTGTGGGCCATTTCAGGCTATGCCCAGCAGAGAGGAGCTTCAGACTGGTCCTGAAGGGGACTCAGGTGTGTGAGTGAGGCTCAGCGCTGCACCCATCATTGGTTTAAGGGCCCTCCTGGGGGCAGGGGTCTCACACATCCCAGGCACGTGAAGCTGTCTATGAGAGTATACCAGGTGGCTCTGGGCACCCAAGAGCAGTCTATGATGAAGAGCTTGCAGGTGCAGAAGCTTGCTGAAAGCCCCACAGCAGATGGCCCTCTCCTTTTTAATTGCAGCCACAGTTGTGACAGGGGTGTGACCTAATGTTGGCCTTAGCTCTTATTTAAAGGCACGTTTGTTTGTTTCCCAGAGAAGCTCAGCCAATATTCATTTGACAAACACCAAATCCCTAGTATGCCCCATAAGCTCACATCGCAGCTCATGGGGCAGCATGAATGTCCTCCAGGAGTTCACACAGCTGGGAGTAAACCAGAAATAGGTATGAACACAACAAAATTCATTATTGCAGCAGCAAGACTGTGCACCACTGAGATAATAGCAATTCACTCTTCCTTGGCTGGAAGGGAGGGTTGCCTCTTGCCTGAGGGGCTGATATTTAAGCCAAACACTGGAGGAAAAGAAAGTTTGCCAGGCCGAAAGTGACACAGGGCTCCTGGAGTTGGGGTTGGGGGGCAATGCCAGCACAAAGACAGGGGAGCAACTGGGCAGCGGGTGTTAGGGCAGGAGCTTCCTGGGAAGGGCAGCGAGAACAGCTCAGAGACAAGAAAGAATTGTTCTGAGGAGCTTTCAGGCTAGGGGGTTTGGACTTTTCTCTTGGGAATGGGGAGTCATAGAGTGTTCTGAGCAGGAGAGAAAAGCCCAGGATGGGTTTGCAACAGCTCCTCTCTCAGTAAGGTGGAGGGAAGTGAGATTGAAACCAGAATCACTATTCAGTAGACACTGAGGTGTCACTGGGCTTGTTGGTCTGCTGCTGGGAGTACAGACCACAAGCTGCCTTCAGCTGTCAGCCCTTTCAGGGGTCAACTCAACTGCAGAGAGCACTTCCCTTGAGGTCATGGTCTTTTCTAGGGTGGCCCAAATCCAGTCCTGTTGGATGAGAGTCTACAAGGGTCTGGCCATCTCGGCCAAACTCAGATAACTCTGAGAACTATACCAGCTCTGGGGCTCACCATACGGTTGGCCAAGGCTGCTTTGGGGACCAGATTCTCCCTCTGCTCACTCCTGCCTTCTGTCCGTCTCCCCAACCCCTGCCAATTGACCCCACTGACTGTAAACACACCACATGCTAAACTCCAATTGAGAGGCTGCCTTTTTGGAGCCCAGCTGAGACAACAACTCAGGAGGCTGTAGCACTACCCCAATAGAGAGGATGGGTGTGGGAACATCCCCTCCAGTTTCCACACTCAGTGGAGACAGCTCAGTTCTGGCAGGAGAGATCTACCTCTCTGGTAGATCAGGCCTCTGATGGTTTCTCCAGAAAACTCCAAACCCACACAGACAGGAAAGTGTCAGGTAAAATGAAAACAAAACCTGGGCTCAAAAGTTCTGTGTCTTAGTTTTGGCTCTCCCAGAAATCCACTCTGATGCAAAGATTTGAGTGCAAGCAGGTTATTTGGCCAGGAAATGCTGGTAGGGGAGTGATGAGGTGAGAGAGGAAAGGGAAGGCAGCCAGGCAGGGGCCTGCCATCAGGCAGGTTACTACTGTGGGCACTGGTGCTTAACTCTGCTGGGACCTCTGGGAGCCAGAGTAGAACATGTGCCTCAGAGTTGTCCCTCGCAAGGGTAGGGGAGCTGAGGTATTTATGCACCAACTCCTGTCAGTCACTGACTGACAATGGCTGCTCAGGTGTCTTAATTCTCCAGGTACTTCCAGTCCTTTGTGGGTAGGATAGAGTTCTGCTGCTAGAAATTACCCTGAAGCACAAAGGTGCACATGGTGGCAGGTGGAAGGTAGGCATGTGGGATATACTTGGGGCTTGGATATTGTCTAAGTTTTAGTGTCTCCATTTCCTAATGGCAAGAGCTTAGAGGCCTCATCCATGCAGAGCTTCAGCTCTTTAGTCATCAAACAAAGATAATGATACATGTGTTTTAATTGTTGTGAGGTTTAAATGTGAATAATATCTTTAAGAATGGCTGAAGGGAGAGACCAGTAGACATATAATATTAATCACATTTCCTGAACTCCCAAACTGCATTCTCAAGTATGGCGAGGCCATGAGTCCCCTTCAACTCATTTAAGATAGAATCAACTTGGCCAGGTGTGGTGGCTCACGCCTGTAACCCCAGCACTTTGGGAGGCCGAGGTGGGTGGATCACGAGGTCAATAGATCGAGACCATCCTGGCTAACACTGAGAAACCCCGTCTCTACTAAAAATACAAAAAATTAGCCGGTCGCGGGGGCAGGCGCCTGTAGTCCCAGCTACTTGGGAGGCTGAGGCAGGAGAATTGCATGAACCCGGGAGGTGGAGCTTGCAGTGAGCCGAGATCACACCACTGCACTCCAGTCATGGGTGGTGAGTCACCTGCATTCACCAAAAGTGATATTCTACCAACGATCTCTGGGCCTATTCAATGAGGTATTGGAAAGATATCTCAGCATTCAGAAATGTTTCTGCCCCATTTTTTAGGGATAACATTTAGGAACAGTGAGGTCAGTGTCACCTGGAGGGTCAGCAGCTGAATGCAGAATGGAGAACGCTTCTTCCTCCCTCAGGATGCTCACTGAGCCCAAGACTTCTTTTTTTTTTGAGGAGGAGTTTTTCTCTGTCACCTAGGCTTGAGTGCAGTGGCACAATCTTGGCTCACTGCAATCTCCATCTCTCAGGTTCAAATGATTCTCCTGCCTCAGCCTCTTGTGTAGCTGGGATTATAGGTGTGCCGCAATGCCTGGTTATTTATTTATTTATTTATTTATTTATTTATTTATTTATTATTTTTTGAGACAGAGTTTCCCTCTTGTTGCCCAGGCTGGAGTACAATAGCATGAGCTTGGCTCACCACAACCTCCAACTCCTGGGTTCAAGGGATTCTTCTGCCTCAGCCTCCTGAGTAGCTGGGATTACAGACATGTGCCACCATGCCCGGTTAATTTTTTTTTTTGTATTTTTAGTAGAGACAGGGTTTCTCCAAGTTGGTCAGGCTGATCTCGAACTCCCAACCTCAGGTGATCTGCCCACCTTGGCCTCCCAAAGTGATGGGATTACAGGCATGAGCCATCGCACCTGGCCCCTAATTTTTGTATTTTTAGTAGAGATGGAGTTTCACTCACCACATTGGCCAGGATAGTCTCGAACTTTTGACCTCAGGTGATCTGCCCGCTTTGTCATCCCAAAGTGCTGGGATTATAGGCATGAGCCATCGTGCCCGGCCAAGGCTTTTTAAAATTTAATTTAATTTTATTATTATTATCATTACTAGAAGGAGGCATATGGAAATGCCCAATTTGAACAGAAATTTTCTAGAACTATGCATTTCCAATGCTCAGTGGTGAAAGAGTCAGCTAGAGCATTGAGTAATGGTGAACTGTGTTCCCTATTAAATAGAAGGTAAGTGATTTCCCTGCTTTGAGTTTCCTGGTGTGGTGATTCACTTGCAGTGAATAGGGACTCCTGATAAGATACTACCATCACGGAAAATCTTCAAGGAAAGGCTAGATATCTAGCTCTTCCCTGAACACCAGAGGCAAGAAAAGGGACTATACCTGGGGGGCTCAAATAGACTACAGAGGAAAGCACTTATAATTTGACCAGAAGCACTTTTGTGCAAAATACCAGGACTGTGATAATTCCCACCATGTGTGAGAAGAGTCCTCCAGTTTTCAGGGCCATTGCTGCAAAGTACTGGTGGAATTTCTCCTGTCCTTGTAAGAACTCTCATGCCTGAGTCTCAGATTTACTTTTAACCGAAAGCCTTTGATTTGATCCCCATGAGGCTAATGGGACCTTAAATCCATCACAAGACTCTTTGGAATTTATCTGGAGATTCCACCTTCTCTGTATTTCTAATCAGTCTCAATGGCTTTTTCTATAATAGAGTTTTATGTTCTAGTCATTAATCATTTTAATTTTTAAAATAGATAACATTTGAAATACTACTTCCCCTTTCCTAAGCTTCTTTCGGACAGCACTGAGTAAGTAAAGCCTTAACTATGCCCTCTGGTTGAAAAAAAAAAAAAACCCACACATAAACCTGTTATGTTTCAGACTTTATGATCTGAGCATAAAAAGAGCTGAGCCTTTGATTCATATTCTATTCCATCACGAGTACAGCGGTACTGAAGGGATTTGCATGTTTAAAGGAGTGTTCAGAACAACCCATATAATGAATTCTCAAGGGTCTTCGCAGAGGAATTGCTATTCATCTCCACCATTGATGTCTGTGGCGGGGTCTGTGTTCTCTGGGGACGTTGAGTGGATGCCAGTGCTCAGCAGCAGCCAGTCATAAGGCATCTGGGTAGAGGCCTCCATCTTGCTTGGACTTGGGAGGGTAGAGAGGGTAGGTTGAATGGCTTGCAGGCTGCACCAGCTGGTGGACAGGTGGTGTGTGCAGGTGTTGAGAGATAGGTAATGAGGTTGGTTCCTTCCCTTAAACAATTTATTACGGAGCACCCCCTTTCCTAGGAGTCCAAAACCCAGAGGGATCCAATTTCCTGCTTTTAAGCTGGAAATTGCATGGATCACCACATTTTCTTGTGAGAAAAAATGTGAAGGCAACTGGCCTGGGAAGGAAATCTCTGGCCACCAGATTGGTAGGAAATTCTACATTACAATGTTCTAAGGTCTGTCTTTATTAAAACTGCAGCATATCCCAAGTACCTGGAAGGGTTATGGTTGAGTTTACTTAAAATTTGACAAGAAAAGGTGAAGGCACACCAGTCCTGCACGTTGAAAGCTCTGTTTCTCAAAGGGTTGTGTGAGAAGGAGCTGGGACTGGGCTGGGAAAAAACTCAGCTTTGCTTTAGCTTGGTCTTACTCATCAACACCACCTTTTCCTTGCAACTGTGTCAACACAGTGGGCAGGACCTTCTCTGTTAGTCACTACCTTTGATGTCTGGGGAGCTCTGCTTCCCTATCCCCAAGGGTCTCTTATCAGCCCCCTACCAGGCATTCTTTTTCCTCAGGATTCTGTTAGTAATTGCTCCTCCCTGAGACTTCTCATCCAGCCTAACAGGTGGTCTAAACCAATGGTATTCACTGGTTGAAGAGAGAAATTGATGGATAGTAGTGGGAAAAAACATGACCTTTAGACTCAAGACCTTGATTTGAGTCTGATTCTGTCACTTATGAGCTGAGTAGCATTGGGCAGGTACTTAACCTCCCTAGGCCTCAGTTTCCTCATCTTCCTCAAACAAGATCATGCTTTCTCCTTCCTCCAGGCATCATGGAGATTAGATCTGCAATGCACGTGATGGTGACTCAGAGTGGGCCTGCTGTAGATATTAATTAGTACCCAGAACACTCAATATGGTTTCTCTGTATGTTGGCAATTGCAGGGTGTAGAGTAGCTAGATGGATCTTCACTTGATTTGGAAGTGGTCTGACTTACATCACATGCTGTGTGGTGCCTGAGAAGCTCCCTTAGGGAGGATCATGAAACAGATGTCATCCATGGCAGCTGCAGGCCTTGCCTTTAAACTCCCAAGCACTCACCTGTGCAGCCAGGTGCCTACTCCAGGAGGAGAAAAGGGTGCCAAGGGTGTATTTCTTTTGAGGGTGGTTATTGTTTCCTCCAGTAAAACTGGATCCTTAACTAGTTGTTATGTCATCAACAGCATCATTATATGAAGGAAAATCCTAACATTTTAAGTTGATATCTTAGAGGGCAATCATATTCTCCCACAGAAAATTCCGAGTTACAGAGAAGACCAATTGTTCTAACTCAAGGCAAGCACTTTTTTTTTTTTTTTTTTTTTTTTAGTGGTTATTTCTAAAGAAAGAGAAACAAGCTTACTCTAGGCATTCTCCTTCTCAACAGCTTGGGAAAGACATTGGACATAGACTCAAATGACCCAGCTTTGCCCCAGCTCTGTCTCTTGGGAGCTGGGTGACTCTGAGTCAATTGGTTAATTTTACTGAGCCTCAGAAGCTTAACCTTTTAAAATAGAGTGAACACATCCAGTTGTCCAGAGACTGTGAAGGTGGCATGAGATCAGTGGAGGGTAGGAGCTTTGCCAGGCTTTGGTTGTCCCACAGCTTGGGGGACATGGACATAGGGAAGTGCATGCTGAACAGGTCTCAGAATTCATCTCAAAAACCATAAACCTTACTGGGCATGGAAAGGGTTTGGTTCTTCCCAGGGGTTTGGTTCTTGCAGAGATACACATTTGTTGATGATGAATAGGAGAGCAAATTTTTATTATTGAAAATATTGAACCGGTGCCTTTGTCACCTCATCAGTCATATTCTCTTTCAACCCATCCACTGTGAAAGTGAAAGGGAATCCGTGAGGGACAGGTTGAGGAGTTTTTCCTAGATCCGTGCATTAGTGCCCAGGAGCCACCCGAAGGTCTTATTACACATTCTGAATCAGAAGGTCTGGAGTGAGGAGGGGAGAGCTGAGAGTCAGCATTTTTTACAAGCCCCCAGGTGATGCTAATCTCCTATTCCAAGGGCCACTCTTTGAGAGTCTAAGGCTAAGAACAAAATGCCTTTGACCTACTTTGAGGTTTAGTTTTCTCCTTCTTGAGCCCACAGCAGAGAAATAATCCTAAAACCAGGTTTTGGGGAAAGAGAAAAAAAAATTTAAACTCCCAAATCCTCCCTTACATCTCCAGAATGAGGATTGACAGACTCAGACCCTAGAGGTTTTCCATGAGCCATGACAAGGGGAGGTTACAGGAGGCCATGTGAAAGCACTGCAGGCAACAAGAAGCAGATAGGAATATCTTCCTGATTTTTGAGAGAAGGGCCAGAGGAAGAAGGAGAGGAGTAGTTGGGGCCCAGGCTAGCTTTCCTTAGGGCCGATCTCAGGAAGAGGGAGGGTGGGGAAACACCTAGGAGGTATTTTGTGAGACTCAAGAGACACTTGAACACATGCTCCTGTTTCCCTCCCCAGCACGACCCCCCAACACGGCAGCTCTACAACGGCAAGGACGGGCATGGGTTTGGGATGCGGGGTTTTGACACTGTGTGTTGTCTTCTTCACCTCCTCCATGGTGAGGAAGAGAGCCGGGCATTGCTATGGGCGTTGTGGGGGTGAGTGCAGTCCCTGAGGGATGAGGCCATCGTGCCTGCTGTGGGTTGGATCCTCAGTCCCCCTAAGGTGAAAGGGAGCCATGTGTGTGGACTCTCCCCCCAACAGTCCTGATCCAGGCCCATGCTCAACAGACTCTTCAGCAAAAGGAACTCACATAGTTGTCCCCAAAGAACCAGGCAGAACCGGCACTCTGCAGCGGCACCAGAGGATATTGTCTCGACCAGGGGAGGGGAGATGCTCTTTACCTGGGAGCCACAAATACAGGAGCTCTGCATAGGGACCAGGCCTCCCCTAACACCTGAAGGGACATTAAGCATTTCCTGGAGGCACCTTGAAGAGGCACAGGAAGGATAAACAGCTATAGTGGAAGGTGGCTTTAGAATAGATAGCCTAAGAGGCTGACTGATGTGGCTTACACGGAGGAGGCTGTTTCTCTCCACAAGCCAGCTTGCGCAGCTTCCCCCAGTCATTACAGGGAAAAAAGTGGGAGGAACTTCAAAGCTGAGTCCAATTATAGGAAATAAAGAAGTCATTTTTTTCTTGGCACACGGGAACAGTGGTGTGGAATGTCAGTCCTGCTATAGTACCATTTAATCAATACACAAAACTAAATCTTACCACACTAAAATAAAACTGTTTAATTCATATGCTTTATACTATGCATTTTACCTAATAACCATGACAGTAAATGAGATATTTTATCATCTTTTAAGATTGAACATTGTGTTACACATATTTCCATATATTGTCTAGATTTCTTATTCTTTATTTTGTTATATTCAACCTTGTTAACATTTAGTGTGAAAAATGGCAAACGTGTTTATGTGTGAATGTGTATATACATTTTGTATGTAATATATATGCTGTTATGTGCTTAGTTGTGTCCACCTAAAATTTATATGTTAAAGTCCTAACCCCCAGTACCCAAGAAGGTGACTGTATTTGGAGATAGATAGGATCTTCAAAGAGGTAACTAAGTTTAAATGAGGTCATTTAATGGATGGGGCCTATTTAATATTAGGATGCAGACACACACAGAGAGAAGAACGTGTAAGATGTCCATCTGCAAGACAAGGAGAGAGGCTTCAGGAGAAAGCAACCCTGCTCACACTTTGATCACAGACTTGTGGCCTCCAGAATGGTAAGAAAATACATTTCTGTTGTTTAAGCCTCCCAGGCTATGGTACTTTGTTATGGCAGCCCTAGCAATTGAATACAGAGAGTAATATACCTATTAGACATACATGTCAATGTTCCCTTTACAGGAAATGATGAACTCAGCAGTAATTTAATAAGAGATGACTTAGAATTGTAAATTCTTGCCCACTCATATGATGAATATTTATTGGGGACCCTCTGTGGATGAGCTGTGGCACACATGATCTGCTCCCTCACATGTACACCTATAAATTCACCCAACACATGGTGATTTGGGTTGCTAGATGAGAGTCAAGCAAATTGCTTTTGAGAGAGGAGGCTCAGTGAAGTGGCATTTAAGCTGGGTTTGGATGGGAGAGACAGAAGAACATCCCATTTGGGAGGAATGCATGAGAAATAATATGGAGCAAAGATGTAGACATGTTCTGGAAATAGTGACTGGATAGTAGGGTGGGAATATGGACAGATCATAAGGGGAGGGTGAGAGATGGCCAGGGAGGTCAGGGACTGGCCATATTGTGCTGGACCTTGAAAGCCAGGCCCAAAATCCTGTTTCTTTTTTAACAGGGAATGACGAGTAACAGAATTTTTCAAAGCTGGGAAGTCACATGATTAAAGTGGTAGATTAACCTGCTAGAAACATCTAGAATGTAGAGCGAGGGTGCACTAGAAATAGGAAAACAGATGGACTTTGCAGTAATCCAGATGCAAGGCAACTGAGAAGAGGGCAGGAACGGGAGGCATCCAGGAGCCGGAGAAAAGAGGATGCTCGGGACCTGGCAGCTTCCTTTTCATCTCTAGGTAAATTAAATACTTTCCCACAGTTTGGTGCCCTTCATGGTGCTGCTACCTGCCAGGCTTGAGAGAGTGAGAAGCTGGAGGTCTCTGCCTTTTCTGTGGCTGCCCAGGACAAACCTCATTGGTTCTGCTGAATGAGCATCATTAGCGTATTTATACTAGAACTCAGTTCCAGATAGCAGCATTTGAGAATCAAGATAAGAGAGTGTTATTTTCAGTGGGAAATCAGTGGGCCAGTGGAAGAGCTAGAATAGTGAGTGACAATTGTCTTGCTGGTTACTCTCAGCATTGGCACAGGGGTGTGGTGTTGGGCTAACTTAATTTGCACTCAAATACTTTGTCCTCCCACTGGCTGAAGTTCCACTGCACAGAGATTATGCTTTGGGTCATGTGGCTCTCGTGAGGTGAATGTCCTTTATGAAGAACGAGAACTAAGACTCTCTAGGACCGGCTGGGATAAGGCCTTGGACGTGGTGTCTATCTGGTTCTAGCCCCTTGAGATGGAGCCATCTATTCCACATTAGCCTGTTCAAACAGGGCCTCCAGCATGCTGTCTTGGATTTACTCTAAAATTCTAATCTCTTGATGAAGATTTTGGTGGCTACAAATTGCTGCTCTTCCTCTGGGCACTGGAATGGATGGGTGTCCTGGTTTGGATTTTCTAGCTCAGCCCTAAAGAGGAAGAAGATTTCTGCTAAAGAAGAATGCTTTGCCTGGAGTTTCTGGTGCTGGCAATTGGCTTGGGCCCACTCTTGAACTAATAGGTTCAACTTTATCCCCTGGCCACAGGTATAAACTCAAGAGTGAACTCTTTATGCCATGTAAGCCACACAGGCTGCAGGTATTAGAAAAAGAGCTGCAGTACTCTTCTGAAAAGTCATCTCTGCTCTCCCTTCCTGAAGGTGGTGGAAGAAACTTGTAATCATGAGAGCTGCTGGGATCCATTTGCAACCCTGCATGATGCTGACCACACAGAAAGAAGACGAGAAAAACAGAATCCAGAGGCCTTGACATTCTTACTGGGCCCCAGTATCAAAAACTCAAAATCTTCCCTACCTCTGGACTTCCAGTTATGTGATCCCTGAAAGGCATCCACGTGTGGCCTTTCCCAGTAAGGCTTTAGTTAGGTTAGCTAAAATGTTAGCAAAGTCTAATCTTATTGGCAGAAAAAAAATTGCCTTTTACTATGTTTGTACCTTTCAAAGACCTCATAGCCCAGCAGACTTCATAAATGCTGGTGAATTTCTTTCAAACCATTGTCAAATAAAACCTCCCATCTCCAATTAGCATAATGTCTCCATTCTGAAAGTCCAGGAGGCTTCTTTATTTTTTTGTTCTAAAGATATCTATACCAGGATTGCAACAATTATGAGGACTACTAACAAGAAAAACTCCTGAAACTTTTGAGAATGGGATTTGCATTTGCAAAATGATTTGCAACCAGACCTGCCAGGTAGCACTTCACGGAAATCAAAAAATGGGTTTTGAATATCGAGATTATATTTTTTGGCATCCAAATTCGTAGTAAAATCACCTTTCTAGCTGTCTGCAGTAGATGTGACTAAACTCTCAGAATAGCTTCCACAAGTGCTGAATACTTTTGATAAAAGTCGATGTAGCTGGAACACAGTCACATTTGATTGACTTACCTTAATTCTCTAAATCAGCTTATTGCCCAAACAGCTCCTCAATTCGGGTGTCCCCATGCTGCGGCCACCTTCTCTAGTTGCCAGAGCCCGCTTCTCCACCCTAAATAACTGCGACTGCGGCAGAGGCATTTGGGTTGGTTTAAGACGGCAGTATATCCCTCTGTTTCTTCATTCAGGATTTCTTTCCTTCAAAGGAGACTTTGTGTTTCCCAAGTTTCCTTCTTCTGCTTGTATGAATCTAAAATGAATCTGAACTAAAAGTACTTGTTGAGTGGTTATGCTCCCAACTGTAATTTGGAGTCAAGGTATGAATATTTTATACTCAAAGAGTCACTGAAGATTTGTAGGAGGCTTTTAAAAATAAAATGAATACACTCATTTTGTTGGCTCAGGTAGACTATAGCTGGGGGAAAACAAAAATACAGGATGAGCCCTCAATCATGAGTCTTTAAAAAATGAATCAGGATTTGTGTTTTGGGATAATCAGGAGTCCCTGTGGTGAGTACACAGTGTCCTTTGGAGGAAAGAAATACCAGCCTGAAGGAGAACCGGGAAACAAAAACAAAAGCCACCCAAATGCTCCAATCTCGTTTTAAACCAACCCAAATTCCAGAGGTGCAGTTTCAGAAGGGAGCTCTTCATACCCTGGCAGAAATTAGGTGTCAAGCTAGAGAGCCAGTATTCAGATGCCTGTGGCTTCCTTTCACTGCAAAAATAGATTTAAAAAATAATCCAGTCTTTGGCATATTTTCTCCGAGACGGAGAGACCTGAGTAGCCCCTTTGCTTTCGCTGTATGTTTGTGTTGCACTGAGCTGAGGGCTTTGTGAGCTCATAGGCTACTTCAAAAGCTGTTGAAAACAGTCAAAACAGAAACTGAATACATGTGAATTAAGCATTTCCTTTTTTATATAAATCTGTGAGTCTTTTTTTTTAAAATAACATCTATTGGTTTATATGGAGGGACCCCGTTAAGCAATTTTCACTGGATGCAGTTTCAGCTTGAAAGAACAAAAAGTAGAAGAAAAGTGTCTAGGCTCTTTTAACCTTCAAGCATGGCCACACTTAGGAGGATGATCACCTGAGAATCATAAGTTCTTTCCTGAAGACTCTGTAGAAGGACATTTGGATTACAAATCATTTTTGACGTTCATCAAGTACTCAAATATATGTTTTAATTGTGCCTGATGCACATTGCTTCTTTTATAATGCACTAATCTTACTCTAAGCAAAGTATGTAGCAATTTTGAGATAAGGAAGAAAGTTTCTGAGCTTTCATGAGGTGGCTGTCAAGATCATGACCACCTGTGGGGTGCTGGGTACATTACCCTTGAGAAGATGCTCTGAAATGACATTGTTTCTTCTTTTCATTTATCGCAAAGGGTTTCATTCTTTATTTATTTATTTTTTTTAGTTGGAGTATCACTCTGTTGCCCAGGCTGAAGTGCAGTGGTATGATCATAGCTCACTGCAGCCTCAAACTCCTGGCCTCAATTGATCCTCCCACCTCAGCCTCCTGAGTTGCTGGGAATACAAGCTCATGCCACCATGCCGGGGTAATTTTTTTTTTTCTGGTGGCGGAGGGACAGGGTCTTGCTATGTTGCCCAGGCTGGTCTCAAACTGCTGGTCTTTAGTTACCCTTCACCCTTACCATCACAAAGTATTGAGATTGCAGATGTGGGCCACAGCACCTGACCAAGGGCTTCATTCTTAATGTCTACCTTCTGTCCTGGATTCTGGATCCTTTGAATAGATTCCACCTGTGAGAAGCTTGAAAACATCAGATGTATGCAAATTAAAACCCTAGGTACTAATTTTACCTATTAAATTGGCAAAAATTCTAAAATTTGTTAACATGCAGTATTGGCCAAAGTTTCACTAAAAAATATGCCCTTGTAGCGGTATGGGAATAAAATCAGTACAGCTTTTATGGACAGATTGGTAGCCCATGCTTTGTCCCCACAATTCTGCTTCTAGTTCTTCATCCTGCAACTGTAGAAGTGAACAAAGATTTACATGTCACATTTATTGTCATAGTGAAAACATGGAAACATCATGCTAATCAGCAGGAGACTAGTTACATAAAGCATACTCATACAAAGGAATTTTAGCAGCCATGAAAAAGGATGACTAATTACAATGCGCAGGCACTGAGGGGTCTCCAAGACACAGTGTCACGAGAAAAGCAAAGGGCAGATATAGTTTATTCCTCTTTGTAGACAAAGGCACACATATGCTTAGATACATGCAGAAAATTTCCTGGAGGATAGAGAATAAATGATAACAACTGGTAATCTTTCAGGTGTGGAACTGACAACCTGAGGGGAGAGGAGGAAGAATTTGCTTTTTATTTTATAAACTTTTGTATGACTTTGTTTAAAAAAAATCATATTTGTATATTATATTATTATAATCAGGGTTGTTTATTTATTTATTCATTTAAAATGGAGTCTTGTTCTATCACCCAGGCTAGAGCGTGGTGGCACAATCTCAGCTCACTGCAAACTCCCCCTCCCGGGTTTAAGTGTTTCTCTTGCCTCAGCCTCCCAAGTAGCTGGGATTGTGGGCGGGCTCCACCATGCCTGTCTAATTTTTGTATTTTTAGTAGACATGGGGTTTCACCATGTTGGCCGGGCTGGTCTGGAACTCCTGACCTCAAGTAGGCCACCCCCCTCAGCCTCCCAAAGTGCTGGGATTACAGGTGTGAGCCACTGCACCCAGCCTAATTTTTCTTTGTAATAAGCAAAAAAATCCATCTGTGGCCGTGACTCTACATTTCCTGAATTAATCCACACTACTGGATTAGTGTGGTAAACAAGAGTTTACCACCTGGCCACCTCAGTCTCTCTGACAATCTCTTAAGCACGAGTGAGAAGTCTTAATTCTTAGCATTCCTGTGCTCAGGTCTTTCCTGTCATATCAAAAACATTACGTTATGTTCTATGAAACCCCCTGGGCTCCAGACCTCTTCCCTCCCCGTAATGCTTTCCTGGTTCTCTGAACGCTTTAGCAGTTGTATCAACCTTCGTGAATGCCATCGTATTCGTTTTCTATTGCTGTATAACAAATTGCCATAAGCTCAGAGGCTTGAAACACACACATTTTTTTTTTTTTTTATATCATGGTTTCTGTGGTCAGGAATCCTGGCACAGCTTAGTAGGCCCTCTACCTCAGGACCCACAACATGCCGAGTTCCAGGTGTTGTCTGGGGCTGGGATCTCATTGTAAGGCTCAGCCAGGGGAGGATCCACTTCCAAGCTCATGAGGCTGTTAGCAGAATTCAGTTCCTTGCCTTCTGTTGAATTGAGGGCCTCAGTCTCTAGCTGGGTTCTAGCTGGGCAAGGCCATCTCAGTTCCCTTCCACATGGGCCTACCAACATGGCCCCCAACATATCCCTTGCTAATTTACCAACACCAGCAAAGCAGAGAGTTGACCAGCAAGACCGATGTTCCAATTGTATATAATCTTGTGTGATTCATCTACCAGTTAGAAGCAAGTCACGAGTCTCACCCACACTCAAGGGGAGAGGATTATGTAAGGGCATAAATACCAGGAGGTGGGATAATTGGGGGGTCACCTTAGAATCAGCCATAGTCATGAAAGTTGTATGACATTCGGGTAGCCTAAAAGGAATGCCATCAGGAAAGTCTAATAATCGTGAATGATTTTCCCTAAGGGTCTCCTCATCTCGTCACTTATTTAGAACTTCCCTGGGGTCTTTCCAGACCACTCTTCACCCACCCTGTGCTTATTCCTCTATCTCCTTTTCTTCTGGGCTTCATGTGATAATGCCAACCTGTGTTGAAAGATTAATTCAAGCCTTTCCTCCTTGTGTCCTTTGCCTGTATCCTGAGGGTTATGGGAAGTGGCTTGGGAGCAAGGAGAGGTGGGATTACATGGCAACCAGTGGGCTCCTTCTGGATCTGGTTCCTGGCCCAAGTGTTACCTTCCTGCCACCCAGGCTCAGCTTGCCTACTGCAACCCTGCACTGCTACTCACTCTGTGTTATGTTTCTTTTCTTTTCTTATAAGAGTAATCACCCTCTTAAGTTCCCTGGTGAACTTCTCTGGGTAGGTGGGTCTGGAACCCAATGGATGTTCCACAGAACGTTACTGAATGCTTTTACTATGACAGGGAAGACCATCTCCCTCTGAAGTTTATTTTCTTGTTTTTATCTGCTTTCCCTCTAGAGGGTTAAGATGAAGCGGTCTTTTTTTTTCCTGGTCCACTGCAATATTTCCAGGACCTGAATGGCTCCTAGCACATGGTAAACATCTAATAAGTATGTGTGAAGTAAATAATTGGATTAGTCATTGAGTACTCAATGTGTCCTGTGAATCCAGTAGGTGGAGGAAGCACCATTGCTGCCATGGTTCTAAGGGTCATTTCTCACAACTATTTCTTAGGTAGCTGTATAGCTATGAACCTAAACCCCTTGCAATCCTAGTGTTACTGACTTTTGTCTTGCTAATATCTAAGCATTCCTTATCCTCCCTCTCTTCTCACTAACCATTGAGGATTACAATGGCTAGACTAAGACATACTCCAGGAAATCAGCCCACAGGGTGTGATGGGACCCTGGAAGTGGCTTCCCATCTTCTGTCTCTGCATTGGTCAGTGGCTAGAAATGTCTGGCTGTAACTAAGAAATAGCTACAAAATTTGGAGCCTGACAACTGCCCCTGTTTACTTGCATATTTGTTGCCACAGAGGGCATAATTATAGACAGAGATTGAGAATGGCAGTAATGATGTGTCAGCCTCATAAGGTGCTCAGGGTGTGTCAGGCTGTGAACACTGTGCTTCGTCTGTGGCAGTGTCTCCCTTAATCCTCACACCAGCCCTTCCTGGATGGGAGGTGGGGGTGGTTCCCACTGAGGCATCACTAATTCTAAAAACAACTACCTGGTCAAATGTAAATGCAAATTCTAAGCCAGCTTATTAGGCGAATGTCAGTGAAAATAATTTTAATAGCATTCTTGCATTAGGAAGAAGCCTTAATGAAAACACAATTTTAACATAATTAGATTGAAATAGTTCAGCACTGCATACATAATCTGAAATGATCTTACTTAAGTTCACCTAGCACATTGACAAGTCACCGTTGTAAGCTTTTAAGAAATGGATTTCTAATATTTGATTTTTCTTAGTGTTTATTCAAAATTTAATTTTACCATTAAAATTTGCATTATATGGCTCATTAAGGCAACACCTTTCTCATTACTGTAACAAGAAGACACGTTCAAACAAAGGCACTTCAGAGTGCTTGGGCCTTTCTGAAGGTCCACACCTCACAGGCCTTCTTTGAGCTGGCCAGTGTTTCTTGCTCTTAGTCACAGATATCTTCTCTCACATTGATAAGAATGGACATTTTCTGTCAAATTTTAAGTCGTTAAAAAATAGCCTACATTTTCATTGACCTCCTTCTTTTTAGAGTCTATTTCTGAAAACCAATGCTTTCTTTCAGTAGCGTGTCCCTGCTATCTCCTCTTCACTGTTTGTGGGTAGGGAGTGAGGGTAGGAGTGGGGATGACAGTCTGCTAGAAGCCCTTCAAAAGAAGGGGAGGACAACACTGCCCAGCGCCATCACCACACAGATTGTCCCATAGTGCTGGGAGACAGGGATGGCAAGTTCACAGCAGGAATATTTTTTCCACTGTACTGGTATGTGCCAAATGTTTATGTAGAGGGGGTAATTAGGTGCTGTTTTTGGTGAACGAAGCACCCCATGGGCTTGGTGGGGTCTTGGAGACAGCACGTGCTGTGTGCTAGAACAACCTGCAGTGAGAGATGACACAGGCTTGCATCTGGTTGTCCCACTTCTGGATTGTGTCACTTTGGGCTACTTTCTTCACTTTGTTAAACTCCAATTTCCTTATATATGAATTGAGGGTAAAGGGAAGTGATAAGTTCCCAAGGTCTTTGGAGGCTTACTATTTAATGAACACATTCTTACATAGTACCCTCTTTGACAGGAGGTAAGAAGTCAAGTTGTAGTATTTCCAGCCTCACCCTCAGGATATCCCACCAATTTCTAAGGTAGACCAGTGTCTCCCTAGGACTCGTACAAAGCTGGGAATCTGACAGCAAGGAAGAGGCATGGGGACATTGCCCGATGTGTAGAAAACCACCATGTCTGCCACAACATGCAACACCAGAAGAGAGAAGAAGAACCCATGTGGAGAGAAACCTCATCCAAGGAACTGAAGAAAATCCCCATAGTGAGCCCTCCTGGCTGCTTCTTCCTCGCTTGTGCTTAAGACAACTCCTGTTTTTCGTTCCACCCACCCACTGCCCAATCTTCCTTTTTTCCCAATGTTCATTTTTACTAAATGTCATCTCCACTCATGCAGGGGCTTAGACCCCAAACCCAAGTTTTATTCTTACTTTCTTACTTTCCCACATAGTCAGTGTCCAATCCACGAGCAAGAGTTGTTGACACAAACCTCAAACACCTCTCATCCCCTCCACTGATGCCCTAATGGTCCAAACCATCTATTATCTCTTTGTAGTTCTTGGGACCACTGGAGCTGCTAAGTAAACATTCTTCTTCTTCTATGCTTTGCCCCTAACCCACGGCAGACAGGAATCTTTAAAAATGTAAATCTGATCATATCACTTCCATCCTTAAAGCTCTCCAATAGTGTCCCATTGAACAAAATGAAATCTCTGCAGAAATAAACCTCTGGAGAAATATAGATTGACTACAATCCTCAGCCCCTAAATTATACTGCAGAGGGGAGGATGCTTAGGATTCAGATAAAATGGGAAGGAAGTCAGTGACAGTGTAGTCACCGTAAGCCAGAGGTAGAAAGTCCAGTCAGAACCACTCACTCATAAGCATGCTGAAAAGTGGAAAAGCAACTATGCAAATAAACTTCAGCAAAAAAGAAGAGACATAGTGTGCTCTGTCCATTAGGATGATTCCAGCTGCAACTATCAGAACATCTTGCAAGAAACGTCTGAGACAAACAGGGATTTTTTCCCTCATATAACAAGTCTGGAGGTGGGGAGCTGATTGATCTCAGTGCTCTGGGTCAGCAGCTGTGCGGTTCTCTCAGAACTGGCCTCCTGATCACTAAATGACTTCAGTAGCTTAGTGCATCGCATCCCCACCGCACAGTCACTGGAAGGGGTAGGGGCAATGCGGGGCTGTTCTCCTCTGCTCACTTCCTATTCTCTCACTGCAGAGAATCAGTCCTTCCCAGAATCTTCCCAGCAGAGCTCAGAATTTGCCTTAAGTCACTTTGGCCAGGACTGTGTCACAAATCACTACAGCCCACTGGTCTGGCACATCTTATCTGAGATCAAGGATCTCCCCTCAAGGCCTGAATAAGGTTGGGGTTCTGTAAGTAAAAAAGGGGGGAATATTGCCCAAATAAGTGGGCAACCACAATGGCTGCACCATGTGCAGAAAAGGGAGAGGAAGAAGCCAGACTGGAAAAGGCATAATGCAGGAAGCAGAAGAAAGTTCCCCACCAGCGAAGGCTTCATTTCGTGTTATCGAGGCGCTAATGAAGGACATGAACTAAGGAAGAAGACGGAGTCACTCAATAACTTAATGCAATGTGTGATTCTAGACTGGCTCCTGGACAGAAAAAGGACGTTGGTGAGGCAAGTGGTAAGATTGGAGTAGATCCAAAGGCTGGTTCACAGGGCTGTGTTACTCTTAATTTTCTGGTTTTGATACTTGCACTGTGATTATATAAGATATTAACTTTTGAGGAAGCTGGGTGCAAGACATATGAAAGAAAATTCTTCGTACTATTTTTGTAACCTTTTCATAAGTCTGAAATTATTTCAAAGTGAAAATTAAAAAATAAAAAAACTCAAAAACAAGAAATTGAAAAAATTGTATGAAATAAGTTTTTTTTAAGCTAAGAGCATAAATTGAGAAACTACTTCTATCCATAACTTGTACATATAGCAGGAATTACCAAGAATATACCTAACAGGGCTAAAAGCTGTGTAAGTGACCCAGAAAAAGCCTGAGATAATGACAATTAACTATAATTAGACAATTAATGGAAACATCATAGATATAGAAGACAAATAACTTATGTTTAAACACTTTGTTTGCTTATGTCCTCATTTTTCACAGCCAGAGTCAGATATTGTCAAAAGTTGAAATGTATCCTCAGTAATAATGACTACAATCTTATAAAGGTTTTTTTTCTTTCCTTTTCTTTCTTTCTTTGTTTCCTTCTCTTTCTTTTTTCAGATGGGGTCTTGCTATGTTGCCCAGGCTAGAGTGCAGAGCTATTCTCCAACATGATCATAGCACACTGCAGTCTCAAACTCCTGGCCTCAAACGATCCTTCTGCCTCAACCTCCTGAGCAGTTGAAACTACAGGTGCACTGCACCACGCGAAACTTTCATAAAGGTTTTTTTTTTTTTCTTTTTGAGACAGAATCTCGCTCTGTCACACAGGCTAGGGTACAGTGGCGTGATCTCCACTCAGTGCGACCTTTGCCTCCTGGGATCAAGTGATCATCACCTCAGGCTCCCAGGTAGCTGGGACTACAAGCCAGCACCAACATGCCTGGCTAATTTTTTGTATTTTTTGTAGAGACAAGGCTTGCCATGTTGCCCAGGCTTGTCTCAACTTCCTGAGCTCGAGCAATCCATCCACCTTGGCTTCCCAAAGTGCTGCGATTAGAAGTGTGAAGTCACTGCACCTAGTCTTATAAAGGTTTTTATACTCATTTTATTTTAACTTTAAAGAATTGTTTAGAAATGATTACTTCCTGCAGCGGGAAAATATTATCTGATTTCTAGCGATTTATCATGTTTTACTTCAACATCTTTTTCTTTTGTTAAAGTAAAAATACTTTAGTTAATTTAATTGAAACGGTATAAATACGGTGATGCTATGTTCTGAGGTCATCTGTGTATCTCTATCTAGTTGTCGTTCTGTTTGTCTGCCTATTTATCTATCTTTCTGTCTGTCTATATGCAAAGATGGATGTTTTAGATAGTATTTACCAACCTCTAACACTGGTTGTTTCAGTTTACATAATTTTGGGCGATTTCTGTTGCTTTCTTTATACTGCTTTGAATTTTAAAAATTCAGAAATTTTCAAGGGAGCATGTGTTTTATTATTTTAAAAACGTAAAAGAACAGATGGATTTAAAAAACAACACAACTTACATAGATTGAGATGGGATCAATAACATTGCTGTGTGATGCATGTTTCAGTGTGAATAGAACCAGCATTCAAAATAGTGATTGTTCCTCCTGTTCCTGCCTGGAATGCCTTCTTATTGCTTCTCTTCTCATCCTGTCTCACTCTCCTCTTTGTTTAGCCTCCCTTCTTTCAAGACCTAGTTTAGGCAAAGATCACTCTCTCTCTCTTCTGTGACATTTCATCCTATTAACTGTCTGTGTCGTTGAGGCAGAATCTGTCTATGACTCATCCAGGGCAGGGGCCAGCTTGTCTCTATGCAATCTTCATACCCATCACAATGCTTCATGCATGTTATAAGATTCAAAAATGATAAACCCTGGGTTATCAAAAGGCAGGGGAACATCACTGAGTGGGAAAGGTGATGCAGAGACGAGTTGGAATAGAAACACCAATAAATATAAACACTTGGAGTTTACGGAATGCTTGTGGCAGAAGGTGCCTTACATGCCAAGAGACAATTACTCCAAGTCTGCAATACATAACCACTAGCTGTTATTAATATCTTAAGGGAAATTTTCAGCCCGAAAATTAATATCACTGACTGGTTCTTAGTTGTTGTATGGTTTCTTTTCCTTCAGGTTAGAGTTCTTAATTCTTCTGTTCCCTTGTTTCTCCAGTTGTAAACTTAAGATGATGACGTCTTCTGTAGATATCACTTGTCAAGTGTGCACAAATAACCTGTACCAGGAAGCTAAAGTCTGCTCCCAGGCCACTTGGCTGATACCTGACCAGGATGCTGACCTCCTCTATGGAGTTCTGTTTCCTTATCTCTGCACTGGGCAGCCCTGAGTTGGCCTTCCTCTGAAGGGCTGCCTCTTGGCACAGCTCCTAGCCAGTGATAAAGGACTTGACAAACATGGTGTGCTGAATCATATCTGCTGTGGGAGGGTGAGCCAGAGGTGAGGCATTGATATGGAGAAGGATGGCGACATATTTCTGATACCTACTGTGGGCGCCTATGAGCAAAAGTCTTTCCTGGATGTAGTTATGCAGCACCACACACTAACAATATTCATCATCATCATCATAGCTACCACTGAATTGGGGGCTTTCTCTGTCCCAGGTAGGGGAATGCTTGGCAGATTTGACACCTCAAGTTGGTCGTTTTTTAACCATGCACCTTATGACACAATTATTTTCAGTACCAATCATGAAATAAATCAAGTAATAATAGTGGTTAGAAAAGAAACATGAACATGGAACACTTTTAATGAACTTTGCATATTTAATCATGCCAACAAATAATAATAACAAAGAGCAAAAAAGCAAACAAGAAATAGATTAATTCTTTTAAATAGAATTAATGTATATTTTGGAAAAAATACAGAAGAATGGATTCTGCAAGTTTCAGAGAATGATTTATGCATAAATGACAAGATTGAAGTAATTTAAATTCTGGTTTTTCAGCTTTATAATCAGTTTGTAATCATTTCTCCTGGCTCCAAACCACTGTTCAAATGCAAAAGTCAGAGACTCCAATTGCACACAAAGTAGCTCAAAAATTCTGAACCCTAATGATCTTACTCTAGACATCAGTGCACATAGCTAAGTCCATGTATGTTATGTCCATGGCTGACTGTATAATTGACCGACTCATGTAAATAAAATCTTTACTAAAGGATGGGTAATAAAAATGTGCTAATTTGACATTTACCTAAGTATTATGCTATTAAAACTCAACAGTAATCACAGTAATTGTTTAGAATTTGTTTTAGATCAGCAATTCTTTCCCCCAGGTAGGCATATTTTACCACAAATAACGTCTGGAATTTTCAATGCAGGATGATACTTCAAGTTATTGTTGCTTTTAACTTTTGTAGAGACCGTGAATCCCCTGATTGCTGACTCCCTGGTCCCAGCACTGTGCTGATGAATTCCTGATGTCCACGGAGCTACTACAAGATCTGAGATTTATAGCTCTGAAACTTCAGAAGATAATCGAGATGATACCTTTGGATAAAGAACCTGAATGTATCAACTAGACTGTTTGAAAAGACACATTTTAATAAATAACCTGAATATATAAGCCAGATTGTTTCAAGGGCTGTAGAAGAAACATTTTAAATCCTTTCTCTGAAAAAACTATTAAAAACACAGAAAACGGGATACTAATAGAAACAATCCAGAAAGGCTTAGCAGGACAACTCAGCAAAACAACACATCAATGACCACTTTTAACAGTCTGTGGAAGTCTTTTGCCAGTAAGGGAAGCCATGGAGTTGTCCTTGATGCTTTTGTTTTTAGTCCTGTAACCTAGTCATTAAAACCTCCCATGGAACTTTTGCTTGGTGGCATCTTGGATTGGGAGAAGACAACGGTCTTCTTGTCTGTCACCTACACATGTCAACGGTTGAGAGCTATAAATCAGTACATCCAAAAAAATTGCTCTTTCCTTGATGTAATCCCAAACGTATCCAACATACAAATGAAATTAGCTTCCTATAATTTAGTTGTCTTGTTCACATACCTCAAGATAAGCTTCTTCCAAGACGCCATTCCCAAAGAATAAAAATTAGAAGATCAAGAAGGAGCAGATTCAGTTTTGCCTAAGTCTCATTACATCATCACAATCGTCTGTTGATCAAGTGTTCCACTATTCTTTCCAGTTTTCATTTTTAAGGCACTTCAAGAGATAATGCCAGCTGGTTAATTCTGGTGCTCATATAATACATCACAAATGCATGAGACAGATTGGATAAGTATAGCTACATATCAATTAGTGGAAAATCATTGATGTTTGGGTGCATTTTTATTCAATTCAACTATTCTGATACAAAACAATTTTTTAAGAATTCAGCCAAAAATGATAAGTTCCTCAGTCATATAAAATAATTGGCTAACTTCAGTTCACTGTTTAATGGTTTTCCTGGATTCTGTAGAGAGCTACAGTCAGCAAAGGTGACACATGCCTGAGACCTGGAGCCATTACTCACTCAGCAAATAATCCTATCACTGGGCTCACGGGAGAATTATCTTTCACATCTGCACCTTCAACAGGCTTGTCCCACCTCCCAAGCAAAAAAGGGAAAAGAAACCCGAGTGAAGCATCTAAGGCATTAGTTCTTTGACATATGTAATTTTTTACCTGTTAGTTTTTTGCAACAAGTGCCAAATTCTGGCTTGAGTTAAACATAGCATCTAGGTAGTAGGAGCACAAGAGAGATAAGAAAAAGGTAAGGGCACAGTGAAGAGCTAGAGTTTATCTTGAATTAAGGACAAAATCAATTTTTAAAGCACCAAGTTGGTAAATTAACGTGTGTGTGTATGTGTGTGTGTCTGTCGGTCTATCTGAATTTCAATACAAGCACAAAGTATTAGGTTTTTCTTTATTTCCACTAAAGACAAAACAAGGAATTGACAAATCATTTCTCAAAGGATTAAGGTTAAACACAAAGAGGTCATCCTGACAGTGTTGATGGGGCAGACACTGGGGATCGTTACCTAGGAGAGTTGGGGAATTTCTCTTCCTGGGGTGGGTTGGGGGAGGGGAATGGGGAAGGAGGGACTCACCTCTAGATGATTTCGGGGCAGTCTTGGCCTTGGGGATGTGACAACGTGTTCAATCTTCCAAGATCCATTCCATCTTAGGATTCCAGGATAATAAAGGCCGAACAAACCGCTGGTGTCAAGATAGGTCACATTTTGTCTGAACTTTCTCAACAAGAGTGTTTGCATTTCCAGAAGACCTCTAGCTGATATTGTGATCAGCGCAGGGTTGAAGCAATATAAAGTTCTATTCAAATGATGTTACATTTAGTATTCATCTAGTGTCATTCTTCAGAGAAGCACATTTTGCCCTTCAAAAAGAACTCATTCATCTTGACAATGTTCTTGGTCAGCAGGTATTATTATGATAATACCTTCAGTTTATTTAGCAACCCTCACCCCTTTTCAGGCGAGGTCAAAGCCAGTCAGGCAGTCAGTCAACAACATTGATTGAAGTCTCTTAGTGTGTAGAGCTGTGTATTAAATCACCGTCAAACACCAGCCAGCCCAGACCTCACCGCATACGGAGCACACCTTTGAGGCTGGCAGGCCACGGGCTGAATCTCGCCCCGAGAGGCCCTGCACCCCAGCCTCCTAGAGCCTCAGTCATCAGCTCGTATTTACTCACATTTAGCTCGGGTTGCAGCAAACCTCTCTACATACAAACTTTTGGAGACTTCTCCTCTGCAGACTCTGTCTGTGCCTGACAAGCCACAAGCATCCTCGCCAGGGTTCAGGCAGCTTAAGCTGCCCACGTAGTTAAAAGCAGGAAGCACACCATTGCCCAGAAATGGAAAGAGCAGACTGACAAACAAAATTAGCTGAACTTTTTTAACTGAAGAAAAAGGGAAGGTGGTTTTCTGAGAGGTGGTGAGCACAGGTTCTTTCCCCAAATCTGTTTGCGTCCGGGTTGGAGTATACCTTGGACTCTGGCCCAGCTGCTCAATTCCCTGCATCTTACACAGGAAGACAGGCAAGGGCCCAGTTGGGGAGGGGACATATGCTCAAATGACACAGGAAATACAAGCTGATTGCCCAAAAACTAGGAGATAGAGCTAGGCAAAAAGGAAAAATAATTAAATGTCACTGGTAATGACACACCCCCAGGTGCCATCACTTCTCGTTGAGATGAATGTCCACTCAAGCCATTGTCCTGTGTGTTTCTTTGTGTAACTGAAACTACATTATTCAAAATAGGACTATTTTACATACATGTCATCACATGAAGCAAATTGTCCCCTTTTAGAGTGCCCTTTGAACTTCTGTATTTTCCCACATACACCATGCATAGCACGCCTGTTAGATTTCCAAAACTGCTCCCTGAGAAACACTGGTGTTTACTTAGGAGACTCTCAAGTAACAAGCTGAAAAAAAAAATCCAGTTTTACAAAAAATTATGAAATGCCAAAATGTAAATTTATTGTATTTTAAAAATAACAAATTATGTGTTACTTTTATAAACAATTTTCTATCCAGTTTTTTACATAAAGAATATTGTACTTTTGTGTTCTAAGTTTAATCTGTTAGTAATTTCCATGATCTGTAAGTACAAAGACTCCTCAAAAGTAGCCTAAATGTCAATGTTTTAGGTGGTATGGGAATGTCAAAAATCCTCCTGGAGCCAAGTGTGGTGGTGTGCACCTGTAGTCCCAGCTACTTAGGAAGCTGAAGTGGGAAGATCACTTGAGACTAGGAGTTTGAGGCTGCAGTAAGCTATGATTGAGCCTGTGAGTAGCCACCATACTCCAGCCTGGGTAACAGTGAGACTGCCTTTAAAACAAAACGAAACAAAACAAAGCTCTTTCAGGACCCAGGTTCTTCTAGCTCTCCACGCCACCATCCCCAGTGGGTCGTCTTGCCTTCATCATCCAAGATGATGCTCTTTGTTCATTCTAGGCAGCAAGAAGGGGAAGGAGGGCTCACTGCTCATGTGTCATTTCCATTCACACTTTACTAACTTAAACTAGTCCATGGCCACTGCTGGCTCTTAAGGACTACAGAGCATGTCACTTTTGATTAAGTGACAATGTGTACAGATAAGAATTAGATTCTGTTACTAAGGAAGGCCAGTAAATGAATATTAGAGATGAATATTAGAGGAATAACCTACAGTCTCTGCCTCATTGGGTGTCTGAAAGTTTAAGAAATTTTAAGTTAGAATATCACTTAATATTGGTCCCTAGGGAATTCGATTTAAAGATCACTATTAACTGAAATCCATAGAAAATACCGAGACCTCATTTTAATGAATCTGCATTTATTTTCCTGTCCTTCACTAACAGGCTAATCCAAGATGGTGGTGCTCCAGCTCTGTGCCTCTGGATTTGAAAGCTTGGAGTGTAGAAGACTTCCATGGAGGGTGGAGAGGGAGCTGTGAGCTCCAGGCTGCGGCCGTCCGGTATAAGAGCCTCAGCTGATCTCATGAGAGCTTGGCTACCTATGAATTCCCCTCTATGTCTGGCACCAGAACATGGCAAGAAAAAAAGTAGTTCCTGGAAATAGTTTTCTCCAAATAAAGCCAACATGCAAATAGTTTTCAATGTTCATTAACATTAACCTAGCTTCCCCAGTTTGGGATATTTGGGACTTAATGTGGAGTATTAATAACTTCAACTTTTATTCATCTTACACAAGCTTCTAAAAAGATCTAAAACACTAAAGATCTGAGAGTATTTCCTACTGTTTGAAATAAGTACTCAGCAACCCCGAGTTGTGATTTTACTCTTTTATATTCAGCTCTCTCTTTGGCATGATGAAAATCCTGGGCTCACTTCATTTATTTATTTCTTTGTTTATTCATTTGACAGGCATTTGTATTGAGCACTTTCTATGGTTGCAGATTGGCTTCTTCAGGAAAGAGACATGAGGTAGAGTTTTTGAAGAATGGTGTTTATTAAGGAGTACCTTCAGGGCCAATGCCATGTGGAGAGCGGGGAGGAAGGAAGCAGGAGTAGGCAGAGGAAGCAGCTGCCAGCTCACCAGTATGGGAACTGCTGGGACCAGAAAAACCTTTTAAATTGCTCAGATCAAGGTGGCCAGGCCAGGCCATTGTTCAGATCAAGGATGCCTACCACCATCAGTCCTGGGATGTGAGTCTCCCTGGGAATGGCCCTGACCTTGGATGAGGCAGCTTTCTGGAGGCAAGCCACCTCTGAAGGGCTCAGCAGCTGTAGACTGCCTGCGCCAGAACATCCAGTAGCTAGGCAACAAAACCTTTACTGAAGAGGGATCGGGGCAGAGCATCCCCCTCAAAGGTCCTCCTTAGGGTTTCATGGCAGTGTTTGTTATAGTGGCTTAGCTAACCATAAGCACTAACCTGCAGTGCATTTCTCTTTCACATCACAGTTCCTGTGTGACTCGCCTAGGTGGCAGGAGTCCAGGGTTCTTTCCATGTTGTTCCTCTGCTATCCACAAGGACGTCATCAACAGCCCTATGGCCAAGGTGCGATGGCTGCTGTGGTCAGGTTTCAGACAGTGAGAGGGAGACAGTGGAGAGGTGCATGTCATTGTCCTAAGGCCTGCTCCTGAAGGCGCGCACTTCACCTCCACTCACATTCCACTCAGAACATGTGGTCACATCTGCATCTAACTGCAAGGGAGTCTGGGAGATGTTACCCAGTTGGGCACCCATGTGACCAGTTCCAGATCCCTTACTGTGGAGGAAGGGACAAATAGATTACACCGGGCAACAGCCATCTTTGTTACAATGGACCGGTAATTCCACTTCATGATAGCCTCTGCACACATTTTGCATGTACACCATAGGGATTTCTGTCTTGCAGACTGTATGCTCCTTGCACGCCACACGTCTTATGTATCTCTGCCTCCATCAGGCAAGTGGCACAGTTATATGGCACTGTTCTGCACCTGGAATCTGGCCTACATCTAGTATTACATTGTATTGCATCTTGGTAAGAACTGTAGAGGTTTAATCATGCCCTTGTCTGGTCCCGCCCTCAGAGCTTCTGATATCATTGGTCTGGGTTATAGCCTAGGTAATTGGGTTTTTAAAGTCTTCCCAAGTGATTCTTTTATGCCACCAAAGTTATTAATGGCTGGTTAAGAGGAAAAATGGGCCAGGTGCAGTGGCTCACACCTGTAATCCCAGCAACTTTGGAGGTGGAGGCAGGAGGATCATTTGAGACCAGGAGGTCAAGACCAGCCCAGTCAACATAATGAAACCCCCATCTCTACAAATAATTTTTAAATTAGCTGGGCATGGTGTCGCAGACCTGTAGTCTTAGCTACTCTGGAGGCTGAGGCAGGAAGATTGCTTGAGCCCAGATGTTCAGGGCTACAGTGAGCTATGATGGGGCCACTGCACTCCAGCCTGGGTAACAGAGAGAGACCCAATCCCTAAAAAAAAAAAAAAAAGAAAAAGAAAAAAAGAGAAAGAAATGAGAAAGAAATGAGCTTCTAGATCAATTAGCAGTGTGTGTGTGTGTGTGTTTGTGTGTGTATTTGTGTGTGTGTGTAAGTGACTAAAATTCTCATATTTTAGTTCAAGCAGATGAGGGAAGTTAATGGCTCATGAGACTGAAACTTCCAGGAAGGTAGATCTGGCTTTAGGCATGGCTTGATTAAGCAACTGAAATGAAGTCTCTAGAACAAGGTCTATCTTCCTCGGTCTTTGTCTCTCTCCTGTCCCCTGCCCTCCCTCCCTACTTCCCTGTCTCTGCTGCACCTCCTCATGTCTTTCCCTACTGAATTTGACTAGGATGCTAAGATGCTATCCAGATGCTTTTCAGATTAAGTCCAGCAGAAAAAAAGGCTTCCATTTGCCTCTTTGGTTTACTGTTTTTAATCAGATATGTCATATGTACAAAAGGATGTGTGTCATGTCAATATATGCTTAAAAGAATGATAATAAAGTCCTGTATATTTACCATGCAGATTAAGACACAAAACATCATCCTACTTTAGAGATCCCCACTGCACCCTCCCAACGCAAGGTGCCACAGAAATGTCATTCATTTATCACTTAGTTTTGTGCAGCTTTTGACTTCATCTAAATGAAATCACACCATATATATTCTTTTGTAAGTGGCAAACACATTGTGGTATTTCTCAAATTCATCTACATTGATGTGTCTATCTGTGTTTTATTTTCATAGCTGTTTAGAATTACATACCTTAATTTATTTGTTTCTCTATTTCATGGACATTTGGGTTTCTGTTTTTTGTTGTTATGATGATGATTGCTACTGAAAACATTATTACATGAGTTTCTCCAGGGTACTTAAGTAGGAGAGAATTTGCTGGGATGAAGAGTATGAACATCTTCAACAGTTTTAGGATCTGAGAACTAGCCAACCAATATCCAGATATAGTAATACTATCAGTTTACTGATTCCCACCAGCAGAACGTGAGAGATCCCCTGCTCCTCCTCACTGCCAAGACTTGGAAATCTCAGATCTTTAAATATTTCCCTATCTGTTGGGTATAAATCTCATTTTGTTGTGGTTTTAACTTTATCTCCCTCCTCTTCCTTATTATTATTATTATCAGAGACAGGTTCTTGCTCTTTTGCCTGGGCTAGGATGAAATGGCATGATCACAGCTCAGCTCACTGCAGCCTCCATCTCTGGGCTCAAGTGATCCTCCTGCTTCAGGCTCCTCAGTAACAAGGACTATAGGTGTGAGCCACCACACCTGGCTAATTTTTAAATTTTTTGTAGAGATGAGGTCTCCTATGTTGACCAGACTGGTCTCGAACTCCTATCCTCAAGCAATCCTCCTGCCTTGGCCTCCTAAAATGCTGGAATTGCAGGTATGAGCCACAGTGCCTGACCGTATTATTAATTAAAGCATTTTTTCTTTTGTTTGCTTATTTTTTTTCTATTTATTTTGAGAAAAGTCTGTTCATGTCTTTGGCCTCCTTTTTTATTGAGTTGTGCTTTATCTTATTAATTTATATATTCAGAGTGCTCTCCTTTTGTCTGTTAAATATGCTGCAAGTATCTTCTCTCAGTTGGAAGGTTTACTTTTGTTGTCTTTTGAAACACAGAGATGTACTGAACTTTAATGTACTCGAATTCATCAAACTTTAATAATTTATACTTTTTTATCAGTTTCAGTAATCCCATAGTCTGTGCTTATATCTCTTTCTATAGCTTCTTACCAATAATTTTAAAGTTGTATTATTTTCATTTAGGTATTTAATTCGACTGTAATTTACAAGTGGTATGTAATAGGGAACAATTTATTTGGCCTAAATGCATACACAATTTTCCCAACACATTTATTGAGTGGTCCTGTGGTGAGTGACCTTAACCTTCATTGTCTGTAAAATGGGGGTGATAACAGGAATTATCTGTGCTTGTTTTCCAGTGCCATGTAACAAATACCTCCATATCTTGCAGCTTAAAACAATACGTATTATCTCACAGATTTTGTGGGTCAGGGATTTGGCTGTCTCTGGCTGAAGGTGTCTCACAAGGCTGCAAAGCAAGGTCCTGATGGGGCTGTAGTGTCCTCTGAATAGTCACCTGGGGAGGATCCTCTTCTTAGCTTACTCATGTAGTTGTTGGTAGGTTTTAGTTCTTATGGGCAATCAGGCTAAAAGCCTCAGTTTCTTACTAGCTGTTGGCCAGAAGTCTCCCTTAGTTCTTTGCTATCCAGGCCTCTCTGCAGGGCAGCTCACAACATAGCAGCTGGCTTCCCTCAAAGTCAGTGAATAAGAGAGTGAAAGAGGCATCTCAGGTGTCATCCACAGCCCTTTTATATCCTCATCTTGAAAGTGATATCCCAGGGCCGGATCTGTAATCCCAGCATTTTGGGAGGCCAAGGCAGGTGGATTACTTGAGTCCAGAGGTTTGACACTGGCCTTGAAAACATAGTCAGACCCCTTCTTTACAAAAAAATTAAAAAAAAATTAACTGGGCATGGTGGGACACTCCTGTGGTCTCAACTACTCAGGAGACTGAGGCAAGAGGATCACTTGCGCCTGGGTGGTTGAGACTGCAGTGAGCCATGATTGTGCCACTGCACTCCAGCCTGACAGCAAGACTTGGTCTCAAAAAACAAACAACAAAACAACAACAAAACATTCTATCATGGACCAGTGTTAGAAACATCCTTGAACTGGAGTTGGAATTTTCTGCTTCAGAAAAAAAAACTCCAGACCCCATCTCAAAAAACAAACAAACAAACAAAAATTTAAAAATTTTTAAAAAAGGAGGCAAGAAGGAGACACATTCCACATTCCATTTCTTCTGCTATTCTCTATTTCTTAGAGGTTATATTCTCTTCCTAATAAGTCCAGCTCCCATTCAAGGAGTGAGGGATATACAGGGTGTGAATGCCAGGAGATGGTAACCAATGGGAGACTCTGTAGACGCTGCCTTCCACACTAGTTCATAGACTTTCTGTGAGGATTCAATGACTTACTATGAGAAAGGTCCTGAGACTTCCACGGACTATAGAGGCACTTAGGTTAGCATTTGCTGCTAGCATTTTGTCTATCATCTCGCTGGCTTTTGTTTCACACACCAGGTTTCCATATATGCGTGGCCAATGTCTTGGCTCCATTAGACCTAGTCGTTTATTTTTCTATTCCTGTAGTGTGATGGTTAATTTTACATGTCAACTTAGTTGGGATAAAGGATGCCTGGATAGCTGGTAAAATATTTCTGGGAGTATTGGAGGCTGTTTGCAGAAGAGACGCTCATTTCAGTTGGTAAACTGAGTCAAGAAGATGGCCCTCCCCTGTGTTGGCAGGCATTGTCCAATTCCTCCAGGGCTAGAACAGAACAAACTGGTGGTGGAAGGGAGAATTCACTCACTTGTTGATCTGGGATATCCATTTCTCCTGTTCTCGGCCATTGGAGCTCCTGGTTCTACTACATGTGGCAATATTTGGAATTTTGATTTATTAGTCTGTATAACATTAAAGTCTCAATAGCTGGTAAGGGAAGCCCTCCAGCATCCATTTTGGCCTTGCTATTTCTTTTCATGAGATTTTGGCTAATCTTGGCCCCTTGGTCCTCCATCTAAATGTTGGAGTCTGACTGCCTGCAGCACACATTGGGGTCACATTCCTATGCCTTAGAGAGAGGAGAAGCTGGGTGCGAAGATGATGCCAGTTGCTTTGCTGGAAACATGGGGTGGCTCTGCTGACAGAGGGCAGAGTGAAAGGGGGTGAAGCATCTTTTCCAGCCCCCGCTACTAATAGACCACTGGGAGCTACGGCAGCTGAAGGTTCAGGCATCTCAGCCTTGTTTCCCAGCAAAGCAGTGACAGAGAATGTGTAGGGGCCAGTGTCTGGCGGTGGTGGAGGCTGGTGCAAATTATTAGCACTGTGCTGCTCCTCATTAGCACTGTGGGACTCCTCTGTTTTGTCTCCTGCTTGCTCCTTGTCCCACTGCCCAGTATTGCGGAGGCAGATGATTGAGTAAGTGGAAAGAACAACCCCTGGGGAATAAACTGACTCTAAAATTTCAGCAAATTTTAAAATTCAAAAATCTGAAGTTGTTATAGATTCAGTTGAACAAGCAGAGTGTAGAATTTCCTTTCAAATTTTCCTTTTCATATTAAGAAGTGACCTTGAGGAGAACTGCAGTTTTACTGTGCCCACAAAGTCACAATGCAGTTGGGGAGCTGAAGGGTTGTTGCATCCCTTTTCAGATGTTTCTGATAAAACACAAATAGGAAAGCCATTGACACAAGGCCTCAAATCTCTTTTGGAGGAATATAAAACTTCAAATAAATGCAGAGTAACTTCTGAGAATCTGAGATATTTCAACAAGTGCATGTACCTTTTATGAGGAACTGAGTGGAGATTTGTGATGGAGGAGGCGGGGTTCCCCCAGTGGCCTGGCATCAGAAAATGGTATGGAAAGAAGAGATGCTCTTCATTTTGCATAGCATCTTCCTGGTCTGTGAAGCTAGCTCCATAGTACTAATGATGTATGAGCAGGCATGATAGGGAATTACCACAATTACACGTGGTAATATTTACTCAGCTATTTGAAGAACTCCAGAGCTGAGTCTTTGCTAATTAGATTCGCCACCTAATGGCTATTCTTAATTCATGAAAAACATTTTCAGAGGATTTAATGATCTGGATCAAGCAGAAGTGTGGTGTGTTGCACACACATTTAAATGACTCCTCAAAAATTGCAGGGGCTGGGCCGGGGAGATTTTTATCACCCAAAACCCATTTGGCCTATTGAAATCAGAATTATTCCCTCAACTTCTGTAATGCTGCCCTACCAAGTAATAGGGACTCTTCTTGATAAAAATGATTTGGGAAACAAAAAAAGGGATAGAAAACTCTATTTATTATTTTATAGTTACACGGCATTATACTAGACCAAATAATTCTCCCTTAATTAGCTTTGCTGGAGAAAAACAAAGAAAGGAGAGTGATTAGAGAAGACAGAAATTTTTATACATAATTTTAAACTTTTTATTAAGGCAGATTTCCCTTTGAGCTGTTAGAAACCTCACTGTCTTTGTTCTTACAGGGAATAATAAAGAAACCAGGGAATTTCAGACAAGGACAAAAATGTTCCAGCCTCCCTTTGGCGGGAGGTCAGCAGTTGTGTCCTGTGGTAGCTGAGTCTGCAAGGGCTGGGCAGAGACAGATGTGGAGGCTCTGCTCAGTCAGGTCAATGACCAAAGGCTGCATTTGACGTCATCTTCACGCTCTGCAGAGGAGACAGAGTTCTTATGTGCATTCAATTAAAAGGAGCCAGGAGAAATGGGCTTTAATTTGAGCAGAAGAACTTTCATAGGGATAAACCTTTGCATTGGTTCAGGGATGGGACAACAAGATAGGTAGGTGGTGTAACTATAATGATTAGTAATGTGGTGTGGGGCTCTCTGTCCATTTGTCTGGAGATCCTCAGGAAGGGAACAGTGTGTATCCAGGTGCCCCTTGGGTTGTCTTGGATGAGGTAGAGGGGCTGCCTCTGCTGGTTTCTCCTGGTTTTTCCAGATTGTTTCATTGCATGAAGCATCTAAGAATGCACTGTGTGGATGGCATGAGCTCCTTATTGATTTCACTTTCAGAACTGATCAAATTTTCCTGTCTCTTAACCTTCTAAACACCATCAGTCTCCCACTTCTTGCATTTATAAAATGTGTCACCCAATGCATTTCTATGCTAATGCAGTTGTTAATGGCGCTAGACAGGAAGTAGTTTCTTCTCCTTCACAGACAATTTAGAGCTCCCCCCAAGATAAACACACACACACACACACACACACACACAGATAGATAGATATGTTTATTTTATATATATGCAGGTGCCTATGTGGGCGTATATGGCTTTTGATTTCTAGAACTTATGAGCTTATAGTTAGTAGACAGTAATTTAAGAGCCAACTGGGCTAAATATTATGATGGTCAATTCAAGTTTTTCTCCCTGGCCATGAGAAAATTATTCCTTTTATCCTTTTCACAATAGTTTGATGCACCACACACAATTAAACACATCATATAAATGACTAAAATAAGTTAGCATTTGTCCCAATCTTGTCATCATCATGTCAAAGAAAATAACAAAACAGCATTATTCAGCAATCTGAATTGGCTGCTTTAACAAGCTGAGTTGCTTACGGAGACTGAAGCTGAAAGGTAGCCTGTTCTGGGATTTTCTTTCTCACGAAAGTAAAAGACACACTCTAGTCCTGTGCATCCGTGCATTTAAGTGTGTGTGTACGTGTGTTTGTAAAGACATCAAAGAAAAGCTGAAGTCAACGTTTGGAGTCAGGTTTTGCATGTGAATCCGGGGCCTCCTTTAGGATAAAATCCTTAGGAAGACGGCCCCATGTCTTTCTGCCTTTTCCCCCCAACAAATCCTCATCGTAATTATTTGTTGTCCTGCACTTCTGCATGCTGGAATCAGTGTTGGCATGACATGATTAAACACAGAGCAGGCACATTTGGCAGGGGCTGGGTGTGGATACACACACTGCAGAAAGGCCAGCTGGGCCCTGCCACCTGCCGCTCCTGGTGATGGTGTTTGCTTGGTTCCCCCTCCCAGCTTTGGGGGTGACTGGCTGTTGCTGGAGATAAAACGAAGCCAGGCAAAATGTTTTGACATCTTGAAAGGTTTGGCAATTCACCTGGCTATTTTACTTCTTGTGTGACTTTACACATTCTTGAATATTTACTTATTCTTGAACATTTATTTTCAACCTACCATAAACCTTGTAATTTTATGCACATTATTAATCTTACTGTAAACCATTCAACCAAGATTTGTAGTAGGTTTTGCCAAATAGTACAAAGGAAACATCGGTTTAATAAATGAAAAGGCAGAAAATAATGAGTGTGCAATTCTTCAAATATTGCTCACTTTTTTGTAAAGCTTGCTTGATTTTTAGTCATAGTAAAATTTATGCTATGTACCTCTTCAATTTCTTTATTTTGTCTGGAAGTGCCTTATCAGAGGGGATTAAAACTAAAAGCTAAAAAATGAGGTTTAAATACTGATGCCATGGAAGTTTGAGGCTTCCTTGATGTGGCGCGTGTTCTCAGCTCCCTGGATAACTCAAATACTAGAGAGCCAAAGGGAGCATCAACTATAAGAACTTACTGTGAGGCCCACAACTCTACTGAACATTTTTCATTTTTGATTTAGGTAATACATGCAATTGAAAAACTACTTCTTTGTGAGGTCTATATACCAAATATCACTTCAGATCATTTCTTTTTTTATATATAGTATATTTTTATCGACATAATTGTATGCTTTTTTTTGACATAGGTTTAGAAAAACATTAAGCAGAGAAAAAAATCAAATATGCTTGGCACCTAAATATTCACATTTATGATTTTGATTTATTTCCCATTGTTTTATTTTCCTCTAGTCACTGAAAAATTCTTGAATAAAATTTTTTTCTTTTTCTAGTTTTATTTAATGTGAAAAAGGCCAAATAATATATTTAAGCCACCTGCACTGCAAGTGTGTGAAATAATTCCAGCTTTGATCAGAGTTTTAGAGTTTCAATTTAAAATTATTCAGAGAGGGTTAAGTGATAATGTTTAACATTCATCTTTTGTAAAGCTTGACTGTTTATTCCTCTAAAGGACACAACAGTGGAAAAGCATCCTGTTTTAAAAATGGAGGCAACATTGCAGTCTGCACATTGATGGTGTGGAACTCATCCAATTTCTGTTTAAATGTATTAAGGGAGAATCTTAAAAAGTTATATGATCATGAATACAAAAGTATAATTTAAAACACTTATCCCATGAGATATTTAAATACTTGGCCAGGCGCGGTGGCTCACGCCTGAATTCCTAGCACTTTGAGAGGCCGAGGTGGGTGGATCACAAGGTCAGGAGTTCAAGACCAACCTGGCCAACATAGTGAAACCTCATCTCTACTAAAAATACAAAAATTAGCTGGGCATGGTGGTGAGTGCCTGTCATTCCAGCTACTTGGGAGGCTGAGGCAGGAGAAACGTTTGAACCAGGGAGGTGGCAGTTGCAGTGAGCTGAGATCATGCCACTGCACTCCAGCTTGGGCAACAAAGTGAGACTTTGTCTCAATAAATAAATAAAGCGATATTTAAATACTCACTACATAAAAAAAGGGTTCCATGGTTAAGAAAGCTCGGGAATCTTGGTGTCAAATAAGAGTAAAAGGGCCTCCTTCCTATACCATGACTGCTCAGAATCGGGAATGTGCTTATGTGTTTTGAAGGAGATTGTGAGCCTCAATAGTCTCCAAACACAAGGATCCAGATAATTGTTTTCCCCTTGGAGTACATTGAGGGACAACGATTTTAGAGAACATGCCTTGGGTGGAAAAATATGCATGTATTTCCAAACCACTGTGCAAATGTATTTTTAAGGATGGGAGTTCCGTTTTACTTTGATTTTCACATGTTTACTTTGTCGTGGTCATTGTTACATTTAAAGCTGAGTTCCCACAAAAATATTGGTGGGCTCTGGCAGTTGCATTGGCTCCGTGGGTCATAGAGTGTACCCATGATGGTTAGGTTGGCAGGTCTTTGGAAGTTTGAATGATGGTTCCAGGCATGGATCCGAAATTCTGAATATGAAGAAACCCTTAGTTGAAAAAATCGACTCTTTCACTTAAGAACAGTCCCTTTGGAAGTTTTCATTAAATTACTTGTTTCAGATTTTGAGTATATATACTGTGTTATTTTTCAGATATTATTTTTAGGCTTTTGAACAGAGAGAAAAATAAAACAGAGACTATTTTACCTATAACCATGTGTGACTTTTAAAGCAACAGTTATATCTCCAGAGAGATTTCAGAAGGTGGCAATAACATGTTTGCCATGCTATAGTGTAGTGTACTAAGCAAGTCATAGTTGATGTTGGTGTGCACTGCTATCAAAGGATATGACATAGTTTAGATACTTGCCTGTAATAAGTGTACCTTGCCTTGCAGACAATATTGTCATCAATTTAGGAAACATGCTTCAGTGAAGATTAATTTGGAATAACCTATAAGCAAAATGACTGTGTGGTTTATGAAAAAATATGAAAAGACTAAAAAACAAAATAAATAGCATGCATCTGTTGACTGTTTGCTCTAGCTCACGTGATCTCCTCGGCTTTGATACCATCGCCTCACACATTTAGTTAGGTAAACATGATTCGCAGAGGGCTGAACGCATCTCCGGAACCAGACATTTGGCATTAAAAACCAAAGATCATGTAATTACTAAAGTGATCGGATCAGGCTCTGATTTCATTTTTAAGTGCTTGCTTATTGTTTCTTAATAGTTTCATTGGATATTTCATAAACATTTACTCTTAATAGGTTGGTCTATATCCGGAGAGCACTTGTGGGCAGTACTGTTCAGTGAACCTCTGCTTCTCTCCTGCACAGTGTCTTAAGTTGGCCCCAGGAGCAGTGTCTGAAATAGAGATAGACAGTCTGATGCCTGGGATTGCCTGGGGAAGGGCTCTCAGGAGAGCAGCGTTTGGGAGGAGGTGAAGCTGGCTGAGAAAAGGGAAGGAGCCAAGCAAGGGTGTGGTTTCAGGTGCCCTCCAAGAGAAAGAATGAGGCAGGCTAAAGGGATGAAGGGAAAAAATCTAGGGGGAGGAATTTTAGATTCAGGTCTTTCTGAGGGGTGAGATCCAGGCAGGATCCAGATGATGTGAATATATGTGGGCAGAAAGTACCCCAGGCAGAGGGAACAGCATGTGCAAAGACCCTGAGGTGAGCACCTGTTTGGCGTGTTCAAGGACCAGCAAGGAGACCACTAGGGCTGAAATAGAAAGAACCAGAGAAGAGTGGAGGAAAATGCAGCAGGACCTGGTGAGTTGCGGCAGAAAGGAGAATTCTACCCTGATTCATTGAGGGGCACACAATTTCCAGTGTGACCTTCAACTTCTCCACATGCCCATCTTGTCGTCTATAAAATAAGATAAAGAGCTGGATGTTCTCCCAAGTCACACTAGCCCTAAAGTTCTGTGATTCTAAAATGAATAAGACTTACTTCCTCACCTGTCAAATGAAGACGAGTTGCTCTTAAACCTGAAGACAATTAATAGACAATGTGAAATTTCCCAGAACAAGAGCCCATGACATTGTTGTGGAAGGGGGAATTGTTGTTTAAAAGCTTAGTGCCATTTAGGAAGCAAACTGAGGAGCTCAGTGTCCCAGAAACCAACCTAATGGTGCAAGGCAAATCATGGGCATCATTTTCTTCCTGCCTTTGAATTTGAGCTTTGAGTGGTAGCATAAATGGAGGTTCACACCAAATTGTTTGGTTTTAAGATGATATGGTAGCAGAATGATATGAAAAGGCAGATATATCAAGAACATTCAGGACCTTCTTTGTTGAGATGTAATTCACACACCATAAAGCTTACCCTTTTAAAGTGTAAAATTCAGTGGTTTTTAGTATATTCACAAATTGTGGGATTGTCACAATGATCTAATTCTGAAACACTGTCATCATCCCCAAAAGAAACCCCTTACCCATTAGCAATCATTCCTTATTGTGCTCCCCCGCTAGGCCCCAGAAACCAGTAATCTGCATGTCCTATTCTGAACATTTCATATAAATGGAACCATAAAATCTATGGCTTTTGTGTCTAGCTTCTTAGTTGCTTAGCATAACTTTTAAAAGGCATATCCATCTATTAACATGTGTCAGTACTTGATTCCATTTTTACTGATGAATAGTAATTTCATTGTATGGATTTACCACATTTTGTTTACCTATTTCTCAGCTGATGGCATTTGGGTTTTTTCTGTGTTTCTGTGCTATGGATAATGTTGCTATAGACATTCATGTGCAGGCATTTGTGTGGACATTGTTTTCAATTTTTCCATGTGCTTACAGGACATTTGTATATCTTTGAAAAAAATTTCAAATATCTTGCCAATTTTTAAATTGCATTTTTTAATTATTGAGTTGTAAGTGTTCTGTAGATGCCAGTCCTTTATCAAATATATAATTTGCAAATATTTTCTCCCATCTCTGGTTATCTTTTCAGATCCATCTATTTATCTATTCTGTTTTATTTTGTTGCTTCTGCTTTAGTTGTTGCATTTAAGAAACTATTACCCAATCCAAGGTCATGAAGATTGACACCTATGTATTCTTCTAACAATTTTATACATTTAGGTCTTCTAATTAGGTGTTTTATTCAATTTTAATTAATTTTTATATGTCATGTGAAGTAAGAATCCAACTTCATTATTTTGCATGTGACTATCTAGTTGTCCCAGCACAATTTTTATTTATATCAACTAATATATTTTATTTAAAAATTTATTTTTGGAGCCTGTAAATGGATAAATTCTAAAATTACAGCAATACAGAGTATTTAACAATATTTAAATATTTCTTCTTACTCAGCCTTTGCTTGCGTTTTGCGTTTTGCTTTCCATAAACAAATATGCTGGATGAAAGCAGCAATATGCCTATCTTTAAGTTCAATGCATGAGTTCCTTGAAAGCCATTTCAATTTGGAGTTTAATAATTACTGAACTTCACGTTATTCTGTCACAGATGATAATCAAGTGGCCTACCTAAGTAGTATAAATCATAAAACTATAATATTATAAGCTAAGTCAATGGAATTTATAAAGTCAATGTAAAACAAAAACTATACTGATACACATGTGTATTGGGCCCTATTAGAAAAATGGCAAAATCACAAGTTTTGTTTAAAAAATGAGGTCCTTGGGCAAAGAGGAATGAGGAGTCATTATCATCAAAAATTAAGAAGATTGTAGGTAAAAAGAAGTCAGCCTACAATTTTAATTAAGTAAAGGAGGAAGGGATAGTACATCATGACAGTTGATAACAGTTGAGGAAAATTCCATTACCATTCTATCACAAACCGGTTGACTACCTCAAAAGCTCAGAATTAGGCACTTCAGGCATTCTGTTACTCTCCCACTAAGTCTCTTTACGTGGGACATAAACCTGCACATATGACAACAACAGAATATTATAATGCTCTGTAATCTGACAGCAAATAATAGAAAAAAATTAATGGAACCACATTATCTCACTACCCTTGAAAATAGGGGCTAAAATGAGTCACTAAGAAACAGTTTTCAAAGAGCACTGCATTACCTAATGTGATTAATACGACAAACAAAATTCAGCATTTTTCAATGGAAAAGGCCATATACTGTATTTGAAAATTAGGAATGCTTTTGATGCTGATTTTTATCAAAGTGGTACTCTAAGCCATTGAGTTGGAACAAACTCTAAACTCAAAATTAGTTGTGTCCTTCTATTTAATAAACCGATAGATGACAAAAAAGGCAAATGAAGAAAACAGCATCGTGTATCACAGCAGCTTTGTTTGTGCTATAGTTCTTGCTGTTTTGTAATGTAAGTACAATTCTTGTACTTCTTTGTTAAATTTATATCCATGTATTTATTTTTGATGCTATTATAAATAAATTTTTTAAAATTTTCATTTTCATATTGTTTATTGCAGTGAATGGAAATACAATTTATTTTTCTATGTTAATTTTGTATCTTGCAATCTTGCTGACTCATTTATTAGCTCATAATATTTTTGTAGTGTATTCTGCTGTTGTTGAGTAGTGTTCTCTCTATATAGGTACATCTATTAAATCTATATGGTTTATAGTGTTCAAATTTTCTATTTCTCTATGAATCTTTTGCCTAGTTGTTATATCACTATTGAAATGGGATGTTGAAGTCTTAAGTTTTTATTTTTGAATTGTCCATTTTTCTTCAATTCTTTCAGTTTGGGGTTTTATTGTTAGGTTGATCTATCTTTATAATTGACAGATCTTCTTGAATGAGCCTTTATGATTATAAAATCTGTTCATGTATTTTTACTAACAATTTTTGTCTAAAGGTCTATTTCACTTGATATTAATATTGCCATTCTTACTCTCTTATGGTTATATCTTTTTCCAGTCTTTTACTTTCAACTTGTGTGTCTTTCAACCTACAGTTTCAATCTACAATTTCTGTTAGCATTTTGTTGGATCATTTCTTAATCCATTTTTTCAACCTCTGCCTTTTGATTGGTTGTTAATTCAGTCACATTTAATGCTATAATTGCTATAGTTGGGTTTATGTCTGCCATTTTACTTTTTGTTTTCTATATGTCTCATGTCTTTTTTTCTATTTTTAAAATAAGTATATATTTTTTTGTGTTAAATATTTTCAGTGTATCATTTGTATTTCTTTTACTATATTATTTTGAGTTATTTTCTTAGTGGTTTCCCTGGGGATTGAAATTATTATCTTAAAACAATCTTGTCCAAATTAATATCAATTTAACTTCAATAGTATACAAACATTTTGCTCTTATATAACCCATTCCCTCTCCTTTATGCTATTACTGTCATACAAATTACATCTTTATACATTGTATATATCCCTCAACATAGATTTAAAATTATTGTTTAATGTAGTTGCCTTTTAAATAAGATAGGAATTGAAGGTGTTACAGAAAAAACATACATCTCAACTACTTTTTATATTTGCCTATGTAGTTACTTTGTATTTTGTTTATTCATGTGGATTTGAGTTACTGCCTAGTGTCTTTTTATTATAGCCTTAAGAATTCTCTTTAGTATTTCTTGTAGGACTAGAAGCAAATTGTTTATCTAAAAATGTCTTAACCTTAACTTTTGAAAGGTAGTTTTCCTAGAAATAGAATTCTTAGTTGACAGTTTCTTTCTTTCTTTCAGCACTTTGTTTTTTTTTGTCTTTTTTTTTTTTTTTTTTTTTTTTTTTTTTTTTTTTTTTTTTTTTTCTGATACAGAGTCTAACTTTGTTGCCCAGGCTGGAGTGCAGTGGTGCAATCTCGGCTCACGGCAACCTCTGCCTCCCAGGTTCAAGCAATTCTCCCACTCAGCCTCCCGAGTAGCTGGTATTACTGGTGTGCGCCACCACGCCCGGCTAATTTTTGTATTTTCAGTAGAGACAGGGTTTCACCCTGTTGGCCAGGCTGGTCTCGAATGCCTGACCTCAATTGATCCACCCACCTCAGCCTCTCAAAGTGCTGGGATTAGAGATATGAACCACTGCACCTGGCCTTCTTTCAGCACTTTGAATGTGTCATTACATTCTCTTCCAGCCTCCATAGTTTAGGAGAGGAAATCTGTGGATAATCTCATGAAAATCCCTTGTGTATGATGAGTAGCTTCTCTTGTTGTGCTTCCAGAAGTCTCTTTGTCTTCTGATTTTGAGAGTTTGATTATGATGTGTCTAGGGATGGATCTCTCTGAGATTATTATATTTGGTGTTCACTGAGTTTCTTGGTAATGTAGATTAATATTTTTCTTTAAATTTTGAAAAATTTTGGCCATTTTAAAAAAATGTCTTTTTAAAAATCTTTCTTTCCTTCTTCATCTTCTGGGACTTTCATGATGAGTATTTGGTATGCCTCATGGTGTCCCACAGATTTTTGAGGCTGTGTTCATTTTTCTTAATTCTTTTTTCTTCTCTTCCTCTAACTGGCTAATCTCAATTGACCTATCTTCAAATATGTTGATTTCTTTTCTTCTGCCAGGTTAAAATTGCTGTTGAGCCCCTTTAGTAAATTTTTAAATTTTAGCTATTTTTTTACTCCAGAGTTTTTATTTTGCACTTAAAAAATATTTCCATCTCTTTATTAATATTTTCTTTTTCATGAGACATCATTGTTATACTGTAGTTCATTACACAATGTTTTCTTTAGTTCTTTGAATGTCTTTCAAATATCTGAATTTAAGTATTTGTCTAATGAGCCCAGTATTAAATACCTGGAACCAGGAAGTTTCCCAGCCCTTCGTGAAGAATCTTTGTGTGTATTGGTACATGCTGGTGCCTTAGCCTTCATTTCCTACTTGTACAGAGCCTCGAGGTCATCCAAACATGATATCTCAGGGCCTTCTCAGGTTTTCCCAATGTGGGTGTTCAGCCCTAAGCTGTACATGGCCTTCTAGATTCACGGGTATATGTAAGAGCTTTTCAAAGTCCCCTAGAAGCAACTCATGACTTGGCTTTTTTGTTACCCTGTTGTTTGCCCCAGCTCTTCTCTTCTCATTCCCTCATGCAGTTGCAGTATTTTCAACACTCGCCACTGATTGTTTTTGACAAATGCCCCCAAAGAAAAGGCTTTTTGCACTGGTGGATGTATGGGAAAGGTAGAACAATGATGAATCTGTGATTGTGCTTTACCAGGAAGCTTCCAGACAGATCAAATAAAGACAGTTTTCTCAGAATGAAGCGTTACAGTAGGCTTTCACCCATTCTACTTCCTCCAGTGCCTGGGAGGATGCTGGTTTTCACTATTAGTGGGAAATTATTGATTTTCAAGGCTACTGCAGGGTTGGAAAGAAGGGAATGGGAATAAGACAAGGTAAAACACCTTATAACTTACTGTTTTTATTAAGATTCAGCTACTTTTCTTGAATATATTTTCCTCAAATTGAAGCAAGCATTTGGTTAATTTTCACAGTCCTGAAAATGTTGATTTTGACCATTTTTGCCAGTGTTGTTCTTACTTTAATTGAGGAAAGAATTTTCTATGCTTCTTAATTTGCCATTCCTGCTGATATCTCTCTATAACATATTTTTTAAGAAGCATGTTGCCACACAATTATCTTTTATCCAAAGATTTTTCGTTAGTGGGGAGGTTAATTGTAGCAATGGGTGAAGCAGAGCCAAGCAGCTCATTGGTGGAGGTCACTCAGGATCAATGAGAGAAGAAAGCATATAGTTAGTGTGCACACTCACCACGCAGAAAACCCAAATCATTCGGGAAAAGAAATAAGTGAAATTTTTTTAAGTAATTGGAAGTTTCTCATCTTGAAAGGAAAGGGGATAATAATGCCCATCATATGAATGGCTGGCAATTTATAGGAATAATATGGAATATGGATAGCACTTTGGGCCATGAATTGTCAGTAAGTGCTAGTATTTATCTTATAAATGGAAAGAATAAATAAGCAAGTCAATAGAAAGAAATGACAACAAAACGTTTTTTTATATTTGTGGTTATATAGCTATGAATGTATACTTTAGGCTCTGGGAAGAAAGTCACCTAATATTGTGGAGCCTATTGCCTCTTGAGATGGGTTGGCGGTCAGTGTTCTGAATAAGTTATTCCACCCAGCACGAGATTCTGGTAGCGCTGAGCTCGCCAAGTTCTTTGCATAAACATCAGTTAAAGACGGCCAATGTGCTGCCAATAGACAAATCAGAGTGAACATCTTTTTGTGGCTGGCAGGAGTATGAGTGGTGGGAAAAAGAATATATTGGGAGTTCCTGGTGAGTGAGGAGGATGAAGTGAGAGGCAATACACAGTTAGCAGGGAAGAAACATTCATAGAGTGGGAGGATGGGTGTTGACTGCCATCTTGGTTCAATGGGAAGCTGAGCTTTTAGAGTGGATCAAGCTGAAAGTACTGGTTTTGCCACATGGTCTGTGTTGATTACTTGATCTTTAATTGCTCAGATCTTCTAAATTATATCAAAGATTTTAAAAAATATAATTAACAACCTGGACCAATTTTATCAATTTGGTGAAATTAGAGGTGTTGTTGATGTTCTTTTGCCCTAAAATATTCTAATCTGGTTGCTTTTCATGCATTTAAAGAAAAATTAAAAAATACTTGGTTGATATATTTCTTATTCCTACATGTCATTCTGAGTAACCATGGATAAGTGTCTGTTAATTTAGCACTTAAGATGGAGGCATGGTGATTTATCTAAATGAAAAATTGTTTGCTTACATAATTAAAATGCAAACAGGAACACTCATATTCTAATTACCTTTCAGAGACCATTTGGGGGAATATTTATGATAACTAACTTGCTTTCCGTTGGCTCTTTAAACACCTTTTAATAAACCACAAAATAGTAGATTCTAAGAGTATCTTTCAAATGACATAAAATGTGTTTATAAAGAGTAAACTCTGTTTCCCCCCAGACTTTTACTATCTTAGTCTTCAGAGGAATCCCAGTTTCATAGCTTTTCGGGCATTTTTCTTTTTAACCAATGTATTAAACAGTTTGTTTTACACACACACACCACAAACACTGCCTTTTACTGACATACTGCACTCATTGAAAAAAAAGTATATATGTGTATGAATGTATATACCTTCATTATATGTAAGAAAGAATGTAATCATACATTAGCAGTCTCCTCAAAGCCCTCTGGTGTCTTCCAACCTTAGACTAAAGGCCGGTGTCTTTAAAAAGCTTACAAGGCCTTACAAGATCTGTATGTCCACCCCATCTTGCCTCACCCACTGTGACCCCTAGTTCACCATTTTTAGACATGGTGGACTCTTTACTGTTCCTGGACATACCAGGCATATTCCTGCCTTAAGGTCTGTGCATTTGCTATTCCCTCTGACTGAGACAATCTTGCCCTATATATTCATATGGCACCTTTTCTCTTCTTTTTTGGGTCTTTGCTCAAATGCCACTGATCACTGAAGCTTCCCCTGCTCATTCCTTTTATTATTAAGTAGCAATCTTACTCCCGCTTTCAGTTTCCCTGTCTCCTTTCCCTACTCTGCTTTTCATGGAAGCATTTACTGCCATTTGTTACGCTATGCAGTTTACCCTCTTATCAGCTTCTCCAACAAGAGTGCCTGCTCCTTACAGCAGCTGGATCTTTTTAGTTCTTTTCTGTGTCATTAGCAGCCCGAACAGTGCCTGCTACACAATAGATGTATAGTAAATACTTGACAAATGAGTGAATGGCAGTCTCAAGTTTTCATATTTAAATCCCAGAGGTTGGAATATGATGAGGAATTGTACCTATAAATTACTGTAGAAAGATGAATATTAGTTCAGTGGTATTTTGATCAATAGAAAAGGCCATCTGTGGTGAAGTTAAATTGTGAACTGCTGCTAGATTAGAAAACAAAACCTAGGACATTTGTGTTATGTGTAGGTCTTGAGCCCATACTTCAACCTTCCTGCTCTCATGGCTTTTGATAACTCTTTTGCCTTTCCCAGAAACGTGGGTTTGGGAAGTTGCTATGTCCTGGAAATCACAAAGTATATATTTATCTTGTAACACTGCCTTCTTGGTGTTGCATAAATGCTAGAAGCACCATCCCTCTCATGAAGACTTTCACCTTTGATGCCTACTGCCTAGAATGCTTCTGACTGGGTCTTCACTTGGCTCATTCCCACCCTCCAGGTATCGGCTCACCGGCCGCCCTTGCAGACTTCTCCAACTGTCCAATGCGTCCCTCCGTTTTTCAGTACCTTATCACCATGTGTATTTTACTTTGAGCATTCATCTCTAATATATGGTTTGCAATCACTTTAATTACTTATTTGTATCCATGTTTGTTGTCTGTTTTCACAGAGTAGAATGTCAACTCATGAGATGAGAGATCTTGTTTCAGTGCCTGGCCTACAGCATTAGCTCAATAAATATTTATTGAATCATTGAATGCATCCAGACTTTCAGAAATGATTCCTGGTTATAACTCAGGATTACAAATGACTTTGCTTCTTGTAAATGACTATTAATTTTGACATTTATACCTAGAATATGGTGGAATTGTGGGGTCTCTATTATAAGTCTACGTGTACATTTTAAGTACCCTTTTCTTTATATATTTCCTGATTGTAGATATTACATGTTCTAGTTGTAAAAACAAAACAAGGCTGCAGAAATTTATAATGTGTAAAATAAAGAACTGTTTATTGCCAACTCTCCCAGATTAAAATGAGATTCTTTTGATAAACTAATTGTACCTTGTTTTCTTCAAACTTAAAATATGCAATGGAACTCTTTTCATTTTGACATTTTGTGATAAACTTTATTCTTTTTAAGAACATTGTACTGTGTGGAATATACTATATATTTAGCCATCTGTGGTGAGGCTAAATTGTAAACTGCTGCTAGACTATAATACGAAATTGAGGATGTTTGTGTTATTTAAATTCATTTAAACAATTTCATATTAGTGGGCATTCATCTTGTTGCCAGTGGGTTTTTGGGTCAGTGTAAAAAGTTGCAGTAAATTTACTTCTACATCTGTGTATTTTTCTGTAGGAAAAATTCAGAAAAGTACACTTTTGTGTACTGTATTAGTCTGTTTTCATGCTGCTGATGAAGACATACCTGAGACTGGGCAATTTACAAAGGAAAGAAATTTAATGGAGAAATCACAGTTCTATGTGGCTAGGAAAGTCTCACAATCATGGCAGAAGGTGAAAAAGGTACATCTCACATGGCAGCAGACAAGAGAAGAGAGCTTGTGCAGGAAACCCCCCCTCTTATAATAACCATCAGATCTCGTGGGACTTGCTATCATGAAAACAGCAAGGGAAAGACCTGCCGCCATGATTCAGTTACCTCCCACTGAGTCCTTCCCACAAGACTGGGAATTCAAGATGAGCTTTGGGTGGGGACACAGCCAAACCATATTATTCCACCCCTGGCCTCTCTCAAATCTCATGTCCTCACATTTCAAAACCAATTATGTCTTCCTAGCAGTACCGCAAAGTCTTAACTCATTTCAGCATTAACTCAAAAGTCCACAGTCCAAAGTCTTATCTGAGACAAAGCAAGTTCCTTGTGCCTATGAGCCTGTAAAATCAAAAGCAAGTTAGTTACTTCCTAGATACAGTGGGGGTACAAGCATTGGATGAACACAGCCATTCCAAATAGGAGATATTGGCCAAAACAAAGGGACTACAGGCCTCATGCAAGTCTAAAATCCAGCGGATTAGTAAAATCCTAAAGCTCCAAAATGATATCCTTTGACTCCATGTCTCACATTCAGGTCACACTGATGCAAAAGGTGGGTTCCCATGGTCTTGGGAAGCTCCACTCCTGTGGCTTTTCAGTGTACAGCCCCTCCCTCACAGCTGCTTTCACAGGCTGGTGTTGACTGCCTATGGCTTTTCCAGGTGCACATTGCAAGCTGTCAGTGGATCTACCAGTCTGAGATGTGGAGGACAATGGCCCTCTTTTCACAGCTCTACTAGGCAGTGCCCCAGTAGGGATTCTGTGTGGGGGTTCTGACCCCACATTTCCCTTCTGCATTTCTCTAGCAGAAGTTCTCCACGAGGGCCCCACCCCTGCAGCAAACTTCTGCCTGGGCATCCAGGTGTTTTCATATAGCCTCTGAAATCTAGGCAGAGGTTCCCAAACCCCAATTCTTGACTTCTGTGCACTCACAGGCTCAACACCAGGTGGAAGCTGCCAAGGCTTGGGACTTGCACCCTCTGAAGCCTTGGCCCAAGCTCTACATTGGCCCCTTTCAGGCATAGCTGGAGTGACTGGGACACAGGGCACCAAGTCCCTAGGATGCACACAGCATGGGGACCCTGGGCCTGGCCCACAAACCATTTTCTCCTAGGCCTCTGGGCCTGTGATGAGAGGGGCTACTGTGAAGGCCTCTGGCATGCCCTGGAGACATTTTCCCCATTGTCCATTGTCTTGGGGATTAACATTCAGCTTCTAGTTACTTATGCAAATTTCTGTAGCTGGCTTGAATTTCTCCTCAGAAAATGGGTTTTCCTTTTCTATCACGTTATCAGGCTGCAAATTTTCCATACCATTTTGCTTTGCTTTCCTTATAAAACCGAATGCCTTTAGCAGCACCGGTCACATCTTGAATGCTTTGCTGCTTAGAAATTTCTTCCACCAGATACACTAAATGACCTCTCTCAAGTTCAAAGTTCCACAAATCTCTAGGGCGGTGGCAAAATGCCACCAGGCTCTTTGCTAAAACATAATGAGAGTCACCTTTGCTTCAGTTCCCAATAAGTTCTTCATCTCCATCTGAGACCACCTCACCCTGGACCTTATTGTTCATATCATTATCAGGCTTTTGGTCAAAACCATTCAACAAGTCTATAAGAGCTTCCAAACTTTCCCACATTTTCCTGTCTTCTTCTGAGCCCTGAAAACTGTTCCAATCTCTGCCTGTTACTCAGTTCCAAAGTTGCTTCCATATTTTTGGGTATCCTTTCAGCAATGCCCCACTCTACTGATACCTATTTACCATATTAGTCTGTTTTCATGCTGCTGATAAAGGCATACCTGAGACTGGGCAATTTACAAAGGAAAGAGGTTTAATGGAGAAATCACAGTCCCATGTGGCTGGAGAAGCCTCAGTCATGGCAGAAGGTGAAAGGCACATCTCACATGGCGGCAGACAAGAGAAAAGAGCTTGTGCAGGAAAACTCCCCTTTATAATAACCATTAGATTTTGTGAGACTTACTCACTATCACAAGAACAACACAGGAAAGACATGCTCCCATGATTCAATTACCTCCCACTGGGTCCCTCCCACAACACGTGGGAATTCAAGATGAGATGTGGGTGAGGGCACAGCCAAACCAAATAATGTACATTAATATGTTTTATAAATTTATATTGTGAATAATTTAAAGAAAGAAAAAAATAAGGCTGGAGAATGAAGAAGACTCTTACCTAAAACATAACAAAATAGGAAACAGTGCTCAGGAAACAGTGAGAGTTTTTGAGATGCTATACCTGAAAGGCAAAAATTGGAATTTTATTCTCACAGATAAAATAATTATGACAATTACTAAGCAGCACAGAAGAACATGTATAGCCTCTGTTAAATGAAATAGCATTTTATAAAATCGTATATACACTATTTTAGCAACCACTTAAAATTATGCATATCTATGAACCATTATGGGAAAAAAGATTTTTTGAAATTTGATTAATTAGGAAGGATAAATCAGGACAGTATTTGTTTTCCTTTCTTTTCATTTTCATTGCCCTTGTTAGTGAAGTGGTCATAAACTTAACCCAGTTTCAACCGGGAGCTGAAACAAGGGTGTGACAAGGACTGAAACAGGGATGGATGCATGGAATTGAGGAAGCGGGCAGAATCAATATGCAAAAGGCAGGGCATCCATTCAGGGCTGCAGAGGGGAGGTCAAGGAGGGATGATGAAAGAACATCAAGCTGTGTGGCCATGGCAAAATGATTTCTGATTCCGTGGAGGTATATAAGCAAGATAGCAGCAAGACAGTTTAGATATTTACATTAGTTTGAAACTAAGTAACATTAAGTATACTTTTCTCTGAAAAAATTTCCATAAGATCTGTATTATTTCTTTTTTAAAATTTGGAAGAATTCACTTGTGAAACGGTGTGGATCTGGGGTGTTTTTTTATAGATGGGTTTCTAAAAATGAATACAATTTTTTTAAAAGATAAAACACTCCTCAATTTGTTAATTTCTTCTTGTTTCAGCTTTTAAACATTAACATTTCTCAATAAATCTGCCCATTTCATCTAAATTGTCAAACATATGGGTAAAAGTTGTTTATAATAGCTGCTTGTCTTTTAAATGTCTGTAGTCACATCTTTCTTTGTTGTTTTGACATTGGATTTGTTTACTCTCTTCTTTACTTTTGGCCACTATTCCTAGGAATTTATCAATTTTATTAATCTACTAAAGAGCCAACTTTTGGCTTTGTTCATTTTCTTAGATTGTATTTTTAAAAACTTCCATTTCCTCAGCATCTTCCCTCACATAGCCATGCTATCTGTCTTTGCTAGATTGTGGCAAGCAGGAAGGGGAAAAAATGCTTCAGGTGAAGAACCAGGAGATAAAGGTCACAATTCAGGGAAAGTCACCATCCCCCACCCTTTCCCTCAACACAAACCCTCTTTCCCTGGAGTACAGGCAACAGAACAATTACATTTTAGATATATCTATATTAGAAAGATATGATCTACTTAACAATGAGCCTGGTTAAATTATGAAACTTATACTGTTTCTCAGATTTTCCCCTTTTTTTGCTGCTAAAGATTTAGATCAATGTTGCCAAAGTTTTCTTTTCTTTTTTTTCTAAAATATACAGAGTCTTCCATTGTTTACCAGGCTGGTCTTGAACTTCTGGGGTCAAGCAATCATCCAGCCTTGGGATCCCAAAATGTTCAGATTACGGGAGTGAATCACCATGCCTGGCCTCCAAACATTTTAAAACTTTCCTTTTTGCAAAGGAGAGTGTGTGGAAGACAGAGGCAATCAAAGCAGCTCCTCACGGGTTCCAGTGGTCTTTGAAGTTTCATTGGAGAGTTTCATTACTGAGGTGGTCAAGAGTATGGGCCCTTAGCTTGATCTACCACTTACAAAGTGTGTGGGCCTGGAGGGCAGTGCATACTTACATTTCAGAATTGAAGACGAGGATAATATTACTGGGTCAAAATTCTTCAGTTTTAGTCCAGACCATTTGGGTGTTCCAGAGACCAACTATCTCCCCTTTTCAGAGACAATGCTGTCATTCTTTTACATGAGGCTTACTCTTGGCACAGGCTAAGACATTTAAATTGGTTCAGGGCTCTCAGATCCCTTATTTATAATCCCAATCTGATCTCCTGATGTGTGGGTGACCAGGCATCATTTCAAGTCTGATTTGAAAATGTCGCCTGTTTCAAAGATCACAAAACAGTTGGGATATTGCTACTTAATAAATCCTTTATTTTGCATGGAATATTTGATCCATAAAATCCCATTTACAAATACCTTTAAGGCAACATTTCTCCAAGCTGGTATTAAGAAGCAAGAACACTGTGAGATGTTTCAGTGAAAAACACACACACACACACACGCACAAACACACACAACAACAACAACAAAATAATTATTTCACAGTCAGATATGTTTCTTTTTTTTTTAAGCCCAATCTTTTTTTCTATAAGTTATTGGGGAACAGCTGGTGTTTGGTTACATGAGACAGTTCTTTAGTGGTGATTTGTGAGATTTTGGTGCACCTATCAGCCGAGGAGTATACACTGCACCCTATTTGTAGTCTTTTATCCCTTGCCCGCCTCCCATCCTTTTCCCCAAGTCCTCAAAGTCCATTGTATCATTCTTACGCCTTTGTGTCCTCATAGCTTAGCTCCCACGTATGAGTGAGAACATATGATGTTTGGTTTTCCATTCCTGAGTTACTTCACTTAGAATAATAGTCTCCAATCTCACACAGGTCACTGCAAATGTCGTTAATTCATTCCTTTTTATGGCTGAGTAGATCCCATCATATATATATATATATATATATATATATATATATATATATATATATATATATATGTACCACGGTTTCTTTATTCACTCATTGATTGATGGGCACTTGGATTGGTTCCACGATTTTGCAATTGCAAATTGACTGACCTTCAACAAAGCAAACAAAAACATAAAGTGGGGAAAGGGCACCCTTTTCAAAAAATGGTGCTGGGATAATTGGCTAGCCACATGCAAGAGAATGAAACTGGATCCTCATCTCTCACCTTATGCAAAAATCAACTCAAGATGAATTAAGGACTTAAATCTAAGACTGGAAACTATAAAAATTCTGGAAGATAACTTTGGAAAAACCCTTCTAGACATTGGCTTAGGCAAGGATTTCATGACCAAGGACCCAAAAGCAAATGCAACAAAAACAAAGATAAATAGTTGGGACTTAATTAAACTAAAGAGCTTTTGCACAGCAAAAGGAACAGTCAGCAGAGTAAACAGACAAACCACAAAGTGGGAGAAAATCTTCACACTATACATCTGACAAAGGAGCAATATCCAGAATCTACAACGAACTCAAACGTATCAGTAACAACAACAAAAAAACAAACAATCCCAACAAAAAGTGGGCTAAGGACACAGTCAGATATGTTTCTGAAACATTGAGTTCTCAGCATCCACCTTAGAGAGCCTCATTGAACTTTAGTTTATTTATCTCTGAAGAATTGTACAGAAAAACTAACAATATGGTATCTGAGTCTGGGTTCTCCTAGTGCAGACCCAGAAATAAGGTTGTACTTGTAAGTAGTTATTTGGGAAGTGATGCTGGGAAGCACTGCTAGGGAGAAGGGAAGTAAGACAGAGGGGCCAGCAGCCAGTAGAACACATATGGTTAAACAGGTTACTGCTGAGGAATTCAGTCCGGCCAGGGACTTCTGAGAGATGGTGGAGACCACATCACAGTGGTGAGAAAGGCAGAGTGGTAACCTGCCCTCCAATCCATCATCCACTGAGGGAGGCTCCTGCAGCATTCACCCCAGGCTGCTCCAGCCTGACTTGGGCACACTGAGAGAAAGCCCTCAGGCAGTGGGTTTTAGGGCTCTGCAATGGGAGGCGGCCAGCATGTAATGGACAGATAGGTGCTTTGGGGATGTGGGTGGACACTCTCAACTCTGCTACATTCAGGATTTCTCAAGTTTGACTACACAATGTCCTTTTCCTGTCTCTCCCCTGTGGATATTCCCTCACCTTTTGATAAGAGCTATCAACATTCCATGGACCCAATGTTTTGTTCCATGTCCTTGGGATCACTATAGTTTTAGGTTATGCTTTTTCTTACCCAGATCAACATCATAACCAGGAAATGAGGGGTCCATAAGATTTGCTTTTATAAAAGAATGTCTAACCCAAAAGTAGAAACATCTTTTTTTTTTTTAACTTTTATTTGAGTTTTAGAGCTACAGGTGCAGGTTTGGTATATAAATTGTTTGTTGTGGGGGTTTGCTGTACATATTCTTTTGTTACTCAGGTAATAAGCACAGTGCTGGATACATGGTTTTTAGATCCTCACCCTTCTCTCCAACTCCCAAGTAGGCCTCAGTGTCTATTATTCCTTTCTTTGAGTCCATGTGTATTCAATGTTTAGTTCCCACTTATAAGTGAGCACATGTGGTGTTTGGTTTTCTGTTCCTGAATTAGTTCATTTAGGATAATGGCCTCCAGCTCCATCCATGTTGCTGCAAAGGACGCTATTTTCTTCTGTTTTTATGGCAGCTTACTGTTCCATGGTGTATATGTGCCACATTTTTTTAAACCAGGCTAGCACTGATGGGACTCTAGGTTGATTCCACATCTTTTCTATTGGGAATAGTGTTGTGACGAACATACGCATGCATGTGTCTTTATGGTAGAACGATTTATGTTCCTTTGGGTGGATACCCAGTAATGAGACGGCTAGGTAGAGTGATAGTTTGGTTTTGCGTTCTTTGAGAAATCAACAAACTGCTTCCCACAGTGGCTGAACTAATTTTCATTCCCACCAATAGTGCATAAACATTCTCTTTTCTCCACAACCTCACCAGCATCTTTTATTTAAAAAATTTTTAACAATAGCCATTCTAACTGATGTGAGATGCTATCTCACTGTGGTTTTGACTTGCATTTCTCTAATAATTAGTGGTGTTGAGCATGTTTTCATATGCTTGTTGGCTATATGTATGTCTTCTTTTAGAAAGAAGAAACCTGTCTGCTCACGTCCTTTGCCCACTTTTTAATGGTGTTGTTTCTTTTTTTGTTTGTTAATTTGTTTAAGTTCTTTATAGATGCTGGATATTAGACCTTTGTCAGATGCATAGTTTGCAAATGCTTTCTCCCATTCTGTGTGTTGTCTACTTACTTAATAGTTTATTTTGCTGTGCAGAAACTCTTTAGTTTAATTAGGTCACATTTGTCAATTTTTGGTTTTTGTTGCAACTGCTTTTGGCATCTTTATCATAAAGTCTTTGCTAGGGTCTATGTCTAGAATGGTATTTCCTTGGTTTTCTTCAAGGGTTTCTTTTTAGTTTTAGGTTTTACATTTAAGTCTTTAATCTATCTTGAGTTGATTTTTGTATATGGTGTAAGGAAGGGGTCCTGTTTCAATCTTCTGCATATGGCTAACCAGTTATCCCACCACCATTTATTGAATAAGGAATCCCTTCACCATTGCTTGTTTTTGTTAGCTTTGTCAAAGATCAGATAGTTGTAGGTGTGCGGCTTTATTTCTAGGCTCTCTATTCTGTTTCATTGGTTGATGTACCTATTTTTGCACTAGAGCCATGCTCTTTTGGTTATTATGGCCTTGTAGTATAGTTTGAAGTCAGATAATGTGATGCCTCTAGCTTTGCTCTTTTTGCTTATGATTGTTTTAGCTATTCAGGCTTTTTTTGGTTCCATATGGACTTTAGGATAGCTTTTTCTAATTCTGTGAAGAGCATCACTGGTAGTTTGATAGGAATAGCATTGAGTCTGAACAATGCTTTGGGCAGTATGGCCATTTTAACAATACAAAAGAACAAACTTCTACCTCTGTTTGCCATCTCCACTGCTCAGCCCCACATGCAAATATATCCCTTGCAGAATGTCTTATGCCACTGCCTGCTCCACTTACTCTGGTCATGTAATCACCTACATCCAAACTCAGTGGGTAAAACATGGCACCTATTCAACTTACAGAGCCTGTAAGTTGGCTTAGACAGAGCACAGTGGAGTTGTCTGGTTTCTGCTCTGCAATGTCACGGCCTCACATGGAAGATGCCAGGATGGGCTGGACTCATCTGTTCCTCCCTCACATGGCTAGGACCAGCACTGGGGAGATTCACACAGAGAGGAGCTGGAACACTGGGGGCTCCCTGGGCGTGTGTATCTGTAGATGGCCTCTCAGCATGGCAGCCTCAAGGTAGGGAGGCTTCTTCCCTGAAGGCTCAGGGCTCCCAAGGTGGGGGTCTCAAGGGAGAGCAGGCCAGCTGGAAACATCAACTTTTATGACCTAACGTCAGGAGCCATGCATCATCACTTCTGCACATCTATCCATCAGGATAGTTACACAGGTGTGCCCAGGTGTAGAGGGAGGAAATACAGGCCCCACCTCTCGTGAAGAAGTGGCGTTGCATTGAAAGGGCAGTGTGTGGAACAAAAGAGGTAAGAAGGCAGCTGTTTTCTGAAAAATGCAGCCCCCAACCCTGCCTAGGAATCTCAACAGGAGATGAATGAGGTGCACCTCTCTAGAGTCTGGGGAAACTGCTCCCACTTCCCGGTCCCCAAGCCATGTTGGACTCTGCAACACAGAAAGAACGACCATCCTCCTCTTTTTTCTGCAGGGCCTGGACATGCCTTCTTTTTTGTTCCCTTTTCGGCACCTGGCATCATGCTGCACACAGCAGGAGTGAAGGACTATGTTTGAGTGAATGAGTGCATTGCCTCCTGCTTCATTTTAGCATCTCTTGTTAGGAGAAAAGGGCAGAGGAAACAGCACAAATGCCAAGCTTCGTGGAATTCAGTGGGAGAGCCGATGCATCGGCCTTCCCTCGGTGCCTGTCACAGTGCTGGGGCTCCACGGCCTCCCTTGCTCTGCTCCTCGTGACATCCATGGAACAGGCACTCGAACCCTCCCCCTCCTCTTACATGTGGAGGGGACTCATATCCAGAGATTCTGACTGCGATTCCCAAAGCACACAAGCACGAGGAGGAAGGGAACCCAAGTTTGCCTGATAGAAGAGTCCAGGCTTTCTTTCTGGAGCCCATTTTCCTTTAGAAGGAGGAAGTAGACCTCCAGGAGCTCTATTTCAAAGCCCTCCCCTCTGATCTCCTTCAGATGGATGGCACCGAGCCGGGGAGGAGCTGTTTCGGCTCCCTCCGCTCCCAAGCTGGCTTACAACTCCTGCTCTGTGAGGCTGACTCCTCCCCTTTCTCCACATGCCGCTGTATATTGGAGTCTTCACCGCTCAGTTCAACATTCAGGAACCTCACTTCATTTTAATATGTTTTGCTCTGACAGAAAATTCATTTCCCTGGAGCTGAAGCTGCTCCCCCTGCCAAGAGCTGAACTGGCTGGTGCCAGTCCCGGGGTTCTGGCTGTGCCAAGTTCAAGGATGAAGGGTAGGTCCCTTCTCCTGCCATTTACCTTCCCAGATTCTTTCACAAGTTGGGTTGGAACCAGGAACTGGAAGTCCAGGAGGGTGTTTTGTTTCTCTCATTGAGGTTTTCTAGTGAGTACCACCCCGAACCCCACATGCGAACAGGGACCTAAATGACTCACCCTGCAGGGGTGGAGCAGGGGCCTCCGCAGTCCCGAGTCTAACCTCCACCAGGGCAACCTGAGCCTGCAGCCTGATCTCCACCCCTCATGGAAACAGCCTGGCTGCAAAGATTTTACTGCCCGAGGGACACGGGGAAAAGGCCACCCCTCTGCCGCATATGAGTCACTGGTCTATAAACAGCTGCTGGGCGCCTGAATGCCCCTCACACTTTGTTTGCCAGCCCGAAAGCCTCATATTTCCCTGCAACGAACTGCTACTTTTTTAGGATTGTAGGAGTTTTACAAGCTTTAAGAAGTTTATAGTGTCAGATTAAGTAAGATCCAGCGCTAAGAATTCGATTTCATGTTTTCAAGAGAATTCATACACGCGGCTCATAAATTCTGGAACAAGATCCCTACAGACTCCAGCATAACTGATCTAGGAGAAACTCTCTATGAAACCTTTCTCTTTGGTGAGTTATGGAAAATATTTGCTGCCTACAGCCTGGGGTGATGGCAAACATTCTTGTGCAGGCCTGGTGTCGGGGTGCACAGTGATGTGGCACAGCTGTGACCATGCCGGTTGGTCTCGAGCTTGCGGCCTGTCACAGGGTGTTTACCTGAGAATGAATCTGAGAGGCCACAGGGCTGGAACTGTGTCTCGCGGGCGGAGGAAAATGTGCACAGCTATTTTAAAGCCGAGGGCTGTACATCTTGTTCACGGCCTGCTGTTCACAAGGACAAACAGGGCTCACCTAAGGAGAGGGACAGTCTTTAAACAAACCTCGTTACACTTCAAGAGTCGCTTTCAAATTGGAAAGAAAGGGGGACAAAAGGGTCTTACATGCGTCTATGATGGATGAGACACACAGGCACAGAAGCAGCGGCAGACTCACATTCTCCTTGCTGCTGGGGAGCCTGAGAGACAGCCTGGTGGGGATATGCATGTGTACATGCTCATACAGATCAGCCTTGCACACAGATATGCACACATGCACACAGACGGACACACAGCCACACATACCTTTACACGCACAGATGCATACAAACCTACACACACGCACATGCTCACACACAAATACACATGCACACAGGCACACATCCACACACCTATACACGCGTAGATACACAAATCCACACACATGCACATGCTCATGCACAGATATACACACAGATAGACACACATCCACACACACCCATACACACATAAATACACAAATCCACACACACGCACATGCTCACACACAGATATACACACATGCACACAGATAGACACACACTCACAAACATACACACAGAGGTATATACACATCTGCGCACATGCACATGATCACATACAAATATACACACAAATTAACACAAACATATATACATGTGCAAACACAGAGATATACACAGTCACACATGCACACACGTGCACACATCTAGACACATGCAGATATGTGTACACATTCACACATATAGACACACACACAAATTCACACACGTCCACATTCACTCAGAGATATACACATACATTTACACATATATACATTTCCAAACACAGATATATATACATTCATACATGCACACACATGCACATATATGCACACCGATATGCACACACATATACATACATATACAACATGTGCACTCACACAGATATTCACACAAACTCACACACATTCATAGACATACATTCACACACACTTGCATACAAATCTAAAAACAGACAAGTATAAACGTGTTCAATACACGGAGATGCTCAAGCATATACACACTCTCACTCATGCACACTCACATGCACACACACTCATCAGCACTGCACATGCATGCTCACCTCAGAGACCAACACGCACTCCCACATAAACTATCACACATGCACATACAGTCTCACACTACCTCATACACATCCCCACACCCACATAGACGTTTGTAAGCACATTTCTTTACATACAGGCCCTCACACACGTTCTCACTGATGGACTCACACACTCCCTTACACACTCATACACATACAGCTTGCACTGAAACACACGAATGCCGTGTCTCTGGTTCTTCTGAACATTTTTAGAAAGTGTTGTTGTCCCCAGCTCTGGGAACACCCTCCCTTTGGAGGCCCGCGTGGGCCCAGTTGCCCTAGTGTGCCCATCCACGCGCGAAGGAGTTTAGGTCGAAAGGTTTCTGCTACTTTCTCCCTCCTGTGTCCTCCAAAAGGAAGACGGTGACTACTATGGTGGTTTTGAGGCCACCTGGGGAGCTGCAGATAGATTCTCCTTGGTGGGTTGAATCTTCATGGCCAGGTTCATTGACTCTGAGAAGTTAATGAGCAATTTGCATTTTCCTGTTTGATTACCTGTATTTTGTCAGCTGAAGTTTATTTTATGCAAATGGGTCACCTCTCTGCACCCTTCCATTCTTCCCAGGTGTTTTCATGTGCTGCCTACGATGAGGTAGATGAAAGAATTTTTTGAGTGGGTCACTGGATTTTCTTCTACCTCGAGTTGCCTTGAAAAACGCAACTCTAGTAAATGTCAGTTTGACTGCAGGAGGCTGTGGCTCAGCTGTGTTTCGATATTGTTTTGGATATAGATGGCGAGTCAGGGCACTTTCCCTGTATTATCCAAATACTTGTGTATTTTTACACGTTTAAATTATTTAAGCATTTAAATTATAATTTTATTAACACATAAAGGAGTAAATTTCTCTTTAAACCAACTAAATAGTTTTAATATTATCATAATTCCTTTCAGTTTCTTATACCTATAACCATAAGTAAGCTAAATGGAGTTTTATAATTTATATTAAAGTTCTTATCTGAATCCCTGGGTTCTAACCCTTATTCTTCAGAATGATCAGATATCCTTCCATGTAAATAAATGTTGATGTTTTTGGATCAGCTGGTAAAACAGAAAAACAGGAAGAGACAGGCCTGCACAAGAAGCATCATCTTTTTTGTTGTATGTTAAAATACATAATAAAATTTACTATCGTAACAATTTTAAATGTACAGTTCAGTGACATCAAGTACGTTCACATTGTTATGCAACCAGCACCACCATTCATTTCTAGAACTTTTTCATCTCGCAAAACCAAAACTCTGTAACCATTAGACAACAACTCCTCACTTCCCCTCCCACTATGTCTAGCACCCACCCTTCTACTCTCTGTCTCTATGAATTTGACTACTCTAGGTATACCTCAAGTAAGTTGGATCATACAGTATTTGTTCTTTTGTGACTGGCTTACATCACTTAGTCTAATGTTCTCAATGTTCATCCGTATTGTAACATGTGAGAACTTCCCTCCTTTTTGAGGCTGTATAATATTCCATTGTGTGGAGATAACTACATTTGCATATCCATTCATCCATTGATTGATAAACACTTGAGTTGCTTTCATCTTTTGGGTATTGTGAGTAATCCTTCTGTGAACATTGGTGTTAACAGACTGTTTTTTGTTTTTTTTTTTAAAGACCTGACACTGTAGATTTCTTTTTCTAAAAAATTATTATTTTCTTTAGAGACTGATGAAGGTTGGAGCTGACACATGGGTTTTCAAGAAGCTCTCCCCTCCCCATGATTCTAATGGGCAGCCAATATTGTCATCCACTAGGTGAGAGGAAACCCAGATCTCCTTTGGGAGCAATGTCCCCTACACCTGTGAAGAGAGGTGGGGAAGGGTCCTTGCCATAGTTCATAAGTCTGGTTTTCTCTTTACATCTATGAGCTCAATTTTTAGTTTCCACATTTAAGTGAGAACATGCAGTATGTGTCTGTCTATGCCTGGCTTACTTCACTTAGCATAATGTTCTCCAGGATCCTTTATGTTGCTGCAAAAGACAGGATTTCATTCTTTTTATGGCTGAATAGTATTCCACTGTGTACATATACCACATTTTCTTTATCCATTCGTCTGTGGATGGATATTTAATATTTAGGTTGATTCCATATCTTAGCTATTGTGAATAGTGCTTCTGTTATTTTTAAAAAGAAATAGACAACAGCTAGATCATAAAACTTCATTTAGCCTAAATGCATTAGCCCCGATTCCCAGGGGCAAGCATGTCAGTTCCTCCTTAGTTGCTCCAGGGCCTTTTTTTAAGCACCGGCATTATGGGTCCATCTGTGATCAGTAGAGTGTGTGGTAATATCCCAACTCAGAGCCCACAAATTCAGACCAGGAGTGCTCTGTTCCCCTGGCCGATGCTTCCCTTTTTTGTCCTCCCCACAGGAGTAGTATGGACGGCCCACAAGTGTGGAGGCCAGTTCTGGAGTTTATACCCATCCACTGGGATGAGAAATGAGGGCTTGGAGCTGTAACTAAAAAAATTTTTTTCTCACCCCTGTCTGAAGCTTTACTTTTCATATCTGGACACTGGCAGCTAAATGACAATTAGAAAACAAATGGAAACCAATTCCAACAAGAAAAGACCACCTGAGGGATACTTAGAGTCTTTCTTGGTTGAGTTTTCTCAGGACTCATTGGCTTAGAACCATATCTGGAAATGGTTGCAGAGACGAGAAGGGATGTGTGGCGATAAGAGGGTGTATTGGAAAGGGGAGTTGGGTGACATCTTCCAGAACTTTCCAGCTTGCTTTCTTTAAAACCACTCAAGGACTAACCACAGCAAGTATACAACGGCAGTAATAGATGATTATATTTTGTTGATTTCTACCATTGCCTTGTACTGTGCTTTATTTTCATTATCAAGTTTACTGTGTGGATGAATAAAGCAAGACAAGCAATTGTGTCTCTATTTACCAGTGAGGAAAATGAGGCTCAGAAGGGCTAACTCACTCGCCCAAGGCAACACATTAGAAACCGACCTGAGAAGGTGCACATGAGACTTTGCTTTTCTTTCTCCCTCCGGAAATGCCTCCCTCCTTGTTTACTTATTGTTTACTTACCTGTCCTCCTCGGGGGCTGTCTGGGGTGATGACAATCACAGGCTCTGGGGTGGGCCAGATGCTGGGTAATTTATCAGCCCTGCAACCCTGGGAGACGGATGTAACCACTGTAAAATGGGACTATAGGATCATGAATGTGAGATCGTAAACATAAAGGACTCAGAAGACGGAGAATGTTCAATAAATCAGTGTTTTTAGAATTATGGCTCACATCTAATTAATGGGATGCAGGCTGAATTTTTTTTTTAGGTGGACTTGACCTCCACCCTTCAACCTCTGGCTCAAACTCTCTTATGCTTATCTCAGTTTAAATGATCTTCCACTGCCTCCTCTGAAATTCCCCGAACCCTCTAAGTGGGATCTCACAGTGTATTATTCTATTCTCCAAATGCTTCAATAAAAGTAAATTCTTGAATTCAGTTTATTACCTGGTTTAATAATTTTTGGAACGTTGTGCTGGGTTCACAGTGAGTTCCATAAGGACATTCTGGCCATTGATCCATCTAAACACTAGCTGTGTCTTTGCTGGAATTGGGAGAAACTCTGTAGGTGTTTCTTGGGACTTGGGCACCATGCTTGGTATTTTACACAACCAAACCTGAAATTGCAGAGTCTCCCCAGCAACAATGAGTGAGAAATCCACCAGATGCACATATCCCCACTGAGAGCAAGACTATTTACTTCGTTACATTTTATACCCAGGAACAACTTGGTTAATATAAATGATAGGATACAGCAAAGCAATTTCCCAGTCTGTGGGGCAGAGAAGATCCCTGGGGAGAAGTAGAATGATTCTGGAGAGCCTGGAAATCAGGCTACCATGTATGGCCTGTGGGCTGAGCAAACACTAAGCTTTCTGCCCTAGGTGTATTTCATCAAATTTAGGATACTATTGATTGTAAAGCCCACCATTATTTATGTACTACTAGAAAATAAATACTGACATTATACCGTTGGCACAATGACTAAGGTATCATCAATTTTCAACAACACACCAAGACTACAAATGTTAAAGTATAAAATGAGAAAATGTGTTAAAATTGATCAAATAGGTTATGCACTATTTTTGAAGTGAGACTAGGCATTCTGTTAAAGTAAATTTGTAAAATTCAGATGTATTTGAAAATGTTACAGAATTCATAATAGCATTTTCCCTTTCTTCAAGGATTGCTAAAAATACAACTATTAAGTGTTTTGACCTTAAAAAGAGCCTTGATTCTCAATAATTTTGAAACCATTAGTGAGGATTTCTTTCTCTCTGCCTTCTCTCTGGGGGTTCTTGTGAAAAATCATTGACTCTCCAGGGAACAAATCAAATTCTAAAGAGGGTCCCAGAGAAGCTGCTAATTGGAAACAATCAACAAACGATTGGCTCTATTAAGAAGTGTGCTATGTCAGCCCTTAGCTTGTTACACTCCTAAGTGAATATAATTTCCAGAAAAATCCCAGAATGCAACAAAATATCTTAAGAAATGTTACACTTGGGGAAGTAAAGAACACAGGACTTAAGTTGTCAAAAATTAAAATCTTTCCCTAAGCACAGCTCTATCAGGTTTTTTCAGAGTATATTCTCAGATCCATTATCAGATTTTAATCTCACAAGTCTGACCAGAAAATTCATGGGAGACCTCTATGACTATTCACATGTGGGACGGACATTCAGAAAATGCGTTGCAAAGAGCATGGAGGCAAAGGCCACCAAGAAGTCGCTGGAATCAATGGCAGCCTTTGCAAAAACGTTCCAAATTCTTAACAACCATGACTTATATTTTCACAACTTAGTTTTTAAGGACCAGATGACTGAGTCTCAAATATTGAAATTTCCAGTAAACAATGAAAAGTCTAAGTGTTCAGTGGGTTCAAAGGAACACACCAGTAACAAATATTTAGAAAAATTAATGTCAGATAATTTGATGGGATTTTATAGAAGTGTTGGTTCTCACAGATTTAGTAATGTTTAAGATGATGGCCCATGAGTTCGCTTTCTGGTTCCTTGAATAAAATGCCCGACAGTGCATTGTCCTATCTTATCTCTGTGTTTAGGCCACTGCCGTGCAGAAGCATCCTTTCTTTCATAGGCAGGCAGGCAGCGTCCACAGGTGTGAATCCAGAAGTCAATGGCATCTGCACCTTCAGAATATCTACCTGACTTTCCCTACAAGACTGAGGTTTCAGAACCCACACCAACTCTGTGGGTCTTATTACCAGATTCACCCCCAGTGTCTGCTCTGGACCAAAAGGGCAAAAATCAAGGCATCTGGATAAGTGGCTGCTAGTCCTGTCCTTCCACTGACAATTAATTGAATCTGTCTGTACAGGTCCCTGGACCTCATCTGAAAAGGTGGTTGCGGAAAGTGAGAGGAGCCGATGCTTCTCTCTCTGCTTTCTTTTCAGGCCTAAGCCTCTGTTCTCATTTTAGTTTCTCTGGAGAATTTAATGGACTTTATAGACACAATACACCCTATTCCATCCTACAACCCAGAATCATTAGAAATAAGACTCGCAGCCAGGCTTGGTGGCTCACACCTATAATTGCAGCACTTAGGGAGGCCGAGGCGGGTGGATCACCTGAGGTCAGGAGTTCGAGACCAGCCTGGCCAACATGGTGAAACTCTGTCTCTACTAAAAATATAAAAATTAGCAGGGCGTGGTTGTGCACACCTGTAGTCCCAGCTACTCGGGAGGGTAAGGCAGAGAATTGCTTGAACCCGGAAGGCGGAGGTCGCAGTGAGCAGAGATCGTGCCAATGCACTCTAGCCTGGGCGACAGAGTGAGAATCTGTCTCAAAAAAAAGAAAACAAATAAATAAGTAAAAAGACTCGGTGGCCAGGCACAGTGGTTCATGCCTATAATCCCAGCACTTTGGGAGGCCAAGGTGAGTGGATCACTGGAGGGCAGGAGTTTGAGAAATAAGGCTCACTGGATTTCAAGAGGCATTCGGTGACATCAGATTTTCCCAAATTTGCCAGAAAGATAATTTTACCTGATTAAAAAAACTTGCCAGAAAGACATAAGACATGTGGTAAAAACTCTTTATAGTTTTCTTTGAACTGAAATTCTTTTTTTTTTTTTTTTGAGACAGAGATTTGCTTTTGTCGCCTAGGCTGTAATACAGTGGCACGATCTCAGCTCACTGTAAACTCTGCCTCCTGGGTTCAAGCAATTCTCCTGCCTAAGCCTCCCAAGTAGCTGAGATTACAGGCCCCCGCCACCATGCCTGGCTAATTTTTGTATTTTCAGTAGAGATGGGTTTTCGCCATGTCAGCCTGGCTAGTCTCAAACTCCTGACCTCAAATGATCCACCTGCCTCAGCCTCCCAAAGTGCTGGGATTACAGGCGTGAGCCACCACGCCCGGCCTGAACAGAAATTCTTGAAGCCAGAGAGTTATTAAAGCTAGACAGAAATACACTTTTGCATCCCTTTTGCTAAAAGCCACCAGGCCTGGCAAAGCTATGACTCTATTCAGCCACAGCATTCAGAGGCTGGGCCGCAGCATTCAGGGGGAGCAGTTCCTGCTGAAACAACTGGCATGCCCAGACTCTAAGAGAAGGCCAAATACTAGTATCAATCAACGGGTGCTTCCTGAGTGCCTGCTACAGATATCACACATGCTACACGCCTGGTCCTGACAACTAGTCCTAACTAACTAACAGCCAAGCATTTTGGCCCATTAGAGAATCTGTAAGAAGGGCACCATGGCTGCCTAGGACTCAAATGAGAGAGACCAAAGCCCCAGAAGCTAGAACCAATTGAGAAAAAGTTTCCGAGAATTTGCTAACATTTCACTTGCCCTTATTATTGTGGAAGCTGAAATTTAGGTCTTTATTAAAAAAATCATATTAATTTATTTGATTAGAAAATGGTTATTGGGGTACTGGTGTATATGAGTCAGTGTGGAAAGCAAAATCAATGCTGGCCTTGCTTTTTAGAAGTGCAGGTGTTTGAGATGCTGTCTGAGAAGAACATGTTATGATACAGATGTTGCACATCTGGAATGTGGAGCTCATTTCATTTATTTATTTATTTTTCTTTTTTTGTTTTTTTTTGTGTAAATTTATGGAGTACATGAGAATTTTTTTACAAGGTATGTAATGCATAGTGATCAAGTCAGGGTATTTAGGGTCTCTCTCTCTCTCTCTCTCTCTATATATATATATATATATATATATTTTTTTTTTTTTTTTGAAGCTGAGTATCTTTGTCACCCAGGCTGGAGTGCAATGGCGCGATCTCCGCTCACTGCAATCTCTGCCTCCTGGGTTCAAGCAATTCTCCTTCCTCAGTCTCCTGAGTAGCTGGGACTATAGGCATGCATCACCATGCCCGGCTAATTTTTTTGTACTTTTAGTAGAGACGATGTTTCACCATGTTGGTCAGGTTGGTCTTGAAATCCTGACCTCAAATGATCTGCCTGCCTCGGCCTCCCAAACTGTTGGGATTACAGATGTGAGCCACCGTGCCTGGCCACAATATATTTTCTAAGTGTAGTCATCCTACTCTGGTATCAGACATTGAGTGTCTTCTTCCTATCTTCCTGTATGTTCGTACCCTTTATCTCTCTCCTCTGCATCCTCTCCTTCCCCGCACTTGCCCTTCCCAGTCTGTCATCTGTTTTTCCACTCTCAACTTGCACGCGTTTAAATTTTTTAGCTCTCACGTATAAGTGAGAAGATGTGACAGTTGTCCTTTTGTGCCTGGCTTATTTTCGCTTTAAAGTGAGAGCCGAGGTCAGCTTGTACATGGCAGCTCCCAGGATTGTGATCTGAGGATCTCCGCAGAGCATGGCTCGGAAGTACAGGCTTCTTAGACCAGTTAGTACAGGAGCGGGGCCAGGAGAGTGCTGTCCCCTCAGCTCCAGTGAGTGGCTGCCCATCCAGAGCAAGCCTGCAGCCCCCACCCGCCTCCTCCTTTCACCATTACGTTGTACTCCCTATGAAACTCCCATGTTTACTGTTGGCGACACCCTCACATTGTGTCTGACTTCTGTCACTTTCCCATCTCAGTGCATAAAGTGCAGCCTGCCTGTGGTGTTTGTGATCTTGTCTTGTTTTAAGTCATCTGGGCGAGTGTCCTTTCTCTAGTTTCTTCTCTGTTGTTGACAATTTCTAGATTGATTTCAAAACAGGCAAATCCTCCCTCCCCATCACCTCTGATTAGGGAGGAACAGAGCCGTGTGCAAAGGACCTATTCCCAACACCAGGACACCCCAAGCTGCTGCATTCCTGCTGCACTCCAACAGGCAGCATGTCCATCTCCTTGGAAAAGAAAGACATGATTTTCTAGGGGAACAGCTCCTAGCATATGAACTGCCTCTGGCTTTGGTGTTGGGAGCAGACCTCTAATTTGTACCTTTTACGAGGAATCAGCAGGCTACAACAGCAGATTTCCTACCAACAGCAGCTTTATTCCCCTGTGGCCAGGCCGGGTCCCTTAGTGTTGCCTTGCTGAGCTTTGGCCATCCTCAGGCAGCCCTGCAGCACAGCCCAGAAGCACTGAGGTCCCCAGAGTATCACCTCATCAGCTCCCTGGGGTCTCAGACAAACACAGCCTTCCTAGTCAAGGAAATAATGTCCCCCTTGTGATGCAAAGCCCCCTGGAGGGACTGAGAGGAGCTTCCTGGCTTCACTTTGAGCGCAGCTGTCCTCAGTTCCTCCTGTGAAGCAGTGGGTAATGGGTGGCCTGGCTGGGCTCAGGTGGGCAAACAGTCCTTCTGAAGGGAGAGACACCAGGCTGGGGATGTGTATTCAGCCCCTCAGGAAGTGTCCAGGTTCCATGCTGCTCGGTGTGCCATGGAGATGCAGATTTCCTCTCAGCTGCCCGATTTCAAAGCCAGACCTGGCTGGAGACTTTTCAGAGCGTCACACCTGGGACCTACTCCTTCCAGAAAAAAAGGACTTCCACTGACTTTTCAGGGAGGTTGGCTGAACTCTGAACTCTGAGTCTCTTCAAGAGACTTCAAGAAGGGGAGTGTCTAACGGCTTTTTCGACTGCATTAAAGCAGTGACTGGTTCTCTTAACATTCAAGGTGCCTTCCCTAATTTCCTTAGTGAGCAATTTAAGATACATTTGAAGATTCCTGCTTTTGCCTTTTCTCCCCTTCACCAGACACACTTCTTAAGAACAAAATGTAAACTCTTCTACATTGTGCCATTTTGATTTTCAAGAACCTGCTATAGCTCCCTATTATCCGAGAATGAAATGAACCTGATCTCCTCAGGGACACCTATGTAGCCTGCCGGTTACATGTATGTCACATCTTCAGGAAAGTCTCCCCAATGTCTGGGCCTAGGCAAAGTCAGTGTCTTCCTGCACTGCTTGTATGTGTGCAGTCCATGAGAGGAGACCCAGGTCTGGTTTGCCTGCTGCTGGCTCCTGATGCCTAACTCAGTGCTGTGCACAGCAGGCTTATCAAACTTGAATTACACATTTTTTAAAGGAGTCTCAGGAGAAATCTTTGTGCTGCCAGGCTAACACACAACATATCCTTACGTCCCTGATCACTGATTTCTGCTCCAAAATACCCACAAATTATCCACTCTTTGAAGCCCAGCTTGTCATATTTTCTCCATGCACTTTTCTAATGACTGTAGCTCATGATATTATTTTCATTTTCACACACCTTTTCACAGGCTACCATGTGGTATAAATTAGCATCTAAGCATCTTTCTCAGTTTGTTTTCTGCTATGTTGATGGAATATCATGGACTGGGTAATTTATAAAAAGTAGAAGTTTATTTGGTTCATAATTCTGGAGACCGGGAAGTCCAAGAGCATAGTGCTGGCACCTGGTGAGGGTCGTCCCATGGTGGAAGGCTTCACGTGGCAATTGAGAACACAAGATAAAGAGAAAAAATGGAGGCCAAACTTTTTTTTTAAGATGAGGTCTCACTCTATTGCCCAGTCTGGAGTGCAGTAGCACCATCACAAGTCACTGCAGCCTCAAACTCCTGGTCTCAAGAAATCCTCCTGCCTCTACCTCCCAAAGTGCTGGGATCACAGGCATGAGACACCATGCTCAGTCGAACTTATCCTTTTAGCAGGAGCCCACTCTCACAACAACTAACCTACTCCCCCAAGCTAATGACATTAATTCGTTAATGAAGGCAGAACCCTCATGAGGTAATCACCTCTTAAGGGTTCCCGTTTTTAATACCTTTGCAATGGCAATTACGTTTCAACATGAGTTTCGGATATTCAGCCATAGTATTCCATCCCTGGCCCCCCAAAACTCATGGCTTTCTTACATACAAAATACATTCGTTTCATCCCAATAGCCCCTAAAGTCCTAAGTGTTCCATCATTGACTCAAAAGTCCAAACTCCAAAGCCTCATCCACATCAGCAATGTGTGAGGCTCAAGGCATGGTTAGTCTTTGGGCAAATTTCCCTCCAACTATGAGCCTGTAAAATTAAAACAAGTTATCTGCTTCTAAAATACAATAATGGGACAGGCATAGGTTAGACGCTCTCATTTCAAGAGGGAGAAATGGCAAGAAGAAAGGAGCAACTGGTCTCAAGTAAATTTAAAACCCAACAGTGAAAACAACTTTAAGTGTTAAAGTTTGAGAAAAATCTCCTATGATTCCACGACCTACATTCTGTGTACACTGGGGTGAGGGTTAGGTCCCCAAGACCTTGGGCAGCCTGACCTCTATGGCTTTGCTGGGTGGGAATCTCATGCCTGCAGCATTTCTAAGCTAGAGTTGTATGCTGGTGGCCCTATGCTTCTGGGGTTTTTCAGGTAGCCCCACTTCCGTGGCTCCACTTGGCATTACCCTAGTGGATGGCTCTGCCTCTGCAGCAGGTCTCTGCCTGGGTCCCCAAGCAGCCCATGGCATTCTTTAAAATGTAGGTGGAGGAAGCTGTGGTTCCATAGCTCCTGCGTTCTATGAGCCTGCAGAATTAACGCCACATGGATGCTGCCAGAGTTTACTACTGGTATCTTTTGGAGCATCTAGTCGAGTCACACCTGGGACCACTTGAAACATGGCTTGAGATGTCAAGGAGTGCTGTGCTGGAATGTGAGGAGCAGAGTCTCCAGGTGACCATGGGCAGTGAGGCCCAGAAAGGTGCCCCAGGTTCATCTCCTGAAACCACTCTGCCTGCCTAGAGCTCTGGGCCTGTGATGGGAGGGCGAGCCTCAAAGATGTCTGAAATGCCTTTGGGGTCTTTCTCCTATTGTGTTGATGAATAGCACTTCCCTCCATTCTATCCATGATAATCTCTTTAGCAAACAATCATTGACCACACCCTCGGTTTGTTCTCCTGAAGATACCTTTACACTATTTACATGGCTGAAAATTTTCTATATTTCTCATTTTACTTGCCTTTTAATTATAAATTCTGTTTTTAAATAAGTTTTCTTCACTTCCCTCTTACAATATGCAGTTAAAAGTAGCCACACAGCTGCTTGAATGCTTTACTTCTTAGATTTTTTTTTTTTTTTTTTTTTTTTTTTTTTGCCAGATATCCTAGTTTAGTACTCTTTAAGTTTTGCATTGCACAAAACCCTCGGGCCAGTATACAATTCAGCCAGGGCTTTTGCTACTTTGCAACAAGGATTTTCTTTTACTTCAGTTTCCAATACTTTGTTCCTCAGTTCCATCTGAGTCCTCATCAGAATGGCCTTTACCTTCCATATTTTGACCAATGTTCTGGTCACAAACACGTAAGTAATCTCTAAGAAGTTCCAGACTCCCCCCTACAGCTATCCTGTTCTTCTGAGCCTTCATTAGAATTGCCATTAACATGGCCGGGTACGGTGGCTCACGCCTGTAATCCCAGCACTTTGGGAGGCTGAGGTGGGCAGATCACGAGGTCAGGAGATCAAGACCATCCTGGATAATATGGTGAAACCCCGTCTCTACTAAAAATACAAAAAATTAGCTGGGCATGGTGGCAGGCGCCTGTAGTCCCAGCTACTCAGGAGGCTGAGGCAGGAGAATGGCATGACCCTGGGAGGCGGAGCTTGCAGTGAGCTGAGATTGTGCCACTGCACTCCAGCCTGGGGGAAAAGAATTGCTCTTAACATGTTATTTGCAGTAATCTAGGCTTTTCCTAACCAGCTACTTCAAAATCTGTTCTGTCCATACCTTTCACAGGTATTTTCAGCCTCTGTCCATTACTCAGTTTCAAAGCTGCTTCCACATTTTCAGGTATTTGTTATAGCAAAAACCCCACTTCTTCATACCATTTGATTTCTTCATCTATTTTCTGCTACTATAACAGAATACCACAGACTAACTTACAAAAAACAGGAGTTTATTTGGCTCATGGTTCTGGAGGCTGGAAAGTCCAAGAGCATGGCATCAGCATCTGGTCAGGGTCTTGCCACTGCAGAAGGCTGTGCATGGCAAGGAAGTGTGCAAGACAGAGAGAAAATGGGGGCCAAATGTATCCTCTTATCAGGAGCCCACTCCTACGATAACTAACTCACTCCCATAATAACAGTATTAATCACCTTTTAAAGGTCCCACTTCTTAATATGGTCACAATGGCAATAAAATCTCAATGTGAGTTTTGGAAGGGACATTCAAACAATAGCAGGATCTGTTCTATCTCTAAACTCTTTGTACTGTCTTATGTTCTGGAAAAATATGTTAGAAAAATGTATAAATATGCACTTATCTATGACAGAGAAACATACTTAGAAATCAATGCTGCATTATTTACAAATCTTTCAGTGAATATGTCAAATGTGTTCAATTTAACTATAAGCTCCCAATGGGGAGACATTATGGTGTATTTTTCTTTTATAACTTGTAGATCTTAGCATTGTCCCAGGAGTATAATATATTATAAACTAGTGTTTTTGAATGAATTTGTTTATTGGTTTTACATGGGGAATGACTTTGGCATGCAATCACACCTCCTACCAAAACTCTGTATTAGCTGGATGTCACTGAATCCCCAAGTCTGGATGTGACATGATCCATGTGATGCTCTTATTATGGGGGGAAATCATTTATTGGTGACAATCTGTGGAAGGCTGACCACATTTTTAGCCTCCCTTGCAGTTAGATGTGATAATGTGACTGAGTTCCACCAATTAAATGTGGGCACAGGGATGTACACTACTTTCTAGGCCCGCTGCATAAAACTCTCTGATGCATCACCCTTTCTGTCTTCCTCTGTTGATTGGATTGGCACTCAGTGTGGCCATAGAATTTACATGCTGAAGATGACTATGCCACTGTGTGGAGTGTACTTTCTGTACCCAACCCCACCCTCCACCACCTATCTTAATGGCTCATTTTGGACTTTACATGAGTGAGAAATAAACTTCATCACAGTGTCTAGTACTTGTCTTAATAACTACATTGTGGAGAACCAAAGGGCACAAGAGAGAAATCCTGCCCTCCTTTCCCAGAAACTAATTTAGAATGTTCAAAATAACCTTTTACTTTACATGACCCTGTAGAAATCCATGGCTTTTGTTAGGGACAGGTGGACAGCATCTAGGATGTCAGAACTCTATACAGGATTATATATTTATAAGCTCTTACTCATCATATACTCCAACTTTCTCATTTTCAACCTTGAGGTGAAACTCTTATGTATATTTTTGTGGAAGCATTTTTAAATGACAGAAAGTAATTTATATATATATGCAAATTCCTTATAATTATGAAAATAATACTTTCAGAGAAACTTTACTTCCCAATTTTGTCAGCTGAGTTTCAATTTCTAATCATCCCCACCTCAATTCATTTGAACTAGCTGACTCTTCCATTCCCTTTGACTCAAATTCTCTGCAGGAACTGAAGGAGAAATCAGAGAGAGGATCTGAGTCTGAGAGTGAGTTTATATTAATGCCTATGGTCTTTGAAGCCCTAGCAAAATGTTCCTCCATAGATCCTACAGTTGATTTCAAAGCTTATGATCTGTTGGCTTTTTTTCAAGATTCGATGTTGCAGGTTTGTTTTTAGCTGGTGCTTGGGGACCTAAACCAGCCTCTAAAGGAATTAAATTACTAACTGATCCTTGAAGCATAGCAGAAACTTTGGACAAGATTGTCAATCAACAAACATGTCCTCTGCTCCTTAAATGAGTGAGGCAGAATCTGAGTCCTGAAGGAGCTTCAGAAGATGTCAGTCAAAGTGGTTCTGTGCTCAAGGAGGCTACAATTAAGTTGGAATATATAAAGGAGTTGTGAAGGTGTCATATCAGGCAGTTTTTGCTGGATAAGAGACCAATTCAAATATAAAGATTTAAAGTAAGAAAAATTACTTATCTGTCAGGTTCCTTGGTTCCTGGACAGCTTTTCTGCTCTGGATCAGCTCAGCTGAAACTGGGTTATCTTAGACAGTCTCACTCACATGCCTGGTGGTTAGCTTGATGTTATCTGAGCAATAGTCATGTGACTCTTTTCCTTCAGCAGGACAACCCAGTCTCATTTTCTCGGAGGCAGAGGTATCCTGAGCAACAAAAGAGGCCAAGATCCAATGAACAAGCACTTTTCAAATCTTCACTGTGCCATATTTTCTAATGTCTCCTTAGCCAAAATATTTGTCCAATCTGGATTTAAGAGGCATCAAATGGACTCCATCTCTTGATGGAATTTGAGTCAGATTGCAAACAGGTGTGAATATATGCTTGGGAGGAGCTTTGGGGCCACTTTTGCAAACCATTTATCAGATGTGCCAGGGTCTCAAGGAAGAGCTAGGGAGTCAAGGCAGGTCAGCAAGGAACATGAGCACTGCTTTGAATGGTGGTGAGATTTCAACAAAGAAGGATGGGTTGAAGTGAAAGGCAGCCCAAGCAGAGGCAGCGTGAGAGGAATGCTCTGGAGAAGAGAAAACTTTGAGCCTGGTAAAGGAATAACTACAGTGTCATTAGAGTGAAAGGATGGTATCAAGAACCCAGAGAAGCAAAGCAGAAAGATGGGAAAATAGAAAATAAACTACCTCAATGAAATTTCAACATCAGCATAGGCATGTACAACAAATGCCATGTGTCAATCTGCATTCTGTTTGATATATAAAGTGTGTAAAAAAAGATTTTTTCCAGGATGCATACAACCTAACAAGGTTGAACTATGAAGAAATAGATTGATAGACTAAATAGACTGATAATAACAAAAGGGACTGAATCGATAGTAAAACATCTTCCATCAAGGAAAAGCCCAGGACCTGATGGCTTCACTGTTGAATTCCACCAAACATTTAAAGAAGAATTAATATCAACTTTTAAAAACTAGGCCAAAAACTTGAACAAAAGGAAATTATTTCAAACCGATTTTGTAAGGCAAGCATTATCCTGATAGCAAAACAAGACAAGGATACAACAACAACAAAATAAATTATGAGCCAATACCCCTGAGGAAAATAGATGTAAAAATCCTCAACAAAATACTAGAAAACCAAATTCAATAGTGTGACACAAAGATCATTCAGCAGGATCAAGTGGGATTCATCCTAGGAATGCAAGGATAGTTCAACATACTCAGATCAATAAACATAATATATCACATTAACAGAATGAAGGATAAAAACCCTATGATTATTTCAATAAATGCAGAAAAAGCATTTGACAAAAATCAACATCCCCTTCATGATAAAAAACAAAAAGAAATTAGGTGCAGAAGGAATGTACCTCAACACAATAAAGGCTTTGCTATATATGAAAAACGCACAGCTAACATTATTCTGGAAGGCAAAATGTTGAAAGCTGTTTCTCTGAGATCAGGAACAAGACAAGGATGCCCACCTTTTCCACTTTTATTCAACAAAGTACTGAAAGTACTAGACAGAGCAAATAGGCAAGAGAAATAAATAGAAAGTATCCAAGTTAAAAAGAATAAAGTTAAATTGTTCCTGCTTATTGATGACATGAGATAATAGATAGAAAATCCTAAGCACCTCACTAAATAGCTGTTAGAACTAGTAAACCAATTCAGTAAAGTTGCAGATTCCAAAAATCAATGTACAAAAGTTAGTAGCATTTCTGTATGCTAATAATAAACTACCTGAAAAAGAAATATAGAAAACAATTCCATTTACAATAGCTACAAAAACACCTAGGAATAAATTTAAGAAAGAGGTGAAATGTCTCTGCAATAAAAACTATTAAACGTTGGTGAAACAAATTTAAGAAGACATAAATAAATGAAAAGGAGGTTCCATGTTCATGGATTAGAAGAATTAATATTGTTGAAATGTCTATACTACTAAACATATTTATAGATTTAATGCCATCTGTATCAAAGTATCAATGATATTCTTCACAGAAATACAAAAAACAATTATAAAATTAATATGAAATCACAAAAGACCCCCAATAGCCAAAGCAATCTTAAGCAAAAAGAACAAAACTGTAAGGCATCACACTACCTAACTTCAAAGTACACTATAAAGCTGTAATAACCAAATCAGCATGGTACTGGCACAAAATCAGACAGATGGACTAATGGAACACAAAAGAGAACACAGCAATAAATCTATACACTTACAGCCAACTAATTTTAGACAAAGATGCCCAAGAACACACAATGGGAAAAGGACAGTCTGTTCAATAAATAGTGTTGGTAAAACTGGGTGTCCAAAGAAGAAGAATGAAACTAGATTTGTATCTGTCATCATATATAAAACCAACAGAAATTAACTCAAGATGGATTAAAAACTTAAATGTAGGCTGGTGTGGTGGCTCAAGCCTGTAATCCCAGCACTTTGAGAGGCCAAGGCAGGCAGATCATGAGGTCAAGAGATCGAGACCATCCTGGCCAACATGGTGAAACCCCATCTTTGCTAAAAATACAAAAATTAGCTGAGTGTGGTGGTGTGCACTTGTAGTACCAGTTACTCAAGAGGCTGAGGCAGGAGAATCACTTAAACCCGGGAGGCAGAGGTTGCAGTGAGCTGAGATTGTGCCACTGCACTCCAGCCTGGTGACAGAGCAAGACTCCATCTGAAAACAAACAAACAAACAAATAAAAACTTAAATGTAAGACCTAGAACTATAACATTCCTAGAAGAAAGCATAGAGGAAATACTTTATGACACTGATCTGAGCAAAGATTTTTTGGGAGAAGACCAACACAGACAATAAAAGCAAATGTAGACAAATGAGATCACATCAAAATAAAAAGCTTCTGCACAGCAAAGGAAACAATCAACAGAGTGAAGATACAACCTACAGAATGGGAGAAAATACTGGCAAACTCTATATCTGACAAGAGGACAATATCTAAACTATATAAGAAACTCAAACAACTCAATAGCAAAAAGAAAAGAAAACAAATTAAAAAACCTAAATAACCCAATTTAAAGTAGAGCAAAATACCTGAATAAGCATTTCTCAAAGGAAGACATACACATGACCAACTGGTATATGAAAAAATGCTCAGCATCACTAATCATAGGGAAAATGTAAATTGAAAGCACAATCAGATATCATCTCACCCCAGTTAGAATAGCCACTATCAAAAAGACAGTAGATATAACTGCTCGTGAGGATGTGGAGAAAGGGATAACCCTTTTATGTTGCTGGTGGGAATGCAAATTAGCGCAGCCATAATATTAGTAGTTCTATTTTCAATTTTTTTTTAAGGAATCTCCTTATCTTTTACTATATACCCCACCCTCAAAGCCCTGGTAGATGGTGGCCTCCATATTTCTTCATTCACTCTGCAGGCAGCGGCAGAGCAAGAGAAGCAAATGCCAGCCTTTCAACTTTCTGGAAGCTTTCAGGAAAAATGTGATTCCCCAAGGACAGAGGCACTGGGCTCTATGCTTCCTGCATACTCCAGCATTAACTCATGAGATTATTTGTTTTTTTTTAGAAGAGGGGTTTCTAAGTCCACTGAGTCAGGAACCATTTTGAGAATCTGATGGAACAGTGGTTTTCCCTCCTAGAAAAATCAATATATGAACGGCATTTTGCATCTTATTTTAGGGGGTTTTGGGGCTTCTGTCATAATACATCCTTAGACCAGGACAGGAATCCCTGGTTTAGACATCAAATTGTTACCACTCATCAACTTCATGTATATGTGATAGAGTGAGTTTTTCCATGCTGCCATTGGCAGGAGGATTTTCCCTGCCCTTTTGGTTTAGTTTTGTTTCTCAAATACATAATACATTGACACGATCTCAGAAATCATAATCATATACCAGGTACTCTCAGAGAAGTGTCACTTCCTCTAGGTCAGTGAGGTTTGACAGAAGATGTAACGGTTTCCCCAAATCAAAATCTAGAACATTCCACTGCTGCAGAAAGTCCCTTACATGTGTGCCCAGCTAACCGCCTTCCTTGACCCTACCAGGGCAACCTCTGACTTGACTTTTATCAGGCTAGGTTAGTTTTGTCCAAATTTTACATAAATAGACTACCAGCTTAGGTTGACTGTAATCCACATCGATGTATTCAATTTTATTCCCATTGTTGGATGCTAATTGTCTTCAGTCATTTGATACCTTTGCACTAAACAGGGCAAAACTCACGGACAGCGGGGACCTGGTTTACTGCATCCACCAGCGCTGTGGGCAGAGCAGGTCCCTATTTGTTGACAAATGGGCAGATAAGAATGTGTAATTGAGCCAAGCCTTCAGGGGGAGCGCTGCAGGTTGCCTGTATCCTACCTAGAACTGAGCCGCCATTCTCACCTGTTCCTTTCCTGTGTACAGGAAGGATTACCCAACCCAGAGCAGAGTGAGGAATTAGCACATACACAAGGCTTGGGTGGGGGGTGCTGGAAAGGAAAGCGTGACACTATCAGGGAGGGAGGCAGGAGGGCAAGGGTTGAAAAACTAACTATTGGACACTATGCTCAGTATCCAGGCAATGGGATCATTTGTGCCTCAAACCTCAGCATCATCAACGATCAGGCCATGTCTTCCCCATGCAGGCATGGGCCTGCCTTCCCCATGCAGACCACATTACTGGGAGAAATGGAAACAAGAGACTCCCGACTTAGCTACTCCAGGTGCAGCAGAGGGCAGGGTGGGACCCAGGGCTTCACCAAATAAAGTTTGTATGACATCCTGAAGCTGAAGGGTGAGGTGCAGACACCAGCCCCTATCAATTCTGCATCACCCACAGTGCAGGTGGCCTGCTCCTCATCCCACTGTTGATAAAAGCTTAGAGAAACTTTTCTCTTTAGAGTTCAGAGAAAAGGTCTCCTTATCTTGACATTTATGGAGTGAGTTCCCTAATGAAAACTCTAGGTCACTGCTTAAATAAGTACAAACTTATAGCCAACTGGTTTCTTTATGCTGTCACCATCATATCATTTCATCCAGTAAATGTTTTGCTGTGTACCACTAAAATATAAGAAGTCATCTTAAAAAATATAATCATATCGACTGGATAAAGAAAATGTGGTACAAATACACCATGGAATACCATGCAGCCATAAAAAAAGAACAAAATCATGTCCTCTGCAGCAATTTGGATGCAGCTGGAGGCCCTTATCCTAAGTAAATTAAGGCAGGAACAGAAAGCCAGTAGTTCTCATTTCTAAGTGGAAACTAAACATTGGGTACTCATGGACATAAAGAAGCAACAATAGACACTGGGCACTGCTAGAGGTGAGGGGTAGGCAGGGGGTCAAAATTGAAAAAGCAACTATTAGATACCACGCTCAATATCCAGGAAATGGGCCGGGCGCGGTGGCTCACGCCTGTAATCCCAGCACTTTGGGAGGCCGAGGCGGGCGGATCACGAGGTCAGGAGATCGAGACCATCCTGGCTAACACGGTGAAACCCCGTCTCTACTAAAAATACAAAAAATTAGCCGGGCGTGGTGGTGGGCGCCTGTAATCCCAGCTACTCGGGAGGCTGAGGCAGGAGAATGGCATGAACCCAAGAGGCGGAGCTTGCAGTGAGCCGGGATAGCGCCACTGCAGTCCAGCTTGGGCGAAAGAGTGAGACTCCGTCTCAAAAAAAAAAAAAAAAAAAAAAAAAAAAAAAAAATATCCAGGAAATGGGATTATTTGTACCCCAACCTCAGCATCACGCAATATACCCAGGTAACAAATCTGCACATGTACCCCCTGAATGTAAAATAAAAGTTGAAAAAAATACAATCTTAATACTATTACTGTATGTAAAATAATGAGCAACAATTTCCTCAGTATCATCAAATATCCAGTTTATGTTTATATTTCCAATTGTCTCATAAATATCATAATCTTTTTTTAGCGGTTTCTTTAAATTAGGAGCTAAATTACCTATTGCAGTGAGTTGTTTTCAATCTCCTTTAACTGGCAGGTGTCCTCCCCAACTCTCTCCCTTTCTTTCTCTTTGCCTCACACTCCACTGCCCTGACCTCCTTTTCTCCCTATCTCCCCGTCTCCATTCTTTGCAACTCATTTATTCGAGAAGCCAGGTTGTGTTTCCTGCAGGATGGGTACCTTCCTAAACTCTGTGCAAGGAACAAATGAGCAAATGGGCCCCGGTCTTCTGAGCCTGCTTCAGCTGGTGACTTTCTGGGCACTTCCCCTTTTGAGGGTGAGCTAGAGAATAGACAAGCCCACCAAATGAAAATCCCTAGAGCTCTCCCGGGCTGCTGCTATCAAACCAGCAGGGCTGCGTGGATGACGCCTTGTGCTTGGGGTACGATGAGGCCACCCATCCCTGGCTTTCTCAGATGTGGCCGTGTATAGACGCCACTGAGCCATAGGTCTGGTCGGGCTTTTTTCTTTTTTTTTTTGGAGGGAGTCTCACTCTGTAGCCCAGGCTGGAGTGCAGTGGCCTGATCTGGGCTCACTGCATGCTCCGCCTCCCGGGTTCACGCCATTCTCCTGCCTCAGCCTCCCGAGTAGCTGGGACTACCGGCGCCCGCCACCATGCCCGGCTAATTTTTTGTATTTTTAGTAGAGACGGGGTTTCACCGTGTTAGCCAGGATGGTCTCGATCTCCTGACCTCGTGATCTGCCCTCCTTGGCCTCCCAAAGTGCTGGGATCACACGCGTGAGCCACCGCGCCCGGCGGGTCTGGCCATGCTTCTTAGAGTTATGTGGTCAGGAAGAAAGGGAGAGAACCTGTTTATTTGACATTTTTATACACCACTTCATTTGATAACTCAACAATGTTACATAAGAAATAAACAACATAAAACAAAACATAGGCGTATTGTCACACATGTGAAGTAACTAAAGATTCTGTCTCCCTTTTGCTGACTCTCCAGACAGCTGCAGAGGCTTGCACCTCCTACCTCCCTCCTCTCCTGATTTCTATTTGTGAGTCATGGGAAATAACTTACACCGAAGATAACCAGACATTCTGTCCAGGGAGTACTCACACAAGGGCGCAGTTTGATCCACCTTGTCCTGAAAGCTTTTATGCCAGATTTAGGTGAATTTGAAGTAAGCACCAGGCCAGGAGACTTGGACTAGCCCTAGGGAATGAACAATCTTCTTACAGATTTGAGGGCAGGTTAGAATAAATCTGCCCAGAGACAGAAACAGAAGCCACATGTGGGAGGAAATATCGATGGTCAACACTGACAGGGAAGAGGGGTCTACGGTTCAGTTCTCAAGACATGCAAATGAAAGTACGTGGAGGCATTTCATGGTAAATAAAGTTCTAGGGGTAGGATGGCAGGGTCATTTATGCATGGTTGTGCTATTTCATAACAGAACACAAGATGGTACACCATCTGAATGTAAGCAAATTATAAAACATGGCAAGTAAATTGTAGCATTTTGGCTTTAAAATACTATTCAGCTATTTTATATAATTTCAAAAGAACACTTTAACAAGGGAAAGGTGATTTCAAAATAGCATTAGAAGGCAGAACTAATGTTTATATGTACAAAATGTCACATACGACATATAAGCATGTATACATAAAGCTGGTATAAAACTAGAAGTCAAAACTTGTCTGTCGGGCCAATGAGCAAATACTTTCTATATTTAGGCTGACAGTGAGGAAGTAAAACAACATTTGTTGAACCCCTTCTTTGTGTCAGACAATTTTCCAGTGATGCCATTTAATCCCTGCAAACCTATGAGTAGGATTTTACAGTATTTGCTTTCATCCTACAGTGGTTATATATTCTTAATAATAATCACGATAATCATTATCATGGGTTGAATTATGTGCTCCCCAAATTCCTATGTTGATGTCCTAGCCCCTAGTACTTCAGAATGCTACCTTATGTGGCAATGGGTTATTTGCAGATGTAGTTAGTTAAGATGAGGCCCTATCAGAGTAATAGTAGTCATGTAATGCCACTATGTCCTTATAAACAGGGGAGGCTGGGACGCAGACACACACACACAGGGAGAGAGCCATGTGAACATGAGGGCAGAGACTGGGTGATGTGTCTGCAAAGCCAGCAATGGAAAGGTTGCCTGCAAACCACCCGGAGCTGCAGAGAGGCGTGGAACAGTCTTCCTCACAGTCCTCGGAAGGAACCAGCCCTGCCCACACCTTGATCTCAGACTTCCAGCATCGGCACGGTCAGGGTCTGTTGTTTTCGCCCCCAGGGTGTGGTACTTTGTTGCAGCAGCCCCAGGAAGTGAATGCAATAATGATCGCAGAATGGCAGTGAGCGTTTACTGAGGCACCTGCTGTTCTAAGTGCATTAAAGGCACACGGTGCAGGTCATCCTCATGGAGAGCCTGGGCAGAGGCCCTCTCACCCAGTCTAGGGATGTGGAACTCAGGTCTGGGGTGAATTCACTTCCCCTCCAACGTGCAGCTCATTGGTGGTAGAGCTACGATTTGAACGTGGCTTCAGAAACTTATAGGAACGTAAATGTTCTTCAGAGGCTTGGAAGGTGATGAGCTTATCCAGTGAGATATGGGTTTAGAAGCATCCCCTGCTGCTGGTCCTGTGCTCCTCCCTGGCTGGGTTTCTCAGAAAGGGCTGACCCATGAAAACTGAGGGCTGCCCATGTGGAGCTGGGGTTTTGGTTCTGATCCATTAAGCCCAGGGCTTTACTGGGTCCCAACACTACCCACAATCCCCGTCCCCTTGATTTTAATGAAACTCTTAGGCCGATCCACCCCGAGGAGAGTGGGCCACCACAGACAGGCAGAGTCTGAGTAGGGCAGTCAGTGGAGACAGGTTTGTCTGCAGTGACGCTGTCAAGGCTCCTTTGGATTCTTCTGACTGCCGGCGTCGCCTCCCCAGGCATCACCGAGCCTTTTCTTGCTACACTCGGCTCTGTGACTCTGCTTCAGAGGATAGCCCTTAGGCTGCTGGAGCTGCTGACAATATAGGGACAAAGTGCAGATCATTGGTTTAGTGTCTGTTACTTTTGTTTAGCCACAGTCCCATGTCTAGACAATGTCCAGGACAGTGGATTTGTCAGAGAAGGAGAGAGGGTCCGGGCTGCCACCTCACTGCCCCTTGGTGTATTTATCAATGCTAAAATCGGGAGCATTTCCCTGTCCCTCTGGACAGGGAAAGGAAGGGAGACCACCAACCGACCAGCCTCTCCGGGCCTGATGGGAGGAAGGTGTAGGGAGCTGTGGTGCCAAGTGGCCGGCCCTGTTCTGTGTGGCCCGCATAAGAAGGAGCTGCAGTCCTATCACCTCTCCTAAACTTCTTCTTGCTCACCTCAACCTCCTTAAAGCCTCCAGGGGCTACCACTGTAAAATGGGTAAAGCCTGGGCTCCTTAGCTTTATCCTCAGGGAACTCCGTAATCTCCATGCCTTTTAATCCTTAGTTCCCACTGTTCTGTTTTCCATACCCTGTTTTCCCACTGTTTCCAGTTTCCACCCTACATAGCCCCTCCATCAGGCTTTTGCTTATTCAACAGCCTCTGGTATTGAAATTATCAGGAATAATGTATCAGTTAGCTATAGCTGCATAACAAAACATCCTCATATCAATTGCATAATCCAGCAGTCATTTGCTGTTGCTCATGTGCCTGTGTGTTCTCTGGGTTCAGCTGGTCAGGGCTGGGCTTTGCCAGGCAGTTTTGCTCCAGGCTGCCTTGGCCCAGGTAGTTTTGCTCTCAGTGCTAGTCTGTGGGTGGGCAAGGAGGGCTCGACTCCACCATGCTTGTTTTGAGCCAAGGCTGCAGCACAGTAGTGACCCAGGGGGACTTCTCCTCATGTCATTGGCAGAAAAATAAGAGGGAACGTGGAAACACACAAGGCTTCTTGATTCCTAGGCTCAAAACCGGAAAACAATCCCTTCTTCTAGAGGCTATTGGTGAAACAAAGTTGAATGCTCCAGCCCAAAGTAAAGGGGCAAGAAAATAGCTCACACCCACCTTACCTTGGAGAGGGTGTGGATGCAGGAGAGATGAAGATTTACGGCAAATAATGCCTCCTACCACAAGAGGTGACAATAGCAAATAGCACAGTAGTAGCAGAGACAATCACACGTGCTGTAAAGTACTTACCATGTGTTAGCCCCAAATTATAGGATTATCAGCAGTGTTGATTCTCACTGTTGCCCTGTAGGAGACCACCCGAGGCTTCTAATGGTTCCTAACATCCCCTAAGACCGCACAGTTTTTAATGACAGAATCTTGAACTGAGCTGAAGATTTGTCTTTGTGGATCTGAGCCCAGAATTTGGAAGCTGCAGTTTGACTCCAAAGTCCAATTCATGTCAAAATCTTACCTCTCCTTCAAAGTCTCCCTCAAATGTTGGCTTCCTCATGAGCCATTTCTCAATTTAGTACAGGTTGAATTTGCAGATCTAAAAATTTGATCTCTGAAATGCTCCTTATTGAAGGCCAACATGATGCCTAAAGAAAGTGCTCACTGGATTTGGGATTTTGGAGTTTGGATTTTGGGATTCGCAACACACAACCAGTAAGTATATTCCAAAATGTGAAATCTGAAACACTTCTGGTGCCAAGTATTTCAGATAAGGGATACTCTGTCTGAATTATACTATGCCTGCACACTCGATTAGTGAGATTGTGGATATAAATCTTTGCTGTATTCTGCCACTGTTGGATATTTTAATGGAGTTTGGTCTAATAGAACTTCACAACAGGCATGTGTAATAAACCCAGCTCTACACACACAAACACAGTACTGAAAGACCAAGAGGGATTCCATTGCTTTTCACATCTGATGTTATTTGTTAAACGAAGAAGTCCTTTTCTTGAGAACAGAACATGTTAATGATTTGTATTGTCCCAAGCTTGGAAGTAAAAACCTTGGAATTGCTAAGCATGAATGTGCTTATCTAGGGTCACTGAGCAACCATCAGAAGCCCCAAACAGTGTTGACATTCGGCAAAGGCTGGGTATCCCAGACTCGGTCACCTGAAATGGAAAATACTTTCTCACCAGCAAAAGTATAGATACCTTTTGGTTAAACGAGATTGAAGTCACACCTTTGTGAGAGGAATAGCACAGCCAAAATTTAGGGGGCCCACCTGGTGATTCTGAACATTTTATTTGGACAAGTTGCATACTTTTTAAACGCAGGCTCTTGAAAAATTCCTTTAGAAATGTCAAGGTGACTGGTGTATTAAAAAAGTGAGCCAGAGCAAACAAAGGTGACATTCTTTTAATTCTTTCCCTGCTGGGTCATTTTCTCCTTGCTGTCATCTCTGCGTACGGCCATCGTCCATAATGGACCCTCGACCTGCTCAGAGGTTCACACTTGAGGGAAATTGCAAAGTAGAGGAAATTTTGACCCAGAGGCCTCTTCACCTCTTCCCACCAAAGCTCCAGCAGAGGCTCAAACTTAAAGCTAGGAAGTGAGAGAACCAAATCATGCTGGCAAATTTTCTCTGCTACATCTTCCAAAAACATGGTGATAAGGACAGGAGTCACCAAAGGTGTTGTTCCCGGCATCTTTCATCATCCACTGGGGAAGAGGCTCCTGCTCGGGGACCCTGAGCTGCCTCTAATTATCGGTCACACTGCCAGCTCTGTCTCTCCCCATGACCCATGACACTGCCAGCTTTGCAATTTTGTTTTCTGAATAAGAAGCTTCACATTTAGCTTTTAGATTTGAAATCTGGTTTGGGATTTTTTTTTTTTTTAATGAGCATGCCTGTGCATCATATCAGTAAAGCTGATGATATGAGTGTATTCTATCAGACTGAATCATATGTTAATACATTTGCCACTATGTTTGACATACAGAAATAATTCCATATTGTTTTACCCATAGAATTGCTTGCTTCCATGACCCCAAAGATGAATACAAACACACAAAAAAACCCCAAAAGTTACAGATATAAGTGAATTTTGAAAAATAATATACTTTCTGGACAAATTAATACCTAATTTCTACACACTAAATATTATTTCCCACTCACATAACAAAGTCAGCAAACTGTTTCTTTGGTAAACAATTGGCTCTGTCGATGTTATAAAATCATTTTTAGGAAAAAGACTAACATGAAACAATGGTAGAAAATCAGAATGCAAACTAGTCAACATTCCTTGAACTATGAACGTGAAGTAAAAATTTTACAAGTGGCAACCTAAGCATTTAAGAAAAAACAGTTACTGCTTAAATAAGAAACCTGTTGCATGGAAAAGCCACCTTCCTCTGTACTTATAGGACAAAATGTGTTGTACTCTTGGGGATCCTCAAGTTCAAATGAGAATCTCAACAATTTCCATTTCCATTTTCCTGAAGACTTGGCACACGCTGGCTAGCAAGGCTGCCCAACAGCAGAGCTGCGCAGCTGCAAAGGCCTTTACGTCTTTGTCACCAAGTTGGCCAGGAGCTGCCTATGTGGGAAGTCTTATAATGCATCAACAAGAGGGAAGCAGCAAGAACTGAATCTCACTGGCTCATCAATTCCCAAGTGGCTGGCAGCAGCTAAGATACTACCCTTTTTCTGAGCCAATAGCTTTCTCAGGCTGTATATGTGCCACCTTGCAACTGGCCTCTTGCAACACAGAGAATATGAAAGAAAATTTTTATCATTCTCTGGTAGTCTTTTGCTTTCTGGAGTACTCTGTTCTGTAATGCACAATTAGAAGTGATTTCTCCATCAACATAATGAAACTGTAGTTAAAATGAGTTCACTATTTTCAGGAAAATTACTGAAAATGATGATGATGATGTCACCAAAGCTGGTCCATCAGGAAAGCATGCAGCCAAGACATCTTTCTACTATTCAACATGGACAATTTAGTTTCACCCAAAACGCCATCTATCATGTTAAACTAATGCTGATAATTTGAATTTGTTGGTTTTATAGGGTTTAATAAGTGTGCAAAGTTGTATGTTGCTCTTGGTTAAGAGCTACATTCACTAGGTGATTCTTCCTGGAGTTGTACAGGTTTATGAGATATGTTGATAATTCCCTGATGTCTTTTTCCTTACAAGCAGTTGATACTTTCTCAGGTTTGGTGAGGACCCATGTAGAATTACAAGAGAGAATCCACCTGTGGCTACCCACTGCTGAGTCTTAACACTGCAATTGGCTGGATTGGGGCAATTCATACAACTTGTCACAGAAGCAGAACCAGGATTCTTCCCTAGCAGTAAATAGACAGGGACCGTGTGGGGCACCAGAAGCAGCTATGCAGGCACTCTAGACAGACCTTCCCATCTCTGCACAGGGCAAAGTCGGTCCCAGCCAGCAGCTGCCTCCCCGGGCATGCACCAGCACATGCAGTGCAAGCTTCTGCAGGTTGACTTAGTGTGATGTGAGAAAGTATCATTCACATGTTTCATGTCGTGTACTTTCAGAGTTGGGCAGAGAAACCGTGTCCCCTGTGTGGACTGCCTGCAGGCTCTCTGGGACAGACCCAGAGGTAAAAAGCCAGCACATTCCCCGTGTGCCTGCCTAGGCTCTGTTTCCCAGACACTCATTAGAGCCTGACACATTCTGACATATTCCACTTAGAAACACCTTATCAATAAAAACCAAATGCTTTTCGTCTTTGGCCACTTAGGAATCCCACACTGGGGACACAGTCCACGTTTAGTGGGCAATGCTTTTGGCCAGATGAGGCGCAACTAAAACTTCAGTACAAGTTTGGGGTAAAGTGCTGCATTAATTCAGGGACTGGCAAACTGTGGCCAGGAGGCCAAATCTAGGCCACTGCCTGCCTTTAATAAATAAAGGTTTATTGGTACACAGCCACTCCCATTTGTTTTCATTTTGTCCATTACTGCTTTTGTGCTACAATGACAGAGTTGAGTAGTTATGACAGAGACCATATGGCCTGCAGAGCCTAAACTATTTATTCTCTGGCCTTTTACAGAAAAAGTTTGCCAACCCCTGCATAGGAATAAAAGGAAAATAGCCCCTTTCAAGGAACCCCTGGAAGGGTCCGGACACAATGCCGGCTCATGGTTGTTTTCCATTCCTGCTCTGACTCCCAGGCTGCAATGCAGTCAAAGCCCTTTGAGCTCCCCTTGCTAAATAACTTTAACCTTTGTGAAACAAGCAGCCATCCTTCTTTTGCAGAAGGAATGACAACGATCATTTTTCCTTGCAGGTTATGGGGTGGTTAGCCATGTGGGCAATGGGTCTAGACAGCCAGGTTTGAATCCCTCCTCACCTTTTGAGCCCTCTGTGCCTTGGTTTACCTTTATGTAAGATGAGGATAAGAAAAGCGTGTGTCCTCTAAGGCTTTTATGAAAATGAAATGAGATACTAAGAACAAAGTGTTTGTTTTAACTTGGACTGCCTCATCCTACACGATCAATAGAGACAGGGATTCTGGAGTTAGAGGATATCTTGAGAGGGCATCATCACTGCTGTCTTTCTGAGGAGTAAACTGAGGTCCAGTGAGGAAAAGTGACTCTGCTCCCACCCTCCATAGATATTGAGGCAGGTTTAGGAGGCAGAGGCTCCAATGGTAACGGCTGCTAATATTTTTTGAGCTCCTCTGGGTGAAGGGCCTGGGCTCCACACTTGACTTGTCATGTCTCATTGAGCGTTCGTGGCTGCCCTGTGAAATAAGCATTTTGTTTACCCCGACTTTACAGACAGGGAAGAAGCGATGGTGCTGGAACTCACATCTGCCCAAGGTGAGCTTGCAGGAGCTCACGGCCAAGCCCTGGCTGCCTCTCCACGCAGCGGCACTCATGAACACACTTGGGAGCAATACAACATTTTGGGTTCCAGGGATAGAAGGGGTCAGGGGAATTCAACTAGAAAATGCCTCAAACACCAAATTCTCCATCTGGGTAAAACTGGAACCTTTCTGGCTACCCCTCTTCTCCTGTGTACAGCATTGCAATGGGTCCATCTAGTGGTCAAAGGCAAGAATGTCCACCGGTCGGGCCTCTGAAAAGCAACTGAGCCAACAAGCCCTCCCATCTCGGCCAATCTCAGCAGGCCAAGGGACAGGCAGCCTGGCCAGACGTCGGCCTTAAGGAGGACCTGGCAAGGGACGTGTCCATGGATGTGCAAAGGAAGGGGGACACTGGCAGTGGCCACCTCTCCCTCCTCATCTTTTCAGAGCCCTGTACCCCAGTTCCACAGGAAGCAACATTGCCCCTCAGAGGACATTTTACAGTGTCTGGGGACATTTCTGGTTGTCACAACTGGGGGATCTTTCTGGTGTCTAGTGGGTAGAGGCCAGGAATGCTTCTTACCACTCTACAGTGATAGGGCAGCCCCCCCACGGCAAAGAGTGAGCCTCAAATGCCAACAGCGCCACACAGCACTGGAAACCCTGAGGTGTCCTCCTTCCAAATGGAACCGGGCAGGCCTGGGGATTCCACGAGGCTGTGCGTGCTCAGAACCCTTGCATGTGCATTCCTGCCTAGACCGCTCTCCCCATCCCCACTCTCTTACCTCATCCTCTTCCTTCACCTCTCAGCCCACTTGTCTCCTGTTCGGGGGAGCTCATCTGCTCATGTCTGCCTCTTTGTCTGGGTTTTATCTCTCCACATGCAGGCCTGAGACAAGGATTTGGAGGCAAGCAGTTTATTTGAGAGAGGATTCCAGGAAGCATCTGTAAGAGAGTGAGGAAGAGGGACCGGAAGTGTGGGGGTGGAAGCATTGAAGGGTGAGTTGATGGGCAGCCATTGCTGTGAGCAGCCGAGGTGTGGTCTCTGAAGGAGGGGGGCGGGGGCATGAGGACTCAGAACTGTCCCCTCCAGGAGAATGAAGCCAAAGTGTTTATCCTTCAGCTCCCTGGCTGTTCCTGCACACTAGCCACTTACATTGCAGCTACCTGTGCACTGATAAAGGAACTGATGTCTGTCCGGTCTGCACACATCTCTCCATTGTGAAGGGCATTCAAGTTTGCCCTCTCTCACCCTGGTCCTCAGAAGCTAATGGGTCACTTTCCCAAATTGAAGCTCCAGAGACCAGGAACAGAGGACTGGTATAGTTGATGAGTCTACACAACAGGAGGCTGGCCCCACCTAGTGCAAGGATTTGGGAATTGTGACATCACCCTGGAGGCAATGCTAGCTCCCCCATGATCCACGGCCACATTGTTAGGGCTATGGAAACCTGACGGTTTGAGGGCAGACCACCAAGAGAATTGTTACATCACATCCCCAGCTAGACCAGGCTTAGTTTGCTTAGTAAGAAAGGCAATATTTTTGTTGAATTTCACATTTTCTACCAAGTAACGAATTAACCTTTTTGAAATCGCAGAGGAGATCACAGCAGGAAATGAAGCCATATCCTGTACACGCTGGCTACCACATATGAACCATCAGAGAGATGGAGGGCAATGTCTGGAAGAAGGACGGGAAGAGGGAATATAAGAACATTCAGTATTAATGGATTCCAAACTCCGTGTGATAACCAGCCGGTCCTGGACCAGTTTATCATCGCAGTGTGGACTGATTCTCTTTTGCAGGAAGTTAGTTTTGACTTCACCAGCTGGATTGGAGGGCACCTGTGGCATACCTTGTCCTATTGCTGTGGGGGACTTCGTCCAGCTTTTAGACATGCAAGACTAAATGTGAATACCATCTATACGTAAGTGGCTGAGAAAATGCTGTGGAGAAGCTTACAGCTCTCCATCATCAGCGATATAAGCACACTTTGATTAATCAGGTGAACTGCATACAATCAGGTAGTCTTGCTGAGGATGAAGAACTTTATATGGATTTGGGGTAATAGGACTAAAGTCCTTAGCATCACTTGTTTGGATTTTTCTCGTTTCATGAGTAGTTGATAATTCAGCAAAGGTTTCTTAAGCACCTAATCTGACCATTGCACAGAGGGCTAACTGCGGGGAATACAGCAGAAATGACATCTAAATGGCACATAGGGTACCACTCCCCAGCTGTGCCCATGCGCTGCAGCGAAGGGAACTACATTTCCCGGGAGGCCTTGCGCTCTCGCTTCCTGGTAGATTCAGCCAATGGGAGGCACTGGCCGGAGATTGGCTGCTGGGAGGAGGAGAGAAGCCTGGATGTGCCAGCCTCTTCTTCCTGTTTCTCATGGCTTCATCCATGATTTTAGCTCCAGCACAAGGCAGTCTCTCTCTGTGCTCCCATTGTGCCTGGCTGGGAGGGCACAGAGACCTTGGGCTCAGAGAGCCCCACATGCATTCTCCTTTTGCCCCCCTGGCCTAGGGGTGAGATCAGTTTCCTGGTGTTGCTCATATCTGGATTTTGTCTCTACTTCTTGTTTGACTCCTCAACTCTTCATTCACCTGTGCCACAAACCCCCATATTAAGTTCTCTCTGCTTGAAATACCTAGTGTAGTTTCCGGGATTTTGGACATCTTGCCTACTCCTTCAAACATATTTCATATCCCTTTCCCTCCTGCATGAGGCGTCCCACTCCCTGGCATCCTTCTTGATGTTCTTTTTTTTTTTTTTTTGAGACAGAGTCTCACTCTGTCGCCCAGGCTGGAGTGCAGTGGTGCCATCTCGGTTCACTGCAAGCTCCACCTCCCAGGTTCACGTCATTCTCCTGCCTCAGCCTCTTGAGTAGCTGGGACTACAGGCGCCCACCACTGTGCCTGGCTAATTTTTTGTATTTTTAGTAGAGATGGGGTTTCACTGTGGTCTCGATCTCCTGACCTCGTGATACACCCGCCTTGGCCTCCCAAAGTGCTGGATTACAGGTGTGAGTCACCACGCCCGGCCACACGTCCTTCATGTTCTAAGACTCCCACCTCTTTCTTACCCCAGGGCCTTGGCACTTGCTTTCCTTCTGCTTTAAATATTCCTTCCCTGGAGCTCCATGTGGCTGCCACTTTCTCATCCCTCAAACTTTCTGTTGCCCTCTCAGGTAACATGGGAACAAAAAGCAAATGTTACTTTATCAGAGGCTCTCATTGAAAATCATAGCTAATGCACCCACTCACCCCACCCTCACTGCAATTTACTTTACTTTCTATCATGTTGTCCTGTTTATTTGTTTCACATCGTGTATCCCAATCTGCAATGATTTCCTTTACTTGTTTGCATAGTTTGAACTCACGACAAGGTCAAACGTAAGGTGGTTTTAAAATAATGTGTTTCTTTATCATTTTTGGAGCTAAATTTTGGGCAAGGGGACATGGGTGTTAGAGTTTGTGAATTCATCTTCTTGCAGTGGATGTGCCCTCGCTCACTGTTACTCATCCTCCTGAATGGGGTCAGGGCCTGTTTTAAATGGTAGGTGGCATTTCTCTGCTGTTAAGCATGTGATTTTCTCTGCATCAGAATCCTGGGCAGTCACTGTCTGGGTGGCAGTGGGCACCCTCTTCTGTCAGTGCTTCAAGGGTGACAAGCATCTCATTGCAAAACAGACATGATTCTTTTCACTTTATGACATGTTGATCAAACCCCTCAGATAAATTGTTGGTGCCCCATCCTGTATCCCCTCAGCCTACCTGTGTTCATCTTCAGCCATGAGGGGCAGATTGCTGTAAATTGACAACTTCCCATTCAAGCCCTTGTCTCTGCCTGAGGGCTTCCCCATCACAGGAGCCTGCTTCACTGTGAATGTACTTACCTAGAAAGGGGAGCACAGGCAAGACCCCCAGCCCAGAGAATTGAGTTTGGATGCTCACACGGGTAACCTGCCCTTGACGCCTCCATTATCTTTTTCCTTGCCTCCTCCATTCACTTCCCTACTCCCTCATTTGTGCTTCCTGGGACCACCTTCCACATAAGCTGCCTGCACCCAAGCCCTTGTCTCTGGATCCACTTTGGGAGGATCCACACCAAGCAGAACTCAATTCCCTTTTTCTTAGCAGCACTTCCTCTTTGTGCCACATCAAGATCCACTTCTGTGGAAAAAGCCTGTGTGGGCATGGGGGCTTAGGCCTGCCAAAGTCTAAGAAACCACGTGGACCACACCTGGGAATTGTTCCCCTGGGGAGTTGGAGACGTGGGCATTTTGTCCTCTACTCGTGTCCCTACCCATGTCCACCTCTAGCCCTTCCTGCCCTCTTGGCCATTTACCTTCCCTGTTACCCTTTGCTCACCGTCTTCCTCACCAGAATGGAGAACTGGCCCCTGGCAAGCTCGCCCCATGGCTGCACCTTTAAAGTTGTCTTCTCCAAGCGTGTGCTGGGCTGTCAGCAGCGTCACCCAGGAGCTGGAAGTGCAAATGCTCAGGTCCTTCCCCAGACCTGCTAAATCAGAGACTCAGAGGGTGGGCTCCACCCTTGTGTGCCCACAGCCCTCCAGGGGACTCCAGGGCTTGCTGCAGCCCTAGAAGCACTGCTCTAAAGCCATACTAATTAGCATTAGATGTATAGTTCACAACAGCTTGTTCTGCTTCTAACCACTGGTCGGAGGGGTTGGGGCCTGATTATGTAACAGCATATGATGACTCATTAATGATGAGAGATGTTCTCGTGTTTACCAATATCTTCATATCAGTTTGCCAAAGTAATTCTTGATACCACACCCAGATGCTGGGAAGAACAGGGGCTTTGGGAACTGAAGCCCTCACATTGACCTCCAGCCCTGTCAGTGCCCCATGCATCCCTGGGGTACCTTTCCCCATCTGTGCATGCTGTTCCTGGGTGCCGCTATGACCCCCACAGCCAGTGCCAGCTTCTCTCTGTGAGCAGCTGTCCCAAGGCTGCTGGAGCCCTTGTGCTCACCCTGCTTGCATGGGGGCCTGAGACAGTCCTTACCCAGTGATGGGTGGATGCAAGGGACGCAAGACATCCCTCAGGTTCAATGATTCAAGAGAACTCATAGGAACCAGAAAGGTCACCAGATTCACGATTACCTCTTACTACACATGGTTCCAACACTACACAGCAAGTCGAAGTCAGCAGTGGGAAGATGCACCTAGGGTGGGTCCCAGGAGAGCTCTAGCTGTGGTGCTCCAGTGTCCTCTCCTAGTGGGGCTCTGCAGCAGTGCTTAGTTCTCCCAGTAATGACATGGGGCAGCATGCATGGAATATTGCTGACCAGGGACACTGACCTGAGCCTTGGCGTCCAGGGTTTTTATTGAAGGCTTGGTCACGTAAACATGATGGACAATCTACATGGCTGACCTGGTCTCCAGCCCCTTGACAGATCAAGCTGATACAAGACCTCCACTGTGAATCCTATCCTTAGCATCAACTACCTGGTGTGGCCTAAGGCCTCGGTAAACAGACACTTATCAGACAGGACATTAGAGATTAAAGGACTTAGAGGCTGCCTTCCAGGAGCTGTGCCAGGGCCACACCTTTCTTTGGGCAAGGTTAACCCTTTACTACTTGCAGAATATGAATATTCCAGCTCCTTCATCGCCAGTGCGGCCTCTCTGGGGTGTGACCAGCCCTGACTCTGTCTCAGAACTCCCTAGCAGGAGGAAGCCAGAAGCACCCACGTGGTTCCTGGCTCACTTTTTTCACTCCCCAGTCCCACCTTTCCACTGTCTTGCCTCTTTTTGTTGTTGTTGTTCTGGGAACACTTTCTAATAAATCTTCACACAAAGACTTGTTTCAGATTCTGCTTCCAGGGATCCTAAAATAGGACACTGTAAGAATTTACAAAGTGATACATTTCCTGTATTTCATTAACCTGCTTATGTGAATTACTGTTATTTTCAAACCTCAGAAATTAGCTGCAGCTGCTCTTAAGATTAAATCTGGAGAAGCCAAGATAGAACTTGGAGTTGAGTCTCGCAGTGGCAACCGGGTCTAAGGAAGGGTCACCTGGCTAGAGCTGGAGTTGACACCCAGCCGGTCCAGGAGGGGCCGCTCCCACCAGGGACTCCAATCAGAGGTGAAGGGTCAGGGTGAGGAGAGAAATGCTCTCACTTCCCTCTTCCTCTCACCTCCATCTCTTGACATCACTTCCCGTTGGATGAACCTAAATGGAAGCCAGTAGGCAAGAGAGCCTGGAAAACAGCGTTTGCAGGGGGCGGTTGTGAAATGGATCTAAAGGCAAACAACACGTGATGGACACATGTTTCGTAACCACTGATAGAGAAAAAGGCAATAGAAAAACATTGATATTAACTTAGTAGCACTTTGGATAATTAAAGCTAAAACAAAATCAGAAGCCAGAAGAGCTGTATATACTTACAAACAACAGTGCAAATGTGTGTGCAGCACCTGTTGGGAGGCCCTGGCATTAATTCTAGGTCCCTCCATCCTTCTCTAGGGGTGAGCAGCCAACAGGGTGGTGCTTTCTCTACTAGAAGAGTCAACAGCCACAACCCCTCACCCCAACAGCTTCAAATGACATGCCGAGAACAGCACGTAGAATCCCCTTATGTTTACATGGTGTTGGTGCCCTTTGAAAATCTGATTAGCTCTTTTAATTACCATGGACCCTTTCAGCACTTAGCTGGTAAATAGCTAACTCTAATTAATAACTCTCTGTATGCTTGGGAAATATCACTTATTTTACTGTCTGTCCTTCTGGTGCCAGTGGCTGCCAGAGCTCAGCACCTGGGAGTGACCCCACTTCACTGTCCCCTGACCTTCCACTGTTGCTCTGCCTCATTCCCCTAGACCCTGAAGCTTCTCCACCTGAGGGGAACGGGATCAACTGTGCAAACTGCCCAGAAAGCAGGCATGCCAGGGAGCACTTCCTGGACTGTCTGTAGTGAGCTCTGTGGACAATGGGTGTGTTTTTCTCTTTAGGGCTATAGATAAACCACCTGACGGCCAAGCTGTCTGAGCGCTATGTGGTTCCACCATACGGAAGCATCTGAAGAGCTGGCGAAAAAGCTGCCAGCACCCTAGGGGGTAGAGTTCGCGTCTCTGACTGCTGTCCCATCCCTGCTCCCAGAGAAGTGCCTGGCATGTAGCAGGGCTGCAGTGTGTCTTTGTGGATGGAACAAGCCCTGATATTTGGGCCAAGCAACCAAATGCCAGGCTGGTGGTCCCACATAAGTGTGGTGGAGTGGGTCTGCCTAGCCACCCACCAGCTGTTAAGGAGGAAGCGGTGGTGCCTGTGGTCCATAGAGCCTGAAGCCTTAGTTGGTGGTTGATCTGCTTTCTGGGAGGATCAGAAATTCCCAAACTTTAATCAAGTAGCGTTCCAGATGAGTCCAGCGACTCTGCACAAAAAAACTGGAAGCCCTCGAAGGAGACCTAAGTTCAGATCAGGGCTCACACGTTTTCTGGCTACTGGATGTGTTTTTCTATTGCACAGATTTGCAGGCGCTTTAAATGAGAATGTGTGCCCCGGCACTTACTAAGCACATCAGCGAAAGCTTCACAGCGCACCATCAGCCAGGCCTGCTGCTGCTAGACCCTCTGCCAGACACTGAGAAGGAAGACGTTTGTGCCCTAGGTCAAAGGCAAACCCTGGGTCCTAGGGAATGTCATTGAGGTTTGCTTAAGTAAAATGTTTTCATTTAGGTTATCTATGCCAATAAAATGATGCAAAATTCATAAAAGCAGGTGGAAGCAAAATCGTGTCTGAATGTAGGACCCTCTTCTAGTTCCCTTTTGAAGCAGCCGCTTAGGCCGTCTGCAATTAAGCCGATTTGACAGTAGAGGGCAGCAGAGGGTGCCGTTTCAGGGTTCATTCGGCCGCACAGGCACAAGCTCCCTACCGGCTCGGCCTCAGCCGGAGGCCCTGGCAGAGCTAACAATGGCCGGCTCCGCCAAGGCGCGAGCAATGAGCTGGATAAAGTCTCAAGCGACCCCCAGCTCAGGCCTGATGGAGAAGCTGGTTATGTGCACAGCCTCTAACTCTGACCAACAGCAGGTTAGGTCAGAGGCAGGACTAAGGGGAGACACATTCCCGGTGTTTCTTTTCCTTGTCGGCATGTCCAGGGTGTGGGGCAGCTGCCGGATAACCCCAATTGGGGTTATCGTGGTGTTCAGGCTTCCCTGTCCCTCCTGCAAGCAGCGAGCAGTACCTTGAGCCTGCAGGGAACATATGAAGATGAAGAACCTCATCTTCTAACTCCTCCAGCTCCCAGAAAGCTTGCCTGGAAGCTTCCTCCTTGGGCATCCTCTCCCGGTGGGGATGGCTGGGCATGGCCAGACAGCCCTTCTTCCTTCCTCTCTCCATCAGTGCTGAGATGAGCACGGTGAAAATATCCAACAATGGGGAAGAGAAAAGATGGAGGCAAAATGCAAGCACTTGGAGAGGAAAGAGGGCCTGGGAAAAAAAAGTGAATCACATTTTGAGCCATTTTCCTTGTTTTTTGTTTCTAAAGATGCTGTTGCCCTAGCTCTGAGTATCAAGGTTAGTAAGTGATCCACGCAAAGACAGTGGGACTCTGGTTCCTTGTAGAAACCACCGATGAACCCAAGCTATTTTATTTTTTTAAATTTTATTATAAGTTCCGGGATACATGTGCAGGATGTGCAGGTTTGTTACGTAGGTAAACGTGCCATGGTTGTTTACTGCACCTATCAACCCATCACCTAGGTATTTAGCACTGCATTCATTAGCTAGTTATCCTGATGCTGTCTCTACCCCTGCCCCACGACAGGCCCCAGTGTGTGTTGTTCCCCTCCCTGTGTTCATGTGTTCTCATTGTTCAGCTCCCATTTATTATTATTATTTATTTTTTTGCAAAGTGAAAGCAAGGTTATTAAGAAACTAGGCCAGGCACAGTGGCTTACGCCTGTAACCCCAGCACTTTGGGAGGCTGAGGGGGGTGGATCACGAGGTCAGGAGTTTAAGAGCAGCCTGGCTAACATGGAAACAAAACCCCGTCTCTACTAAAAGTACAAAAAAAAAAAAAAAAAAGAAAAGAAAAAAAAATTAGCTGGGCGTGGTGGCAGTCGCCTGTAATTCCAGCTACTCGGGAGGCTGAGGCAGAGCATTGTTTGACCCCAGGAGGCGAGGTTGCAGTGAGCCTAGATCATGCCACTGCACTCCAGCCTGGGTGACAGAGTGAGACTCAAAAAAAAAAAAAAAATGTAAAGGAATAAAGGAATGGCTACTCCGTAAACAGAGCAACCCCTAGAGCTACTGGTTGCCTATTTTTATGGTTATTTCTTGATTATCTGCTAAACAAGGGGTGGATTATTTATGCCTCCCCTTTTTAGACCATATAGGGTAACTTCCTGACATTGCCATGGCATATGTAAACTGTCATGGCGCTGGTTGGAGTGTAGCAGTGAGGATGGCCAGAGGTCACTCTCGTCGCCATCTTGGTTTTGGTGGGTTTTGGCTGGCTAATTTTTTTTCTTTTTTCTTTTTTTTTTTTAATAAGCAAGGTCTTTATGATCTGTATTTTGTGCCGACCTCCTGTCTAATCCTGTGACTTAGAATTCCTTAACCGTCTGGGAATGCAGCCCTGTAGGTTTCAGCTTCATATTACCCAGCTCCTGTTTAAGATGAAGTTGCTCTGGTTCACATGCCTCTAACATTCCCTTTTATAAGAGAGCCCTTAATCCTAAGGGTTGCAGAGGGACAAAGATCCATCTTCTGTAACTTCTTCAGGCTGAATAGGGGCAATGATATTGTCTAACTATGAGGGTCTCTTGCATTCAGGGTAGAGAGGCAGCTCCCACTTATGGGTGAGAACATGCAGTGTGTGGTTTTCTGTTCTTGTGTTAGTTTGCTGAGGATGATGGCTTCTAGCTCCATCCACATCCCTGCAAAGGACATGACCTCTTTCCTCTTTATGGCTGCATAATATTCCATGGTGTATATGCACCACATTTTTTAATCCATTCTATCATTGATGGGCATTTGGGTTGATTCCGTGTGAACCTAAGCTAATTTCTTACCCATTCCAGGTTTCATATTTTTATTCAGGCAGGCACCCCTCCCTGGAGTTTATCCATCTACCTCTCTGTCTGAAAGGAAGGTCTACTGGTCCCCACACTTACCTCATCCACCTGCTGAGCTGCCATACTCAGGACTGGCTCTTCCCCAGGCACTGGGAGCACCCATCCCAGGCCACGAGAAGATCAGTCAGCAGCTCCCAGCTTAGTAAAGTCAGCCTCAGTGTTGGTTGTGTTGTCCAGCGTGTTCTGGGGGTCAGATGTCCCATATTTTACCCAGATATCCTCATAACCCTGTTCTTGCCTGGGGTACTAACCCAACTAGCTCAATTCTGCTTGTGCCCTATTTCTTGGTTCCTGGACCCAGGAAGCACTTCCACCTCCCCAAGTTGTAGTTCTCATGTATAGAACTAAAGTTCGTGCCATCTCTGAGGACAAGGGGCAGCTTCTATGTTGTTTTTTTTAAAACAAAATATTTAACATAATATTTTTTAAAACTTCTATTTCTTGGGGAACTCAAAGCATTCCTTGAGCCAAGGTCTGCTCCTCAGAGGTCATATTTGGGGGTGGTCCACAGAACCCGAGAGAAGGATGCTAGGGGAGCTGTAAGCAGAGGCTGGGGGTTCTGGTCCTTCTGCTCAGCCAGTCTCAGCTCCAAGGAGTGAGGCTCCATGTTGGATTCCTATCTCTGACAGTAACCATGGCCTGTCTTTTCTTTGCAAAACAATTCCAAATTTATCCTCTCTTCTTTCATTTAAGAAAATTAACTCCTGCGTTAAATTGTTCAGTCTAATTTCAATTGTTCAAATTGCTCAATCTTTGGTTCCCTCATAGCACCATCGTTTCACAAGGATCTTGGATGGAAGCCACTCTGGGTTTTAACTTCATAGTCTTTATGTCATCATAATGCCCACGGTGCAGAGTGCAGGGTGCCTTAGCCCTGCCAATAAAGCCAGGACTGTTTAACACTCACTCCTTCCTAAACTGGGAGAGAGCGAATCTGGTTCAAAAGTGCACCAGAAATATAGAGCAATTGAGATGCTTAAAGATATGAAGCCCAAGAAATATTCCATTAAAAATGGCACAGTCTAAGGCAGCTCAAGCTCAAAATAAATGAAAGGTTCAGGCTGGGATAACCCCACCAACATATTCAAGAAGGGAGCTATTTCTGGATTGACCACATCTGACCTCCAGCTTCATTTCTTGCTGCTGTGGGGACTAGATAGGCAACAGGAGGAGAAAAGGAGAGGATTTTTTGGTTTTTAGGCCCAAGCCTCTGGCCCACACTGATCCCAAAGAGGGTATCCTCAGTTGCTGCTGCCTTTCTGTCCTCTTCCAACTTATTTCCCCAAACGCAGGCCAGCGCTGTTCAATAGAACTTCGTGCCATGATAGAAAGATTCCATAACTGCTTGTGCAAAATGATAGCCACCTGCCTCGTGTGGCTACTGAGCACTTGAAATCTAGCTGCTGCAACTAAGGACGTATTTTTTTAAACTTTATTTAACAGCAGTTAAAGTTTAAAAATTAAAATGGAAATAGCCATGCACAGCTAATGACTGTTGTAATGGATGATGCTGTTCTAGATGATTAATGATCCTGGCTTGCTGTCATTCTCTCCAATATTGCATCTATCTTCATTCTTAATAGTTTCAGTGTGTGCACACATGATTCTTTGTAGAACCTGGCCTCTCAGTTATTGAACCCTGATTCTTCACCCATCCTATCCTCCACTCACTTTTATCATTGATTTGAGATGTCATTAGCAATAACTACAGCTCTGCTACTATCTTACTTTTAAGGACTTCCCTTTCTGACCATATTTCTAGTTTACTTTCTCTAGAATTCTAAGGCCAGCAATCCTGCAAGCCTACTAGGATATTCATCCCATTGATCCTACCACATTTCACCTTGTTGGTCCTGAATATTTTTATATTATTTTAATACAAAAAAATTAAAGCTTTGTTCTGGGATGTAGGTAAGGGGACAGAGGCTGGGTGCTGTGATGAGAGCCTGTAGTCCCAGCTGCTTGTAAGGCCGAGACAGGTGGATTGCTTAAGCCCAGGAGTTCAAATCCAGCCTAAGCAACAAAGTGAGACCCTGTCTTAAAAAAAAAAATAAGAAAACAATTTTTGATCTTTTAGGATCTTGCTTTTAAGTTTTGCTCAATAAGGCCAGAGTAGCCCGATTTTGCCCCTCTGTTGAGATAATAACCTTCTGAGTACTCTACTGATGCCTGTGTGTTAGGAGGCTTTGCAGAAGAGCAGTGGTAAAACACTCGCTGTTTTACCTGCATGAGTGCTGCAGGCTGTCCCCTCCTCTCCTTTCTGATGGTTCTTCTTCAGCCTTGCCCACTTGCCTCACACTCAAGTATGCTCTGCTGAAGACCTATAGAGGACTCTGGGCCCTCTGTGGCCGTCTGTGGATCTCTGCAGCCCTCTCCGGCCCTCTGCAGCTCCACGAGGCCCTCTGTGGCCCTCTGCAGTCCTCTGTAACCCTCTGTGACTCTCTGTGGCCCTCTGTGTCTCTCTGTGGCCCTCTAGCTCTCTGTGCCTCTTTCAGTCTTCTAGAGTTCTCTATCTATGCAGTGGACCTCTCTGGGATTCTACCGCTGTAGCCTCCCCAGATTCCCAGCTCCATCTTCTAAACTCAGGGAGATCACTGGGTCCTGTACATATGTGTACACACACACACACACACAGAGAGAGAGAGAGAGAGAGAGAGAACCAGTTATTTAGTTCTTTAAGATGGGAGGGTAGCTCTGATTCCTGTTACTCCATCTTTGTTGGAAGCAGAAATCCTCCTTTCTACTATTCCTCACCCCCACTTTCCCAGCTCCAATCTCGTGGTCAGTCACTATCAACACCACCTTGCTCCTCTCTCCTCCTAGCTTGGCAACCCACAACCCTGGTGAAATCAAATCTGCCTACTCCTTGCCTACTTTGGTGCAGCTGAACATGCCTGCAGGGAAGCACACACCACGGCCGCATGTCTGGCTTCAACTTCATGGCTGTGAAAACCTGAGGCCCTTCATGCTGCCTGGCAGTGCCGTTGCATGTCCCTCCTCTCTCATGTTCTCTAAATGGCCATGTCACACCTTCTCTTCTCTTCTCTTCTCTTCTCTTCTCTTCTCTTCTCTTCTCTTCTCTTCTCTTCTCTTCTCTTCTCTTCTCTTCTCAATTCCCCATATCTCTTACCCCATTCTCTCTCTCAGCTTCTACCTTTACTGGAAAAATTTAAGTAACCAGATAAGTTCCAAAGACAGTCACTGCCACCTTTACTCATCCACCTTTCTTTGCACCTTCACTTCTGCCTTCTTGCCTCTTTCGCAAAGTAACACCACCTTTCTCTCTAGTGCACGAGGTCTCAGCTTTGTTAGGGATTCTACCCTCTCTCTCCTACGTTGCCAGCTGTTGGCTTTGTATTGGATCATTCCCATCACTCAACAAGCTTATATAATTTCTCTCATCTGAAGATCACTCTCATGACCCTTCTTCCTCCAGCTTATGTACATTTCTTTGCTTTCCATTTGAGACAAAACTCTGAAAGATGTCACTTGCTGTCATTAATTCATTGCTTCCCACTTTCTTTTGATTCCACTCTCATCAGACTAGAATCCTTGAACTCAACTAACTGCTCTTGTCAAGATCACCTTGACCTCCATGTTGCTGAAGCCAAAGGTCCATTCTCAGTCCTCATCCGATTTGACCCTTCAGCAGCATTGGAAAAGATTTATTGAGTGCTTCCAACTCCTTGAAACATTTTCTGCATTTGGCTTCTAGGACACCACACACTGCTTTGTTTTCTCTGTCACCTTTGCCAGTTTCTCCTTTGTCCATGACCTTGTAATGTCAGCTCTTTGTCTTCTTTTTAAAGACACTCCCCTTTGATGACCCCATTTTGTCTCATAGCTTTAAATACCATTGGTATGCTATAACTTCCATGTTTATATTTTTAACCTAAATCTTTTCCTAAATTCCAGATTTATATACCCAACTGCCTACTCAACCTTTCCACTTGGATGCCTAAGCACATCTCAAGGTGATCATAGCTAACACAGAACTCTTGGGTTTTAGCCTGAGCCTGTTCCACTGCCACCTTTCCATGCCAGTTAATAGAAACTCCACCATCCCAACAGCCCAGGGAACATCTTGGTGGCATTCTCAACCTCACTTTTTCACTTATCTCTACATCAAACCTGTTATAAAACCCATTGGCTCTATCTTCAGAATACTGAGAACCTGACCAATTCTCACTATCTTTTCTGCTACTACCCTGGTCTAAATACCATCATCTAATTTTTGTTTTCTTGTTTCTGTCCCTGTTTCCTTGTAATCTATTCCCAGCATGGCAGCCAGGTTTAAGTAATCCTTAGAATACTTGAGTAACCTGATATCAGTGCTGTGCTAATAACCTTCAGGGCCTCCGTTTTATTCAGAATAAAAGTTTTATTCTGAATAAAACTCCTTGCCGTGGCCTGGAAGTCCCACAGATGTGGGTCCTGCTGCTTCCTGACATCAGCTCCTGGGATATTTCCTTTTGCTCATTTTGTTGCAGCCACGCTGGCCACTGTAATCTCTGAAATGTGAACACTCTTCCTCCATATGTCAGTTTGACTCACTCCTGCACTTCCTCCGAGTCTTTCCCAAATGCCACCTTTCCAATGAGGCCTCCCTGAGCACTTCGTTTAATTCTGTAACTGCCCCACCCTCTCTGCTCTGACTCAATTCTGCTGTACTCTTTACCATTTCCTAGATAATTTACTCACTTATTACTCTGTTTTACCTGTTTCCAACTGCTAGGATGCAACCAAGTTCAAGGAGGGCCAGCATTGTTTTGTTCATTGATGTTTTCAAGTACCCAGAACAGTGTCAGCACATGTGAATCTTTAATAAATATCTGTTAAATAGAAATTGACTTTCACAATTCTCTTGTCTAAGTTTGTGTGCTTTTTTCATCTGTCATGGAATTTCCTGCTGTTCATTTTAATCTGATCTGACCTGGATAAAAATATCAAAGTGAGGAGGCAGAGAATGCTGTTTCAATAGCTTTGGACCATGAACCTATTTTACCTTAAAAATTTTATGCCAAAGAGGCTGGGTTTAAGACCAGGCAGGACAATGTGCTCCTTCTTTGGACAAAGATGTCACAAGTGCCCCCGTCCATTGTGATGACAAGAGTCTCTGCTGTCCTCCTGCAGTGGTGGTAACTGTGCACTGATTTTTCACCTGCTGTCTTCCCTTCAGGCCATGGAGTGAGAGCGGGCAGCCTCTTTCCCAGTTAGGGCTCTGAGACAGAGTCGTGCCAATTGAGCATACAATCTGATGACCTCTGTGCTTCCAATTAAGTTCAGTCTCCCAACTCTCTGCTCAGCTTCACTTGATGGTTAATGGAAATGAGTTGTGTTTCTAGATCTGAGCCACACACTTGGTGTTTCCACTGTCATTTGCTGAGTGCAAGTGCAGTATCAAATGGCTCCCCTCTGTGCCTCACAGGTGAGACCTAGGAATCCAAAGCTTTCACCTCCTCTGCTCCACCCCATTATCCGTGGATGCAACTATTGCACGTGGGCCTGCCCTGTGAGGCTGTGGGCGACATTGCAACAAGATTCTCTGCTGCCAGTTTGTAGCCCCTAAACCCAGTGCATCCCTGACATCCAGCACCAGTGAGGAACATTGCAGAATGAACTGGTGGTGGCCAATTCAGCAGCCACAGCATCTTCAGTGGTTTAATGTAAATATACACAATTATGAAAACAATGCCCTGCAATTGTGCTCAAAGTCTTTGCCACAACAACTCCTCTCCTCTTCTCCTTGCCGTAATTCTCTCTTCCTATCTTATGACTTAGGAGGTTCAATCTATTCTCCCCTTGCCAGAGGAATTCAGAACGCTGTCAAACTTAAATAGCTATGTAATGTATCTATGGGCAGGTTGGCTGTGGGAGGCTTGGAAGTCAATGGTATTTTAAATATTCTCTCTCTGTGTTCAAGACTGGACCTCAATGTGTCTGGACAAGTAGAGAGAAAGAAATGGCAGTAAGACCTGCCCTGTCTCTGTTCAGTGTGCAGTGGGAAAGTCCAACTCTTCACTCATGCAGGCATCCTCTGATAGGCACAGTAGTGTTTGTGTGCATGTGTGTCATGCATGTGCATGTACATGCATGTGTGTGCACATGTGTGCGCATGTGTGTGCTGAGCTACCTGTAAAGAGTAAAGCAGTAATTACTCCCGATGAGCTGGACAGAAGCCTCCCTCTTTACTGGAGAGAACGACTTGAAACTGAGTGTGGCAGGGTTGGGGGAGAGAGTGCTGGCACCAGCAGCTGCTTTAATAATGCCACTCACCTTTGCTGATTAATATGCTTGTCAAAATAAAAGGCAAATGGAAATGACCCCACAGCACAGAGAGTGGGATGGGATTGGCCGAGCCATCTGGCCCCAGATTAATTGCTAGCACTTTCATCTCCTCTCCTGGGCTCCAGATACAATGGGATGATAATGGAAAAGAAATGCACCCAGATCTGTCTATCTTGCTCCTTGTATTCATAGCTGGGCCCAGAGCCAGTCATGCTTTGCTGGCATTTAGTTCCCCAGGGGGTTGAAAGAACTCAGGCATCTTTCCCAGAAAAACACTCTCCAAAGGCCTCAACAGTTTGCAGCAGAGCTCTACTGTAGCTCTACTCAGCTTCATCAATAAGGGCACCATAGGGCAAAGCAAAACAGCTTCCCACCTGAAAACAAGAGCACCCTATCAGAGGAACTCTAAGAGGTCTGTTTGCTTTACCCAGAAATGAATGCAGCTGAGTTAGGAGGCCCAGGAAGGGAAGAGCTTGTCCACAGCAGGGATAATGGAGAGGCACTCCTGATAGCAGACTGGAAAGAGTTGGACACTTTGGTCTGCACAAATGGATCTTGAGTTACACTGGAATTGTAGATGATATAGACAATGAAAATGGTTATTCCCACAGCCCAGAATAATGGCACTAGGAATCATCCCAGGAAGCTTCAAAGGAGCTCTGTACTTATAGTTCAAAAAACAGCTTGCATTTTGGGGAAGAAACAGTGAAATGCTATGTTTTCACCAAAAATGCTTTATTTTCCCCCTAGATATACAGAAAGAGGATATTTCCATGTCCCTTTTGGTTGAGGGTAGGGAATCTGACTTTGTTCTGGTAATAGGATGTGGGTGCAGTGAGGTAGCTTGATCCTGAAGCCTCCCATGGGGTCTCTGTGTTCTCTCTATTCCATCTCTGCTTCTCTTGTGGAGGTCCTAAAGGAAGGTGGAGCAACAAGAGAGAAGGATCCTGGGTCCCTTAGTGACTCTGTGGAGCACAGCCACTCCCACCCCTACCCCCAGCTACTCCTCTGAGCCAAAGTCAGGGCAAACAAGGAATAACCTCCCTAGTGTGCTAAGCCTCCGTAACAAAGTACCGCAGGCTGGGTGCCTTAAGACAAGAGAAAGGTATTGTCTCACATTCCCGGAGCTTGCCCTGGGCCATGTTCACTATCAAGGCTCCAGGGAAGGATCCTTCCTTCCTCTTTCTTGTCTCTGTGGTTGCTGGGAATCGTTGGCACCCCTTGGCCCATAGAGGCTCCACCCCAGTCACAGCCTCTGTCCACACGTGATGCTGTCCTTCTGTGTCTGCATGTGTCCACATTTTCCTTTCTTATAAGGACACCAGACATGGCTCAGGGCCCACCTTAAGCCAGCATGACTCCTTCCTAAGTTGATTATATCTTCAAGGACCCTGTTTCCAAATAAAGTCACATTCACAGGTACCAGGAATTAAGAGCATATCTTTTCTTTTTGGGAACACAGTTCAGCCTGTAACAGTGTCTATAATTTGGAGCTCATTTGTTACAGCAGCTGGTGTTACTTGCTCTGACTAATGTATGTCTGGCATTGGTCCCAACTTGGGCATAACTTTCTCCAGGAAGCCCTACCTTCCTGACTTCAAACCTAGATGGGGTGCTGCTTCACAGTGGGTTCTCCACATTGCCCTAAACTCCCTCTATCACAGCATTCACCATGCTGTGCCATCATGTCCTGCTCACATGGACAAGTGGACTCTTGTCTCTTCTCTGCTACACTGTTCATGCCAAAGGCAAGAATCTGCCTTTCCTGCTCCTTGTTGAATATCCTGGACCTGGCATGCAGTACATTTCTTAATCAATAGCTCTCACATGAATCAGTGGATGCTGTGAGAAAGACTGCCTGATGTGGCATAAGCAGCATCAGGTCGACTTTCTGCCTTCAAGAATCTTGCAGTCATTTATGGCCTCCTTGTTGCCAACTCCCCTGGCTTATTCTCCTCCTCATGCCCCTTGTCTTCTCTGCTTTATTCATAACTGTGGACACTCTGGAACGTGTACACATATTAATGTCATTTAAGAGTCTGGCTCCTAGAGGTTGTTATCTCAGCTCTCTGCCGCTCACCCCAGCATCAATCCCACCTTGAAACCTGCTTGTTCTCATTACTTTGGGACTCCTTGACTCTCCCCTTAAACATCACACCTCTAACAGAAGGATTTTCACTTACTCCATGCATAGAAGGTGTTGGTCACATTGAGTGGAATTCCTTCTAAATCCAGCTCCCAGTCCGTGACCTGCATGGCAGTGGCCCCTCACACTGAGAGAGTGAGTCTCCCCTTGAAACTTAGTTGCTTCTTTCCTCTATTTCTCAGAAGTATCACATCTCAGACTGTTAAAGCTGTTCTCGTGGAACCATTGTAGCCCTCAGGGATGGCCGGGTCCTGATGATCACTTTGTCCACAAGCACTGATGTTTTTTAACTTAAAAAAATTGACTTTGTTTTTGTGTATTCATTTATATTTTTTAGAGACAGGGTCTCACCCTGTCACCCATGTTGGAGTGCTGTGGTGTGATCATAGTTCACTGCAGCCTTGAACTCCTAGGCTTAATTGATCCTCAGCCTCCCAAGCAGCTGGGACTACAGGTATACACCATCATTCCTAGCTAATTAAAAAAATTTTTTTGTAGTGACAGAGTCTCACTATGTTGCTTAAGCTGTTCTCAGACTTCTGGCCTTAAGTGAGCCCCCTGCCTCAGCATCTCGAAGTGCTGGGATTACAGGCGTGGGCCACTGTGCCTGGCCAGACTTTATTTCCTGAGCAGCTTTGGGCTCACAGCAAAATTTAGCTAAAAATACAGTTTCCATCTATCCCCTGGCCTCGCACATGCAAGCCTCCCCCACTGTCAACATTGCCACAACTGAATGGCTCATTGTCGCAATCAATGAATCTACACTGACACCTCATTATCACTCAAAGTCCATAATTTACATTAGGGCTCACTCTTAGGGCTATACATTTTGTGGGTTTTGACAAACAGGTAATGGTGTCTATCAACTATTATAGTATCTTACAAAATAGTCTCACTGCCCTAAAAATTCTCCATACTCCACCATTCATCCCTCCTCCCCCAACCCACAGGAAAGCACTTTTTACTTTTTTTACTGACTCCATAGTCTTGTCTTTTCCAAAATGTCAAATAGTGGGACTCATACAATGTGTAGCCTTTTTAGATTGGATTTTTAAAATTTAGTAGTATGTATTTAAGGTTCCTCCATGTCTTGTCATGGCTGAATAACTCATCTTCAGCATTGAAGAATATTCCATTGTCTAGCTGTATCACAGTTATTCACCCATTCACCTACTGAAGGACATCTTGGTTGCTTCCAAGTTTTGGCAATTATAAAGAAACCTGCTATAAACATTTATATGCAGGTTTTAGTGTTGACAAAAGTTTTCAACTCACTTGGGTAAATATCAATGAACACATTTGTTAAATTGTATGGTAAGAGTATGTTTAGTTTGGTAAGAAACAGTGAAACTCTCTTCCCAGACAGCTTTACCATTTTGCATTCCTACCAGCAATGAATGAGCTCCTGTTGCTCCACATCCTTGTAAGCATTTGGTGTTGTCAGTGTTTTGGATTTTGGAAATTTTAATAGGTGTGTGGTGGTATCTCATTTTAATTTGCATTTCTTTTAAAACATATGATGTCACACATATTTTCATATGCTTTACTTGTCATCCATATATCTTTTTTTGTCAGTGTTTGTTATTTTTTGTCTTATTGAAAATAGCCATACCAACTGGGGTCAGGGTGAGATGATACTCATTGTGGTTTGAATTGCATTTCCCTGTTGATTAGTGATATTCAGCATTTTTCATATATTTGCTGGCTATTTGTATGTCTTCTTTTGAGAATGTCTGTTTTTAGATATATGTATATATATATATATTTTGCTGTTGAAATGTTTGAGTTTCTTGCATATTAATCCCCTTTGGGATGAATAGTTTGCAAATATGTTTTCCCGTTCTGCAGGCTGTTGTTTTACTCAGCTAATGGCTTCCTTTGCTGTGCAGAAGCTCTTTAGTTTGATGTAATCCCATTTGTTTATTTTTGCTTTTGTTACCTGTGCTTTTGAGGTCTTATTCATAAAATATTTTCCCAGACCAAAGTAATGAAGCATTTTCCCTGTTTTCTTCTAGTAATTTTATAGTTTCAGGTCTTACAATTAGGTCTGGGATCCATTTTAAGTTTATTTTTGTAGAGTGAGAGTTTTATTCATCTGCATATGAATATTCAGTTTTCTAAAGACCACTTATTGAAGAGACAGTCCTCTCCCTCAGTGAGCGACCTAGGCAACTCTGTTAAAAATCAGTTGGCTATAGATATGTGAATTAACTTCTGGGTCCACTGTACTGTACAATTGGTATTTGTGTCTGTTTTTATGCCAGTACCACACTGTTTTGGTTACTATAGCTTTGTGGTATATCTTGTAGTCTGGTAAAGTAATTGCCTCCAGTTTTGTTCTTTCTGCTCAAGATTGCTTTGGGTATTTAGAGTCTTTTATGTAGTTTAGATTTTTTTTCTATTTTTGTCGTTTTGTCAAAAATATCTTAACTATTTTGATACTTTATTTTCTTTTTTTGTTGTGTCATTTTCTGGTTTTGGTCTCAGGGTTATGCTGGCTTTGTAAAATGAGTTAGGAAGAACTCACTCCTCTTCAGTTTTTTTGAATAGTTTGAGAAGAATTGGTATGCATTTTTCTTTAAAGATTTGATGGAATTCAGCAGTGGAGTCATCTGGTCCTAGACTTAACTTTATTGGGAGACTTTTTATTACCTATTTAATATTTTCACGCAATATTGGTCTATTCAGGTTTTCTATTTCTTCTTGGTTCAATTTTGATAGGATGTATGTGTCCAGAAACTTATCCTTTTCCTCTAAGTTTTTGAATGTATTGGCATATAGTTGTTTATAGTAGTTTTTAAGGCTCCTTTTTATTTCTGTGCTATCCTTTATGATGTATCCTTTTCCATTTTTGATTTCATGTACTTGAGTATGTTCCCTTTTTTTTCTTAGTCTAGCTAATGGTTTGCCAATTTTATCATTTCAGAAAAATCTATTTTTTGTTTCATTTATCTTTTGCATTTTTTTTGTTTTAATTTCATTTATTTTTGCTTTTTTTTTTTTTTTTTTTTGACAGAGCTTCACTCTGTCACAGGCTGGAGTACAGTTGTACTATCATAGTTCACTGCAGTCTTGAACTTAGGCTCAAAACATCCTCCCACCCCAGCCTCCCAAGTAGCTAAGACTAGAGGCATGAATCACCACTCCTGGCTAATTTTATTTTAAATTTTTTGTAGATACATGGTCTCACTATGTTGACAAGGCTGACATTGAACTCCTGACCCCAAATGATCCTCCCTTCCTGGCCTCCCAAAATGCTGGGATTACTGACATGAGCCACCATGCCTGGCCTTGATCTTTATTATTTCTCTCCTATGAATTTGGCATTTGGTTTGTTCTTGCTTTTCTGATTTCATGAGGCGCATCATGAGGCTGTTTATGTGAAATCTTTCTAATTTTTTGATGTAGGCATTTATTGCTATAAACTTGCCTCTTAATACTGCTTTTGCCATGACCTATAGGTTTTGCTATGTTGTGTTTCTATTTTCGTTTGTTTCAAGGAATTTTTAACTATCATTATTGATTTCTTCCTTCACCCATTGGCCTTTTAGGAGAATGCTGTTTAATTTCCATATATTTACATTATTTTGAATATTCTTGCTATTGATGTCTAGTTTTATTTTATTTCATTGTAGTCAATAAGGTACTTGATATAATTTTGATTTATAAATTTTTTTTCAAACTTGTTTTGTATTCTAACATGTGGTCAATCCTAAAGAATTTTCCATGCACTGATGAAAAGAATGTGTATTCTCCAGCTGTTGGGTGAAATGTTCTATAAATATCTGTTAGGTCCACTTGGTCTATAGTGCAGTTTAAATCCAATGTTGTTGTTGTTGTTTTAATTGTCATTGTTAATTTACTGTCTAGAAGGTCTGCACAATGCTGAGATTGGGGTGTTCAAGTCCCCAACAATTATGGTAGCTTCTCCTTTAGATCTAATAATATTTGCTTTATATATCTGGGTATTATTAGGTGCATATTAGGTGCATATATATTTATATATATATTTATAATTGTTATAGTCTCTGGCTGAATTGATCCCTTTGTTATTACATAATGTCTTTCTTTGTCTTTTTTGACAGCTTGTGACTTGAAGTCTATTTTTGATACAAGCATAGCTACTCCTTGCTTTTGGTTTTGTCCAAAAAACCAAAAGGGATATATTTCTTAGATACATTTTTATCCCTTTACTTTCAGGCTACATGTACCTTTACAGATAAGATGAGTTTCTTGTAGGTAGCATATAGTTGGGTCTTGGTTTTTTATTCATTCAGTTAGTCTACATCTTTTATATGGGTGAATTTATCCTGTTCACATTCAAGGTTATTATTGATAAGTGAGGACTTACTCCTGTCATTTTATTGATTGTTTTCTGCTTGTTTTGTATATCCTTTGTTCCTTACTTTCACTCTTATTGTTTATTTTTGTAGTTGGGTGGTTCTCCATAGTGATAAGGTTTGATTTCCTTCTCTTCCTTCTTTGTGTATCAGCTCTACCAGTGAGTTTTATAGTTTTCTGTGTTTTCTGATGGTAGTTATTGTCTCTTCACTTACACATGTAAGACTCTCTTGAGCATTTCTTGTAAGGCCAGTCTAGTGGTGTTGAATTCCCTTTGTTTTTGCTTATCTGTGAAATATTTAATTTCTCCATTTCTGAAGGGTAGCTTTGTTTAGTATAATTTTTTTTTTACTGTCAGCTTTTTATTTTATTTTATTTTTTAGTACTTGGAATATATTATCCCATTCCTCTCTTGTTTGTATGATTTCTGCCAATACATTTGCTGTTAGTCTACTGTGAAATTTCTTTATATGTGACCTGATGCTTTTCTCTTACTACTTCTAGAATTCTTTCTTTGTCTTTGAATCTTGATAATTTGATTATACTATGCTTCAGAGATGACCTGTGTAAGTTGAATCTATTTGAGGTTCTTTGAGCTTCCCGAACATGCATGTTCATCTCTAGTCCATGACTTGGGAAGTTTTCAGCTATTATTTTATTAAATATGTTTTCTATACCTTTTCCCTTCTCTTTTCCTTCTGGAGTATCCATAATACAAATATTGGTTTACTTAATGGGTCCTAGAAACATTGTAGACTTTCTTCATACTTTTTAATCTTTTATTTTTCTTTGCCTGTGTTATTTCAAAAGATCTGTCTTCAAGGTCAGAAATTATTTCTTCTGCCTGGTTTAGTTTGTTGTTTCACCTCTCAATTGTATCTCCATTTCATTCATTGAACTCTGTAGCTGTAGGATTTCCATTTAGTTCTTTTTTTAAAAAATAATATATATCTTTTTGTTGAAATTCTCTTTCAAATCATGACTTGTTTTCCTGATATAGTTAAATTTTCTGTCTGTATTCCCTTGTACCTCACTGAGTTTTAAAAACATTATTATTTTGAATTCTTTTTCTTTATGATTCAGGTCTGTTACTTGAGAATTATTGTTTTCCTTTGGAAATGTTATGTTTCCTTGCTTTTTCATGGTTGATGTGTTCCTACATTGATTTATATACAACAGATGGAAAAGTTGCTTCTTCTAATTTTATGGAGTAGATTTCTTAGGGAAAAATTTATTCATATGAGTGGGTCTTGGATTGTCAGTTTGGTGGACATGTCGGCCTTGGCTCTAGGTGGATGCAGTGGTATAGTCTCCAGGTAGTTTCTTTAGCTGTAATCCACACTAGTGATGTTTGAAGTTTCTTAGTGGCCCAGGCTGAGACAGTTTGTGGTGGTGGAGGCACAGCTTTGCCAGGAGTGGACTTGCAGGGCTATTTCTCAGGTGAAGCATGTGTGTGCACACATTGGGTCAGCCAACTTGGGGTCTGGCTCACTAGGGTTGGGACATGGAGCTGTTACTCTGGCTGGGACCACGGCCATGTGGTTACTCAGCTGAGCTGGGGTCTGTTTTCCAGAGGCAGCCCACAGGGATGTTTCTCAGGTCCAGGAAACAATCTCATGGCTTCTTGGCTGACCTGAGTATGTTTCTGCTAGTGGTGGCCTGTGGGGCTTTTTCTCAGCTCCAGTATATGGGTGCAAAGCAGCTTGTCTGGCCTGGGGGCCCACAGGGCTGTTTTTCAGGCCTGAAACATGACTGCACAATGGCACAGTTGGCCTGGGGACATGTCTGCAGAAAGCGGCCTATATGGCTGTTTCTCAGGCCCAGGATACAATCTCACGGCATCATGGCTTGTCTGGGTGCATGACTGCTAGGAGTGGCCCATGGAACTTCCTTAGGCCAGGGATGTGGGTGCGAGGCAGAAGTTTACTGATAGAAATATATTGGGGTCCAGGGTGAAGTTATGATACACTTTACATTTTTAAAACCCAGGCAGAAGAGTATATATTTGCAAAAGTCAGAAAGAAAGAATACTGATAAAAGAATAATAGGGTCCACCCAGCCAGAATGGAGTTTTCCGGGCTATGGAGTGGGAGGGCAAAGGAGGGAAGAGGGAGATTGCAGTCTGTCCCACTTGCCATAGGGTTAATGGATATAGATGGCTGGAGCTGCCTCAGGCCAAGGCTGCCACTGGAAGAGGGTCGGACTGTGCTCCAGAACCTGTTCCCCTTACCTTCCCAACATCGTCTCACCTTAACCATCCCAGTGTCCAATAAAAATGGCCACTAACTAATGCCTGGTAACCAGCACAATTGTCAGCAGTGGGTTGCTGGCCTCCTCCTGATTTTCCCTGGACCATGTTTCTGGACCCAGGGCATCTTTCCAGGTGTTCCCCACAATGGTTGATCAGAAACCCTGGGGACACAGCTGGAATTTGAGTAGTTTGAATCATCTATAACCTCATCAGGAGCTAGATTCTGGTTTCTGGCCAGTATCATTTTCCTTCTCTGAAGAACTTCTGTAAATATTTTTTGCAAAGCAATTCTACTGGCAACAAATTATCTCATTTTTTGTTTGTCCAAGAACACCTTTATTTCACCTTAAATATTGGATAATAGTTTCACAGACTACAGGAAATTTAGATTGGTGGGGGTTATTGTTCCTCAATATTTTAAACATTTCATTCTATTTTCTTCTTGCTTGGATGATTTGAGAAGTCAGATGTGATTATTTTTGCTCCTCTGTAGATCAAGTGTTTTTTTCCTCTGACTTCTTTTGAGATGTTTTTCTTTATTTTTTATTTTCTGCACTTTGAATATGATATGCCTAGGAGTCATTTTTCTGGCATTTATGCTGGTTGGTATTCTTTGAGCTTTGTGGATCTGTGGTTTGTTGTCTGACAAAAAATTGATGAAATTCTGTTACTATTGCTTCAAATGTATCTTCTGTTTTTGTCTATTATTATTATTATTTTTTTTGAGGCAGAGTCTCTCTCTGTCACCCAGGCTGGAGTGCAGTGGCGCAATCTTGGCTCACTGCAAGCTCTGCTTTCTGGGTTCACTCCATTCTCCTGCCTCAGCCTCCTGATTAGCTGGGACTACAGGCACTCGCCACCAGGCCCAGCTAATTTTTTTTTTTTTTTTTTTGTATTTTTAGTAGAGACTGGGTTTCACTGTGTTAGCCAGGATGGTCTCAATCTCCTGATCTTGTGATCTGCCCGCCTTGGCCTCCCAAAGTGTTGGGATTACAGGCGTGAGCCACCACGTCCAGCCTTATTTTTTGTTGTTGTTGTTGCTATAACAAAACGCCACAGATTGGGCTATTTATAAAGAAAAGAAATGCATTTCTTACAGTTCTGGAGCCTGGGAAGTCCGATATGAAGGTGTCAGCATCTGAGGAGGGCCTTCTTGCTGAGTCATAACATGGTGAAGATCATTTTATGGTGAGAGGGCAAAAGCATGTGTGTAAGCCTAGGTCTTTCTTCTCTTCCTATAAAACCACCAGTCCTGTCATGGGGACCTGATGACCTAATCTAATCCTCCCAAAGGTCCCACCTCTAATCAACATGTGAATTTGGTGATTGAATTTTCAACATCTGAAATTAGGGAGACACACTCAAACCACAGCTGCTCCTTCTTCTTCTTCTCCTTCTGGTATTCGCATTACACATATATAACCTCTTTTGTAGCTGTTCCATAGTTCTTGGATATTCTGTTTTATTTTTTCTGTCTTTTTCTCTTTGCTTTTCAGTATTGGAAGTTTTTATAGACATATTCTCAAGCTTAGAGATTCTTTCCTCAGCCATGCCCAGTCTACTAATGAGCTTATCAAAGGCATTTGTTATTTCTGTTACAGTGTTTTTGATATTTATAGTTTCTTCTTGATTCTTTCTCAGAATTTCCATCTCTACTCACATTATCCTCTGTTCTTGTATATTGCTTATTTTGTCATTTAGGGCCCTTAGCATACTAATCATAGTTTTAGGAAAATCGCTGGTCTTACAATTTCAACATTTCTGCCACATCTGACTCTGGTTTTGATGTTCACTCAGTGTCTTCAAACTTTGTTTGTTTTTTGCCTTTTAATATTCCTTGTGTTTTCTTCTAGATACTTGAATATGATGTATTGGGTAAAAGGGATGCCTTTAAACAGGCCTTTAATGATGTGGTGGTAAGGTGTGGGGGAAGGGGAAATGTTCTATAGTCCTGTGATTAGTTTTGAGTCTTTCAGAGAGTCTGTGACTCTGGGTTGTAAACTTTGTAAGTGCTTTTCTGTCTCCCCACTTCTTAGGTGGGACATGATGGATAGACAAGTCAGGAATTGTGTACTTCTCTTCTATGTGGAAGGGTAGAGCTGCTGGAGTTGGGAATTTTGCTTCTCCCAGGCAGGGTAGAGTCTGGTAAAACTTAACCTTAGGTTAGGTTCTGGCTAAATAGTTTCTCCTGAGGGCAGATCTTGTTAAAAAGAGCAGAGTGCTCTGGCATATTTAATAATGGTTTCTATTTCCCTCCTCCTGCCAGAAGCATGAAGAAATTTTTCTCCCATTTTTGTTGTGAAGCATGCTGGGCTCCTGGAGGTAAAACTCACAAAAGTGTTGAGGTTTCCCTCTAACTGCACTCTCCCAGCCTGTTTTCATCTTGCTGGCTTGGCCACGCTGAACCTCCAGCAATTTGTCAGTTATGGGTCAGGTCTTCCTACCACAGCATGGGTTCCCACAGAGGTGTCTGCTTTGAGTTTCTTCTATGCTAAGTTGTGATTCGCTGTACCACCATCTTTACACTTTTAAAGGCAGCAGTTTACCTTGTGACCTTACTTTTCTGAAGAGTCTATAAAAAGTTATTGATTTTGTAGTTTGTTCAGCTTCTCACTTGTTGTGAGGACAGAGCGACAGCTTCCAAGCTCCTTACATGCTGGACTGGGAAGTGGGAGTCAGCATTGTTTTAAGTTGAGAAAGTCACAGCGCAGAGAGGCTGGCTTGCCTATGGCCACCTGATTAGCAACAGAGATACTTCTGTGAAGCAGGTCTTTAGACATTAGGGTATGAGTAGACTCCATGCCTTCTCTCTAGTTGTTCCTCAGAGATACCACAAAGAAACAGAATATAGGCTTGCATCTTTTGCAAAATGGTTGCAATCCACTTTGAACTGTGATCAGCCATTTGTTGGAAGCTAATTTGCTCTGCTAGTGGCTGTTATTGTGCTTGATATGGGGATGAGAGGGAATGTTTACTGAATGTCCACCATGTGCCAGAGACTGTTAGGACTTTCATGCACTCTATCTCCTTTAATCATCCTCAGGGATTAATGGGCTAGATCCTATTTCAAAGGTGAGGAAAAAGGTTTAGATCAATGGACCAGATACCACTTTAAAGATGAAAAACAGGTTTAGAGGTTAAACAAGGTTAAATGTGGTCACACAGCTTGTAGGAGGTGTTCTTTAGATCTCTGACCCCCAGGGCCCATGCATGGTGTTTGGGGCAGGGTCTGGTGGAAATGTTTTAGGCAAGAAATGAAACCCACTAACCCTGACCCTCACTTCTTTGAATAATAAAGAGAAGTGACTTCTAGATAAGATGACTATATTTGCTATCTATGTTGTATAACAAATTACTCCAAAATTTAGGTGATTAATACAACAAATATTTATTATCTTTGTGGGCCAGGAATCCATTTGTGGCTTAGCTGGGTGTGTCTGATTCAAGGGCTCTCATGAAGCTTCAAATTGTGGGCCAGGGCTGCAGTGTCATCTGAAGGTCTGATGAGTTGGGAGTGGGTGAAGCTCACTCATGTGGCTGTTGGCAGGCTCGGCTCCTTGCCATGTAGGCTCCCTGTACAGGGCTGACTTACTACCTGCTGCCCTGGGGTGAGCAATCCAAGAAAGGGAGGAGAGGGGGCGGGGGGAGGGAGAGAGAGAGAGAGAGAGATCGATCAAGACAGAAGCCACAGTCATTTTTTAAAAAAAATTATCTTTAAGTTCCAGGGTACATGTGGAGGATGTGCAGGTTTGTTACATAGGTAAATGTGTATTATGGTGGTTTACTGCACCTATCAACCCATCACCTAGGTATTAAGCCTAGTATTCATTAGCCACTTTTCCTAATGCTCTCTCTCCCCCAACCCCACCCCACTACAGGCTCCAGTGTGTGTTGTTCCCCTCCCTGTGTCCATGGGTTCTTGTTGTTGAGCTCCCACTTATAAGTGAGAATATGTGGTGTATGGTTTACTGTTCCTGTATTAGCTTGCTGAGGATAATGGCTTCCAGCTCCATTCATGTCTCAGCAAAAGACATGATCTTGTTCCTTTTTATGGCTGCATAGTATTCCATGGTGTATATGTATTACATTTTCTGTATCCAGTCTATCATTGACTGAGTATTTGGGTTGATTCCAGTCTATCATTGACTTTATTCAGTCTATAATTGACTGGGCATTTGGGTTGATTCCATGTTTTATTATTGTGAATAGTGCTGCAATGAACATACGTGTGCATGTATCTTTGTAACAGAATGATTTATATTCCTTTGGGTATATATTCGGAAATAGAATTCTTGGAGCAATTGGTGTTTCTGGTTCTAGATCTTTGAGGAATCACCAGACCGTTTTTTCACAATGGTTGAACTAATTTACATGCCCACCAACAGTGTAAAATTGTTCCTATTTCTACACAACTTTGCTGCCATCTGTTGTTTCTTGACTTTTTAATAATTGCCATTCTGACTGGCATGAGATGGTATCTTACTGTGGCTTTGATTTGCATTTCTTTAATGAGCAATGATATTGAGTTTTTTTTTTTTTAATACGTTTGTTGGTTGCATGAATGTCTTCTTTTGAGAAGTGTCTGTTCATAACCTTTGCCCACTTTTTGATGGACTGGTCTGTTTTTTTCTTGTAAACTTGTTTAAGCTCCTTGTAGATTCTGAATATTAGACCTTTGTCAGATGGATAGATTGCAAAACTTTCTCCCACTCTGTAGATTGCCTGTTCACTCTGATGATAGTTTCTTTTGCTTGCAGAGGCTCTTTAGCTTGATTAGTTCCCATTTGTCAATTTTTGCTTTTGTTGCAATTGTGTTTGGCAATTTTGTCATGAAATCTTTGCCCATGCCTATGTTCTTAATGGTATTGCCTAAGTTTTCTTCTAGGGTTTTTACAGTTTTGGGTTTTACATTTAGGTTGTTATTTCATCTTGAGTTAATTTTTGTATAAGGTGTAATGAAAAGGTCCAGGTTCAATTTTCTGCATATGTTTAGCCAGTTTTCCCAGCACCATTTATTAAATAGGGAATTCTTTCTCCATTGCCTATTTTTGTCAGGTCTGTCAAAGATCAGATTGTTGTAAATGTGTAGTTTTATTTATGAGTTTTCTATTCTGCTCCATTGGTTTATGTGTCAGTTTTTGTACCAGTACAATGTTGTTTTGGTTACTGTAGCTTTGTAGTATAGTTTGAAATCTGGTAGTGTGATGCCTCCAGCTTTGTTCTTTTTGCTTAGGATTGTCTTGTCTATACAAGCTCTTCTTTGTTTCCACAGGAATTTTAAAATAGTTTCTTCTAATTCTGTGAAGAATGTTAATGGTAGTTTGATGGGAATAGCATTGAATTTATACATTTCCTTGGGGAGTATGGCCATTTTTATGATATTGATTCTTCCTATCCATGAGCATGGAATGTTTTTCTATTCTTTTATATTTTCTCTGATTTCTGTGAGCAATGGTTTGGTTCTCCTTGAAGAAGTCTTTCACTTCCCTTGTTAGCTGTATTCCTAGGCATTTTATTCTCTTGGTAGCAATTGTGAATGGGAGTTCATTCATGATTTGGCTGTCTGCTTGCGTGTTGTTGGTGTATAGGCATGCTTGTGACTTTTGCACATTGATTTTGTATCCTTAGAGTTTGCTGACATTGCTTATCAACTTAAGAAGCTTTTGGGCTGAGACAATGGGGTTTTCTAGATATTGGATCACGTCATTTGCAAACAAACACAATTTGGCTTCATCTCTTCCTATTTGAATACCCTTTATTTCTTTCTGTTGCCTGATTGGCCTACCCAGAACTTCCAATACTATGTTGAATAGGAGTGTTGAGAGAGGGCATCCTTGTCTTGTGCCAGTTTTCAAGAGGAATGAAAGCCACAGTCTTTTTACAACCTACACTAGAAAGTGATGCCCTATCACTTCTGCCATATTCTGTTCATTAGAAGGAAGTGACTAGATCCAACACCCACTCACGGGAAGGAAATTACCTAGGGATGAGAATATCAGGAGGCAGGCATCAGCAAGTGCCATTTTAGAGGCTACCTGCCACAATGACCATTTGTTTATTTTCCCAACACAGTCTCAATCTATGCCTTTAAATATTTGTCCCGGTTAGGTTTCTTCTTTCCCTGTTTCTCTTTTCTTCCTTTCCCTCTAATTTCTATACAAATAAAACTATAAGCTATAAGGTGGGGCCAAACACGCTTGAAAAAATAAAGAATATTTACATAGTCAAAAAATACTCCCCTTAGTATACATATTTATTACAAAGGGGAAAAAGGTAGCTTTACAGTGGAGAAGTATGGCAGACATCACCTGAATTTGACGACAAAACCTAACTCATCAGCCACAGGACAAGTCGAAAGCATGTACAACTTGATAGGATGGAATAAGAAGAACACAGCATCGTGTATGTGATATTCCTGCTGGAGATGCATATCCTGCATTTAATCATGAGAGAACATTAGACTAATAAAATTAAGGGACATGCTATAGTCTGTACTCTTCAAAATGTTGGAGTCATGAAAGTCAAGGGGAGACCAAGGGACTCTTCCAGATTGTAGGCAATTAAAAACACATGTTGAATAAATGCAACCTGTGATTCTGAGCTGCATCATTCTTCTACAAAAAAATTACTGAAGTAATTGATAAAACCTGAATGAAATCTCAGGACTAGATGGGGTAATGCATCAGTGTTAATTTCCTGATTATGATGGTTCTATTTTGGTTATGTAGGAGAATGACCTTGTTTGTAGGAAATATATATTATCATAATCAGAAGTGATGGGACATTGCCTTAGCAACTTACTCTTAAATGGCTTCAAGGAAAAAAAAAGTTCTGTACTTGTAAATTTTTATAACTTGTAGAAGTACTTACAGCTTTTCTGTAAGTTTAAAGTTGCTTCAAAATATAATTTTAAAATGCCACAATTAGAGTAATAAGTTATATGATTACCTCACTTGTGGATATAGATGCTCCCCTAAAAATTCTCTCTCCATACTTATTGCTGCCCAAAATACTAATTCATTCTCATAGTTATGTCCTTTTCTCTAGAGAAAAATCTTGTGCAAAGCAATGTGGAGGACAAAGCAAAGTTCTGTGGCAGAACTTTGGAATGTCAAATCTTATTAAACTCTCCTATGCAAAGGAATTAGAAGAACAAAAATAAATCCCAGGTTTGGAAGCTAAATTTATATGAAGGAGAAGTTGAAAGATATTTCATTACCCAGCAAATTCTTAAAATGTCATTTCAGTCCAAAAGTGAAACTCTTGATCCACTATGAGGCCTTTACAAATTAAATTAGCCTCACTTATTTCCATATTTAGTCTATAAAATAGAAACAAAAAGGCATTTGTACATTCTACCAAACTATATGCCAATGATCGTAGCCCAAACTCTTTCTTTACATAGGTTGTCAAGGTTGTTACCACAAAAGCAGGTATCGTACACTCCCCAAGGTTCACAGGACCTGGGTAAGAGAAGAGGAAAGGCAATGAAAGTGTGAAGATCCTTGAAATAAAGATGATCTCCAATGGTAGTAACACCAGAATCCAGATACACAGAAACAGACTGAAGAAATGAGAGGAATAAAAGGGAATAAGTAGAAGTTGGAGTTTATAAGAAACTCCTGTAGAAACTATTCAATACCTGAATAACTGCAAATACTTTAGGCAAATGATTATGAGGAACTTAGAAGATATAAGTAGCTTTTGTAGTTTTTGCTTTGCGGAAGGAAGGAAGGCTGTGACTACTCCACTTGCCTTGGCTGGAGGCCATGTGCAGGTGGGTCCTTCAGCGGGCACTGTGTGGTTCCTGGCTTCCACCCCACCACATCATCACTGTGGCCTCTGACTGCTTGCTTCTCTTCCTCGTTCTGCACTCTCCTCCAGCTGAGTTTCACTTAGCAAAACAGACGATGTTCAGTCTTCACAGGTGGGAGTCATGAAGGTCAAACATTACATTCCCCAATTTGATCTAATCGAAGACATACCCTCCCCAAATCTAAAATATGTAACACACTCAACGGCCTCTGCTTTGTTGATTCTGGGAACTACACCAAACACAGTTTTGAGACACTTGCTATTTCCTTTCCATCTAGAGCCACTCCTCACTCTCCTCATATTTTCCCCTGAAGCTGTTGGATTTATTTCTAAGCTCTGGAACCTTGAGTGGGATGATTCATATTCCAAGTATTTTTTCCTTTTTTATACATTTCTTAAGTTATATTTTTCAAGGAATTTGTCCATATCATCTAAGCTGTGCAATTTATTGACATCAAGCTGACCATAATGTACTCTGACCATTCTTTTGATGTCTCCAAAATCTACACTGTTGCTTCCTTTTCCATTCCTGATATTAGAAATTAGAGTTGTCTCCTTTTTCCTTGATCAGTTCAGCTAAAGTTTCATTATCTACATTTGAAATCCAGACTCTGTCCCTTTTCCTTGTCCTCAAATGCAATTTGGTCAGAAGCTGGAGGATTTACAGGACTGGGTGAAGTCAGCGTTGGTTGAGGAGGGGAGGGTGCAGATGGGGTCAGGAGCAGAACTCTGAAGGTCAGGAGGCTGATAAGGAGGGAATTCAGTGACTCAGAACTGGGTGGATGCAGCGCTGAAGTGTAGAATAGCCATGGTTACACACCCTTCCGCAGTTGTTATAGGGATATTTCCTGGTAATGTATTGTAAAAGGACAATTTCCCAGTATATTTTGCTCAAGTCTGGAGAACTGAACATTTACGCTCTACAGCTATGTATTAAACTCACAGGCACTTCAGACAAGTTGAGATGTATAGTGTAGATCTCTCTCTAATATGGGGAAGAAGCGACACAGGACTTGAGACTCCAGAAAGGGCAGAAGAGCTGCTTCTTCAAAGCTCTGTCTGTGTAAACCATAGTTACCTCTGAGATGTCGGAATGATGGTGATTCTTAGTTTCCAGTGTTTTACCATGGCATGCGTTATTATTTAATAAGAAAACCAAATATTTTATTATTATGCATGCTACAATTTTGTGTACTAGGAAGTGTGCTAAACAGAAAGAAAAATACCAATAAAATGAGTTGTAAATGAGCTGTAAATAATATAAATGAATAAAATCAAATATATAAAATAAAATAATACAAATGTGAGGCCACGATGAAAAACAATGTATGTATATAAAGCCTAAGCTTCTTTTTATAAGATACCAAGGCCTTCCCTTTGGTCTCAGATCAGACCAGAATAGAGCCCTCAGTCTGAACCTCGGGGCATTAATTTTTAAGACTTGGTTCTTCGTTTCAATGATGACATGCTTGCTTGGGTTACGCAGTAGACACTGCACCCGTGTAATCTGGAGTTGCTAGCTGACCTTCCCCTGAGATGCACAGTGGAACAAGGACAGTTCATTCAACCTTCTGCAGAATCCTGAGTAGATGAGAGAGCCAAGTGGAAAGATCTGCTGAATGTGAATCTTTAAAATTGCAAGCTCCTCCAGGTTGGCCACATGCGCGTGAAGGGTAGACCACCCTCTCTCTCTCTATGTGTTCTTGATTTAGCCACTTGCTTTTCAAGATTCCTTTGTGCCTGGATTTAAAATGGGAATTTGGTCTGTCTTATAATTTGTGAGGTAAGATCTTTAAAGTGAGAGACAACACTGAAAGATAAATGTATGAAGAGATGATGTTATGCATTCAAATTTAACACTCATCAAGAACACATTAGACTGTCCCTTAGAAAAACCCACCAAGTGCAGTTGTTTTGGCTTCTTTCAGGGTCTGGGATCCCTTTGTGAGCCTCATGACGCAAGGACCTTTGCTTCATAAAGAAGGCACGAAATGTGACTTTAGAAAGCTCATGATTTCCAGAACCCAGAGTGGATCCTGGTTCAGAACGACTGCTCCAAGGGCCACACTTCTGCGCAGGTTTCCCCAAGAGTGCATTTGGAGGAGGACTTGAGGGATGCTCCCTGGTGCTCCTCTGTCAATGCTTTCTTTGTTTTATTCTGCTTTACTCTAGGTCTTCTCAGAGCTCTCAATATGGTTACATGCATGGGGAATCTTGTTTCTCAAACTTGCTCTTGGAGCAGAGTTGCAGTGGGGGAAGTGTGGTCTATGGGCACAGCTCCCACTAGGGCCTGCAGCTTCCTGGTTCAAGCAGAAGCCTTGCAAACATATTCATCTGGAAAAAGCATAGCACAGAGGCCCCAGTTGCAGAGATGCTCCGGAAGCCTGAGGTATGCACAGGGCTAGTGAGCTAAGAATATTCCTCTGTCGCCTTTTCAAGGACAAGGGAAGCCAGGGTGGAGACTGTGCTGAGCTAAGGTAAATATAAAACAATCCCAGGGCGGTCCCTCAGAGGAAGGCTTAGCTCCCCGGAGCCTTGGGTAGAGACGCTTCCTGCCTGCCTCGGGGAGTCCTCCTGCCAGGAAGAGGCCTCAGACTCTGCTATGTCTGGCCCTGTGGGGTGATCCCACGTGCTGGGAAGGAGGGAAAAGCAGGGTGGGGTGGGGCACCCTGACATTGTTTCAGATCTCCTGCAGTACGCCTCACTACATGATAAAGCAAAACCAGACTTTGTTTTAAAATAAAATTTTTATTTTAGATTTTTTTTTCTCTTATGGCCTTCCCCAAAGACAGATTTAAAAGAAATTATTTTATTATGGAAAATTTCCTGCAAATGCATGCATCAACTTCCATGCACTCGTCGCTAAGGTACTCCTGACCCGTGTCCTCTGTAACATCCAGCCCTCCTGCAAGGCCCCACTGGACTATTTTGAGGCAAAGCCAAGTATCATATAATTGCATCCTTCAGCATGTATTCTAACAGATCAGGGAATATAAATCCATACTGTGATACCATGAGCATACAAAAATATCATCACTTCATGTTATGTAGTAAGTTTCAATTGAGACTTGCCATTTCCTCATTGTTTCATGAATGCTTTTTAACAGGATTTTGTACAAACAGAATCCAAACAAGTTCTGCATGTTATATTTAACTGATATGCCCTAAGTTTCTCTCTCTTTTTTTTTTTAAAAAAAAAAAAAACAACAACTGAGGCTTAAAATGCCTGGCATACTGTCCAATGATTTAATTGTGTAGCTTCGTGAATGTTTAATAACGCCTATCTAGAGTCACATTGCACTGCTCAGATCAAGATGTGGACATTCCCAACTCCCCACACCTCTGGCTCCTTCCGGTCATCACCCACCCACCAGAGGGAATCTGTGTTCTGGCTTCCCTCAACACAAGCCCTTTAGCCTGTTCTTTCTGAAAAAAAAAAAAAAAAAAAAAAAAAAACCACCAAAAAAAAACTTTAATGTTAGTTTCAGGGGTACATGTGCAGGTTTGTCGTATAGGTAAATTACATGTCTATGTCTTGGGGTTTTGGTGTACAGCTTATGTTGTCACCTGGCAGATAAGCATGGTACTCAGCAGGTAGTTTTTCAATCCTCACTCTCCTCCCACCCTCCACCCTCAAGGGGTCCCAGGTGTCTATTGTTTCCTTCTTTGTGTCCATGTGTACTCAATGTTTAGCTCCCACTTATAAGTGAGAACATGTGGTATTTGGTTTTCTCTTCCTGTGTTAGTTCACTTAGGATAATGACCTCCAGCTCCATTCTTGTTGCTGCAAAGATCATGATCTCGTTCTTTTTTTCTGGCTGTGAAGTAGTCCACCTCTAGCCTGTTCTTAAAATTCATAGAATCTTACATACAGTGTGTGCTCTTTCCTGTCTGATTTCTTTTGCTCAGATTCCTGCCTGTAGACTCTGCCATGATTTTGCAAATGTTGCAGTTGTCATTTTTTTTTGTAGTACTTCATTGGTGAATGTGGTTTTATTTTGCTGTCTGTATTGATATGGATTGCTTCTATGCTTTGGCTAGTACTAATAATGCTGTTATGAACATTTCTGCCCACGTTTTCTGGTAACATAGCACTCCCCTATGAAATGTTTCGACCTCAGGGTAGGTACACTTTAGCTTTCGGAAATGTCCCCAAGTAATTTTCCAAAGTGTATGAATTCCACTTGTCACACATCCTTATGAACACTATGTTATCTTTTTGTTAAAGCCCATTTTGATATAGAGTAAAAAGATTATCCCCTTGATTAAATTTAAGGTAGGCTCCTCTGAGTTCTCCTTTCTTTAAATTTTTTAATTATACTTTAAGTTCTAGGGTACATGTGCACAACGTGCAGGTTTGTTACATATGTATACATGTGCCATGCTGGTGTGCTGCACACATTAACTTGTCATTTACATTAGGTATATCTCCCAATGCTATTGGGAAAACTGGCTAGCCATATGTAGAAAGCTGAAACTGGATCCCTTCCTTATGCCTTATACAAAAGTTAATTCAAAGGATTAAAGACTTAAATGTTAAACCTAAAACCATAAAAACCCTAGAAGAAAACCTAGGCAATACAATTCAGGACATAGGCATGGGCAAGGACTTCATGTCTAAAACACCAAAAGCAATGGCAACAAAAGCCAAAATTGACAAATGGGATCTAATTAAACTAAAGAGCTTCTGCACAGCAAAAGAAACTACCATCAGAGTGAACAGGCAACCTACAGAATGGGAGTTCTCCTTTTAATAGACCTCAATTTTGGTCAATAAATCCTTGAACAAGCACAAACAGTTTCTAACAGCACAAGACCACATCCCCAAGAGGATGCTAGCCCTCATTTAAATTGCCTTCCTGGGAAAACTTAAGGCTGTTAAAATAATTTACAGTTTGTTTCAGCCAATACCTGAGGATAGGGCTTCTGTCTTCCAGCCCCAGTCTCAGGAGGATGAGACCCTAACACTGAGGATTGTCAGCCTGGTCTCGTTTACACGGGCTGATATTTCATGAATTTTAACTTTTCTGTATGGCCTGCCCACTTCCTACTTCTTCATTCTCCTTTTAAAATGCCAGTTTACCTGCGTACAAATGGAAGTTGAGTTCCCTTCATGGAGGACTCTTTTCCCTATTTCACTAGTTATTACTAAAATCGGTCCTTACCCCTTTACCTAGTGTCGGGCTGTTTATCTTTGACAGTAACAATAGCTCATCATGGCTTTACTTTCCATTTTCCTGATGGCTGATGAGGTGGAACATCTTTTCACATGTATTTGGGTTTCTTCTTCTCTGAGGTATCTATTCAGGTTCCTTTGCTCATTTTTTTTAAGCTGTCTGTTTCTTAAGTGTTTTTATATAAGTTTTTTTTTCCCTCCTAAAATGGCATGTGAAGAACAAATTATCCACAGAGGTTTAGAATAGAATAGATTAGACATGGACAGTTTAAAGGTGAAAGAATAGAGCCTAAGAACAATGAAAATGATAAAAGTGTTGGTCTCTTTCGAGGATTTAGAAAGAATGGGATTATGCAATGGATCTTTTGTTATCTTCCAAAAGAAATCCATTTCTTGGGAACAAGATGAGCATAAAAGTAATGAAACACAAATGACTTCGTGACTTATATGAATGATGGAAAAAGATGATTATTGGAAAGACATTATACTAATGTATAATAATAGAAAGCAAATAAAAAGAGTAAAAGTTTGGAGAAGGTTATGAGTTCTATGTAAAACTCTTCATAAAATATTCTACTCTTTCTACACTATGATAAGGCTCACAAAAATACATAACATAAAAATAGTCATATTTTATCCAGTGGGTTTTAAATATTTATGGAAGTCCTCATGATTCTCTTTAATAATGACATTTTTGTATATAAAATGTCAAGTGATCACTTCCTTAAGCTTATGTTTTCTTGGGCTGACATGGCCCATTACCACATGTTCCTGCTGCAATCCATCCCTGTCTCCTTTTGAGGCTGACAGCAGGGTCAAGGGCTCCCTGAAGGGCTTGTTCCATTGGGTGTGGGACTTCCTGCCCAAGGGCCTTGCCTTTCCTGAAGGAAAAGTGAGGCTGTCCCAAGGGGAAGGAAGAGGAGCTCAGAGCTAGTAGAGAGGCCCACTCCCAGGGACATCCATGCAGGGGGTGAGGCACTGCTGGGATGCTTCTGATGGGGACAGTCCAGCCAGCATGCCATTGCAGCCACAGCCATCCCAGGGCAGTGCCAGTTGCAACTCAGTCCCCCCAGCAGCTGAGTACAGACGTCACCAATTGGTGGCCCACCAGCAGAGAAGGGCTGCCAGGGGCTTGGCCGTGGAGCCTACAGGGCACCTGCTCAGCCAGCCTGCTCCAGTCCCCCATGCTGGGGTGGGTGCTTCAGAGCTTTCAGAGCAGATTGAAGGGTGTGGAAAGAACAGAAGTGAGATAAGAAAGGAGAAAGTGTTAAGGACCCGAAAGAAAAGTCATGTGAACACAAAGAGAGTCCACAGCAATGTGTCCCATCCAACAATCCTTTGACCATGGGGAAGCAGCCTTTCCTTTGGGGTCATGGCTGGTGTGCTGGGTCCAGGGCTGCCTTGCTGAGATCTGCTGAAGCAGAACACAGGTGCCAGCAGAGCACGGGGTTTGGGATCAGATAGGCTCTTTACTGGGCCATGGGACCCTAGGCAAGATTTTTTTGTTTAAATCTTTCTTTATTTCAATAGCTTTGGGGGTACAAGTGGTTTTTGCTTACATGGATGAATTGTATAGTGAGGAAGTCTGAGGGTGATGAGGCACCCATCACCTGAGTAGTATATATTGTACCCAATATATAGTATTTATCCCTCACTCCCTCCCACCTTTTCTCTTCTGAGTCTTCAAAGTCCGTTACACCACTGTATACTTCTGTGTACTCAAAGCTTAGCTCCCACTTGTGGTGAGAACATGTGGTATTTGATTTTCCATTCCAGAGTTACTTCACTTAGAGTAATGAAGGCAAGATGTTTAATGTGTCTGCAGATCAGCTTCTGTTTGTGCTGTGCTCATGAGCTGAATCACTGCAGGCTGAATCCCAGCTGCCCAGCTATAAATGTTTGCCTCAAAGAAGGTGCTCAGACCAGGTGCGGTGGCTCAAGCCTGTAATCCCAGCACTTTGGGAGGCTGAGGTGGGTGGATCATGAGGTCAGGAGATTGAGACCATCCTGGCCAACATGGTGAAACACCGTCTCTACTAAAAATACAAAAATTAGCTGGGGGTGGTGGTGAATGCCTGTAATCCCAGCTACTTGGGAGGCTGAGGCAGGAAAATCACTTGAACCTGGGAGGCGGAGGTTGCAATAAGGCAAGATCATGCCACTGCACTCCAGCCTGGGCAACAGAGAGACTCTGTCTCAAAAAAAAAATGAAATAAAATAAAAAAAGATGCTCGGTGAATAGGAGACTCCTTTGAGCGCTCAGTATGTAGGTTGGGCAGCAGCTAAAGAATGATGCAGATGCCTTCTTTATGGAGGATTTTGTTTTGGAGAAGCCCCTCTCACCTGCCTGACTTCCCTGTGGCAGAGGTCAAGTCCAGTTCTCAGAGCTCACACCTCTGTCCAGTCAGCCTGGCAGCCCCTCCCAGAGGCACATCAGGGCAGGAGGTGAGGGTCAGTCCTGGTAGATCTGGAACCAGTACTGGCCTCTCGAAAGCACCAGTAGACAGTGATACCTGCCTGGGGCTTCACATCAACAAAGATAAGTGGGTAAACAATACTGGATAAAATGGATGAGCCACTATCTTTTTTAAAATATGATTTTTTTTTTTGAGATAGAGTTTCACTGTTTGTTGCCCAAGCTGGAGTGCAGTGGCTCGATCTCTGCTAACTGCAAACTCTGCCTCCTGGGTTCAAGCAATTCTCCTGTCTCAGCCTCCATAGTAGCTGGGATTACAGGTGCCAACCACCACACCCAGCTAATTTTTGTATTTTTAGTAGAGATGGGGTTTCACCATGTTGGCCAGGCTGGTCTTGAATTCCTGACCTCAGGTGATCCGCCCGCCTCAGACTTCCAAAATGCTGGGATTACAGGCATGAGTCATTGCACCGGGTCATTTTAAATTTGATTTTTAAAACATCTGTGTCATCACTAAATTCATTTGGCAATCCAGCTGGTGGGGCTATTTGGTAATTTTTCCTCCATGATGTGTTAGAGCTATACTCATAAGTTTACCATCTTTTCTTGTATCTTTTATCTTACTCTTTTTCCTGTTCCAGGGACTATGTAAATAAGAAAACAGCATTCACACCTTTTTATTGCTTACCTGAATTAGTTTAATGACCATTCCTTTATTTCATTGCTCATCATTGTTTTATCCCACAATCCTTACTGAATACTCCCATGGCCCATGTGCTGGGCTTAGAACTGTGGACTCACAACATGCAGGTCCCTAAAATCAAGGAGCTTGTGTTCATGTGAAGGAGATCATCAAACCAAGCATCATATTAGGATTGGGGTGTGCTCTAGGGCATTCCCTGCAGCAGTTACAGTGAAGCTAGGAACACTCAATGCTCAGCAATAGAAGAGCTGAATCAGTTGTGGGCTAGTTATACTCTACCCTACTAAGAAGCAGTTAAAATGAGTGGAGAGGATTTAGATATAGTGACAGAGGAAGACTGAGACACACAGCATAATATACTCTTCAGTAAGAATATATCCTGTTCATGTGTGTGTATGTGCATTTCACATGTATGTCTTAGTCTGTTTGTGCTGCTATAACAGAATACCACCAACTAGGTAACTTATACCCAGAAATTTATTGGCTCACAGTTCTGGAGGCTGGGCAGTCCAACATAAAGGTGCTGGTTGGTTTGGCCATTTGGATTCCAAGATGGCACCTTGAACGCTGAGTTCTGCAGTGGGGAGGAAGTCTTTGTCTTCACTTGGCAAATGGCAAAAGGAGCCAAAACTTGCCCTTTAATAATAGCATTAATCCCATCGATAAGGGCAGTGCCTTCATGACCTAATCATCTCTTAAAGGTCACATCTCTAATATTATGATAACAGCAATTTACTTTCAACATATGAGTTTTGGAGAAGGCAAACATTCAAACATAGCAATGTATATAAGCATCTTGCAAAAATGTTTATTTTTAATGCTGTATATATTGTTTGGAAACACTTTTTATGTAAAAATAGATACAGATGCAGGTATAGGTGTAGGTAAGCACAGATAAAAGTTCTGGAAGGGAAGGCTTGTTTGGGTTAAAGGAAGAGGATTGGGATTAGGTTTGTTTTCAGTGGGGAATTTAGCTGTGGCAAATGTTTAAATATTTGCAGGGAGAATGCATGCTTGTATTATTATTATTATTATTATTATTATTATTATTATTATTATTATTTTGGGATGGTATTTCGCTCTTGTCCCCCAGACTGGAGTGCATTGGCACAATCTCGGCTCACTGCAACCTCCGTCTCTTGGGTTCAAGCAGTTCTCCTGCCTCAGACTCCTGAGTAGCCAGGATTACAGCCATGTGCCACCACGGCCGACTAATTTTTGTTTTTTTAGTAGAGATGGGGTTTCACCATATTGGCCAGGCTGGTCACAACGTTTTGACCTTAGGTGATCCACCCGCCTCGGCCTCCCAAAGCACTGGGATTATAGGCGTGAGCCACTGTGCCCGGCCTCATGCTTGTATTATTTATGTAACTAAAAATAAATTTTAATTATATATTTCCATTTTGGGAAAACAAAAAAGAATTAAAGAGACAGACTATTTTAAGAACATCAGCGTCACTAACTGAATAAGGAAATTGTACAGATTTTGAAGATTTTATGTGATTTCTTGGTTGTTGTGTAACTTCCCATTCACATACTCATTCATTCATTCATTCATTCAGTTTTATCAATCTCCCTTCTGCAAAATATTTGAAGTTGCTTACAAAATCATATACATATAGAACTTCATAATGTACCATCAAAATAAAACTATATTAAAATTATATCTATGTTATACCTGTATGTGTGTGTGTATGTGTGTGTGTGTATATGTATATACGTTATACACATACATAGAAGGCAGATGTCATTGGGCGCTGACTGAATCCTGAGTCTGGGTTTCCTGATAGTTAGAAGACAACCTTCTTACTGATACTACCAGAATGAACACATACACAATATGGTGTGCTTTTTCCAAAACACTGAAAACCTGTTGTTCATTCCCTGAAAGGAAACAATACCTTCTCCTCTCACTGCACAAAACTGGATATCCTAGAAAATTCAGTGCCAATCAAAACCATGACAAACACTTTGTTTTTCTTAGGGAGTCAGATTTAGATTCTTAGGTGAAATAATTATCATTAATTTTTTACCTACAAAAACATGCAGTGGGCACCTCAAAAGTGTGTGGAGCAGGCGGGCATGTTTGTTGACATGGGAGCACCTTGTGCATTGAAGTGCATGTGACATTCCATGTGATTCACTCTCTAAAGCCAGTATCACCCCAATCACTTTACAACCAAAAACACATCTAGAAATTTCCAAAACACCCCCTGGAGAGGAGTTTTCACCCCCTGATTTCACCAAGAACCATTGATTAGGGCATGCAGTAGCATTAACTCAGTGCCTTAGATTGAAGTTTCCCAGAAGCTGATGGGAGCATGGAGCTGTGTGCAGAGGTTTATATAGAGCGTGATTCCAGGAAGCAGGGGTGGAGGGAGAATGTCTTTTCATGGTCACCACTGTGAGCCACTGGGGCTTGATTTCACTGGGATCTCCCAAGAGTAATGCAGAAAGTCGCCAGAATCTGATGGGAGGCAGGAGCATTTACCTACTAACTCCTGGCCCCAAGCGATTGAGAGTTACCTTAGGATAAGTTTGTCACAATTTTGAGCTCACCTGTGCACAGAGCCTGGCTCATTGAGACACTGTCAGCATGAAGTGAGTCCAAGTCCAAACATAATTGTGCACTCTGGCAGCAGGGGGCGGAGAGTATGTGGCTCCAGGAACAAGGCTCAGTGGCACCACTTCTAGGGAGAGGCATGATGATTATCTAAGAAGGCCTCAGATGTACTGGCCAACCAGCTTAAAACCAGCTCAGGGAGTCTTTGGAGAGGCCATGTAGTTGGGCAAATGTGAAAACCCAGAACATTTTAGATCTGAATCAATACAAGGCCAAGACTGTAGCCACTGGGGTAAATCCTAGCCATGCCAGTCCATTTAATGAATCACCTTTCTACTCTCCACCTTCACGGTAAGCAGGCCTTTGTTTCCTGTCCCCTTGTCCATCCTTTGTTCCTGGAGAGAAATTCATTCCCCAAAATATTCCCAGGGCAACATCAACACTTGTACCAGAATACTACTTCTAACCTCCCAGTTCTGGGAGGATTCAGCTGGTCTGTGGTTGTAAAGGTCAAGGTGTGGCTTGATCTTTTCTCTCAACTCAACTGAAGTCTGAGATGCAGAAGCCAGGCTGTTCACATTTACAGTAGAAACTGTTCTTGTACCCACAGCACAGCCTCAAGCCCTGGCCGTCACAGCAAGTTCCTGATTCTCCTGCTGTGAAGCTGCTGTGAGAGTGAAAAGGCTGTGGGGCATCTCCAGGCTGAGTGTGAGACGATGCTCCCACAGACTTACTTCCTGCCAGCCACACCTTGGGGAGAAACAAAAGGATGCAATGCCAAGGCAAGGGAGGCTTTGTGGGTGGCGATCTCTTAGTTTGCTCAGGGTTTGTGCTCAGTGCTCAGCAGATGAGGAAGTTGATGGCTGTCTCCAGGCCCCATCTGTCCAAATTGTGCGCATCCTCAGAGTAGGGAGCTGGCACTCACTTACCTCCAGACTCCCAAATCTCCCAGTTAAACTCAGTACACTTCTCATGGGCACCATCTTAGCTCCAGTCCCCTTGAAGCAGACCCTGGGAGTATTCTGGAAAGTGATGCTAGGGCTCTGGAGAGATGGAGGACTGGAAAGAGGAGGGGAAGAGGCCAGGAGCCCATGTAAGGAAGCCTTATGATCTCACACACTGTAGGAAGCTGGGCTCAGATCCCCAGGGACCCACCAAAAACTGGAGAGAACCTCCCACTGGAGACATGCAGGAGGAGACTATTCATCCACTGGTCCCTTGGCCATGGGCCAAGGGTTGCCTGGTGGTGGTGAGGTGGGTATTAGTTCCCTCACAGGGCAGCCACCGGGATGGCAGGTGGCTCCACAGTCATGCAGTTGGTTCTTAGCAGAGCCGATGTGCACCGGAATTCTCCTGCATGGCCACAAAGTTGTAGCTGTGCATTTGCTCTTTAATGAGTGCATGGCTCATGCTAGGTTTATAGGACATGTGATTCTCATCACATCAATTTCTACAGAAAAGAAGATGCAGGTGGCCTGCCTTTTCAGCTGTATCCTCTGTAATGCAACAAGGAGGGTGACAGGGAGGTGCTGGAGACACTCTGAAGTTCCCTATAGTCTCCTGCTGCCAGAAGCCACAGCAGCCTTAGTCACAGGAAGAGTCAAAGGTCAGGGTGTGTGGTCCATGGGCACTTCCTGCTGCTCAGTCCTCTGCTCCTCTCAGGGCTGTCCCATGCCTGGGAAGTCCCCTCACATTAACCCTGAGGCAAGCAGGAACTTCCTTGATTCTCAGCATCCTTTCAACCAGAAAAGGGGCTCAGGTTCTTCTTCCACCCCCATCTCCCATATGCCAAAATTTAACTTGTCCTGAGACCCATTCCACCTTTTCTTTGCGAGAAACACAGCCAGAGTAGATCATAATTAAAGAGCGTGGCCTGGTGTGGCAGTATTAGCCATAATTTCTGGCCTAGAAACAGACACTACAGGGAAGCAAGTCATGAAGGAGGGTTTAATGAAGGGGTATGGAGAGCTGTGGGTGGGGTGTGGGGAGTCATGGAGAAGTGTGTAATGAAGAGGTATAGAGAGCTGTGGGCAGGGTGTAGGAAGTCATAGAGAAGAGTGTAATGAGGAGGTGTAGAGAGCTGTGGGCGGGGTGTGGGGATTCATGGAGGAGAGTGTAATTAAGAGGCATAGAGAGCTGTGCGCAGGGTGTGGAAAGTCATGGAGGAGGGTCTACTGAAGAGATATAGAGAGTTGTGGGCGGGGTGTGGGGAGTCATGGAGGAGACTCTAATGAAGAGGTATTGAGATGGGCGGGGTGTGGGGAAGTCACTGAGGTGCAGTACCCTAGCGGCCAGCAGCAGTGGGGAGCTGCTACTGCCCCCAGCAGAACAGGGGGACTCCCAATCTCTGAGAGAGAAACCAGTATTAGGAAGAGGGACTTTCTGATGGGAGCTGCAGCCTTCAGTGGAGGAACAGATACATGGGCAAAGGGACGGAGCCTGGGGAATCCCTCCAGTCGTATAACTTTTATTTCTGTTTGTCTGCCCCTTCCTGGGCTTCCTTAAGGTCTGCCTTACCCTTTACCGAACCCCCATCTGTTTTCAGTAGCTAGAGTGGATTTTTGTTGTCTGCTTCTGGAAATTCTGATGGAGATACTGTGTTTACATGTTTACATACATTATTCAATTTATTTCATGCAACAAACCCAGTGAAGTGAAAACCCCCTAAACGCTCACATGCACTCTGCCAATGAAGATGTGGGAGCTCAGAAAGGGTAAGTGCAGCAGACACTGTCAGTGGCCGGGCTAAATCCCCTCCATTATCAGTTCCACAGGCTAATCAATAGCTGCCTAGGGAGAACACCTCTGCCTGAGGGCATTACTGTTCTGGCTGCAGGATGATGGTGGACCTGAGTTCAGGGCAGGCCAGAGGTGCTGGAAACGCAGTGTCCAGGAAGCAGCCTTCAACCAATGGCAGCTGGGAGTTGGTAGATAAATGTCCTAGTTTCCTAGCTGCTGTGAAGAGAATCTCTCTGGGGTGTAGTCTGCAGTTGTTTCCAGAATTTCCCTGTGAGCTGAGTCCTGATTGCTCCCAGTGGTAAAGAGCTCAATGATACCTCCCATCTTAACTTTCTACCCTTTCGCGTCTCTCCTCAACTCCCCACTCCACTGAGTTTTCTTAGGATCACTTCTCAAAGAACGACTTGTACTTAATCCTTACCTAGGGGAGGTGGGAAACCAAATCTGAGACATCAAGTTTCTTACCCAAGATTGCCTATCAAGTGTTGGGGAGTTTCAAGCTCTCCAACACTTGATAAAATACAACTAAATGATACTGAGTACATGTGTGTAATGCATGGTACAAGGGCAGAAATTCATAGTTCTAGAGTGTTGGATTTCACGTGGAAATATGGTTTGTGGAATTTTGTATCTCAGAGTGCCAGTGGGAGACTTGTGCTTGTGGATTCCCTAAGCAGGCAAAGGCAGAGAGGAATTAACGAGAGAGATGATGGATGAGAGGGGAGTGATCATGAGGGCAAGCCTCATGGTGGAAGAGGAAGATGGCATCACACTGGGAAAACTGTGGTAGAGTAGGGTATCTAGACAACAAATGGCCAGTCCTCTGGGCACTGGGTTAAGCGTTTGAAAAAAGAAAAAGAAACAGGGAAACACACAAAAAAGCCTATACACCTTCTGTTAATATTATGCGTGACTATTTATACACATGTTATGGGTTCCTCTGAAAGTAGGAAAACATCACGTATGGGTGGCAACTTCACAACAGCAGTTACCCAACAGGAAGAAAGAAAGGAAAAGAGAACAGATAGTTTGGAGCGACTCTGCATGGATGGGATCTGGGTTAATCGTCAATTTGTGTTGCTGCTGTTTTGTATCATTAAACTTTATATCTTTTAGTAGCTGAATCTTTATTAGAAACCATTGGGATTTTTGAGTGAATGCTGAACATGTTGAGAACAGGTGAATTCTATAGGGAAAAAACAAACAAACACAAAATACCAGCAACACAATCCTGCAATCTTGTTTTGTCTGTAGGGTGGAGCAAGGGCTTTAAATCCTGCCAGCAACAAAATCAATTACCAATCTTTTTTTAAAAATTATTGCAAAATAGAAATAATGTAAAATTTGCCATTTAACTATTTTTAAGTGTACAGTTCAGTGACATTAGGTACATTTACAATGTTGTGTAACCATCACCACGATCCATCTCCAGAACTTTCTCATCTTCTAAGACAGAGTACAGAGTACTCTGTACCTATTAAACAACTCCCCATTCTCCCTTCCTTCAGTTCCTGGAATCCACCGTTCTACTTTCTGTCTCTATGAAGTTGACTACCCTCAGTATCATATATATGGAATCATACAATATTTGTCTTCACCTATTATTTTTGACTTATGTAAAATTTCAGTATTTTACAGACTTTTTTGGTTTTATTTGTGAACTACAAATAATCCTTTATTAGGATGTATTCATAACACGTTGGTGTTGTAATAAACCTTAAAAAATAGCAGTTTGGAAATAAAAGGTATATAGATTAGGATGGAAGAAATAAAACTGTCTTTTTCTGCAGATGATATGATTGCCTATATAGAAAATCTGAAAGAATCAACAGAATAACTGAAACTTTATAATAATTTTATAGCAAGCATGCAGGATACAAGGTTAGTATACAAAAGTCAATCACTTTCATATATGCCAGCAACCTATGAATGAGTGGAATTTAAAACGAAAACACATTACCATTTGCATTAGCAGCCCCAAATTGAAATATTTAGATACAGATCTAACAAAGTATGTAGAAGGTTTATATGAGGAAAATGACAAAACTTTGATAAAAAGGAATCAAAAGACTAGACAAATAAAAAGTTATTCGATGTTTATAGACAGGACAACTCAATATTTTCAAAATGTCAGTTCTTTACCACTTGACTGGTAGATTCAGTGCAATCCCAATCAAAATCCCAGCAAGTTATTTTTGTTACATAAACTGATTCTAAGTTAGTTTTTTTTTGACCTCTGAACTTTTTATTGGCCTCCTTCTCCCCAAAAGTCCCCTGCTTCTGCTGGCTTTATGTCTCAGAACTTTGGTGTCATTGGTCTCAGACACCACTTTGCCATCCACTATTTGGTGGGTGGTGGTCTTTTGGATGGTTTACATGGAGCTGCTGCTGTCCAGGGCATCACCAATATTGAAGTCCTCGCCATCTTCCAGCAGGCGGCAGTAGGTGGAGATCTCAGCCTCCAGCTTGACCTTGATGTTCAGCAGGGCCTCCTACTCCTGGGCCTGGCGCTGTCCCTCTGCCCGGGTCTGTACCAGCTCTGACTTCAGGTGCAGCAGGATCCCATTGAGCTGCTCCATCTAAAGGGTGTAGGGGGCCTCCACCTCCCTCAGGCTGTTCTCCAAGCTAGCCTTCAGATTTCTTATGGAATCCAGGTTGATCTCCAATGACTGGACTGTATGTCTCAGCTCTGTGAGCATCATCTCAGCAGCTCCAACCTCGGTGGACTGTGTGGTGACCACTGTGGTGCTCTCCTTAATCTGCTGAGACCAGTACTTGTCCAGCTCATCTCAGTTCTTCTGAGCCAGCTCGTCATATTGGGCCTGGATGTCTGCCATGATCTAGTTGAGGTCCTGAGATTTGGGGGCATCTACCTCCATGGTCAACCCAGAGTTGGTAATCTGGGCTTGTAGGCCTTTTATTTCCTCTTTGTGGTTCTTCTTCATGAAGAGCAGCTCCTCCTTGAGAGCCTTGATCTGTCTCCAGCTGCAGCCGAGTGACATTCGTGTCATCAATGACCTTGCAGAGCCCATGGAGGTAGCTCTCTACAGATTGGAGCATGGCCAGCTCTGTCTCATACTTGACTCTAAAGTCATCAGCAGCAAGATGGGCATTGTCAATCTGCAGAACGATGTGGGCATTGTCCACAGTATTTGCAAAGATCTGAGCCCTCAGGTCCTCTATGGTCTTGAAGTAATGCCCCCAGTCTCTGACCTGGGGTCCCTTCTTCTCCAATTGCTCACAGATTTTGCTCTCCAGCCTCTGGTTCTTGGTCTCCAGGCTCCTCACTCTGTCCAGGTAGGAGATCAGGTGGTCATTCAGGCTTTGCCTGGTCTCCTTCTTGTTCTGGATGCCTTCCATTCCTGCCAGACTCTCAGCCATCCCCACAGCCAGAGCTCTGGACACCATGCCGCCCCCGAAGCTGGTGGAGTGGGACATGGAGATCAGGGAACCAGAGGCCCCAGCACCTTCATAGACGCTGGCCTTGCTGCTGACCAGCCGGGCACCATAGCTTGGCATCTGGACAGAGCCCAGGGACCAGTAGTTGGTGGAGAAGGTGGAGCGAGTGGTGAAGCTCATGCTGTCCGAGGAGGAGAGCGAGAGGACAGGACTCAGGCTTTGCTGACCATCTTGATTTTACGTTTATATGGAAAAGCAAAAGACCGAGAATAGCCAACTCAACATTGAAAGAGAAGAAAGTCAGAATACTTACACTAACCAACTTCAGGGCTTACTGAAAGCTACAGTAATCAAGATGGTGAGGTATTGATGAAAGAATAAACAAATAGTTCAAAGTAATAGAACAGAGAGCTAAGGTATAGACCCACATTAATATAGTCAATTACTCTTTGATATAGGATCAAAGGGGATGCAATGGAGAAATGTTGTCTTTTCCATAAATGGTGCTGAAACAACTGGACATTTCTGTGTAAAAAAAATGAATCTAGATCAAATCTTACATCCTTCACAAAAATTAATCCAATAGAGCATAGACCTAAATATAAAATGCAGAACTATTAACCTCCCAGCAAATAACAGGAGAAAATCAATGACTTGGATATGGCAATATAACGCCAGAGGCAAAACCCATAAAAAATAATAAGCTTGATTAATTAAAATTAAAAGTTTCTGCTTGGTAAAACACACAGTTAAGAAAATCGGGGGGCAGTTCCAAGATGGCCGAATAGGAACAGCTCCAGTCTACATCTCCCAGCATGAGTGATGCAGAAGATGGGTGATTTCTGCATTTTCAACTGAGGTACTGGGTTCATCTCACTGGGGTTCGTCGGACAGTGGGGGCAGGAGAGTGGGTGCAGCCCACTGAATGTGAGCTGAAGCAGGATGAGGCATCACCTCACCCCGGAAGCACAAGGGGTCAGGGAATTCCTTTTCCTAACAAAGGGAAGGGGTGACAGATGGCACCTGGAAAATAGGGTCACTCCCACCCTAATACTGTGCTTTTCCAATGGTCTTAGCAAATGGCACACCAGGAAATTATATCCCATGCCTGGCTCAGAGGGTCCCATGCCCACAGAGCCTCGCTTATTGCTAGTACAGCAGTCTGAGATTGAACTGCAAGGTGGCAGCGAGGCTGGGGGAGGGGCACCTGCCATTGCTGAGGCTTGAGTAGGTAAACAAAGCTCGAACTGGGTGGAGCCTACCACTGCTCAAGGAGGCCTGCCTGCCTCTGTAGACTCACCACTAGGGGCAGGGCAGAGCCAAACAAAAGGCAACAGAAACCTCTGCAGACTTAAACGTCCCTGTCTGACAGCTTTGAAGAGAGTAGTGGTTCTCCCAGCACAGAGTTTGAGATCTGAGAATGAACAGACTGCCGCAAGTGGGTCCCTGACCTCCGAGTAGCCTAACTGGGAGGGACCCCCCAGTAGGGGCAGACTGATACCTCACATGGCTGGGTACCCCTCTGAGACGAAGCTTCCAGAGGAACAATCAGGCAGGAACATTTGCTGCTCAGCAATATTCGCTGTTGTGCAACCTCCGCTGCTGATACCCAGGCAAACAAGGTCTGGAGTGGACCTCCAGCAAACTCCAACAGACCTGCAGCTGAGGATTCTGACTGTTAGAAGGAAAACTAACAAACAGAAAGGACATCCACACCAAAACCCCATCTGTATGTCACCATCATCAAAGACCAAAGGTAGATAAAACCACAAAGATGGGGAAAAAACAGAGCAGAAAAGCTGAAAATTCTAAAAATCAGAGCATCTCTCCCCTTCAAAAGGAATACAGCTCCTCGCCAGCAATGGGACAAAGCTGGATGGAGAATGACTTTGACGACTTGAGAGAAGAAGGCTTCAGACGATCAAACTCCTCTGAGCTAAAGGAGGAAGTTTGAACCCAATGCAAAGAAGCTAAAAACCTTGAAAAAAGATTAGGCGAATGGCTAACTAGAATAACTAGTGTAGAGAAGTCCTTAAATGACCTGATGGAGCTGAAAACCATGGCATGAGACTACATGAAGAATGCACAAGCTTCAGTAGCCAATTCCATCAACTGGAAGAAAGGGTATCAGAGATGGAAGAACAAATGAATGAAATGAAGTGAGAAGAGAAGTTTAGAGAAAAAGGGTAAAAAGAAATGAACAAAGCCTCCAAGAAATATGGGACTATGTGAAAAGACCAAATCTATGTCTGATTGGTGTACCTGAAAGTGATGGGGAGAATGGAACCAAGTTGGAAAACACTCTGCAGGATATTATCCAGGAGAACTTCTCCAACCTAGCAAGGCAGGCCAACATTCAAATTCCAGAAATACAGAGAACACCACAAAGATACTCCTCGAGAAGAGCACCTCCAAGACACATAATTCTCAGATTCACCAAAGTTGAAATGAAGGAAAAAATGTTAAGGGCAGCCAGAGAGAAAGGTCGGGTTACTCACAAAGGGAAACCCATCAGACTAACAGCGAATCTCTCTGCAGAAACTCTGCAAGCCAGAAGGAAGTGGGGGACAATATTCAACATTCTTAAAGAAAAGAATTTTCAACCCAGAATTTCATGTCCAGCCAAACTAAGCTTCATAAGTGAAGGAGAAATAAAATCCTTTACAGACAAGCAAATGCTGAGAGATTTTGTCATCACCAGGCCTGCCCTAAAAGAGCCCCCGAAGGAAGCACTAAACATGGAAAGGAACAACCAGTACCAGTCACTGCAAAAACATGCCAAATTGTAAAGAACATCGATGCTCAGAAGAAACTGCATCAACTATCGAGCAAAATAAACAGCTAACATCATAAAAACAAGCTCAAATTCACACATAACAATATTAACCTTAAATGTAAATGGGATAAATGCTCCAATTGAAAGACACAGACTGGCAAATTGGGTAAAGAGTCAAGACCCATCAGTGTGATGTATTCAGGAGACCCATCTCATGTGCAGAGACACACATAGACTCAAAATAAAGCGATGGAGGAATATCTACCAAGCAAATAAAAAAAAAGCAGGGGTTTCAATCCTAGTCTCTGATAAAACTGACTTTAAACCAACAAAGATCAAAAGAGACAAAGAAGGCCATTACATAATGGTAAAGGGATCAATTCAACAAGAAGAGCTAACTGTCTTAAATATATATGCACCCAATACAGGTGCACTCAGATTCATAAAGCAAGTCCTTAGAGATCTACAAAGAGACTTAGACTCCCACACAATAATAATGGGAGACTTTAACACCCCACTGTCAACATTAGACAGATCAATGAGACAGAAAGTTAACAAGGATATCCAGGAATTGAACTCAGCTCTGCACCCAGTGGACGTAACAGACATCTATAGAACTCTCCACCCCAAATCAACAGCATATACATTCTTCTCAGCACCACATCACACTTATTCCAAAATTGACCACATAGTTGGAAGTAAAGCACTCCTCAGCAAAAGTAAAAGAATACAAATTACAACAAACTGTCTCTCAGACCACAATGCAATTAAACTAGAACTCAGGATTAAGAAACTCACTCAAAACTGCTCAACTACATGGCAACTGAACAACCTGCTCCTGAATGACTACTGGGTACATAACGAAATGAAGGCAGAAATAAAGATGTTCTTTGAAACCCATGAGAACAAAGACACCACATACCAGAATCTCTGGGACACATTTAAGGCAGTGTGTAGAGGGAAACTTATAGCACTAAATGCCCACACGAGAAAGCAGGAAAGATCTAAAATTGACACCCTAACATCAAAATTAAAAGAACTACAGAAGCAAGAGCAAACAAATTCAAAAGCTAGCAGAAGGCAAGAAATAACTAAGATCAGAGCAGAAATGAAGGAGATAGAGACACAAAAAACCCTTCAAAAAATAAATGAATTCAGGAGCTGGTTTTTTGAAAAGATCAACAAAACTGATAGACCACTAGCAAGACTAATAAAGAATAAAAGAGAGAAGAATCAAATAGACACAATAAAAAATGATAAAGGGGATATCATCACCAATCCCACAGAAATACAAACTACCATCAGAGAATACTATAAACACCTCCACGCAAATAAACTAGAAAATCTAGAAGAAATGGATAAATTCCTGGACACATACACTCTCCCAAGACTAAATCAGGAAGAAGTTGAGTCTCTGAATAGACCAGTAACAGGCTCTGAAATTGAGACAATAATTAATAGCTTACCAACCAAAAAAAGTCCAGGACCAGATGGATTCACAGCCGAATTCTACCAGAGGTACAAGGAGGAGCTGGTACCATTCCTTCTGAAACTATTCCAATCAATAGAAAAAGAGGGAATCCTCCTAACTCATTTTATGAGGCCAGCATCATCCTGATACCAAAGCCTGGCAGAGACACAACCAAAAAAGAGAATTTTAGACCAATATCCTTGATGAACATTGATGCAAAAATCCTCAATAAAATACTGGCAAACAGAATCCAGCAGCACATCAAAAAGCTTATCCACCATGATCAAGTGGGCTTCATCCCTGGGATGCAAGGTTGGCTCAACATATGCAAATCAATAATCGTAATTCAGCATATAAACAGAACCACAGACAAAAATCACATGATTATCTCAATAGACACAGAAAAGGCCTTTGACAAAATTCAACAGCCCTTCATGTTAAAAACTCTCAATAAATTAGGTATTGATGGGACATATCTCAAAATAATAAGAGCTATTTATGCTAAACCCACAGCCAATATCTTACTGAATGGGCAAAAACTAGAAGCATTCCCTTTGAAAACTGGCACAAGACTCACCACTCCTATTCAACATAGTGTTGGAAATTCTCTCCAGGGCAATCAGGCAGGAGAAGGAAATAAAGCGTATTCCACTAGGAAAAGAGGAAGTCAAATTGTCCCTGTTTGCAGATGACATGATTGTATATTTAGAAAACCCCATCATCTCAGCCCCAAATCTCCTTAAGCTGATAAGCTACTTCAGCAAAGTCTCAGGATACACAATCAATGTGCAAAAATCACAAGCATTCTTATACACAAATAACAGACAAACAGAGAGCCAAATCATGAGTGAACTCCCATTCACAATTGCTTCAAAGAGAATAAAATACCTAGGAATCCAACTTCCAAGGGATGTGAAGGTCCTCTTCAAGGAGAACTACAAACCACTGCTCAACGAAATAAAAGAGGACACAAACAAATGGAAGAACATTCCATGCTCATGGATAGGAAGAATCAGTGTTGTGAAAATGGCCATACTGCCCAAGGTAATTTATAGATTCAATGCCATCACTATCAAGCTATCAATGACTTTCTTCACAGAATTGGAAAAAACTACTTTAAAGTTCATATGGAACCAAAAAAGAGCCCACATAGCCAAGACAATCCTAAGCAAAAAGAACAAAGCTGGAGGCATCACGCTACCTGACTTCAAACTATACTACAAGGCTACAGTAACCGAAACAGCATGGTACTGGTACCAAAATAGAGATATAGACCAATGGAACAGAACAGAGCCCTCAGAAATAATACCGCACATCTACAACCATCTGATCTTTGACAAACCTGACAAAAACAAGAAATGGGGAAAGGATTCCCTATTTAAAAAATGGTGCTGGGAAAACTGGCTAGCCATACGTAGAAAGCTGAAACTAGATTCCTTCCTTACACCTTATACAAAAATTAATTCAAGGTGGATTAAAGACTTAAATGTTAGACCTAAAACCATAAAAACCCTAGAAGAAAACCTAGGCATTACCATTCAGGACATAGGCATGGGCAAAGACTTCATGACTAAAACACCAAAAGCAATGGCAACAAAAGCCAAAATTGACAAATGGGATCTAATTAAACTAAAGAGCTTCTGCACAGCAGAAGAAACTACCATCAGAGTGAACAAGCAACCTATAGAATGGGAGAAAATTTTTGCAATCTACTCATCTGACAAAGGGGTAATATCCAGCATCTACAATGAACTCAAGCAAATTTACAAGAAAAGAACAAACAACCCCATCACAAAGTGGGCCAAGGATATGAACAGACACTTCTCAAAAGAAGACATTTATGTAGCCAAGAGACCCGTGAAAAAATGCTCATCATCACTGGCCATCAGAGATATGCAATTCAAAACCACAATGAGATACCATCTCACACCAGTTAGAATGGCAATCATTAAAAGTCAGGAAACAACAGGTGCTGGAGAGGATGTGGAGAAATAGGAACAGTTTTACACTGTTGTTGGGACTGTAAACTAGTTCAACCATTGTGGAAGACAGTGTGGCGATTCCTCAAGGATCTAGAACTAGAAATACCACTTGACCCAGCCATCCCATTACTGGGTATATACCCAAAGGATTATAAATCATGCTGCTATAAAGGCACATGCCCACGTATGTTTATTGCGGCACTATTCACAATAGCAAAGACTTGGAACCAACCCAAATGACCATCAATGATAGACTAGATTAAGAAAATGTGGCACATATACACCACGGAATACTATGAAGCCATAACAAAAGGATGAGTTCATGTGCTTTGTAGGGACATGGATGAAGCTGGAAACCAACATTCTCAGCAATCTATCACAAGAACAAAAAACCAAACACCGCATGTTCTCACTCATAGGTGGGAATTGAACAATGAGAACACTTGGACACAGGAAGGGGAACATCATACACCAGGGCCTGCCATGGGGTGGGGGGAGGGGGGAGGGAAAGCATTAGAAGATATACCCAATGTAAATGAAGAGTTAATGGGTGCAGCACACCAATGTGGCACATGTATACATATGTAACAAACCTGTACGTCGTGCACATGTACCCCAGAACTTAAGGTATAATAATAAAAAAAAAAAAAGAAAATGAAGACAAGCTGCAGATTGAGAGAGAATATATGCAAAGGATACATGTGATAAAGGATTGTTATCCAAAACATACAAAGAACTCTTAAACTTAACACTAAGGAAACAAACAACTCATTTAAAAAATATGCCAAAGACTGAAACAGACACTTTGACAAAGATATGCAGATGACAAACAAGGATATGAAAAGATACTGCACATCATACGTCATTAGGGAACTGTAAATAAGACAATAATGAGACATCACTATTCATTAGAATAAAAATCCAAAACACTGACACCACCAAATATGGCGAGGATGTTGAGCAACAGAAACTCTCATTCATTGCTGCTGAGAATGCAGAATGGTACAACTACTTTGCAAGATGGTTTGGTGATTACTTACAAAACTAAACATACTCAACATGGAATTCAGCAGTTGTGATCCTAGGTATTTGCCCAAATGAGTTGAAAACTTATGTCTACACTAAAACCTTCACACAGATGTTTATGGAAGCTTTATTCATAATGGCCAAAACTTTGAAGGAACCAAGATGTCCTTCAGCAAGTGAATGGATAAATAGATTGTGAAACATTCAGACAATGGAATAATATTTAGCACTTAAAAAATGAGCTATTGAGCTGTGAAAAGACATGAAGGAACCTTAAGTGTATATAGCTAAGTGAAAGAAGCCAATCTGAAAGGGCTACATAGTGAATGATTCCAACTACATGACATTCTGAAAAAGGTAAAACTATGTGGATAATGAAAAGATCAATGATTGCCAGGGGTTGAGGAGAGGGAGGGATGAATAGATGGAGCACAGATAATTTTTAGGGCAGTGAAAACTGATCTGTAGAATACTACAGTGTTGGATATATGTCTATTGAATACAAATCTATTGAATATACAGCACCAAGAGTGAACCCCAATGTAAACTATGGACTTTGGGTGATAATGATGTATCAGTGTAGGTTCCTGGATTGTAACAAATGTACTGCTTTGGTGGGGGATGTTGATAGTGGAAGAGACTGCGCAGATGTGGGAGTGAGGGGTGTATAGGAACTCTGTACTTGTCTATTCATTTTTCAGTGAATCTTAAACTTCTCTAAAAATAAAGTTTGTTAAAAAAATAATGTCTCAGCCCTCTCATTTTAAGTATAGGGCAACTGCTGGCTAATAACTCAGCCTCATACTGTACTGAGAAACTGAAAGCAACTCCTCAGTTGGTAATAGCCTCAAGGTACCACCCATATATCGGCTGGCATCTGGGCCAAGCCTTTTTTTCTTCTTCCGCTCCTGGGATAGTTTCATGGAAGCCAGCCCCTTCTGACATGGCCTGAACCACATCTATTCTCATAGCCTCAGGACCTCCCTCCTTTAGTTGTTCCCTTTCTCCTGAAACAATGCCCTCTTTTCTTTACTAGACCATTCCCATCAGCAGGTAAACATATTCTAGTATCTTCCATGCAGAAAAGATTTTTCCTGGTCTCATATTTCTCCCGAGCCAGCGCTGGTTCTTCACTCCCTATGTTATAGCTTCTCAAGGGTTCCATCTGTTCATACTCACCTCTCATTCTCTTGTCAGCTCACTCCATCACTCCATTAAGACTCTACATGGAGGCCGGGTGCAGTGGCTCACACCTGTAATCCTGGCACTTTGGGAGGCTGAGGCAGTTGGACCACCTAAGGCCAGGAGTTCAAGACCAGCCTGATCAACATGGTGAAACCATGTCTCTACTAAAAAAATACAAATAAAATAAAAAAAAAATTAGTCGGACAAAGCAGTGGCACTTGCCTGTAATCCCAGCTACTCAGGAGGCTGAGGCAGGAGAATTGGTTGAACCCGGGAGGCAGAGGTTGTGGTGAGCCAAGATCGCACCACTGCACTACAGCATGGGCAACAGAGCCAGATTCCATCTCGAAAAAAAAAAAAAAGACTCTTCATAGACACCAAGATCTTTGTGTTTCTAAATTCAACAGCCACTTTCTATTATTCCACATAATCTTAGCAACAGTTGAGCAACCACTCAGCAACTACTGCCCTCTTCCTGTAATACTTTCTTTCCTTGGTAGATCCCCTACCTCCTTGAGTACTTTTTCCTTATACTCTCCTCTACTCATCCTCCAAATGCTGAAGTGCTCTTTCCTGGGCACCCTTTCCTTCTTTATCTGCAAACTCTCTGAGTGACAATATTTAGGCCTCAGACTTCAAATCCTCTACATGAAAAGACTCCAAAATTTCCACCCGCTCCTCTCACCTAAACCCATAAACCCAAATCTTCATGGATGTCTATAGGGAACATGTCTGTAATGGCCCAAACAGAACTCCAGGTGTATTCCCCCAATCTACCTAGAATATTTATCATTTCATTTCTGCAAACAATATCCAAAATTGATTCATTTTTTGCTAAAGCCAAAAGTCTATGCAACCTCTCTGAATTCTCTTCTTCTTTCACACCAGTAAGTCTTCCTTTCCTTACATATATAGATATCCTGAATCCTTCACTTCTGTGAATTCTCACTACCTTAGTCCAAGCTTCTAGAACACTGGAAGAGTCTGTAGTCTCCTAAGGCATATACTGATTCAGTCATTGCTCTGTATGTTTTAATCCCACAGAGACACAAGGAGATTTTTTAAAAGCATGGATCACATTGCTTTCCTACTTCAGACTTTCCAACAACCATGTCCCATTGCTTAGAATGCAGTCCAAGCACTTATCTGGGTTCACTTACTCTACTTGGTCTCACCCTTGTCCTCCCTTCTGATCTTGTCTCCAAGTTGCAGCTTCAGCAGCCTACACCACCACAAGCCCGTGCTTGTTTCTAGGCTTAGCACTAGTTATTTCCTCACCAAGGAATGCCATTGAACTTGATCTTTGCAGAGTAGGCTTCTTCTTGTTGCTCAGATCTTAGATTAAATGTAAAGTCACCCAAGAGGAAATCTGTTCAGAGTGGCTGCCCAAGCATGGCCATTTTGCTCCATCTAAAGTTTCTGGATAGTCTTTTTCATCCCCTCATTCTCTCTCTCTCTCTCTCACACACACACACACACACACACACACACACACACACTTTTTCCATTACTGTTGGCCTTCTTCACTGCTGTATTTTTGATGCTGAGAAACCTGTCTGGCACACAGTGTGTGCTCAATAAATGTTTCTGACTGAATAGATAGAAGATACAGTGGAATGACTTGCCCCAAATTGCTCAGCGAGTGGCAGGAAAAATGAAAGAGTCTACAACCCTTGACTCTTTGCACATTATGCCATCCCCAAAACAGGAAGATTGTTAGTACTATTGCTTTTTCTGAAATATTATTTGGCCTTTAAAAAGAGGGAAATTCAGTCATTTGTGACAATGTAGATGAAGCTGGAGGACATTGTGCTAAGTGAAATAAGCCAGGCACAGAAAGACAAAGTCTACGTGATCTCACTTACATGCAGAATCTAAAAATGTCGAACTCAAAGCAATAGAGAGTAGAATGGTGGCTACCAGAGGTTGGGGGAAGGAATGAGGAGATATTGATCAAAGGGTGCAAAGTTTCCATTAGAAGGAAAATATGATTTTGGAGTCTATTGCACAGCATGGTAACAATAGTTAATAATAAAGTATATTTTTAAATAATGAAAAGAATACATTTCCAGTGCCATAACTCTTAAAACTCACTGACAAACTCAATTTCAAGTGGTAACTTAGATTTTGATGTTAAAAGAAGTGCAAGACCATATCACAAACCTAGCAAGTCTAGACTTGCATTTGCAGGTGACTAAGATTTCAGATGATTCCCCCACGTTAGAGATCAAATAAATCTTGATAACATGCCTGTTTGTCCATAAAAACTTAGTTTTACATACTAACACTGCCTTTTGTGTATATTTAAACAGAACAAATGGTAATTTATTATGTTCTCCAGAAACTGATTTTGCAACATTGCTAAACTAGCAGACTGGAGAGATGCTCACAATTCTCAGATGATATGAGTGTTTCTCTGCATGGGCATCAGAGCTGCCACTGCTTGACATTCCAAGAACTTCCCAGCTACAGGTTCATCACCTTCTCCTCCCAGGAAAGACATGTGAGATTCTGCACAGAGACAGGAATGTCGTAAGTATAACTTGCTCTGTGCTTTTCCTTTATTTGAGGCAGGAATTCATTCCCTGGCTGAATGCCATGGGTTACTTATTCTGGGTATTACATTGCACTTTATTAGATACAAATAAAACTTTTATGAAAGTGTTTATAGGAGTGAATGCTGGAAGACCCACTTATATCTCACAGGTGCCAAAGAGCCTGAAGTCATGCCAGTGGTGGAGTGCTGATTGGAACAGACTGGGTTTGGATGACATCTCTACTCATCTGTAATGGAAGCTGTGTCAAAGTAAACCTTCCTCAGGCACCTGTAGTCTGCCTTGGTTGCTTAGATTTGTTTGTAATTGTTTTTATCCTTTCACAAATTGTGCAATACTGCTTATCAAGCAATGATTAGTAAATGAACCTGTCATTATTTTATCTCACTGAGTAATATCAGGAGTTATAAAAAGAAAATATTTCCCAAGCCTTACCCCCACGACTCTAGTATCTACAATTCACTGGCCTTAACACCAGCCTACAGTCCTAAAATGGTATCTGATACTTGTTCATCAGCTTCTTCTTTTATTTTTTTTTTCAGATAGGAAAAATTTTGAAAAACTCTGGTGGCCTTTGGGTGATGAAGTTAATGATAATTGCCACCTTTTTTCATGAAGTTTCTTGAACTTTGACAACTTTAGGAACAATAATACTGATATTGATAATATGTCATCTTGTTCTCATGTTCTGTGATTCTGAAGGTGAATATATATATTATTTTCATTTGACCAGTGAGGAAAATAAGGATGAGGACATAATTTAAACCTGGTCAATTCACAGGCAGGGACAAGGTGGGACTCACAGTCAATTCTCTGACTTCCAGTCAGAAATCTTGACCCTAAGCGTTTTTCGTACATGAATAGGTTAGATCTATTAATGAGTAGGTAAGGTGAGATGTGGGGTCTATCCTGGCCTTTTAGGTGCAGGTTGAGTTATCAAATCTATGAGAAAAACCACATCCACTAGAAGTCAGAGAATCTGAATGTGAGTTCCACCCCTGTCCATCTTATTTACCAGGTATAAATCATGTTCTCATTCTTATTTTCCCTCAGAAGCAAGAACTGACCACCATGTACATCAGCTGGAACCTTTCTGGAATCCACACAGTGTAATAATCCTTAGGAAAAGCTACCTGGGATTCAGCTGTTACAATCAGAAGGCCACGAACACTCAACTGGAACCTTTCATAATCCCAGTAAAAGGAAAGATTCAGCTCTTGTCCTGATTGCAGACTTTGTGTTGGTATTTTAAAATCTGTATCGGTGAATAATTTCAAATTTTAAATCTACCTACATAGTTGACAAAGACTTTGGACTGTGATGATTTTAATGTGTATCTATGAATTATTTAATACTCTTTCCTTCGAAGGGTAGAATACATTTTCACTTTTCTTAAGTGTGGGGTAAACTTAATGACTCATTTGTAAAAAATAAATTGAAGTATGCATAGAGGTGTCACTTCTAATGCTAGGTCATAAAAGACGTTTTGTTTTCTGCCCTGTTCTGTCTTTCTCTTTGATCATTCAGGCTGGGGGATGCCAGCTGCCATATTGTGAAGACCCTCAAGCATCCCTGTGGAGAGGTCCCCATGGCACAGAAATGGACTCTCAGCCCAAAAGCCAACAAAGAACCAAGGCCTCAAGCCAGCAGCCATGGGAATGGGAATGTGCCATCTTGGAAGCCAATCCTGCAGCCCCAGTCAAGCCTTCAGATGACAGTAGCCCCAGCCAATATCTTCACTGGATCTTACTGAGAGACTATGTGCCAGCATGACCCTACTAAACAACTCTCAAATTTCTGACCCTCAGAAATTGTGTGAGATAATAATTGTTTTTTGTTTTAATATGCTAAGCTTTAGGTTTGTTTGTTACTCCAAATTAGACAACTAATTCAGAATGCAATATATACACTCAGCCAGGTCAACTCCTCTGCTTCTTGATGCCTGGGGAGAGTGGAGAGAGTGATGGATCCCCATTATTATTGCACCCAGGGTACACTGGTCTGGGTTTAGAATGTCTTGTGCTTTTTCAACCTTCTGTTCCCACATTTCTCAGTAGTATGTATATTAAACTCTCTTCAGTAACCCACTTTGAGTCTGCCATTTTTTCCTGTTAGGTTCCCACCTGAAGTGGCTGCCATGTAACATCTACACAAACTCCAGCAAGTGGTGGTGGTATCACCTGTGCTGTGAATACCTCCCAGTGCAACCATGCCTATCACATTGGATGATGCCATTCAGAGCTGCTAGTGTCAGCAAAGCCAGGCTCCAGTGTCACCAGGGTGGTTTGCCTGCATCACAGGTTCTTCGCCGACATCACCAATGGCTGTGCTGCCCAGGCTTTGCTCTCTCCAGTGCTCCTTTGATATTTGCGCGCCCCCCACCTCCTCCTAGGACTCAGAAGTAAGTCATGTGAGATGTGCGGGAAAGGAGCCAAGAGAAGGGCAATTAGAATCACCCTGAAGCAAATTTGTCTTTCCAGGATGTCCTGCCCAGGGCTTTACTGGGGTCTCACATGAATAGCTCTTGGCAGTGCCCCAGTGCACTAGAAATGCTTATAAATTCCTGAATCCCAATGTGAACAGAGTTTGGGTCAGTCTGGACCCTTGCTTCATACACTTAGAAGTCAACTGAAGTGAAAGATTTAATTTGACTATATTTTGTGATTCATAAGTCATTGCTTCTGTAAAGATTTTGAATCTGATACTCAGAGGCTAAAATACAAAGAATTTGACACCATCCTGGGATCTTGAGTAGGATGTACATAGAAGACATGATAACAGGCTGGGCACTGTGGCTCACGCCTGTAATCCCAGCACTTTGGGAGGCCGAGGCAGGTGGATCAGGAGGTCAGGAGATCCAGACCATCCTGGCTAACACGGTGAAACCCTGTTTCTACTAAAAATACAAAAAGTTAGCCGGGCGTGGTGGTGGGCACCTGTAGTCCCAGTTACTGAGACTACAGTCTCAGGCTGAGGCAGGAGAATGGTATGAACCCGGGAGGCGGAGTTTGCAGTGAGCCGAGATTGTGCCACTGCACTCCAGCCTGGGGGACAGAGCAAGACTACGTCTCAAAAAAATAAAAAATAGACATGATAACCAGAAATGTCATTTGATTCTGGAATCCAAGACCCCACCAGGAGCTGTGATGCGGCCCGGGAGGCTGCTGAGAGTGCCCCTTCTGAAGTCAGGTGCCACCATAGCCTGTCTCGCCCTGAGCGTCCCTCAACTCCACTTGTCTCCTCCAGCCCTCCACCTCTTGAAGCAAGTGGAAAACCCTTTTCTATTTTTGGAAATGCTTACACAAATGTGTGAAAGAGTAAAGGATTTTGTCTCAATCCTGGCAAGTCTTCGTCTTTCCGATGCCTATGAGGATGATAAAAAAGTTTCGGGAATAGATGAATTTGTTTACAGAGAAAGCCCTAAAGACCGGGGTGGTTTTAGATAACATTTCCTAGGGCTATTCAAAGACCCCAGGAGCTTCTCTCCCTTTATTTTTCTTGGTTTCATTTCTGAAAAATGAAGGCTGTCTTTAAATCCCCCAATACTGTCAGAGACACTAAATCCAAAGAACATTGCTGCATTCTTTGCTTTGCTGTAAGGCTGAGAGATTTTTTGTCTCAAGATCTTTTGTTGCTTCTTTATTAAACTGGTTAAAGTATAAAACGAGAGAGAGGGGAGAGATTCCTTGAACTTCAGTAGCTGTGGCTTCAATTGTAGCTCATGTTGCTTGTTTTTAGTTATTGACAGAAAGCCTTAGTTAGAATATACCAAATCTATTCTTTGAATGTATTATGCTGATGTAGGTCACTGATTATCTCCATGCCAGGCACCATGAGAATTTTTCCTTCTCATCTGGCTCCTCGACCTTCCTGAGCCTTCAGCTGGTTGCCCGCCTGCACCTCCAGACCTGAGCTTCACCACCTTGTCCCCTCTCCTTTTTTGGGGGTTGAGGTGTCTGCTGAGCATTCCTTCTTGGTTCTATTGACTGAATCTCACGCATCTTGCATGTCAGGGCCTTTCAAGCTCTATGGATGCTGTACTTCCTATTGCATTGCCTTTCTCTTCTTGACCATAGCCCACATCATCATTGCTACACCTGCATTCCTAATGGGTAACCCACAAAACAGCTTCCCAATGCACTATGGGATACTCTAGGCCCATGGGATAGCTCCTAGAGCCCCCTGGTTGGTCAGAGCTGACCTCATTATCCTGCTCAATAAACTGATTGTGTGGAGGTGAGTTTTAGGACTCAAGGGCCTCAGCTACACCTTCCATCCTAGTCCTTGACCACTTGCTCAGTGGAGACCACTCCTTTACCCCAACCAACCACACCTGCTATTGTCTTATCTCCTAAAGCTGACTGCTCTCTTGGGCTCCCCTGGACTGGGTTTTTGTATAGATTCTGTTGCATGCACCATGAAGAATTACAGTTCCCCTGTCACCCAAGCTCAATCCACTCAGATACCCTGCAGTTCTACTCCAACCCCGGGACTCAGATGGAGCCCAGGGGCTCAGACTGCACCACGTGATGCAGTGTTTGACTTCCCAGTGGCTTCCTGAAGGAACCAGGTAGCATAACTTGGAGGAGTGAGACAGTTAATACCCGTGGAAAGGAACTAGAACAGTGAGAGAAAGGTGGAAGGAAGGAGTCATGAAATGAACTTCTCCCACTTTCTGCCCTCAAAGGCCATCTTGAGATGCCCCATACAATAGCTGGAATATAATGAATACCAGAAATGATTTATTGTGTATCTGACATTTAAATTTAACTGGGCACTCTGTATTTTTATTTGCTAAATCTGGCAGCTCTGACTAGGGATCAATATCTGCGAAGGGTAGAGGGAGGAAGCAGAATTTGGCCAAGGAAGAACCTGGTCATAATGCAGGGCTGGCAAAGTCCTGGCCACCCCATAGGGAGCTCTGGATCCACAGTCCCCCATCAGGGTTGTCAGAATTAGGTCAAAAAAGTCTGCCCTTATGCCCCTGCCTTGCTCCATCACCCTGGGTATGGTGTGCAAAGCACACCAGGGATGGTGTACAAACCACACTAGGAATGGCCTGACTGGGCCAGGCAGCTCTCAGCAGCTCATGCCAACTTAGAAGAGCCAGTGGCATCCGATGGCCACACTCTGCAGCTGGGAGCAAGTCCTAACTTGAAGGGGGGTCTTGGCAGCAGATCTATGCACCCACCATGGCTAGTCTCTACTTTGTTTTCTCCTCAAATTTCTTTCCTATTCAGTCATTTAAATAAAGGAGAGCCCTTGCTCTGATTCTGTGCCTTGCACACCATGAGTCCCCCGCTTCTGTGCTCCCTATGGACATGCTTCGAGTGCTCCCCTTCTTTCTCCAAGTTATTCGTTTGCCTGTGATGTCTTCCCTGCCAGAGGCTTAAGCTCTTCCACAGGCTGTACTGTGTCTTTTTCATTTAGAAAAAAAATATGTTGAACACTAATCATGAATCAGGCACTGGGGCACTACTGTGAACAACAGCAACTCATTCAGGCCCACCTTGAGCTTAGAATTAGCGGCAAGGTGCACTCAGTTTAGACAGGTAGATGTGGTATTATGATGGGTGTCTTAGCCTGGTTTCCTCCAGAAGCAGACCCTGAAACAAGAATTTGTTGCATTAAGTTTGTTTAGAAGATGATTAAGGAAACCCTGGTAAGTGAATGAGGAGGTGAAAGGAAAGGGAAGGCAGCCAGCACAGGTGTGTTATCCAGCAGTGACCACTGAGGGAGGGCACCTGGAGCCCCAGATACCATAAGTCATGAGAGTAATCACACCAAGGAACAACGGAGCTGAGAAACTTGTCCACCATGCCTGCCAGCTATTGAGGAGATCTGCTGTGTGTGTGTATGCGGGGCAGTTACTAATTTTCTAGCACTTCCAGTTTGGAGTACATGGGCTCTGGCCACAAGAAAGTCTTCAGATTTATTAGCCATCAGGCTGCTGTGAACGGCACTCAGAAGCCCTGGAGAACTATGAGTGGACCATTAACCACTAACGCTACAACTGAGAAGACCAGGACAGGGTGGAGGAGTGCCCAGGCATAACCCAACCTAACGCAGATTAACAGGAGGAGTAGAAGGAAAGGGAGTAGGTTCCAAGAGAAGATGCAACATGTGAGAAGGCTCAGAGGCAAGACATTGCTGGCCTGTCTAAGGGAAGGGAAGGAGTTCAAGCAACGGCAACATCGATTGCTGGGCAGCACTGTGGGTGGGGCCAGGGAGTTGAGGGAAACAGATTCTGGGAGGCTTTGAGAGCCGCTTCATGTGTCTCTGAGGCCAGGCTCTCACAGCCATCTGGAGTCCTTGGCCGACTCAGCTTAAGAGAAGTCTGTTTGCTAAAGGGCCTCAGACAGTGTTGCTGTGTCATGGGATCTATAGCACTACTACCTCAAATTGAACATTCTAAATAGGGCTTACAAAAATAAAGCATTTCTCCCTTAATATGAGCAACACCACTGTCATTATCACAGAGAAGCCCACTTTGCCCCAAACCCCTGCACTTAATTCGAAGGTAAAATTCAGGCCCAGGAGCACCCCTCCAAACTCCTCTGGGCATGTTGAAATGCGCCCTCCAGCATGCAGTTTCTCCCCTACAACGAGGCTCATGAGGTCAAATGAGTATCAGCACTGCATTGATCCTACACACCAAAGGCAAATATTTTAACATAAAGAAAAGGACATACGGAGTGAGAAAAACAGTCTGCAACAGTGCTGGGTTCTGGAGGGCAATGGGAACTGGGCCAGCTCTGACCCCAAAATCCTTACCACCCTAACTAGAATTCCAAAATCATTCCCAAGTAGCAATCAAAGTCACCGTCAACCTTAAAGAATTTAGACTGTAGCTCGGGGTCAATGGTAAAGAATCTACAGTGCTGAGAAAAATGTTCTGCTTGTTTATACTCAAGAAGTTTATTGAAGTCATTGGGCATGGTGATGATGATTTTTTAACGAAAACTACAGAAATTTCTCTCTGTCATATGCAGCTATGTAAGGAGGGACTTGGATTCTTTTTTTGCTCAAGGGTCCATCTTGAAGTCCATGGATTGTCCTGCCTCTGCATTGTGTAGGTTTGTCTCAGCTCCCTGGTTTGTAAGCTTGCATGTTCTCTCCACCAAGGGAGCCTCTGTCCAGGCAGTTTGGTGTGGGTAGAAATACCTGCCCCAGAGCGAAAGTCAGAGGACCTGGGTTCGGGGTCTTCCTTGGTTGGTTTCTTAGGCCTCAGACATTTATTTCACCCTGGGAAAGTCACTTGGCCTTTCTAAGGCCCAGTTTTCACATCTTTAAAAAAGGGCATGAAATAAGTCTTCTTTTGCTTTGCTGTTACATATTTGCTCTTGTATAGGTATGTATGTGGTATAGTGCTTGTAACAAGGCAGTGTGGGATGGGAAATAGCATGGACTTTGAAACCTGAGAGATTTCCTTCAAATCCTACTGCTGAGCTGTGGGTAAGTCACTGAGACTCTTTCAGGTTCAGTTTGTCCCCCTGTCATGGAGAACTGTTGTGAAGATCAAATAAGATAATAGATGCAAAGTCATCAGGTCAAGTGCTCATAAACAGCCACATGAATCTATTTTGGGGTAAATGGTGATGCATGCTGTGGTTGCTCAGCAAGTGTGCATGCATTTATTTGCCTAGACACTCATGGATGAACACCAGACACCTTCTCAGTCAGATTCTTAGTTGCAGACAGCAGTGTACCCTCTAGTAAATCTGAGTGGAAAGGGATTCAGTAAAAGGTATTGGGATGCTCAAAGACCTCTGGAAAGTCATGTATTTAGGTGCGGATGCAACTCAGCTGTGAACAGAGCAGCCAGAGATGCAAGGAAACCTCCGAACAACCTCAGCAGAAATGCCATCTCCTGCCACTCAGCACACATGATGTTAGGGCCTGGACAACTGAAGCTCCAGCACAGCTACCCCATCCCAGTGTACAGGGCCTCCACCTTCTGTTGCTGTAGGCTGTAGCAGGTCACACAGGGAGACTTAGTGTCAGGGAATGCTGAGAAGTGAGGTGTTCATATTTTGAGCCTCCATGGCACTGGAAGGTGCTAGAATGGGGTTGGAATGGGAGCCGCATGAGCTCATCTGCAGTGTAAGCCAGCAGTTCTGTCATCCTTCCACCCTGAATGAGTCCTGGAGAAGGGCAAACATCTAGGTTCACACACTTATGGTAGAATGTTCTACTTAGAATTGCCTGCAACATGGATCTTTATTAGTTTTTAAAAATAATGATACGCCTATAATCCCAGCACTTTGGGAGGCTGAGGCAGGCAGATCACTTGAGTTCAGGAGTTCAAAACCAGCCTGGCCAACATGGTGAAAACCCCTCTCTACTAAAAATGCAAAAATTAACCAGGCATGGTGGTGTACGCCGGTAGTACCAGCTACTCAGAAGGCTGAGGCAGGAGAATCACTTGAACCCGGAAAATGGAGGTTGCAGTGAGCACTCCAGCCTGGGCAACAGAGCAGGATTCCATCTCAACAACAACAACAACAAATAACATAAATAGTGATAATGATTTCAGGTCTGAATGTGGACATAGAATAATTTTGCTTGAAATTACTTTTCCTCCTAGATACTCCTCCTAGATTCCTCTATTTATTTTCAAAATAGTAGGGAATTTTGTTTTGAGTATTAACCTAATTCTCTTGGGGAAAGTTGTGTACCTAGAGAAAGGAAAGGATTTCCAAATCACTGCCAGTTTGGGGAAATACCTAAAAAGGACAAGTGCCTTTGGTTCAGGCCAGTACTTTGGCCACAGAGCCAGCGGTCATTTTGAGAAAGATATTCTCCCCTCTCTGCCCCAGAAGGTCCCTCAGAAGCAGAGCTTCAGGAGGATTTCTGGAAATGTGTTTGGCTAGATGGCGTTGCCAGGAAAAGTCAGCAGGACAAAAGCAAGTGGGACTGCAGAGGGAAGGAGGATAAGCAGGGGAAAATCCCTGCAGGGAAGCAGCAGCTCCAACAGCAGGGAGCTTGCAAGTCGCACCTTAGAACTGCTCTCCAGCAGCCTGAGGATGGCCTCTGACCGGGATACACAAGTGCTGGCCACTGCATGTGCGAACACCCGAGAGCCGATGTGTATGAAGGTGACTAGGTATCCATGAGCATCTGACAGCATCAAAATAACCTGCATCCACATGTAATGGGTGTGTCTGTGTGCATGGAGGAAAGGAGTAACCTTGGGAATAACTTCCACTCTAAAGGACCCACCATGTGCCAGGCACCATGGAAACAAGACAAATACACATGCTTCCTCTAATGGTTTCAATAGCCCCATGAACCAAGGGCCAGTTTTACACATGGGGAAACTGAGGATGGGGAGGCAAAACAATTTGTCCACCACCAGCAGGAAACACTCCAACACTAGTAAGTGCTGGAGTTTGGATTTGAACAGGAGTCTATCTGAAAATATATATTCTCTCTTAACTATTAAAATCTCCTAATAGATGATAGACAGGTAGACAGACAGACAGACACATATAATACTTCCTTTGTATATGTGTTGATATCTATATCTACATGTGCATAAACAGATGAACATTGATTTTGAGCCTTAGCACCTGTGTTGACATTGATTAAGTAAAAACCATAGGGAAATAAACACCATCCCTTCTTGCCTTCAAGTTTATTTTATTTTATTTTTATATTTATTTATTTATTTATTTATTTATTTTTGAGATGGAGTCCTGCTCTGTGGCCCAGGCTGGAGTGCAGTGGCATGATCTCGGCTCACTGCAAGCTGCGCCTCCCAGGTTCACGCCATTCTCCTGCCTCAGCCTCCCGAGTAGCTGGGACTACAGGCACCCGCCACGATGCCTGGCTAATTTTGTGTATTTTTAGTAGAGATGGGGTTTCACCATGTTAGCCAGGATGGTCTCGATCTCCTGACCTCGTGATCCGCCTGCCTCGGCCTCCCAAAGTGCTGGGATTACAGGCGTGAGCCACCACGCCCGGCCGCCTTCAAATTTATTGAGATCCTTTTCTCCTCGTTCCACATTAGCAAGCGTTGCAAAGGCTTTTAGTCACACAAAGGCAGATAAAGCAAGCCCCAGAATCCTGCTCCACACTCTGAGCCCCACGGTGGTGGGAAATCCTGCAGGCTCCTGGAATGTGCCTGGAGGAGTGGGCTGAGGTCCAATCAGGCAGCGCTCAGCCTCCACACCCATGACAGAGTAGAGGTCCTGCGGTCACGGGCCAAGGCCATCAGGGTGCTGGGGTGGTGGTCCACTCTGACTGCCCATCTGAGCGCCTCACCCTTCATGGTGCCACATAGGGGAGTCACAGCACAGCAAGGCTTGGAGCACAATGAAAAAGCTTTGCACCTGTGGGCCCCCTTGGGAAGACCATCTCAAAAGTCAGTGGTGGATTCCCTCTGCAGCCCCTTGCCCAGCCACAGAACAGAAGCAAGGTGGCTCTCGACAAGTGGGAAAATTGAGTAATGCCCCTTTCCCTGGCTTCAGGGGTTTGCTTGTGTACATGCGTGTGCATGTACATGTATATTAGGGCGTCTGTGTGTGCCTGTGTGCATATGTTGTGTGGTGGATTGACATGTACTTAGCTGCAGGTGTTCAGGCATGCCCTCACATATAAATAGGATGCCTAAGCAAGTGCCACAGCCCAGCCTGGTATTTCCCTGTACCTGGTGCACTGGCACTTAGAATATTTCTTGACTGATAGATTGAGCTTGCCAATAATCCACTTGGGGTGATTTATGCTGGCATTTCCCTGTGATCTCAAGGTGAGTAGACATAAAATCTGAGTGGCTTATACAAGTAAACATGGCCTTCAGAGGAGATGGGCTGACAGGTAGCTGGAGGGCCTGAAAAATCACACCAGCTCAGGCCAGATGAAGGAGAGGTCCAATTTCCCCAGGTCCTTTATGTTTTTGTCAAATGGGGATCCATCTTCAAGTGATGTTGGGGCAGGGTTCTCCAAAGAAGGGCAGCGAGGGAAGGAAGAGGGACAGGAAGGAGCTGAACAGGAGCAGGTTCGAGCTGCAGTCTGGCTTTACCCTGATCCCTGGGGGAGCTTTGGAACAAACTGCACCACAGTCTCACCTTGCGAGGGGCTGGCCTTTGTACCCTGAGCCAGTCACTGTTTATTGGGGGTGGGTGGATGGGCTGTAATCTCCTAAGATGCTTCCATGATCCAATGACAATTTTCCAAAATGGGGGTAGCTCGAAGCTGAGACAGCTGACTTCCCTGGCAGCTGAAGGCTGTGCACACTGGCCAATAAGGGATCTGAGTGGGGTCTGACCAGTATCAGAGTGATTTGCAGGTAAGGATTAAGCCAAGGGTAGTCATTAAAACTAATGACAATTGTTTTGGTGTAACTAACTTTATGTCATCTCCAAATAACCTAGTAATTTTTATTAATTGCAAAAGCTAAGAACTTCCTGAGTAAATTATCTCCTGCTCCATCCACTGTCACCAACAATATAGAAGTAGTTTTGACAGTATTTGTCTATCAACTTCCAATTTACTGACAGGAGAAGCATGATTAATTAAGACATCTGAATTCCATCATTAAAAAAATGAGGTTTCTTATTTTAAGAAGGCATTCAGGGCAAGAGGTGAGTTAAGACTATGTGTAGCATTAGCATTCTAAATTCTCCTTTTACATTATAAGTTTTGCACTTCTTTTGTGAAATTTATTCCAAAATATTTTATTCATTTTTATACTAGTATAAATGCAATTATTTTTTAAATTTGATTTTTGGATTGTCTATTGCAAGTTTCTAGAAATACAACTGAGTTTTATGTATTGATGGTGAAGCCTGTGCCCTTGCTGAATAGAATTGAATCTTGAAGCTAGTCATCTGAGTTCTTCTGGGCCTCTCTATCTGATGCCATAATGAGAGGCATAGGGAAAAGGTGTTGGAAGGCAGGGCAGTGGGAGGGGCAGGGGCTGCCTAATGACAATGTCCAAATGCTAAAAGAAAGTACGTACTCAGCTAGACATCACACTGGAGGTTACTTTTCTCATTGAAAGACCATCAGCATTAACTATGCCGCAAGGCATGCAGACAATGAGAAAAAACTCAGAGCCTGCTGGCCAGGGAAAGCAATGCTTTCAGAAAACAGAAAGCCAGATGATGGATACCAAAGTGCCCTGGAAGTGGAGATACCAGTGTCAGGGGTGGGGGTGGTGGAGAAATCCTCTCTGAGCTTATGGGAGGAAAGGAAAATCTCCCTAGAAATCACTAGTTGAGGACTCTGTCATTCGAGTAACTAACAGACAGAAAACTCACAGATAGTAACAAAAAGTGTTCAGAACTAGGGAAGTTAGTATTCAATTCACATCATTCTGGGCCACAAAAGTTTATGCCCATAGAGTAGAATAAGACTGGGTTTGAATGGAGGCAGTTCCACGGCTGCACTCGGATGGTGTTGGTTCCTTACTTGTTCCCCAGGAGTCCAGACATGATGAGAAGGACCCACAGTATTGTACTTGGTATTTTGTTGTTGTTTCAGGGAAGACAAGTGAGGCCATGCTGTGAAGACCACCTCAAGATTTCAGGGCTTCAAACAACAAAGGCTGTTTCTTGCTCACAATGTATGTCCACCACAGGTCAGCATGAGGTGGGGGGTTTCTGCCCATCATAAGGTACTCAAGGACCTAAGCTGATAGAGGTTTCATCTCTTAGAAGGACAGAGGCTTCATCTCAACAGATGTTTCTGCGGAGATAGGGAAGAGGCACAGTTAGTCATGTGCTAGTCCTTAAAGCTGCCAACCAGGAGAGACATGTGATGTTCTGCTCACATTTCAATCAGTAAAGGAAGCACGTGGTCTTCTCTAATGCAAAAAGGGCGTTCAAATTCTACCTCCCTATGTGCCCAGAAGGAAATCCAGAGTATTTGTGACTAGCTCCAATGACTATCAGTATCCACTCTCCTGCTCACTAAATATTTGATTCCATTTCTTTCTATATTTGTTTTCCAAACGAAACAACTTAGACATTCCATGGATATATTGAAGGTGACACAAGAGAACCAAGAATTCCAAAGGGGAGCAGTGGCCAGGGCAGACCTATTTTTTCTATGTCCTGGTTTTCACTTTGCTGCCATTCACAGGGACGATCAGGAACTCGGGTACCATTCACAGCCAGAGGAGCCACAGCCCGCAGCTGTCAATCACTTGTGGTTAAGGCCCTGCAGGGGTTTGGTCTCTAGAAATTCCCTGTAGTCGAGTTTTCAGTTTGAAAAATTGTGCAGAACATCTTCCAACTCTTCTTAAAGCCGCTAAACAAAATTAGCCCGGTCTCACGGTGCAAAGAGAGATGGGAAGCCCTGGAAGAAGAGCAATCCCGCCCATCTGTAAACCTCTGGAGTATATGGGTTTAAAGGGTTGAGCCCAGGGATCTGGGACCCACCCAGGCAACAGAGCCAGGTTGGCTCTGGGTGTGAACTGAGCTTCGCAGAGGGGGCTGGCTGCTCCTGCTTCTCGGTTCCCTCCACCTCTCTCTCTGCCCCTTGGGGGTCAGGATGGGTGGAGAAGGCCATGCCAAAGATTGAGAGCTCTGCCTTTCCCATCTCAAGTGGTCCTGGGCTCACTGCTCACATGCCAACGGACACCCGCCTCAGGCGAGAAGCTCTGATGACTCTGATATTGTTTTCCAGCTTTTCCAACTCACCTTTCTGCTGAAGGACACAAGGCTGCTCCTCCAAAGCCCTCTGGCAGAACAGTCTTCTGGGTTAGGTCTCAGGTTTGCTGGATGGCTTTGGTTGGTATAACCAGATTCATGAATGGACAGGCCCAGATGCCTGCCCTGTGTGACCAGGTTATGATCCACAAGCAGAAAAAACAAAGATCCTTTTAGCCTCCTGAAATCCCTTGAATGTGAAAACACAGTCATCACTCTGGGCAATCAGAGAGGCCAGAGCCCTGTTTTTTGTGTGGCTGCTACATGGGATTTCAGAGGGGTGCGAAGCCTTTATTTCCAGGCTCAATTTGATCTGCTGCTTGAAGAGCTCAACAAAATGAGTCCAAGTGTTAGAAAAATTCAAACCCAGTTGAAGGATGAGGGTGGTTTCTCATAAAGCAGTGAGTTGTCCTGGCTCCTTAAATTGGCTGAGAACAAGGAAGGGCTGTTCAGCCAAATTTTTCTTTCGCAGTTCATAAAAACTTGACCATGCATAATAAAAGCTTACATTTACATAGCACGCTTGAGTTTCCACAGTGCTCATGGGTTTATTCTTTAAATGTTGTGGTTCCTAAAGACAGTTTTACAAATGAGGAAACTCAAGGTTAAGAAGGGTAAGTGATTTTCCCAAAGTTACAAAGCCAATGAGGGTCAGGCTGGGGTCCAGAGCCTCTGAGAATCCTCTCGTCACACCACCATGGGGCTGGGTCATTTCCCTGGGGAAGGATTTAAAATATATATATATATACACATATTTTAACTTTAAGTTCTGAGATACATGTGCAGAATGTACAGGTTTGTTACATAGGTATACATGTGCCATGGTAGTTTGCTGAACCTATCAACCTGTCTTCTAGGCTTTAAGCCCTGCATGCATTAGGTATTTGTCCTAATGCTCTCCCTCCCCTTGCCCCCCACCCCCCAACAGGCCCCCGTGTATGATGTTCCCCTCCCTGTGTTCATGTGTTGTAATTGCTCAACTCCCACTTATGAGTAAGAATATGTGGTGTTTGGTTTTTTGTTCCTGTGTTAATTTGATAAGAATGATGGCTTCCAGCTTCATCTATGTCCCTGCAAAGGACATGAGCTCATTTTTTTTTTTTTTTTAATTCGAAGATGCTTGAAGCTTGTTTTCATCCATACCTGCTTGGCATTTTGAGTTTACAGAGCTTTTCTGCAGACACTTGAGGGTTTCTGTTTTTGTTTTTAGATTCAGGGGGTGCATGTGCAGGTGTGTTACATGGGTGTATTGTATAATGCTGGAATTTGGGCTTCCATTGAACCCATCACCCAAATAGTGAACATGGTGCCCAATAGGCAGTTGTGGTAGGATATTAGGTGGAGACCCATGAGCGTCCAAATATGGGAAGAGCTGACCCCCATCCTCCATGCTATAAGGAAAGTGGTAAACTTTCCATGAAGGACAAGTTAGGAAGGTCCACACACTTTCTCTGCAACTGACGGCTACCTTCAACCTTTACATATAGGAAACATGGTGAGAGGGGATGGGACAAGGGGATTCAGCTCATCAGTGTCAGCTCCACTACATGGTTCCGTTGTAAGGATTAAATGAGGTGATGCTATGTAAAAGCTGAAGAAATACTGGTATCTTCCACATACCTCTTGGGGTCAAAGAGGAGAGATGGACACCAAGCGACCACCAGGGCTGTTGGCTCCATTCATAGGACTGATTTTGCTTTAGCCACTCCTCTTAAATCCCTACCAATGGCTTTCCTATGTACCCCTGTCACTGCTAGGCCTGCAGCTCTGCAGTGAACTTCTGCTGCAAGAATGAGGTCTCGGATGGGTCTTTCCTGAGAAACCCTTTCCTGAGAAATATTTTCTCTGGGAATAGGACTCCCAGAGGGACTGGGTTGGCTGGAATCAAAGCAAGCGAAAGTAGTTCATTCTCCCCCTTGGTGCCACACCACACTCTCCTCCTTCTGCCCTGGCAAGCCGTTCTTTCCCATCTGGGAAGCCCTGGCTTGGTGGGAAGCAGGAGCATTAATAAGCCTCAGTCAATAACCAGTCCCATGGTTTCAGCTGGTTGTGCAGAGCTCCCAGGCCTGTCAGTGACAGAGCAGCTGAAAGAGAGGCCCACACAGGCCACAGTCAGCAGTGGGGATCCAGGGGCAGCCCACTGCCAAAGGCTGGTGGCCTCCTTCATGGTTTCCACCCATAGGGGTGAGCTGAAGGGAGGCTGTACTCTAGAACCTTCTAGAAAGCCAAGGTCACAGTTGCCCTGGCCAGCCAGCCTCAACTTCAAAGAATTCACAAGCAGGGGGCATTCGCTCTGGGACGCAGCATCATCCAAAGAAAATGCAGCTTTCCTCTCATGCAGTGTCTGTGAAGATGTCGTGTTGTCAGAGCATTGTTCACCAGGTCCTCTGACCCTAACACACGCTGGAATGCCAGCCTCTCTCCCCTCCCCAGATGCTTAGCCAAAGAAGCCACTTTGCATGGAGGCAGGAAAGAAAGAAGGCAAAGGACATAGCTGGTTTCACTCTGTGGTCTCAAGTTCAAAACAGTTACCCTAGCGCAGGGCCACCTGGTAAAAATATGACCCCAGCCACATGTACCATTTTAAAATATCTAATAGCCACATTTAACAAAGGGAAAATGGTAAAATTTACTTCATTGATAGATTTTACTTAACCTGTTGTATCAAAAGTATTATCATTTCAGCTCTTAATTATAAAACAAATGTTAGTGAAATATTTTGCATTCTTTTCTCATATTGTGTCTTGAAGCTGCCTTGGAGCACTGTTTCCTTTTACCTCAAAGGTGATCGCCAACCCCCTGTAATAATCAGGACTGAATATTAAAACATAATATAGGAAAATATATATTATGTTTGTATAAGGTTTACTATGCCTCAAAGAACCTTCACATTCTTTTTTTTTTTTTTTTTTTTTTTTTTTAAGATGGAGTTTTGGAGTGCAATGGTGCGATCTCGGCTCACCCTAACCTCTGCCTGCCAGGTTGGTTCAAGTGATTCTCCTGCCTCAGCCTCCTGAGTAGCTAGGATTATAAGCAGGCACCACCATGCCTGGCTAATTTTGTATTTTTAGTAGAGACGAGGTTTCTCCATTTTGTCTAGGCTGGTCTCGAACTCTCGACCTCAGGTGATCCGCCCGCCTCTGCCTCCCAAAGTGCTGGGATTACAGGCATGAGCCACTGTGCCTGGCCAGAATCTTCACATTCTTTAACCCATTTGATTTCATCTGAGCCAGTTTGACTCTTTTACACATTTGACAGTGCAAACTGCAGCACAAGAGAACTCAAGTGTCACCAGGCAGTTGGTAGTGGAGTTTGGTCTCCTGATTCCTGGTGTAGCAGATTTCCCACCGGAACCACAGGGCAAGACACAGTGCCAGGCCCCGAGTTCACCTGGATGGGGAAAGGGAAAGTGAGAAGTCAGGGTGGTCAGGAAAGCTGCAAGAGATGGGGCTGACCTATCTGCAAACATAAACAACCACAGGACTGTACACGTTGAGAGGGTGAATGGTATCTCAATAAAGTGGTTAAAGAGAGAGAGACAGAGACAAAGAAACAGAGACAGAGAGTCCGAGAGAAAGAGAGAGAGACATAGAGACAGAGAGAGACACAGAGAGAGGGAGACATAGGGAGAAACAGAGAGAGAGATATAGAGACAGAGAGACACACAGAGACAGAAAGAGAGAGACACAGAGACAGAGAGAAACATAGAGACAGAGACAGAGAGACATAGAGACAGAGAGAGACAGAGAGAGAGAGAGACAGAGACAGAGAGAGACAGAGAGAGAGACATAGAGACAGAGACAGAGAGAGACATAGAGACAGAGAGAGACACAGAGACAGAGACAGAGAGAGACATAGAGACAGAGGCAGAGAGAGACACAGAGACAGAGAGAGAGAGAGACGTAGAGGCAGAGAGAGACAGAGCACTGGGGCAAGATGAGCTCCCACCGCCACCCCAGGAAGGGGCAGTCTGTGTCAGCTTCATTTCCTGGGAAGTAGAAATGTTAACCAAGGGAAATGGATGTTTTCTGCAGGCAAAGAGAAGGTCCCAAAATCCTCAAATTAATCATGCCCAAAGTTTGCATTATATAAAAGCAACACCTAACATGTCAGTGGATGTACAAAGGCACCTGGAAGGCATAGACAGGCCCAGGCCTGTAGAGTGTGCCCCACAGGCTGAGAGAGGCCACATGGCCAGGGAAGGGTGGGGCAAGACAAGGCCTCATGAGGGCCTGGGCAGGTCTGCCTGGCTCACAGCTGTGTCCTGGGGTCACCCCCGGCTGGGCACTTATGACACACTCAGAATGTGGAGTGTGTATCAAGGGGACAGCGTTCCATGTGGAAAGGGTTTGATCCCACAGGGGCAGGGAGCAGAAATATCTTCAAGTTGGACCACCATACTTTAATGTTAACAGACATCAGTGCCAGAGAGTCCTGTTCTAATTCTCTGACTTTCCCTGTCCTCCCTAATCAGGGGAAGTGGAGAGATGGCAGACTCCAGATTCTGGGAGCCCTGCATTCCTCTGTGCTCAGGACCCAGCACTCAGGCTGGCACCACTGTCTATTTGTGTCTGTCTCTCTGTCTGTCTGTCTTTTGTTGTAGCGGTTCTTTCGTTTTAAGTGAACTGGTTTCCCCAATGTGAGCAAGAAGAAATCCTACATGAAAAACATAAACGTCTTAGCGTGGCCAGATGAGACCCCTACACATCCCAAGGAGAGGCCGGGTGTGTCAGCTCAACTCACCAGGAAGTGCCTGGAGTGATCTCTGTGCCTTTATTCAAATGCCAGAGAGTTCACCGGCAAAGCATAACTTTGAGAGAATTTCTGAATCATTCCCAACAAGTGAGAAAGTGCAATTTAATAGAAAAAATTCCACAAATGGAGAGAATGCTGCTGAGCCTGTAACCTCAGACAGTGTCATGCCCAGGCCCCCATCTCTGGCCCCACGCCCGTGTGCCCACAGCCTGCCTGCCATGGGAACCCCCCAAATACCTTTTTATCCTGTTACACCCTGGGTTGGGGAAGGGAGTGGTGGTGGACTCTCCTGGATAGACTCAGTACCAAACCCTCTTGACCCAATTCAAAGGGTGGGACGGGATCGGAAGCAGGAAAAGAGCCATGGGTCAGGCAGCCCCTGGATAGATAGGTAGGGAGGGCCTGAGTGCCTACTGCCCCGTGCTGGGCGGTTCCAGGAAATTCCAGGCTGGCCAACCTAACTGGCTGCTATTTTAAGAGCTGTGCTGAGGCAAACCTAGAGAGAAACTCAGCTCAGTAAAAGCAAGACAATTGTATCAGAGAAGGCAAATCAGGCCACTCGAACTGTCCCACACCTTCTGGGATGAAGCCAGGGGCACAGGACTAGGCTGTGACTGTGATGCCCCTTTGACAACTGACCAATAGTTCATGGTCCCCCTAGAGCCTGGGCCAAGCCCTCAGCTCCCTGAAGTACCCACTTAACAGAAGGAGGAGGCTGTATGTCCCTTGGGATGGACTGTAGACACCAGTGCCCCCTTTAGATGGTCAGCAGTGCCTCCCAACCCAACCCATCATATATATATATATATATATATATATTTTTTTTTTTTTTTTTTTTAGATGGAATCTCACTCTGTTACCCGGGCTGGAGTGCAATGACGCCATCTCAGCTCACTGCAACCTCCGCCTCCCAGGTTCAAGCGATTCTCCTGCCTCAAGCGATTCTCCTGCCTCACCATCCCAAGTACCTGGGACTACAGGCACACACTACCACTCCCAGCTAATTTTTGTATTTTTAGTTGAGACAGGGTTTCACCATGTTGGCCAGGATGGTCTCGATCTCCTGACCTCATGATCCGCCCACCTCAGCCTCTCAAAGTGTTGGGATTAAAAGCGTGAGCCACCGTGCCCAGCCCCAACCCATCATCTTAATACCATGACTCTGTAGAGCAGAAGTTCCCAAATGAGGTGGCCCCACTCGGGTTCACTTTCCTGACAAGTCCAGGATGATTGCTCTGATCTCAGGGCCATGGTCACCTGCTGTCCACTTGCAGACCTGGACGGCGTGAGGCCTGGGTCTTCATCTGGTGATCCGGTGTCACTCAGCATCACTCATGCCTCCTGGTGGCTCCTCCCTTAACCATCAGATGAGGTGTGGGGGTGAGCAATGTCCTGTGACCTTGCAGTCTCTGGGTGCCCAGCTTGCCTGTGTGCCTGTGAAAGGCTGCAGGAAGCAGGGGCTGGAGGCTCAGAGGTACACGTTCTGGGCTCAGTTCCCCTTTGATTCAGAGGTTTCAGGCCCTCCGCAGGACCAGGGATACCCAGATCCCTTTAGTACATGAGAGCTCGGTGTGTTGTGGAAGCTGAAGGAAGCTGCCCTGGGCTCTGTTTAGGGGCTGGATCAGGCACTGTGTATGTTAGAACAAGAGGGCAACTTAACATGTGACTCAGGAAGCACAGCCGCTCCCTGTCCACCCCCACCATCACAGGGCTGGTTAGGAGGAGGTGCTGAGATGCTGTCTTGGAGTTGGTATAGGACATGGGTGAAGATCTGGCTACGGCCACTTCCAGCCACTGTCCCTGGCGAAGCCATGCAGCCTTCCTGGGCTTTTGGGTTAGCATCTTTGAAATGGACGTGACTATATCAGGCGGGCGTGAGCGGGCTGCCTCCTGTTTGACTGGTGCTCTCCTGACGCACAAGAGGGAAGCTCTCAGTGGGGCTCCCAGTCGTTGGCACTCCATGGGGTGGGCTTTGCCAGAGCATGAGAGGAAGACACCACAGTTCAAAGTGGATTCTCGGTCCCAGTCCCAGGCTCCCACGATGTGGTCAGAGATAGGGATGAGGTCAGCAGAGAGGTCATGATTTTCAGAGTTGGTGAGGCAAGCACTGAGAAACTAAGTTCAACGAGAACAGTGATGGATTTTAAAAATAAAAGGAAAAAAAAAGAAAGAACAGCAAAAGAAAGGCCGGCTAATATCCTGAGAAGATTTGCCATGATTAAGGAAAGGATTTAGGCTGTAGAAAAGTTGTTGACAGATGTTCTGCCCTCAGGACTATATTTGGAAAAAGATACAAGTGAAACAAAAGAACTGTTGGGTTCAATAATGTTGTAAGTTGCAGATCATTTTAAAAAGGAAAATGGATTTCGCATGTGCCTGGGGTGGGAGGAGGGGCGGCAGAAATGCAAGTAGTTATTGTGTTTCAGTAACGTTCATGTACTTTTCCTCTGACTTTCTTGGGGTGCTGGCTGTCCAGGGCCTCTGCCTTGATGGTGGACTTAATGATGTCTCAAAAAGGAGGCCTGGCCCCAGGCTGCCTAAATATGACATGTTTGTTTGGTCTCAGACAACTCACTGTTCTCAAACTTCAGTTACACTGAACATGAGACCCTTTAAGGGACATGGATGTGGCATGATGTGGTGGGAACAAGACTGATTGGAAAAGTTGGGGAGAGTTTGTTTCAAGTCCTGGTGAGGTGGGATAAATGAAGCCCTCTGTCTTCAATCTGGGAGAGAGCTGAGAAAATATAATATTTCTCTGGAACTGGGACACCCATGTTGGGTGGTTAAGAAATACATCCAGGTAATCTGGGGACCAAATTTCTAAGACAATAATGTCACGGTTCCTCTTCAAAAGAAGCAGAAAGAGCTGTTGCACCCAGAGAAAAAAATACTAGCATTGGAGGGGTGGCTTTCGTCTTGGGGAGCAATGGAAAACAGGCTGTGGCTCCAAAAGTCAGGAACTAAGTGAAGATTAGAGCACCCAGCCTCTTCTCTTCCTAAGGCCAGACACCACCCGTATCCCATGTGGACGGCAAAGCCTGAGCCAGGCATGTGCTATTGACCAGACGCCACCTGAAATCCAAGTAGATGGCAAAGCACCAGCGAGGGTGTGCTATTGGCCAGACACCACCCAAAACCCATATGAACAGCAAAGCCCCAGCCAAGCATGTGCTATTGACCAGACACCACCTGAAACCCATGTGAATGGCAACATCCAAGCAAGGTGTGTGCTAGTGACCAGATACCACCTGAAACCTATGGAGATGGCAAAGCCCCAGAGAGGGTGTGCTATTGACCAGGCACCTCCTGAAACCCATGTGGACAGCAAAACCCCAGAGACAGTGTGCTAACCAGATACCAACTGAAACCCGGGTGGGTGGCAAAGCCCTAGCTAGGCATGTGCTCTTGGCCCTGGCCAAATTTGAGGAGCCTGCTTTGGAAGCCACAGGAAAAGACTGAGGAAGGAGTGACCCGGAGCTTCCCAATGGAAGCAGGTGGAATCCCAAATGAGCCAGCTTGAAATGGAAGGAGTAGGCACATTCAGGACAGGGAAAGAATGAAAGAGAATGACAGAAACTGAGGGGGAACGGGACAGGCAAAGAGGAAGAGAGCTCTGCCTTGTCCTGTCTCCTCTGCTTGTGACTTGGACAAGGCAGAGCGCTTTTCAGGAGGTTGCATGGTCCCACCCCAGGTCCTGTTCGATGATAGCTCCTAACTTGTCAGGATGATGTGACTGACATAGGACTATGTGCCAGGTACTGGTCTGTAGGAAGCTTTATTTTATACAACATCTTATTTAACTCCATTTAATTTTCACAACAGACTGCAAGAATGGCATTATCCCTATTTTTACAGATGAGGAGACTGGGGGTCAGAGCAGTTAAAACACTCATTTGAGGCCACACAGAGAGTTAGTGGAAGAACTGCATGTTGAGCTTTCATCTTTGTGATCCAAACCTCCTCATTCCACCACGCCAAGCCCTTTTCTCCAGGAGGGCAGGGATACCTCCTCTCCCTGCTCTTGGAGGGGTCTTTCCCAGTACCTTGAATGGCCAACTCAGATTGGCTTCCACAGTGCAAACAGGTTGGTGTAAGGCACTGGTCATGCCATGGATGAGATGGTGCATATCTATGACATTCCTCCATGGAGAAGGGGGATCTCTGTCCCCTCCCCTCAAATCTGGTGGGCCTCATTGAGTCACTTGTGGTGTAAATGATGGTTAGCAGCTTACAAGGACAGGGGATACACTCTGAAGCTTCAGCCTTGGTTTCTGAGACCACTGACTATTTGGACATGCCTCTGGGACACTTCCGTGTGGAAGCCACCTCCACGCTGCGAGGAGCCCAGCCCTTTGGAGAGGCACCTGCGGGTGTGCAGCACTCTGGTCAGCAACCACAGATGAGCTCCAGCCAACAACCAGCATCACCTGCCAGCCAGGTGAACCACCTCGGACATCCAGCCTCGAGGAGCCTCCAGGGGACTGAAGCCTGAGTACTTGAGAGATTCTAAGCGAGAACTTCCCAGTCAAACCCTTCCCAAATCCCTGACCTGCAAATTACAAGCAAAAGAAAATAGCTGTTTTAAGTTGCTAAGTTTGAGGATATTCCTTGCATAGCAATAAGTAACCATAATGGTGCTTCTGTGAATATGGGAAGCTCTCCTAGGGTCCCGATGAGCTGCATGTAGGTCGCTGGGGGGTGATGTGCTGAAGGAACAGCAGAGGTATCCAGACTTGCCTGCTCTGGATAGACTAAGGAATCTATGACAGACCAGGAATCCCAGATAGACTAAGGAATTTATGACAATGGGACCCCGTGTGCAGTCTCCAACTATATTAATCAGTAAACTTCAAATAAGAGAATCTGTGAGCAAACTTTTCATTTGTGAGTGGCAAAGCTATCTCAGACAGAACAAAAAAGGGCAGTGGGAGCAGGAGCAGAGATGAGCTATGAAGCTGTCCAGATGGATTTCCAAAGCACAGGAAGACCCCAGACGGCAGGGGGAATGGAGGACAGAAAAGCAAATACTGTTCGTGCCGGCATGAATGGCACCATGACATTTTGCTGCTATTGCCGACTCTGCTTCTCATTTTCTTGGCCATCTTGCTTCAGGATTTGAGCTCCCCTGGGACAGGGTTATGTTAGTCATTGTCCGCGAGGTGGACAAATGAGTCTCTACCTTCTGAAAATAAGCTTACAATTTATGGAGCTGCCTTGGAGCTAGAGTTCTTGCTTCCAGCCACTGTAAGTATGCAGAGATTGGGGTGTGCAAATCAATATGCTATGTCTGGTACCCAAACACGGTTTAGCATAAATCTCATTTAAAACTCAACATAAGCTGTGTTTTGAAGATCACATTCCTAAAAGCTCGTAATTCATAACTTCAGATTAAAGGCTTAAAATACAACTTGCCTGTCCTCCAGCTGCTGGAAAAAAAAAAAAAAAAACAGTGATGTCCTTCTGTGCAGGTACAACCTCAGTAGAATTTTTTTTGGCTCCAAGTTGTGTAAGAATCCAAACTGTGAAAACAAACTCAGGCCCCCAGGCCTCAGCTAGAGAAGAGAGGAATCCCAGGTATGCAAAAGTCTGTATGGGATGCCCCTCTTAGTAGGTCAGGGAAAGCTGTTCGTTCCCAGAAAGAAGCTTGGGGAAGGAAGACAAGAGACAAGGGGAAGAGGGAAAGAGGTTTTTGCTTTTCAGCTTGTAGATTCCATCAGGCCCCCATCCAGCTCGGGACAGAGCCCAGTAATGCTGAGTAAACAGCCTGACTCAGGGCCCACTTTTTAGTCAGTTCCGTGTTTATTTGCTTGTTTTTTATTTGTACAGAGAAGAGAATGGTTTGATAAAAGGGAGGAGAGCAAAGATAAAGACTTGTGACATTTGTAGATAAACAACCAATAAAGGAAAGGTGAAAAATGATGATTCCATAGGTTAAGGGAAAGAGAGAAATTGATTATATTTGAAATAATATTTGAAGATAAAGTCCATCTGTGTGTGAAGAAGCATGGGAAATACAAATATGAACTTGCATTTTGCCAGATTATGCTATTTTAGGATGCTAGTGGGACCTGAATGGGACTTTCTTTTCAAGAACTAGAGCTTAGGTGTTCAGATCCTGAAGGTGGTTTCTTTTAGGGGAAAACTTTGATGGAGAAGGGCTGGGTTTGGGAGGTGATTAAGAACAGAATGAATGCATAGATCATACTCTAGACCATGGTCAGCAAATCCATGAGCAGTCACAGGCAACGTACAAACCCACAGGCTGCTTTCCCACTGCAACAGCAGAGGAGAGAGGTTACCACAAGGACTACATGGCATGTAAAGCCTAAAATATTTACTATCTGGCCTTTTAGAGGAAAAATTTGACAACTCTTCATCTAGAAAGTCATGAACACACTCACCTGGGTGCCACTTACCCTGTGATTGTCCAATAATTTTGCTTGGTTGAGTTTTACAAGATTACTATGGTGTTAGTCCTTTTTGCATTGCTATAAAGGAATACCTAAGTCTGGGTAATTTATAAAGAAAAGAGGTTTATTTGGCTCACAGTTCTGCCTGCTGTACACAAAGCATAGAAACTGCATCTGCCTCTGGTCAGGACTTCAAGAAGCCTTTACTCATGGTGGGAGGTGAATGAGGAGCAGGCATGTCCCATGGCAAGAGACGGAGAAAGGGAGAAGGGAGGAAGGTGCCAGGCTCTTTAAACAACTAACTCCCACATGAACTAATAGGGAACTTGCTCATTACTGCAGGGAGGGCACCAAGCCATTCATGAAGGATCCACCCCCATGACCTAAACACCTCCCACTAGGCCCCACCTCCAACAATGGGGATCATATTTTAGCATGAGATTTGAAGGGGCCAATCATCCAAACCATATCAACTAGCGTGGCAACAAATGTAAATATATATATACACACATTCAGACAGACACACACATACAGACAGACACCAACAGACACAGATTCACACACTTACATAAATACAGACACACACACATACACAAACATATACACATGTACACCTGCATACTTACCTACATACAACATAATAAAGAACAAGAAAAAATAAAAATGGCTACATCAGGGAGTATAGAGAGTAGGAATGAGTCAGGGTTCCTCAAGCCTATGCTGACACACCCTCCTGTGTCCCCTGAGCACTCACTGCCCCATGCACTCTACAGACATTTTTACTGCATGTGAGTGAAATCCCCCATTCAAGGGTTGCCTCTGGGCACAGGAATGTGCTTGGTTCTCATGTGGGGCAGCAAAGACATCCCTAGAATGTGCACTTAATCAAGGGTAATGGGAGTTAGTGGACCTCTGGCCCAGCTTCCTCACTCCTGGGGTGGGGCAGCACTGTGGACAGGGAAGTCCCAGAGGGACTAAGCTTCAGTAGCCCACAGATGCCTGAACATGTGTCATTTATGGCCTTCCTCCTCTGTCTCACCCCATTCCCCATTGTTACTCTCTGGGGTCACCCCCAAAATAAGCTGCTGCACTCACAGTCTTGCTCCACACTGCACTCGCAGCCTGTCACAGCTCCAGCATACTCTGACCTTGGCAGTGGGATATTTTGCTCCCTGTCTCCCTTTGCTTGATAAAATGTCCTGTATTTTTTCATATGAGAATAGTAATAGGATGAATTTAATAAAGAGTTGTTGATAATATCTGATTTTCTTACTTGTTACCCAAAACCAAGGAACACATACAAAAAAAAAAAAAAGTAAATCAAGAGTGAGGACTGAGCCTAATCTCCTATGCCATACAAAAAGATTCTAAGTCAAGTCAGGCTTTGGGCATTAGAGGCTCTTTGTTTAAGTGAGCAAAGGAAGAGGAACTGACATTCTGCATTTTCATCTCCTCAACTGGGAGCCATTGGTATATGTCCTACAGCTAGGGAGTCATTTGCTCTACCAGCTGCAAACTTCACACTTGCCTATACCAAGCATTTTTTTAAGGAGTGTACATAGGGCTAGACACAGCTTGGGATGAGGAGGGAGCATGAGTGGCTCTGAGGGAGGAGTCTCTGGGAGGAGGTCACTAAACACACTGATGAACAGTGGTTTTTTCCCCAGCCCTTAAGTTACCAAGAAGAAGGGTAACATTTGCAAAAGAGAGGAGCTGGAGGAATAAAGTGAGAACAACCTTCAGAAAAGAAGGTGCTCAGGGGAAGCAGGTGCTTTGAATAGAGTATGAAAGAATGAAGACATTGAGGATTTCCCCTCATCCATAAGATGGGGGAGGCTTGTTGCATGAGATACCCAGGGGTGGGGGAGGTGGAGAAAGATGCCTTGAAGACGTGGCATCAGGTTTCCTCATTGGACATTTCTTCATGCCTTTTTTGGAGATAGAATACTGGCTTGAATGAACTGAATGGACCCGTTATTTCACTTAATATGCTATTTTGTATGTTTGTAATAAGGATCTCTGTTGCAGAAAATTGAGTCTATTGTGCAAAGTAGGTCATCCTCTCCCTGTTGTAGTTTTGGATCTGCTAGTGGCATCTGTGGTCACCTGTGAGTCTCATGTTTCACTAAATAAAGAGTTGTGAATCACAGCAACTCGGGAGGCTGAGCGCTGCCGGAGCTAGGCTGTAAGACCAGAACCTTCAGTCAGCTCTCTGAGGATGGGGGTAGACTCACGTATGTTCCACTTGGATGCCAGGGATCTGGAAAGACTGGAGAGGAAGCAGTTCACCCAGGCAGAGCAAACAATCATGCTGGCATTCTCTACTTGGAGGGAGAGTTAATAGAGGCCACCAGTGCGGCATACAGACATGGGTGTCTTGCCAGTTCATTTCCAGGTCTAGCTTCTGGGTCTAGCCCAGGGTCCAGCTGCTCCACAAGAAGCTATCACCCAAACGGGTTGTGACTGCAATGGGTGATGTAACTTGGTGTGGTGGGGGTAGAGGAGAATGAGATGAACAATGTCCAAAGATAAAGGATTTCAAAGAGTAAGATTTCTTCCCAGGAAGCAGGTCCAAGGAGAAAAATCTGAATCCATGGTGTCCAATGCCAAAGGCCCTAAGTCCCCCTGTCCCCAAAAGGACAAGAAGATGTTAGACACAGTACGGAAGGGAAGACTTTGCTCCGAGTTAGATGTTGAGAGAACCTCATCATTAATCTGAAAAAGGAACACCACCAACAACAAAACAATTAACACCAAATTAGAGTTGGGGGAGAAAACAAACATACCAAATTAAAAAAAACAGTGGGAAGTGCAAATGATTCCTGATCTCTGCAGAGGCATTTCTTATGGATTGAGAAATGGCCAGCTTCCTGGAAAATTAAGTATATCTCCTGCAGATGCTGTCAGGGATGCGAGGAGCAAGAAGACTGCACTCAACAATAGTCAGTGGACACACAGCAATGGAGGGCGGCTGGCAAGAGCTGGCAGACTTGTGAGAAATCCGACCTTCTGGCTAGGCCCCTAAAGAGTTCTAGAATGCTGCTCTTTCAGATATCTATGGAGACAAAACGTATAGTTTGTTAATATCAGAAAGAATGCAATTCACTGATATTTACTGAACACGTACATGAAAAGCACAGTGACCACCTCTTTGTAAGTAGCAGGGACTTAAACACGCAGAGTTCAGTCACACCAGCTCCTGGCCCGCTGCTCACTGTGTGCTGAGCTCTCCTGGGCTCATAAACCTGTGCTGAAGGTTGTTCTGTGCTGCATTTTCCTCATCAGGATCTCAGCCTTAGAGGGTTTGTGTGTTAAGTTCAAGGTCCCACGTTACTGAGCTTGTTTTTGTGATTCCCTTAGTCTTCCTTTCTTGGTGATGCCACACAACCTCCCAGAAACTAGGGAAGCCATGTCTGATTGCAGACCTGAGGGAGAGCTACAGGTTGTTATTTTAGCATTAGATTTTCTAGCATAAAATATTAAATCCTATCTTAATAAAATGTAGCTTGAGATAAGCTTCCACAATTAACATGGAAGACAAAAAAATGTTTCCTGATAATCATCCGTGAGGCTAGAACTTCTCTCTAAGAATAGAGATATGAATGTCTGCACTAGGAAAGGATGAAGGCTCTTCATTAAGAGGTGGCAAAGTCAACGTTTGAATGGTTTTAGCCTAGTCTTCTCCTTATGAGGATCAGAAAACTCAAAGCCAGCACTGAGGGAATGGTTTGATCTCCTTTCTTGAAGGAAGATTGCAGAAGGGCTTGGAAAAGTGAATGATTAACTTGACCACATTTCTCCTAGGGCCGGGAAGTGAGTGCACTCAAAGCAGGATTTCCTGGCAACTGCTCCAGTAATGTCTTACTGAGAATGGAGAAATCTGGAGGATAAGAGGAAAGAGGAAAAATGGTAAATTACAGACTGTTTCAACAGCAAAACAAAGGACTCTAGAGAAAATCGGGAAACTCCAGTCCTTTGGGGAGGGTAGAAACAATGCACTATTGTTTTCTAGAAGTCTTCATGGAAGATATTTTATCCATGGAACTGCACACTGTGGAAGCCTTGCAGAACCCGTGTCACATCTTAGGGACACACGTCCCAGCCTGCTGGAAATCTGAAGAACCCAGTATGGGGGAGAGGAAGCAGTGTGCAGACCATCTAGTGACATCCATTAATTCATGGAGGAGGGAATTGAGGTCCACAGTCTGCTTCTACACCCCAAAGGAAAAGGGGAGTGTTTTACAACTTATTTGAAATGTGAAGGACTGGCCTGGCACTTAGTGTACTCTTGGTTAATGACATGTGGATTGTTTTAATGATGCCCAAACACTCTTGTAAAGTGGAAAATATAGGCAGCCTGGGGTGCACATCAGGGTCAGCATCAGGGAATATAAGCTCATTAGTAGGTTAACACATACCTCCTTTTCCTGCTGAAAACCATGGCTGGCCTCCAACCAGAAACGCCCCTTCATACTTTTGAAGCAGGTCTTTAGTCTCCCTACACATCTTGCCTTATGTGATCACATTCCTTCCCTCCTGCAGCTGCCCTGGATTGAGAGAAATATAGGAGGCCAGGGAAGAGATTGGGTCTCTTCCCTCTGATCCTGCAGGCTGATGTCCTTCTCCTCCGAGCCACTGCCTTCCTGGGGGCTGCCTCTTGTGTCATCTAAACAGGCAGACATTTCCAGGTTTTGAACCCATCATTCATTCCAGGCCCACTGAGCACAGACTGCATACAGAACAGTGGGGCCTTGCACCTGAGGAGAAAGTGCACCTGCAATTCTGGAAACACGCTGTGGAGGCACAAAACCTCTCTGGGGGCACAAGACTAAGTGGAGGCCTCTGAGAATGGGGCATGGGAGTGAACCATAAGAAGAGAGGGAGGAGTGTGTGAACCAGAGTTCCAGGACTGAAGTCCCCAGGAAGAGCAGGTGGGAAAATCTGGAAGGGAATTTTCATTCCCTTGCGAACTAAAGAGATGGAGTAAAGAGGCCAGTAATAGATTTGGGACTGGACCACAGGGGGCCTCTGGGACCATGGTGAGGACTGGAGCTTTCATGGAGCAGAGGGAGGCCGGTGAGGGTTTATGCAGAGGGGAGGCTTAACTTAGCTTACACCCAGTCTGAAAAGTTCATTTCGGTTGTTGTATATAGAACAATGGAGAGGGGAGTGGGCACAGGGAGGCTAATTAGGGAGCAGCTTCAGTAGCAGGAGGTGGTGCTGGGTTGCTCTAGGATGGAGACATCAGCAGAAGGGACCCGGGCCTGTGTGAGACACCTGTTGAAGGAAGGATCCACCGGGCTTGCTGCTGGACTTATGTGGGGCTGAGGGAGAAGGGGGACCTGCCAGCCCAGCTTGGGGTGGGAGCAACTGGGTAAATATGGTAAACAGGAAACATCAAGAAATAAGATACTGGGTTGGGGAAAGTTACGGTGAGCTCAGCTTTGTACTTGAATTTTAAGTGTCCAGAAGACAAGCAGTAGGGTTTGCTACTTGACTTCAGTGCACTGAAACTTGTTTGCTTTGCACACAAAAGTGGAGGCATTGATACCTCTCCCACAGGGCCATTTTGGATTGAGGAGCTAATCTGCACCAAGTTTTCAGAAGTGGTAAGCAGTATGGCAGTGTGAGATAGAATATCCATTGGAAGAGGAATGTATCAGTTAGCAGGCAGAAATGCTGCTTCCCAAAGAGCAGGGTCAGTGGGGTCATTGTGGAAAGCGGCTGCTAGCTTGAGCAAGCAGCCCACACTCCCCAACAACACATGCATTCCACACTCAATTCTGCATGTGTGTCTATGTGTGTCTGCATTACTGTGAGAGTGTCACATGTGTGTGTGTGTGTGCCTGTGTGTTTGTGTATTTGTGTGCATGCTTATGTGTTCAATTCATAGGAGCTATGAAGAAATAAGAAACAAATGGGAGGGAAGTTTCTAAAATGAAAGCTAAAGAGATAATCCCAGGCTTTGGTGAACATGTTTGAAATTCTTTGCTCTTCTGACCCACGTCAGCAGGGTGACTGGGCAGGAGAAGGTAATACTTCAAAGAGGAAGAGTTTCCTTGTGGACATCCAAGAAACACTGACCAAAGCACTATGGGAATAAAGGAAAATGATAAATGGATAGAAAGTCCTGAAAGGCACACAGAGATGTAGAGATGTGCACTTTTCCAAGTGGAGAGGAATGCCGATTGCATAAATACCTGATAAGATAGTTCCTGGACAGTCTCATCCTGTTCCAGAACATAGGGCAACTCATGAATTCCAAAGAAGCCACTCACCCATGAGTCAGGGGCACAGACACCTGACAATAGATGTCTGCTTTTCTTGCCAAGCTTCTCTCCACCCTGGCTTATTCTTCTCTGGAGAGCTTACTCTCTGACCTCAGGGACAGGAATATAAAACCAGGGGAGTCAAACGCAGCATCCTGTTGCCCTGGCCTAGAAAATAGACCTTGATGTACTTGTCGCCCTAGCATGAGTGATCAGAAGTCTTCCCCAGGATTTTTCTACCAGTATACAGACAAGAGTGTCCAAGGCTGACAAGAAGATCTGCCAGCCACCATGCCTCCAGACTCCCAGTAAGCCCACCTGGAAGGAACAAAGCTAATACTCAGTCAGCTATTGCTGTGTAACAAGTCACCCCAACATCTAGTGTCTTACAACAACGGCATGCTCATCTTTCCTTATTCTTCATTCTGTGGTGGAGGGGCAGCTCTTCTGCTGGTCTTCCTTTGGCTCCTCATGAGGCTACTAAGCACCCAGGCCCTAAGCACATGAGCTTATTGAGCCTCTGCTTGCATCATGTCACTGATGTGTGATTGGCCAGAGCAAGTCATATGGCCAAGCCCAGAGCCAGACTAAAAGTGGACACCACGAGTCATGATGAATCAGGATCCATCATTGTGACCATTGACCGCAGCAAAGTTCAGATGCTCCTGGTGGCATCAAAGTTCATGGTTCTGGGGTCTCTTTCTTGTGTCACCACCATGTGAAGATCCTTGATTGATGAAGACCAGCAGACATCAGAGATTACTCTCATTCCATAATGCAGGGAAATATTTCTAGCCAGGAAGATAGGGAAGAGAGAATACCTTGTTTATTCAATCTGCAGGAAGTGTTTACTGAGAAGATATCAAAACCTTATCTAGAATAAAAAGAAGGATTACACACCTTACCAGTATTCAAGTAGCTCACCATCTGAGAAAATAAGCCATTCACATACAGAAAATTAAAGTACAACACATCGATGGAGACGCCATGAGGCGTCTTACTGAGCATGTACTAGGTGCTTCAACATCCTTTCACAGCAGTTGTGATTTTATCCCACACTCAGAGACAGAACAAGAAAGCTTGGAGAACTCATGCAACTTGCCTGAGGCAGAGCTGGCAAGAGAAGCCATCATAGAGGAGGCAGAACTTTCTACTATGGAAAGTCCCCAGCAGCAAACACTACCCCAGTGCTGTGGGAGGTTCAGTTGTGACGGGTAGGGTGGTGTGAAGCTGCGAAGGAACAGACTGCAGTGCTGCAGGGTCAATATGGTGAAGCAGGGGCTGGGGTTCCTGAGGCCGTGTAAGAAGGGCAGTATTATATTAACTCTGATGGCTCCTACTGTAATCCATGCCCCTAGACTTCCCATTTTACCCATAGTACAGCTCTTCATAATTATATTGTATTATTGATAAATAAAATTATAAAGAGCCACTTTTTAGAAAATGCAGCCAGTGATTTTCCTGGTCCTCCTTCCAATCCTCCTTGGAAAAGTGCCATAAGCAGCCAATGTCAATGGAACATCTTCAACTTACATATTCGAACAACTCATTGGGCAGGCTGAACCTGTGTATTTCATGGATAACAACGAGTTGCCTTTTGATGGCTGGCCTTCTCCAATGCCTCTGAGATGGCAGCTGGCCTGGGCATGGCTATGGTCCAGACATATATCAGATCAGAGGAAAGGATATGTTTTACCAGTGACCCATAGGTAGATGCTCTCTCCTTTAGAAGATCACTGTTTTAGTCCATTCCTACTGCTCTAACAAAATACCTTAGACTGGGTAATTTATAAATAATGTAAATTTATTTCTCATAGTTCTAGAGACTGGGAAGTCCAAGATTAAAGGCACCAGCAGATTTAGTGTCTGGTGAGGGCTGCTATCTACTTCCAAGATGGCATCTTCTCCCATTCAAGTACTAACCAGGCCTGATCCTGCTTAGCTTCCAAGATCAGATGATATTGGGAGCATTCAGGGTGGTACAGCCATAGGCCAAGATGGCATCTTCTTGCTGTGTCCTTGCATGGTGGAAGAGCAAAAGGGTAAAACAGACTCCCCCAAGCCATTTTATAAGGGGACTGATCCCACCACCTCCTAATCATGTTGTAACGGCCCCATCATTTAATACAATTGCATTGGTGTTTCAACATGAATTTTGGAGGGACACAAATAATCAATCATAGCAACCACAATATACCAGTGCCAGCATGATTTTAATATGTCGTTAGTACCCATTCCTGTAGAAGAACATGTGAGGGTCTCAGATGTTCATGGTAGATGCTTGCTTCCCTGTGACTCTGAGGCAGATCTAAGATGTACACTGCTGACACAAACTGAATAATCCCAGAGAACCCTCCAACAATTCTTCTCCCCAGCAGTCTTTGGGCCACTATAATCAGAGCCAAGATTTTAACCTTGGCTGCGTAGACAGACTCTTTGGGAGAAGACACAGCTAATTTTCAAAATGTTTCATTAGAAAGCCTCATTATATCGTCAATTTAAACCTATCCTGACCATGATCCTGTAAAGATTTCCTTCCTCCATCAATCTAGTTCATAGCCTTAGAATTACCTCTACCAAACAAATTGGAAAGAAAAGACCTTCAGATGGGGCAGTAGCAAAGACTGATCAAATCCAGTGAGTTGCTTTGTATTTTCCTGAACCTTGGTTCCCAGGTATGAGAATGATGTGCATGATTAGGAATTAAGAAGAGTCTGGGATCCTGTCACCCATCAAGGCAAAGATTTATCTTAAACTGTCATGCAAAACAAATGTGGCATAGAATAACCAGAGTGTCATGGAAATATTAGTGTGGTTGAAAGTACGTGTGTTTAAAATTTTGTTAATACTGCCAAATTGTCCTAATGAGGGCCACACCAACTTCCTCTGTCTAGAGCATCTCTTTCTTCATCGTCACACAGTATTATCAGACTTCTGTCAAGCTGAACAACAAAAAATGGTGTTTCACTACTGCTATCATTTGCTTTCCTTCAGCCATGAGATGGAGCATCTTTTAATTTTTTATAATCCATAAGTACTTCTTTTCTTGTAGCTATTTTTTATATCCACTCTCCATTTTTCTTTAGGGGTTATATGATTTTTCTTATTGAGTTGTATGAGCTTTCCATAAATTCAGAAAATAACATTTTTATGCATTATGATTGTTTTCAATTTTTTGTCTTCTGCATTTGTTAGTGATTTTATTTTTAAGTTGTCATATTCACCAATTGTGTCTTCAAAGCCTTCATAGATTTTCAAAATTTTCTTAGAAAGGCCTATTTCACTCCAAGGTGATACACATTCATCCATAATTTTATACTGTATTTTTATTATGGTAAAACCTTTGATTATGTGGAATCTGTATCAGAGGAAGGAGTGAGTTGGGGATCTGGGGATATACACATATCTTCTTCTCAAACTTTTACCAATTGTTTTTCTTGGCTCTTTCCTATGGTGCTTTATATTAAGAGGTTTTTCTGACATTGGGCTACTTATTACAACACTTGTCCAAAGTGCATTATTTCCTTAAATAGCCAGTGATTCAAATGTCCTATTATTTAATGTATGTTTTCTGCATCTACATTTGTAATCACACTTGGTCTTTTCAGTTTCTATTTCTGTGCGACAGTGTTTGCTTCCTGCTTTTTGCTCTTTAGATTGCTTATTTTTCATGTGATACATTTTAATATTTTGTTTCTTGATTTATCAACTTTAGATAGTATCTATTGACTCCATCTCATAAAAGAAAACACAGGCATCACACTGGTTTCCACAGCCCTGTACTTCCTTCTAGTTTTGGTCACTTGCACATCTATTTTAGGCCTTTGTAACTTTAAGCAATGTATCTAAATTTGCTTAAAACAATTTGCTCTATTATCTTTTGCTACATAATAAATTACCCTAAAACTAATGGCTTAAAACACCAATACTTATTTATGATTTCTGCTGGTTTCTGCATTGCAGGAATTCAGACAGGGCACAGTGGGGACAGTTTGTCTCTGCTCCATGAGACTGGAGGCCTCTACTGGAAGACTCGAAGGCTGGAGCCTAAAGCCATCTGCAGGCTCATTCACTCATATCTGGTGGTTGATGCTTGTGTTGGCTGAAAACCTAACCGGGACTCTTAGCTAAGATGCCTGCATGGAGTGTCTCCCTGCAGCCCAGGCTTCCTCACAACATAGTGGCCAGCTTCCAAGGGTGAGTACAGAGAGGAACAGAGAGAGAGAGAGACAGAGAGAGGAGATCAGCCAGGTAAAGGTGGTATCCTTTCATGACCTAGCCTGGGAAGTCACACAGCATCATTTCTGCCACTTGTATTCATTAGAAATGAGTCACTAAGTCCAATCCAAATTAAAGGGGAGGGGATCTAGTCTGCTCCATGATGGGAGGATTGCAAAGAATCAGCAGATGTTTCTTAAAGTCACCACAGTGGATGATATCCTTAGAATAAGGATCACGATGTATGATATATGCTGTGTCCTGCAAGGCTTTGCATCCAAAGAATTTTTAGGAGTGCCCATCTTCCAGCACATCCTTGACCATGCTGCTTCTCTCTCCCCACAGTGGATCTTACCAGCCTTTTAGTTCTCAGAGCTACCACTGCCCTTGCATATCACGATACGCGCTTCTGCCTAGAACCCTCTTCCCCACACTTTACAGAGTAATTCACAGAGAATTACTCTGCAAATAATTCACAGATATCAGCTTGGTTGTCACTTCCTCAAGGAAACATTCCCTGACCTCCCTAGCAGGGTTGATCCCCCCGGCTATTCACTGTCACACTGTGGTGTCTCTCTCCTTCATGGCACTTGGTGACAATCTGCATCTCTTTCTAGACAGTAAGGTCCTCGGAGCAGAGACTGCTGCTGTCCACCAGCATCACTTAGCACCTAGCTCACACTCAAAAGTTAGTACACACTTAATAATTACTTGTTGAGTTAATCTGTCTCTTGATTTATTAGACATAAGGAATATCTATCACAAGGAAAAATGTGAAAATTGATACACTCATACTTCCTCTCATTCCTCATCTTCTACCTCTAATTATTTGTTGGTAAAATGCATTAATTTTTCATTGCCACATTCATCATATTTTTCTGGCTATTGCCATACTTTATTTAAAATAGGATTCTTTACTTAAAATAGAAATGTGTTTGAGTTTATCACTTGTGCTTTTGTGATAATGCTTCATTTCATCTTCTAGTTGTTTTTATTTTATTTTCAAGAAGTTTATTTAAAATGTGCCATGGATTCCATAATCATGTCTTCCTTTATGTTTGATAATATCTGTCTGTTGCTTCTATACCTAAAAGAGAACTTGCTGCGTAGGATATTTTTGGGTTACACTTTCTTTGCCTATGCATTCTGTATTGTGAGGCAGTTTTCTTGGCTCAGAGCTCAAACTCTGTGTGTGACTACTTGGTTTGACAGCTTTCTCCTATACTAACTGTATAATCTTTCTTTTATTTTGCTGAGACAGGGTCTTTCTCTGTTACCCAAACTGGAGTGCAGAGGTACCATCTTGGCTTACTGCAACCTCTACCTCCTGGGCTCAAATGAACATCCTATCTCAGCTGCCTGCCCCACCCCCACCCCAACCACCATACAAGTCTAATTTTTCTTTTTTTTTTTTTTTTTGTAGAGATGGGGTTTCACCATATTGGTCAGGCTGGTCTCGAACTCATGGGCTCAAGCAATCTACCCACCTTCGTCTCCCAAAGTGCCGGGATTACAGGCATGAGCTACTAAGCCCAGCCTAACTGTACAATCCTTAGCAAGCTAATTAATCTCTTCATTCCTCAGTTTTCTCATCTGTAAAATGAAACAATAATGATGTTCTAGACAGGATCATAGCAAGGAAGAAAAGGCATAGTTAAACTGGTAATTTGAAGACAGTTTAATAAGGGAATATTTGCAAAGTGTCAGCTACTGACAGCAGAGTGACTTTCTCTACACCTCTCTCACCCCAGGCCTGAGTGAAAAACAGGAAGGAGCAGTTTCTAAACCCAGGGACAAGGAGGGACATATGAATAGGGCCTCTTGACAGGAGCTAAAATATATTGTCAAAGGATAAAACCAGAAGCGGGGGAGCTGGAGAAACACATAACTCATCTTTCCTCCTTATCTTTGGGTCATGGTCTCGAATGGACAAACCCAAATGGAACCTTGAGAACAGGAAAACTAAAAGACTATTTAGCACCACCCTGGTAGCTTGAAACTGGGCATAATGGAAGTCTGTCTACCACAGGCATCAAAGGCATCAACAAATACTGCAAACATGGGCCTCTTTGTTGGAGAGCCTGTTGTTTAACATTTACTAGCACACCACTTTTTCTGAGACAGAAATGAGGGTGGAGGTGGGTGGAGAGGGTCTCTGGAAGGACAAAAGTAAAAATGTTCTGCCACCAATTCCCGTGAGTATTAAGTGAGAGAACAAAGACATACCTTGTTTTCTTGTGCTTCCCTTCGTTGCATGTCTTTGATAATGCAGTTTTTACAAATTGGAGTGTGTGACAGCCTTGAATCCACACCATTTTTCCAACAGCATGTGCTCACTTCTTTCTCTGTGTCAAATTTTGTTAGCTCTCATAATACTTCAAATTTTTCTTTATTATTATATTTGTTGTGATGATCTTTAATCAGTGATATTTGATTCTAATATTGTAATTGTTTTAGAGCACCATGAACCGTGCCCATATAAGATGGCAAATTTAATCTAGAAATAGTTTGTGTGGCTTTTGTTTTTCAAACAGTCTCGCTCTGTCACCCAGGCTGGCATGCAGTGGCATGATCTCGGCTCACTGCAACTTCTTCCTCCTGGGTTCAAGTGATCTCCTGCCTCAGCCTACCGCATAGCTGGGATTCCAAGGGCACACCATGACACCTGGCTAATTTTTGTATTTTTAGTAGAGATGGAGTTTTGCCAGGTTGGTCAGGCTGGACTTGAACTCCTGGCCTCAGGTGATCCACCCGCCTTGGCCTCTCAAAGTGTTGGGATTATAGGCATGACCTACCGCACCCAGCCGTTTATGTGTTTTGACTGCCCCACTGACCAGCGTTTTCCCTTCTCCTTCTCTCTACCTCTCCTAGGGCCTCCCTATTCTCTGAGACATAGTAACATGGAAATTAGGCTAATTAATAACTGTACAATGGATTCTAAGTGTTCAAGTGAAATGAAGAGTCACATGTCTCTCATTTTAAATCAAAAGCTAGAAATAATTGAGCTTAGTGAGGAAGGTATGTTGAAAGCCAAGATAGATGGAAAGCTAAGCCCCTTGCACCAAGTTAGGCAATCTGTGAATGCAAAGAAAAAGTTCTTGATGGAAATTAAAAGTCAGAGAACATATAAATGATAGGAAAGTAAAACATCATTATTGCTGATAGGAAGAAAATTTTAGTGGTCCAAATAGAAGATCAAACCAAAAGAAAATCAAACAAAAACCTAATTCAGAGTAAGCTCTGAACTCTCTTAAATTCTATGAAGGCTGAGAGGTGCAAGAAAGCTGCAGAGGAAAAGTTGGGAGTTAGCAGATGTTCATTCTTGAGGTTGGAGGAAAATAAAAAAGCCATCTTCATGACATACAAGTGCAAAGTGAAGCAGCAAGTGCTGATGTAGAAGTTGCAGCAAGTCATCCAGAAGATCTAGCTAAGCTATTGTTGAAGTTGACTACCCTAGACAACAGATTTTCAGTGCAGATGAAACAGCCTTATCTTGGAAGAAGATGCCATCTGGGACTTTCATAGCTAAGCAGAAGTCAAAGACTGGCTTCAGAGTTTCAAAGGACAGACTGACATTTTAGGGGCCAATGATGCTAAATCTACTCTGCCTGTGCAGAGTAGATAAATATGGAACAGCTAAGCTTGGATGACAGAACATCTGTTTCCAGCAGGGTTTACTGAACATTTGAAGCCCACTGTTGAGACCTAATGCTCAGAAAGAAAGATTCCTTTCAAATTATTACTGCTCATTGACAATGCACTTTGTCACCCAAGAACTCTGATGGACATGTATGAGGACAGTGTTTCTTCATGCCTGCTAACAAAACATCCATTCTTCAATTCATGGATCAAGGACTAATTTCAACGTTCAAATCTTATTATTTAAGAAATACATTTTGTAAGGCTGTAGCTGCCATAATTAAATAAATTACTATCTAATTTATCTGATGGATAAATTAAGTTGGGCAAAGTAAGTTGAAAACCTCTGGAAATAAATTGAAAACCTCTGTAAAGGCTTCATCATTCTAGATGTCATTAAACTATTTGTGATTAATGGGGTAAGGTCAAAATATCAACATTCACAGAAGTTTGGAAGAAGTTTATTCCAACCCATTGATGCCTTTAAGAGGTTAAAGATTTCAATGGAGGAAGTCACTGCAAATGTGGTTAAAAAAAAAATAAGAGAACTAGAATTAGAAGTGGAGCCTGAAGATGTGACTAAATTGCTGGAATTTCATTACAAAAAAGCCTCAAACTCGGGATCATGCAATATACCCTTGTAACAAACCTGCATGTGTAGTCCCTGGATCTAAAATTAAAATTAAAATTAAAAAATTCCTGAACAGATGAGGAGTTGCTTCTTATGAGTAAACAAACTTAATGGTTTCTTGAGATAGCATCAACTCCTGGTGAAGATGCTGTGAACATTGTTGAAATGACAGCAAAGGATTTAGAATATTCCATAAACTTCATAAAACAGCTGCAGCATTCGAGAAGGTTGACTCTAATTTTGAAAGAAGTTCTACTGTGGATAAAACACTGTCAAACAGCATCGCATGCTACAGAGAACTCTTTCCTGAAAGGAAGAGTCAATCAATTGTGGCAAACATCATTGTTGTCATCTTTTAAGGAATTGCCATACCACCTCAACCTTCAGCAATCACCACTCTGACCAGTCAGTGGCCATCAACATTGAGGCAAAACCCTCCACCAGCAAGAGATTACAAATCACTAAATAAAGACTCACATGATCAATAGCATTTTTCGGCTGTATTTTTAAATTAAAGGATGTAGGTTGTTTTTTCTTATATAATGCTATTTTACACTTAATAGACTACAATATAGTATAAACAGCTTTATATGCACTGGGAAACCAAAAACCTTGTTTCACTACTTTATTGCAATATTAGCTGATTTGCTGTATTGTGCTGGACTGGAGCCAAACCTGCAATATCTCCCAGATGTGCCTGTACATGCTCAGTATTCAGACAAGATTGGGGGCGCTCAGGGTGGTATGGCTGTAGACGATATCCAGTGTTCAACACAGTGCCCCACACTCTGTAAGCAGGCAATGGAGTGTTCTGGCACCAAGTGTTCAAGTGGGGAAGTTAAATGGAAGCCAGATTTTCCTTATAATTCAATAACTCTGCCTGGATGCCATAGATGTCTTTCTTCCTCCTTGATTTTCAAGAACTTAGCCAGGCTGGGACGATTTTTCATATCAGATTTTCCAGGAGTATGTTGTGTCCTGTGCTCTGCAAATTTGTTTTTCTTGTATTATAGGTTTGGATACTTGCTGTATCCCATCTATCGGGTTCTCTGCTTACATTCCATCGCCTTCGTATCCCGTGTCTATTGTTATGTGATTATTTTTACCTCTTGGCCTCTTGGTGACTTCTCCATATTCACTATGCTTATCTCAAGTGGTCCTTTTTTTTTTTTTTGAGACGGAATCTTGCTCTGTAGTCCAGGCTGGAGTGCAGTGGCACGATCTCTGCTCACTGCAAGCTCCACCTCCCAGGTTCACAGCATTCTCCTGCCTCAGACTCCCGAGTAACTGGAACCACAGGCGCCTGCCACCATGTCCGGCTAATTTTTTTGTATTTTCAGTAGAGACGGGGTTTCACTCTGTTAGCCAGGATGGTCTGGATGTCCTGACCTTGTGATCCGCCCACCTTGGCCTCCCGAAGTGCTGGGATTACAGGCATGAGCCACCGTGCCTGGCCCTCAAGCGGTATTTTTTAGGTTAGTGATTTGATATTCAGCTATGTCTAATCTACTCATGGTGGCTTAAATGTATTTGCTATCTTTATGGCCCTCGATTTGCTTTCTTTCCTCTGATTTATCCTTGGGTAATCTCCTCTGTTGTTTACTTGTTAGCCTTTGTGTTCTTGTGGTATTAAATTGACATCCTTAAGATTCTCCCCAGAAAAAATATGTCCAGGTTTGTTTTCTTCCAGAACATACACTCTTCATGCCATTTCTCATCTTTTTTTAGACAAGTATGTGTCTTTCCTATTTTGTTGTCATCTCGTTCATGCTTTAGTCAACACCTCAACACCAGGACCACCACTCCACATCCTGCACCCAGGAATGCATTGCTATGCCTCCCTCTACCTTATCTGAGAATGGTCAGCATTCCTGGTGGAATTTCCGTGTGTGGTTTAGGTATTGTGTGTTCCATTTTCTCCATACTGTGAGGGTAGAAGTGGAAGTAGAGAGAACCTCTGAGGCGGTACTTCCCTCACACCCAGATAAGAGGGCCTTGGCAACGTGCTCAGGAAGCCCACTTTTCCCAAGCAACAGCACGGTGTGTTGAGGAACACAGCGTACCTCTGTCCTTTGGGATCTGGGGCTCAGCTCTGGTGCCAGGGAACCTGCAATCCTGTACATCTGCTCCCCTAACCAACAGCATTCAGGCCTCTGGGGATGCTTCCTCTCTCTTGCTCCAGGTCTGCAAAACCAAATGGGACTGTGTCCAAATGCCATGAGGGTGTGTGGGCTGTACTCCGGCCAATGTTGGAGATGGACACTCTTTGGGGTGCAAGGAGGATCTGACCACTGGAAGAGCTCAGGGAAAAATAAATGAACTGGTAGAGTTGTGGTTCCTTTGTCTCAGATGGGGCAACTCCTGCAAGGTCTCACACTGAGTGGGGCTCCCAACAGCATTGGGATCCACTGTCCACTCTCATCACACTCCATGTGTGGCTCTGGAGATGTTCAGGGGTGAATGCAGCTCTTGGAACCATCGTCTCTGGCAGCTGAGGAAATATGTAGTGTCAGATGACTTCTGACACCTTAAATCTTTATACGTGTAGGTCTGTGTGACATAAGAAAACACTTACATTGATGCCTCCATGGACAGTGAGTAATAGGTTTGCAAATAGTTTCATTTTTATAAAAAGTATGTATTTGCAAGTAAATATCATATAAATATTTATTTATTTAAAAATTTTGTTTATTATTTTATATTTGCTGATTATAAGTAGTATTTATCTCTTAATTTTAATAGGTAATGTTGATTATATTGAGGAAAAATATCTTTTTAGGAATACATTTTGATTTTTAAATGTTTTAACATTTTTTTCAACTTACATTTTGATAAAAACAAATTTGGTGATTAAAACTTTAATTTAATGAAATCTCATTACTAAACCTTTAAATCAGGGTTTCTCAATGTTGACATATTTTAGATACAAAAACCTACATATAGGAGATAGAGATATTTTGGCTGGATAATTCTGTGTTGCAGAGCTGTAGCTGTATATTGCAGGATGTTTGGCAGTTCCCTGGCCTCTGCCCGCCAGATGCCAGAGCACCTGCTCCCTGCCTCCAGCAGTGACACCAGAAACATCTCCAGATGCTGCCCAGGGTCCTCTAGAAGGCAAAACCACCCTGAGGGAGAACTGCTTTAGATTATGGCTGTCGAAAGAATGCACATCAGGTGAAAATCCTAATTGCAAAACACATTCAGTGATTTCATTAAAATAATACAAAAATATACTTTCATGAATAAGTGTAGGAAGATTTATGTAAATTGTATTACTGGCCTATACCTCACTAACACAATGCCTAGACTCGTGCAGTCACTCAGTCATCTTTGAGATTTCACCAGCCTTCAGTCATGCAAAGGCTAAGGGTTTGCAAGCATCCTTGACTTTGCCTTTATGAAGGTGTATAATTAAGGTAGGTGATGGACCATACTCTATGTAATGATTAGTTACCTTGATTTAATCTTTTAAACAGAGAGCTCACAGGATGCGGTCCTCCACTGGGCAATGTGAGAAGCTGGCCAACCCCCAGTTCAGTAGCTTTGACTGTGAGTCCTGGGCTCTGCTCTCTCACCTTCTGTTTTATTAGAAGCCCTGAAACAATGTTATCCCTGCTTGTTTGAGGCATATTCTAATATCATGGGAAGTTCTCCTGTGCTTCAGGATGGAGCACACCAGGGATACAGCAGTGTCCGTCCTGCCAGCCTCAGTCTCTCCCAGCAGCCCCTTCAGCTGCCTGTGCTCAGGGAGGGGCTTGACCTCCTGTGCTGCTGCTTCCCAGGCACTCCTGCCCCTTCAGAGGAGGTGGTCTGATGTTGTTTCTCCTTGCTTTGTTTTGCTAATGTACTGCTGGTAGCTGGAGACCCGTAGCTTTGACTGTCCATGGTTTCCTCTTCCCCCTTTCTCCCACCTGGAAGAAACAAGAGAGTGCATTTCCATGGGTTTTCCCATCTCTGAGGGGATGTCAGTCTTGTCGGGAGGGGCTTCTGTTCTAGGTGTTCGGCTCTGTGATGGTTTTTACCCATTTGATGATGATAGTGATGTCCACACTTCCTTCTTCTAAGTTCTAGAAGAAGGAAAACTTTGAAATCTGGTCTCACCCTCTGTCGTTACCCACAAGTTCTTGCTTTTAATTGGTAAACTGTTAAAGGTATCACTTGAAGTTGATTTTTAGTCAGTGATATTCTAAAAACTATTTAAAAATATCAAGTCTAGCTTCTCCTATCAATTTTTCTTGTGTCTATGGTCTAATAATAGGTGAATAAGTAGATTGCAATACATTGCTATGGAATACTGGGCTTCTAACAAAAATAATCTTATAGGAGAACATTTATTGACAAGGGAATTATCATGGTAAATTTATAAAGAAAAACAAGCTACAAAACAATGTAATAGTGTGGCAACATTTTAGTAATGTTCTATATTTGCATAAACAGTCATGTGCCACATAGTGACATTTGATTGACAGATTGCATATATGATGTTGTTCCTGGAAAATTGTAATGAAGTTGAGAGATTACTATTGCCTACTGCTTTGTGTTACAGTTGCCTACAGTATTCAGTACAGTAACAGGCTATACAGGTTTGCAGCCTAAGAGCATGGGTCATAACATATGGCGTAGATATGTGGTAGGCTATGCTATCTAAGTTTGTATAAGTATATGGTATGATATTTTCAAAAGGAGAAACTTACCAAACAACCCATTTCTCAGAATGTATTTCTATAGATTAGTGAGGTATGCCTGAATATGAAAGTCATACATTGACGTGTTAACCCAAGTCTTCTTGGAGCAATGAGATTATAAGAGATTTTTGTTTTTGTTTTTTTAGTCTGAGCTATTCTATTTCTCAAGTTTAATGCATTCAACATAAATTAGAAAAGCATTGGTAAAACAACACATGCCAAATGACATGGCTTTTTTTGTGAATTTCAAAGTTCCACATTAACAGTTTTGGCAGGTGGCCTCTGGTGGAACTAGTTCCCCGCTCCTGGTCTAACAGCCTCAATGGAAGGGACAAACTCACAATCAGAACTTTCCCTACCCCTATCCTTTGCTCTTTTGCATATTTCTCAGTGATGCAGAACTCTCTTCTCTCCAAGTTCGCTGCTGCACTGACACATGCCTCACGTCCACTGACCGAGAGCCGAAGGAAACACAGCAGCACCATTTCCAGGTGGACTTTTCCCTTCCCTGGCAGAAGAATTCAGTCACACCATGGATTTCCAGGGCTACTTGAATTACCCAGATTGGTATTTATTTGCTTAGGGTTTATATCTCTGGTCTCCACATGTCCTTCCCAGTAGGAAACTGCTCAGATAATCACACAGCTGTGAAGACTTCTCCCCAAAGGTCATAAGCTTTGGTCCCACCATCTGTGGGGAAACATGTGTTTCTCGTACTCTGAAAGGACTGTTCTTGGCTTTAAATTCCAGTACTTAGCACTTGTAAAATTGAGATAAAGCACATTGGCAGCTTTGGGACTTCTGTGAGCCAACCACTAAGAATGGACTTTGGGAGGCTACACCGCTACATCCATTCTAGAGTTGCATTTGGTATTTCCTCTAAAAGGGCTTCACCACTCACCTGGGGGCTCTGAGGCATTTGAGCACTTCAGCTCAGTTTTTCAGCCCTGAGGTGAGACAGGAAAGCAAGCTTGCCCAAAGGATACAGGGAAGTCTGAGACCAGGCCCAGATTCAGAACCACAGGCTGAGGAGCTTGTTACTTGGGCTGAGCCGTCCTGCTCCCATAGCTGGGTGCACCCAAAAACTTCAAATGTGTGCCTCAAAATGAAGGCAGCATGCCAATGATTGGCAGTGCATCCAATTCACTCTTCAATTCCACATTTGGACTCAGTGCTTAGGGGATGGGGCTTTAAAGTGTATGTTTTTGGGAATATTATATACATGCAATAAAATGCCCTATTCTTTGGTGTTTGACTTGATGAGTTTTGTCAGTTTTATATACCTGTGTATAATCACCACTCTGTATGAGACACAGAACATTATATCATCCAAGACGGTTTCCTGTGCCTCTGCCCAGTCAAGCATCCACTGTCCCAACCCAAGGCAACCATGGTCTGACTTCAAGCACCAAAAGATTATGTTTTTCATTTCTACAACTTCATGTGAATGGATTCATACAGTATGTGCTAAGCTTCTTTCACTCAATGTGTCTCTAATATTTATGTATGTTGTATGCATCAGTAGTTATTTTTTATGGTTGAGTAGGAGTTCATGAGTATATTCACTTGAGAGATGTTTGGATGGCTTGTCCTTTGAGTTGGTTACAAACAAGTCTACCATGAGAATTTTGGTGCAAGAGTTCTTGCAGATATATGCTTTTGTTTCTCTTGGGTAAATGTCTAATAGTGGAATTACTGGGTTGATGTGGACTCAACTGTAGAAGAAACCAAATGAGTTGCTTTTGAAAATTATCATTTCTGGTAGACTCATAGCCTCTCATAGCTGAACGAAAATTTTGCTCCTTGGCCATTTGGTCCAACCTCGTCATTTAAGATAAGGACAACTGAGATGCCAAGGAGTCATCACTCTTTCATGGCTGTAGATCTAATAAGTAGCTGAGGAAGAGCTGGACCCAGCCTTTCTGACCTCATACTTCCTTACCAAGGAGCATTAGAAAACCCTACTTATTCCTGCTTGTGAGGTAAGAGTTATTTCTAAATGCAAATATTTGTTTTCTTGCTTTTATTCACATAGTGAAGAAAATTGAATCCATGGTGACCTTATTGAATCCACACAGAACCTTATTATACATTGATTCATAAGGTGTTATTGTATCATAGCTATAGACAGCTGTGGAGATTAGGGTAAGTCTACACTGTCTTGAGAACATGTCTTAGAATTTAAGTTTTCTCCAAATACGTAGTATTGATTCGGCTTTACCTTTTGCTAAGAAAATGAATGTTGGTAACTTCTCACATAGTAATAATAATTCCATTTCCAAGAACATCTCCTAAGAACATAAATATAGATGTGCAGGAGATATATGCGAGGGTCAGAAATGCTGAGGAGCAGGGCATGACTCACTGCACTAGCTCATGCCGACAGGCCAAGAAGGTGACAACAGGGCCCTGGCTGTGGATTTAGTAGCATGGATGTCATCAGCAAAAGACTAATTTGTCTCCAGTGTCTAAAACAGTGCCTGGAGCTCCAGAAGTAGGACATGATTGATTGAGTGGCAGGGGCATCTCAAGTTGACTCGAATATCCTTTGTTTGAGCATACTCAAGAGAAAATGGGAAGATAAAGTGAGATTTCTTTTAAAGGACAGCAAGGAAATGAGGTGGCACTTGTAGGGGAATATAGGGCTAAGACAGGGTTTTCTCAAGATAAGAGAAATCACCAGATGTTTGCATGATGTTGGGAGTGATCCAGTAGAAAGAAAAAAGTAAAAATATTCTACCAATAACCATAACAAATGACCAAACATATTGTTGCTAAGGCAATGATATCTTGACTGATGCAGGGAAAAAAGTAACCTCAACAGGTCAAGTCCCAAGTGTGAGCCTGTCACCAGCATGCAGTGGGAAGTACAGTTTCTGGAACTCTGAGCCTAATTCTGCCTCCAAGTTGTTGTTGGTGGTGGATGAGTCATTTTGCATTGTCATCTCCCTTTCCTTACCTGTGCAAAGAAGGGTTGAAATCAGACTCCCCCACTCGCACACCTCATGATAACTTCCTGAGGGCTGCCACAGGCCGTCAGCTTCTCTCTCTTTGTGTGCAAGCCAGACCCTTAGTAATGCAAGTCCCTCATCCTACTCTAACTGCATGAGCCAAGCTCAGATCCCCTGCAGGAAAAGAATTCAAGGCCTTCTTTGCTCAGACAGGAGACAGATTCTTGGAAGTAGTAACGTCTTACCCAACATCTTGAGGAAGTTTTCATAAAAGCCTGGGATCAACATCATATGAAACATAGCCATCAAGTTTTGAGCCCTAAAGAGAATTCAGAATAGAGTGAGGTCAAGTGAATGTCTAACTGCTGAGTGAAGGATCATGGGAGATTTCAAAGGGCTCTTGTTTTGGAGTTTTCAGGACTTTCCCCAAGAAATTTTCATGGTTGATGTGTGCTCCAGTAAGAACAGGAGAATATGAAATCCGGGGATGAGGGACAGGGGTGGGGAGTCTAAGAGGCTAATTATCCTCTGTGTAGAATGAAACCCCATGAAAAAGGAGCACTCCTGTTACACATTTTATTGTTAGTTAGCATTCTATATGTTACTAAATAATTTTGCTTTACTACTTTATTTATAGCTACATAATCTTGAACAAGTCACTTATCCTCTTTGAGAATAATTTTACCTCTAAAATGGGCATACTATGACTATTTTGCAGGATTGTAGAGTAAATGAAAATTTGAGTCTTTCAATAAACATTTATCATCCTAAGTGCTGTTTTTATTCATACAAAATGGAAATTATTAGTTGTAGTGAAACCATAAGTATTGGCTGAGAACCAGGCACAAAAGGAACCAAATGGAAGCCCCGCATTCAGGTTGAATCTAGGAAGCAATGCCGGCTGCAGGTGCAGAATTCATCAGCAGAACATGGCTCTCAGGACATCTTTGTAAAGGTCTCTTGTCTTCTGGTGTGAGGCAGGCCATGTGTTCCTCCAGGCATTAAGGTCAGAATCACTGATAACAGTTTGGATGTCTCCATCAAACCTTATTTTGAATTGTAATCCCCAGTGTTGGAGGTGGGGTCTGGTGGGAGCTAATTGGATCATGGGGGCAGATTTCTCACGGATGGTTTAACACCATCCTCTTGGTGCTGTCCTTGTGGTAGTGAGTGAGTTCTTGTGACGTCTGTTTGTTTAAAAGTGTATGGCACCTCCCCACTGGCTCTCTTGCTCCTGCTCTCACCATGTGATACATATGCTTCCACTTTGCCTTCACCATGATTGTAAGTTTCCTAAGGCCTCACCAGAAGCCAAGCAGATACTGGCACCATGCTTTCTGTACAGCCTGCCGAACGGTGTGCCAATTAAATCTCTTTTCTTTATAAATTACCAGTTTCGGATATTTCTTTACAGCAACGCAAGAACAGCCTAACACAATCACCACGGGAAGACCTCCTCTCCCTGATGGTGGCTGATGAGGAGACTCACTTCCTGGAGTAGTCCAGTTACCCTCCCACAGCTATCACTTGAGGAGGGAAACACATTTTCTCAGGACTCCCTTAATCCCCTGTGTCAATCCAACTCTCTGGCACTTTTGCCTAGACTTTGGGTCAAGTAGAAAAAAGTGAGCAGCTTTTCTGATGGTGTAACTGATATTTCTTTATCCTAGGAATGTATTTTGGTGCAAAGCTTATAGTGCAGAAGTCTAAGACCCAAAAATCAGTTAAAAAACAGTTAACACATATTTTAAAGGTGCTTTACAATGACTTTGCAAATATGTATTTTAAATATACAACTTCTTCCTAAGTTCCATTATTTGTACATTAAAACTGCTCCAGGAATTGGTCAACTTCAAGTCCAGCCAACTCTGACATTTAATTTCTAGAGAAACTGGGCATTTCTAACAAAAATCTAAGAGCTTAGATAAATAGTAGTAGGTAATTTTGAGATCCCTGCTTTGTGAATGGGGGCTAAGAGGCAGAACTAATTTCTGCTGCTTTCTCTGAGCTCTCTTCTTTCACATATTTTTTCAGTATTCAGGAATTTCCTAAATGGCTTTAAGGATAATGTGATCCTTTTCTAGATGAGAAAGAAGAACAGGGGCTCACTCTGTGTAATCTCTTTCCTGCTTCTTAGAGAGGGCACTGGGGACATTTTCATTCCTTCATAGTTCCCCACCCTTTCCAAGAGTGCATACTCTTTTGCTTGACAACCTGCCAGGTGACTTGGCTTAAAAATAGGTTATCTCATTCATCAACTTAACAAATATTTGCTGGGCATATCCTATGAGCTGGGAACCGTGCTAGAACAAAGAATAAAATGGAGCCTCTGCCTTTATACAGCATATCACATGGTCAAGGCAGACTGCAATTATGACACAATGTGTCATGTTAAGGGTGAGTGTGGGGACTGAGGAAAATTGGAGGTTTTTCCAAACCTCAGTCCTGAAGAATTAAAGGAGGCATCCTAGAGAGAGTGATGTGGAACTTGAGACCTAAGGGACAAGTGGGAGTTAGCAAGGGAATAACAGTGAGAGTTATTAATGTATAGATGTTTTTTAAAGTGCTGAGGCTGAATGACATCACCTGGAGAGTGAGCATAGTTAGAAAAGAGAAGCTGATTATGGAGGGAAAAGGGAAAACCAACAGAACAACTGAAAAGGGGAAGGAAAAGACTAGAAGCCAAGGGTCAGAAGTGCAGTGGGGAAGAGGAGTCGGGGGGACACTGTGTGCAAAGGCATCAGGTGAAAGAACAGCCAAGTGCATGCTGGCAACTGAAAGGAGTCTGTGGTGTGGCTGCTGTGGCATCTCATTAAAGAACATCCAGGCAGGAAGCTGGGAAGGTGGTAGGGACAAGTCTTAGGAGCCCCAGACACCAGATTAGGGAAACTGGACTTTATCCTAAGACAATAATAGAAAGCCACAAAGAGGAATATAGAAGGGTGGGGTCACCTTAATTCAGGCAAAAGTTGGGAGTAGCTTCACCAAGGGGTGGTGGTAGCAGAAATTATGATGAAGGAAAGTGACCAATTCAAGAAACAGAAAATAGAATTGCCGGAGTTTGGAGATGAATTGATTGGATTGAGGTCTTGAGTACTGGGGAACATTCATATAGAGGTGAGCAGTTTTAAGGCCCAAGATACTGAGCTATGATGACCATTTTGAGTTGAAGGTAGCTGTGGTCACAAACACTGCCTCAGTGGGTGAGAAAAGGGGTTGTGCTTCTTATTTGCACTCCCAAGTAAGCATTCATAGCTATTAATTAAATGGACGAGCAAGTAAATAAGCAAATGAATGGATGCATCCAGGTGCATCCAGTCCAGTGACAGTTTTATGTGATGAGTATAGAGACAGAGCAAGGCTGGCATGCCAACAGGGGACCCAGCAAAGTGTCAGAGAGAAGCCATGGGAGTGGATGTCACCAGAAGGGGACTGTGAGGAGGAAACGACACTGAGGTCAGGAACTTAACCAGACAGGCACTGAAGAAGCAGACAGAGGAAGGGAGCTCGTGAAGGAGGAGAGAGGTGGGAGGAGAGCCAGGAGTCAGATAACTTCGAATGCTACAGAGACACCAGTGAAGGCAGAACTGAGATGGGGCCATGAGGTTTGGTAACAAGGAGATTGCTGATGATCTGTGTGCAAATAACTACGGCAAGGCAACAGAGTCTTGTTCTTCCAATATGTCCCTTGGTCCATAAGCGCTGAGAGGAAGTGACAATCTGTGAGTAGAAACCAAGTGAAAGGAGTGTTAGTGCACTCTTCTTTAGAAGAGAGCAAGGCAGAGCCTGTGAGAGAAAAATGTCTTTGTCTCTTGTCTCTCTTTGTCTGGCTCAAGGTAATGTAATTGCCTCAGACTTCCCAGGGAAGCAAGTGGCTCCCACGTTCCTAAGCAAAGGCCAAGCCATAGAACAAGGGCAGAGGCCGCCACTGGGAATGTTTGTGTTGTTAATTTTTTGTAGTTGAATCATATCGGGAAAATTGTTTCCAAGTTGCTCAAACATGGATAGAGAAGCTAATGTTTTGCTGGAGGTTGGCATTTTTCCCTGATGACATCACATGCCTTGTGTCACCAGTTAAGGGATCATCAGTAAAGCAAGTGGTCAACGCTATGCAACCACAAAAATATGCTTCTCCTCAAAAGATAATAATAAAATATGTAGAAACAAAATCGGTTCTAACAGGGAGACTCCTTGGTGAACTTAACCATCTAGTCACTATATACCAAGGGCACGTCTTAAAAACAAAACAGGAAAGCAAACAAACACAAAAACAACTCTGCTCCTAACCAGCATTTATCATTTAGCATACGTGGGTTTTAAGAAAATACTGAAAGAGATTAGCTCTAGAGAGGTGAAATGCAAATGCAGGAGGAAAACAATCCAGGGTTAGGAATGATACCATATGTCTGAATAAGAATCATTTCCAAAAACCATTCTCCTGTGACTTCCTATATTTCTTTGTTTCTGGCCTGCATAAGAGAATGTTTTCTTAAGAGCAAACATGTAAAATGAAACAGGAATGACTATTGGCTGACCACGAAATTTTCTCCCAACAAGTGCATGCACTGGGACTCGAGATTCTTCAACTAAACCCGAGTGTTACACCATGAGATCATGAAGCCAATAAAACATTTGCTGCATGCTAACTATGCCAAATCTCACTTTTCCAGAGATACGAGGATGGAATAAAAAGAGAAAAATAAGCAAATGTTGAAATGGAACCATGTGTTCTATGTGCAAAGCAGAAAATCTGAACAGTGCAAGGAGGGTGGAGAATCACAGGGCCTGTGGGGTTGAGAACAAGATGGCAGCACAGGGAGCCACTCAAGCATATTCTTCTGCTTGACATTATACCAGCCTGATTCACACCAGTCACTGGTGACGAGTGGTCACTAGTAAGCACAAACATTTTTTCTGGAATTTACTTCCCCAAATTAATATTTTTTTTTCCAAATTAATATTTTTTAAATGCTTTATTTTTTTGGCTTTCATGATGTCATGATGTCTCCATTTTGCTTCAATCTTACTGGCCACTTCTTCTCATCTCCCTTGCTGTCCTCTACCTCTCTTCGTCTTCCAAATGCAGAATACAAAATGCCACCTTCTCCTTTTGTTCTAAACATGCTTCCTGGCTGACCTCATGCACTCCACTGGTTTTTAGACATCCTGTAAAAGTTGGCAAGTTCTCAACTCATATCTCTGAGATTACCTCTTCCTGGACTTCAGATACCTTATATGACAAAATGTGGTTGTTATTCTTGAGACACCTTTGATGTCAGTAAATCCTACTCACTTTATCTTCCAAATAGATGTGAAGCGGGCCGCTGCATCTGCACCACTGATCCAAGACATCATCATCTCTCTCTTGGGTGACAGAGTGGATTCTGCTTGTGCTTCTTGCTCCTCTACAATCTAATCACCCCTCTTAACATTCAGAGTAAAGTTTTGAAAATGGTAATCAGTCTAGAATCCACTGATGGCTTCCCATAGAATATAAAATGAATTCTAACCCCTCTCCCCCTGGGATATGGACCTCCCTCTGAACACCCATTTCCTGATCCCCACCCTCTATGTTTGGCAACCCTGACTTGCTCTCAGGTCTGAAATGCGACATGCTTATTGCAGCCTCAGGGCCTTTGCACAAACAATGCTTTCTGTTTGCTATGATCCTCCAATCTGTGCCCTCTTAGCTCATTTTGGGTCATTCAGAATCAGCTTAGAGATGACCTTCACAGACAGCCCTTCTCCAGCGGTTGTCTCCATCATGTCTCCTGTTTCTGGCCTGCGTAAGAGAATACAGGCCAGATTCTCTCTGCAACCTCGGCTTTTCCCTTGCTCAGCTGTGTTCTGACTTGCTATTACGTATCTACACAGGCATGTACTGCCCATGAAGAGGTGCTTCCTCTCGCTGTCAGAATATAGGATAGCCCTTAGTGCACAGAGGGCAACCCTATCAATATTTGCTGAGCAATTGACTGGCTCGATGAACAACTCGTGCATCTCTTGTGGATCCTGCTTCCCAGGGTTAACCCAGATAGGAGTTAAAGATCTGGCCATAATTCAATATGACTGTCAAAATTCCAAGAAGATAAAATAAAGATCAAATTAGAGTTGAAGGTGCTTTCCCTAATTTAATGAATGAGTCTTAAATTTGTTTTTCTGGAAATTTTACAGCAGAGGTCATTCCAAATTTCAAATTGACCTCAACTTTTATTTGCCCTCCCATTCCACCTCTCCCCTCACGCATACTAGAGTCAGGAGAAACCCAGCAATTCTGAAGCTGACTTTCTCTCTTCATTACTCATAGAAGTGATGAAAAAAAATGATTTTGATAAAAAAAAGACAGCATAGTTCAGCAAATTATATCCCCCAAACACCGTTATTATCTACTTGACTGAATTCAACCTTTAATATTTTAAAGTTGAAATTCACTGAACTGTGGTGATAGAGAGCATATCGGTGCCTGCCTGAGGCAGAAGTGGGTGAAGATTGATTGTCAAGGAGCAAAACACTTTGTGAGGTTGAGGAAATGCCTTTACCAGGGCAGTGGTTACGCGGGTGTATGCATTTGTCAAAACTCATCAAACTACACTTATATTTATTTTATGCAAAGTATACCTCTATAAAGGTGATTTAAAAATCCATAAGAGTTACTCTATGCCAAGCACCCTGCTGAATGTCTTATGCTGGGTATTCTAATATCCCTGAGGTGGTGTGCTATAAAGTACGAATTTGAACAGAGTTGCTCTGCTACAGCCATGATCTAAATCCTATGCAAAACCTTTACCCAAGAAGTCATTTTTTCTATTTGAGTGGAAAAAAAAGTTCTCTATTTTAATCCAGATGTATAATGGTCACCTGAAATATTTTTACTGAACATATTATCTCTCTTACTATGGGTTCCCTCAAAAGCAGATTCAAACAAGGATTGGGGTGCAGTTGTTAATTTGGAAAGTGGTCCCAGTAAGCCGCTCTGGTGGGGACTGGGAACTGAGACAGGGCAGAGAAGGAAGCCAGGCCAGGTGTGCTAATGATCAGTTGACCATGCTCAGGACTTGGGGCTCGGACTGACCAAGTACTGTGGGAGATGGCGTAGAAGATGCCTCAGTGTTGTCCCACCTGAAGGAGGAGACCATGGTGGCGTTTATCGAGACTCCAATGTCATTGGATGGAGTCTGCTCCTGGGGCGTTAATTCCACTGACCTCTCCTCCCGTTCAGCTCATATACTATGCCAGCTTTAGACCAGAAAAACCCATCAGGCAGAGTCACAGATGCTTGCACTTAGAAGCGGTTGGGTTGGGGTGCAGGAAAACAGCGAGTGAGAAGAGGGTATGGAGGTCCACAACAGAGGCTGCTAAATAGCATGGCTTGTACATGAAAAGTCCATCTAAGCTTTCTTGTTTTGTTCTTTGTGATTTGAGAGGTTTTCGTTTTGCTTTGTTTTTCTTCCTCTACTGTAACTTTAGATTGATTTTTTGTAGCTCTTCTGTTCTAAATTCAAACACCAAGATTAATCATCATCAAAGGTAATGACTTAGACTATTTACATTTATAAAATCCTCATGTATATATGAGAATGCCGTTCCAATTCACTAAGCCCTTATTATGTACCAGATATGAAAATTATGTTCTTTTTTTGTCTTGATTGTCAAAACAACTGGAGATTGAGGATGATGATGTTTATCCCCACTTTACCGTTGAAGAGACTAGGACTTTGGAAGGCTAAGTAATTGCCCAGGTTCTAGAATTGGCAAACAGGGCTGGAGCCCAAAGTCCAAGCTCTTTCACTGGTCTCCACAGTTGCTCTAGATCTAGCTCTAAGCACAGTGCTTATTCCCCAGTGGTCATCTCCATCTCAGAATCAGAGCATCTGAGATGCCAACAAAGAATCAAAAAGGCTATTGGTGGGCATGGAATCAGAACAAAGAGATATGAAGTGTTTAGGGACACAAAGCGTGTGAACAACTTATATAAATCACATAAAGATACTCACCACATGTCTACAAAAGAAAATCCCCTTTTCCCTGATAATACCATAAAAAAGGAAATAGTCCTCAGAATGACCCATTACAATAAGGTTTATTTGTAGCATACATAGTTGCAAAGTATGTATTTAAATGTTGCTGTGTCCAGGGTCTGAGATGGCAGGGCCTGAGGATATGGGTGTGGCACTGACTGCATACCCTGCAGACAGCTGAGTATCCCAGCCAGTGGGCACTCACAGAATGTACTCTCTGACTATCCTCCCCCATCCAACACTGGAGACCAACCCACCTATTGTCACACTTTCTGCTCACTGGCCCCCATGGCACCATACTATCTTTAGTTTTTTTCCACTCTCTCTACCAATGAATACTATGATTAAAAATAGGACTTGATGACTGACTTTGTAACGGGGAGGTGTCTGGGGGATAATTCCTTCTTGCTATAAGGCCTCTCCTTTCTTTTCTGCTCACAACCCTTTGTAATGACTCTCTTTCCACCTTGAACCCACGACGACGACGAATTTGCCTCCTTCCTTGACTCACTTCCCCCTCCCTATTTGCATTTCCTGGCATAACACAAATAAATAATTTACACTCAGATCCTTGGTTTCTGGGGGGACCCACTCTAAGACAGTATATCACCCCTACAAATCGGGAGTGCTGTGATCTGACTCCACAAACAGATGTTCAAGTTCCTGAGGGCAGAGAGGGGGGTTGAAATGTTCACACCATCCACACTGAGCCTAGAGCACCACACGTAGAGCTACAAGTACCCTGCAATTTTATAAAAAGTTGTATGATATTAACATTTTACATTTTGGGGTTAAGGCACCAGCGCTAAAGAGCAGCTGCAGGAGCCAGTGCGCTGAGCCTGTCATGTGCGTTAGTGAACTGGCTGCAGGTCACTGTGCTCAGTGACAATCCCATTCAAACCTAAATTTCATCCTAGGTGGGTGGTGCGGAAATGACCCAGGGAAGGGAGAGAGCCCTGGAGTGATATTGTTAAACTACCAATGGGTAGCTTTGGGCTACCATTCACCGTTTATTGCCTTTCTCTTTGCACAGGTTGCTGGGGAAATCAAGTCCAAAATTGGTGACTTGCTTCTAGCAAAGTATTGACTTGATTCCATCTGTTATTTTTTTTTTCTTATATCAACCTCATTTCCAACACTGCTGCCTTTCTCCTTCATCCTTCCGACTCCATCCATTTTTTGTATTTATTTTTAGCTTGTCATGTGTTTATCCTATATGTACTGCAAATCATTTTTAGGAACCCAGATAAGAGTTAAAGATCAAAGGAGCCCCTGTCACTGCCTGTTACCAGTGAGGACACTCGGGCTGGAGAGAGGAAGAACTAATGTCAGGTCCCAGAGCTGATGAAGAGCAGGGTCAGGATTAGGTTCGGGGTCGCTGTCCCACACGTCATAGGACTTCCTTTCGCTGTGGTGTGCAAGGGTTCATTTTCTGCCCGTTTGGAAATTCAGTCTCATCTGGGCAGGGATTTTTGCCTGAGAACATGTGCAGGAAATGGTATTCTTTTGCCTGCAACTAAGTGTTAGAACAATTAGGGTGGCCTGCAATTTTATGGTCAGCTCTCTTTTGAGAGCCTAATGATTTCCAGCTGTTGTCCCTGAATACCCAGCCTCTGGGAAACCACAGATTGATGGAACCTGGGCTTCGAGTTCTCAGCACTTGGCACTTGAGTTTCAAAAGAGAGATACCCAAAATAACCACCCTTCCACAAGACAGAGGCACTTAGAGACATTTGGACGCAGGTAGTGCTGCCTGTGATTCATAATCAGGATGAAACAAAAAACTGTGTCTAATAAGGATTGATTCTCTTCTCAGTTCTTTTCGTTTCCTCAAAGCCAATTTCAGTAACACTGACAATTCCACCTGTGCCACTTAGTGAGTATGTTCTGTAATTCTTTTCTCTACCCTAGGAAGCTACCTTCTTGTTGATATCACTCGTAGCCTCCTTTCCAAGGGTTCTGACATTTCAACAGGTTTTAAATGTTTCTTAATGTCCATCATTATTTTTTCTAAATCTCTTTCTCTTTTTTTTTTTTATCCGTGTGGCCTGACATCATCAAAGGACTTATTGGTTTTCATATTGATAAATTAGACTTGAAAGTGATATTGTCTCTTTGGTTTGGAGATTGTTTGACTACACAACCGGAAGGAATCAGGGGTTAGGTTGCAAACAGAGAAAGGCATTAGGCCTTATTCTTGGGGGTGGGAGGAGGTGGTCAGCCCTTGGTTTCTGCCAAGGGAAGGGAGGGATCCAATTTGCAATTTCTGTAAGTCATGTTGACAGCTGTGAGGTAAACAGAATGACTGGCAGGCTCAGATGGAAGCAAAGAAGTCTGCAGGGATGTCCGCACACAAGGAAAGGACAGTGGCAGGAGGGGGCAGTAGCAGGAGGGGAGAAAGATGCATTCAGATTCGGGCATGCTTCAGCATGCAACCTGTCAGGACTGATGAACACAAAGACAAGTTACCTGCTAGTCAAATCACAGAACACAACCAGCCCAGTCTCATTTCATGGAGCTGGGCACAGACAGGGAGCAGGAAAGAAAGAGAGGAAAGAGAGAGGGAGGGAATGGGGAGAGGAAGCAGGAAGAGAAGAAGAGAAGGAGAGAGAAGGAGGAAGAAAGAAAAGAGAGGAAAGGAGAGGACAGAAGGAAGAAAAGAGAGAGGGAGAAGAAGAAGGGCAGGAGGAGAAAGGAGTGAGGCAGGTGGGGAGAGAACATCACAGGACCCTGGATTCTGGAGACCAGCGAGTCCAACACACTGCATGCAACACACTCTGAGCATGGAGGCAGAGAGGTCTGGCAGCTTTCTCACTCTGTGGCTCAGAGGTGCACTCATGATTCCGGAGTAGATCAGATCTGAATTTCACTACAGCCCCATAGCTCATGTTCCCCAGTGGCTTGCTCGGACCAAAATGAGAATTACTTGTGCCTCCCGGGACCATGCACTGACTAAAGGAGGAGAAGGGGTCCTGCCAGGGCAGGTGTTGGAAGGCAGAGGGAAAGGGGCTCGAGCTGAAAGCACACTCATGAAGCTCTCTGTGTGGAATCCTGGTCTGGGAGGACACTAAGAAAAATCAAGCCAGGAATAAAAGCCATGCTTCCTCCTCTACTCTCCCTGCTCAGAGCAGGAACCCACATCAGTTGAGGCCCTGCCATCTGCAAACCACCAGAGGCCAGAGATTCAAACACATTCATTTTTCTGCCCATTTCTAAGATCAGAAAAGTGAGGTTCTGTGAGGTTCAGTATCTTTCTTCCAGGCCTGTGGGTCAGTGTGAAAGCCAGATCTTTAAGAGAGGTGAAACCCATGTGTGGAAGGGACTCAGACCGGGGGAAACCTGCAGGCAGGATCAGACAGGGTGCTCTGCTGTTGGACGACCTTCTTCAGTCCTGTCTGGGATTTCAGCGGGCCAGTTTGACTTGCAGTATTTGAGCTGTGTTAAGAGAGGATTCAAATGGCCTGTGAAATGTGAAGGCACCACACTTCAAACCCTACTGCTTGGCTGGGCAATCGTGGGTGAGATTTTAATACAAACTTAGCACAATCACCACACACTCATGAAGAAAAGAGCACCCAGTGTCATCAGGGAGGGGCAGCTTAAGGCATCTACAAACCTCCCTTCTGTGATATAACCTGACCCCGTGAAGCAGGGCTTTCATAAGTGTTGGAAACTCGAAGGAGAGAAGAATCATGTGGCTCATTCTACATGGAGCAGGACATGGCCACTGAGAGCTCGCCACAAACACAGAGGCCTGCCAGGGTTGGAAGGTGCTGTGCCTTCGGATCTAACCTGACTCCCCAGTAAGGATTTTGAATGCTTCACCCTCGCCTTGGATGTATGACCTCAACATAGTCAGGAATGGTCCCTTACCTGCCATTAGACAAAAGTCACTAAGTGTGATCCTCTTGGATAGCTGGACAAATCTACTTCATTCCAAAACTTCCCAGCTTCTTCTCAACATCTTGTGCTATGTGGTGGTCCAGGTAGCTCTAGGACCAATCACATGACCATGAAGCCTGACTCAGCCAATACTCTCCCTCCTTGAATGATGTCCTAGGCACAGAGAGTCCACCCTCCCCCATGGGGCCTGAGCACAGAGCTTGCCCCTCCCCCCATGAGGCCCGGGCAGAGTCTGTCCTTCTCCCTTGCCTGTTGTCCTCATCCTCAGGTGGGCACACTAACTGTACCTGCCTCATAGAGCTATGGTGATCTTTCAATTAACTAAATATGTAAATCCAGAACAGTGCCTATCACTTAGGGGAGTGATGCCAGTTTTAGAGTTTTTGGATTACTACTGTAATCACTTAGGAGTAGTGGCCCTGGGTTTGAACAATGGAATCTGAAGTCAGGGACAGCTTAGGTCAGGTCTGCCGTTAATCTTATTTCCTGGGATAAGTTTACTTTCTTTTCATCTACAAGTGTTTTGTTGCTGTGTTAGCTTGATTACATGGAGGCCACAAGAGCTTATTTTAGGCCCTAATGTCTGAACCCAGAATTCTTTTAAAGCTTCCAGTTTCTCCAGAATGTAAAAGTTTCTTGAAAAGTATGGGGGATGATTTCAGAAATAGGAAAAAATTGAAAAGCTGCATACAGCTGCAACCGCTCCACTAGAAATGGAGGAAGAACTGATAAAGTCCTTTTTAAGTGAAACAGGCTCATGAAAACATCCTGCATGCCCATGTGGTACTTGGAGCCCAGTGTGAGCCAAAATAGAGACCAGCAGTGAAGAGAAATATTCAGGCTTGTCTGCAGAAGTTAACAGGGCAGAGAAGGGGAAATTCAGAATGTTCTTCCCAAAGTTGGCTACTTGGCTCCATGTGGGGATGGCACCTACATGCAGCCTCACCAAGCCCCATCAAATGGGATGGGGTCAGGGGGATTACCATGAACAGGGCTGGGTGACATCAGATTTGACTGTTTTGTGTGATACTGAGCAAGTCAGTGAAGCAGTCAGTCAGAACTCTCACTTGAGTGGCCCTCTCAGTTGTGTTTTCTGCCTGGAGAGAGATGTGGGCATCCTTTGCACCAGAGTTTTGGGAAGGGCGGGGCTGTATCCATTGCAGGTGAGGGGCAGTCGTCACTGATGTAAAGCAGAAAAAGTGGTCAGGCAGCTGGAAAGAGCCAGGGCAGATGCAGGAGATTAGCAAGAGGCATGGTGGACAGGTCGAGATGGAGATGAATAATTGCTAAGGCAGCACAGAAAGGGCTGGGCGAAGGCAGAGTCAGCTGCGAGAACTGCTGTGGCTTGCCAAACAATTCCAGTAAGCTGAAGCCACAGGCAAGGGAGAATCTGAGGTCAAGTGCTGAGACAGCACCATGGATAGCTCTCCTGGGTACAGGGGCTTGAAAGAATGTGTTAAGAAGGATTCTGAGGCTGTGACTGAGCCAAGAAGGCAACACTGCTATGACTGACTAATGACGCCTGCCATGGACATGTGAGGGGGGATGTGGTGGAAGGTTTGCAGTGTGCTGGCCTGTCCCGATATAGGCTGAGTCTTGATCCACCAGAAGGCTTTCTGCACATCAGCCAGTTTTCGTGGTGAAGATTTGGGTCTCGGAATTCTCCTGTATGCTTATGATTCTTACCATCAACTTGTTTCCTTGGTAACCCACTCCTGCTGTCTTGATGATGGCTTCCTGTGGTCAGGAGACTTCTGGCTGGAGGCTTGACCCCACTTTTCCTGATGAATGACCTTTAGAGGTGGCTCCAGGTATTGCTTCCTAAACCTGAGTAACCATGACAACCTCTCTAATTCCGGAGCTCAACTGTAGACACCTAGACTATAATTCTGGGCAACTTTGTGTCTTATACAGGTCTGAGGGCTAGAGATCAGAGTGGACACATGGTTCACCATGTAGAACTGTCATCTTGTAAAGACCTTCTGTGACCTCCGGGACTTTGCATGGGTACTCCTATCATGGGTGTGCAGCCTGGGGATGTGTGCTGTGTGTCATATATTTTTCTGAACCACAGCCATGGTGTTTTTGGCTCCAGCACACATCACAGGAAGACTTCTGTGCAGGGCAGTGTGACACAAACACATTCAGAGCAGTCTGTTGCTGGAGAAGGTTTATCTCCTTGGCTTTGAAACGCTTGCAGCCTTTCAGCCCCTAAAAGCATTTAGAAGCAGGATGTGGATGATTTTCCATATTTCTAAAAAGACTCTTTCTCCTCTTCTCCAACAGTTGCCACTATCAATACTGATGGGAAACTTTCCAGCCCAGGCTAGGGACCTCGCTTTCCTTTCCTGCCATCTCCTTGTTCTTAGCCCACAGCATCCAAAGACAGATGATTTTCTTGGCCATCCCAAGTAAACATAGTGATAGGAGAACTGGATTTTTTTGAGGACCCATTCCTTCAACACTTGTCTATAACAATATACTCTGGAGACCCTAACCCTATCTTCGGCGGCTGAGGACTAACTGCCAGCAACTGGCACGTTGCATAGGGCAACCTGTGCTTTCAGTCTGTCCTGCCCTTGAGTCATTTCTTCACCTTTAACTGTCTGATTCTTTGTAGTGCTCAGGGCTTTCTGCTGGTAGCTGGGAAAGTAGCTACTAATTGTCCATGCTTAGATGCTATTGACAGAAGGTGTAACATCTCCCAGGACTTTGGATTCTGAAAAGGAACTTGATAAAAACTAAATGTCTGATAGTAAGTATTCCAGTTCAATGGCACTTGACGGTAAGAAGGTTCCCTTGCTCCTGTCAAATTACATGTGTAGAGACTGCAGTCACACTCTGTGGATCTGGACACTCCAAGCATCATATTCACTGAGCATCTCCACTGTCTGAGCCCCTGGTCAGGGCTCACTCTTTCATCCAATAATCTTAAAACTCCGTTGAGGCAGAAGCCATTATCATTATTTTTCAGATGAAATAAGTGCACCCTAGTGGACTTAAATGACTTCTGCACAGTCACACAGCTACTGGGTGCAGAATTAGAGCTCACACTCAGGTTTCTGATGCACACATCGGCGATGACTGTATCTTGCAATAATAGTGGCTATGAACTCTCACCCAGAGCCACTTCTGTGCAGGTTCCTCCCTGCCCTCTACCTCGTCTTTCTCCCCAGCTCTCCCTGTCCTCCACAGGGGAGACTAGCAGGAGTTAAGCTTTAATCATTTCTGATCCCCAACTACTGACACATACCAAGCCCTTGGTAAATATTTGCTGAATAAAAAAATATTAGAACCTGGTTAGCACACATGTTTCCTCAGGCTACTGTAACAAACTGCCACAAATCTGATGACTTAAAGCAACAGGAGTTTATTCTCTAAGTGTCCTGGAGACCAGAAGTCCAAAATCAGTTTCACTGGGCCAAAATCAAGGCGCTATCAGGGCTGTGCTCTCCCTGGAGGCTCCAGGAGAAAATCTGTTCTGTTAAAAGAAAAATATTTTACAAATTAAATTCAACAGTTTAATTGAGCAAAGAGCGATTCTCCAATCAGGAAGCCTGCAGAACAAGAAGAGGTTGAGAGTGATTCCTGGAACTGCCACATGGTTGGATAACATCTGTGAACAGAAAAAGAAAAGTGAGGCACAGAAAACAAAAGTGAAGTACAGAAAAAAATAGCTGGATTGATTACAGCTCTGTGTTTGCCTAATTTAACATGGTTTGAACAGTTGGTAGCCTGTAATTGGCTGAGACCCAACTGCTGTGATTGGCGAAGGCTTGGCTGCTGTGATTGGCTGAGACTCAGATGCTGTGATTGGCTGAGACTCGGATGCTGTGATTGGCTGAGACTCGGATGCTGTGATTGGCTGAAACTAGCTACTTGATACAAGAACAAGTTGCCGTTTGTTTACACATCCAGTTAGGTGACAGTTCAATGTGTACAGGGAAACCTTTTGGCTGAACTTAAATATGTGAGGAGGCAGCTTTAGGGGAAACTTAATGTAACAGATTTTTTGCCTCTTCCAGCTTCTGGCAGCTGCCAGCCTCCCCTGGCTTGTGTCCATATCACTCCATTCTCTGCCTTTATGGTCACGTGGCCTCTGTCTCTCTCTCATTAGGATACCCGTGATTGTATTGAGAGCTCACATAAATAATCCAGGATAATCTCCCATCTTAAAATCCTGAATCACATCCACAAAGACTTTGCCATATAAGGTGACACCAGTTTAGGGCATAGACACCTTGGAGGGACCTCATTCAGCCTATGGCACAAGTCATTCCAGCCTTTAGAAGCATCAGTTTGAGGCTGGGGGTGCTAGCTTAGTGCCCCTCATTTTATGGGTGAGATCAGTGTTCACACTGGAAGGCACTGATTGAGAATCACACCTTTCAAAGGGAGGAGCTGCCTGCAAGTCAACCACCTGGACCTTCAGTGGAGCAGCATACTCACCCTCATGAATCTATTCAGTCTCTTCACCACCTCCAGCCTGGATGTCCCCTTATCCACCAGTGGGAATAATATGAATGCCTGTCTCCTAGCTTTTCTGTAAGGATTATGTGACAGGGCTCATGTGAAGTGCCTGGGATACATTTGGATGTCTTAGAACATTAGCTACAATCACTGCTTTTCTTGTTGGCTAAGTTCCCTTGGAACTTAAGGGTCTATGAGATGAATCCGTGCTTTTCAAAGGCTTCCTAAGTACTCACTAATTACTCAGCAGTATCCCTGGCAGGCCAATGGCTCAGGAGTGAGTGAAAATAAAAGGCAAGAGAAACTTCCTTTGTGGTCATATTTATCCTTTGATGACTTTGGATTTACTCTGACAGAGCCACTTGGGCATGTGAGATGCTTTCCTCCTCACTGGGAGCCAAGTAGGTGGAAGATAGGGCAGGAAGTCTGTTTCAGTTCTTCTAAGTGACCAAGAGTAAATCCCTTGAACATTAGTGCACTTTCGAAAAGGCTCAATTCTTCCCATTTGCCCTGAGCTGTGCGGTGTTCATTCTTTCCCCTCTGTAGGCCAAAGTTGGAAAGTTCTTCCTTAATGGCCTGGCTCAGAGCGAATCTAACACATCAGTTGTTACTTAAAACTAAATAACTAAAAGATAATGAAAGCCTTCACTATGGATATTTAAATCCCTCCCAGCTGCAATCTGCAGTTCTCACTGTGTGCCCTTTGGAATGGTGATGAGCAGTTCCTTCAAATGTCGCTGTCATGGCTGGACCAAGAAGAGGCCCCCTGTGCAGCCACTTTTGCCAGTAGAGTTGTCATGGACCCTTGTCAGGCCTCGCTTTCAAAACCGTCATCGTGGCCACATGGAGTAGCCATAACCTTATTTGCTGTAGCCAATGCAATGTGAATGGAAGTAGCTGAAGCAGAGATGTGCAATGCACCTGTGCAGGTGCGATCAGCCCCTAGGCTCCTGCCATCACATAAGAAGCATGCCCTCAGGGTGGATCCCCAAACAGAGCAGACCCAAACCCACCCACCTGCAGCCTGGAGAGGCGCACGGCTGAAGTCAGCCAAACTCAGCCAAGAAGAGCCACACTTTTGAGCTGGGAATCAGAAAAAGAAGTGTGTGCTGCTGTAGTCACTGAGATGTTGATGTTCTTGGTTACACAGCAAAACATGATTAGCACAGAGTCTTCCTCCCCTTGGTCTGTGGCTGCCTGAGAAGAGGCCCCACACCTACCCAACAGGTGCCAGGACTAGAATGGACACTGAAATAGTCATCAAAAACAGCACTGAGAGAGAAAAGTTTAGATTGGACTCAATCTTAAATGAATTTTCCTTAAATGAATCCCATGAGCCTGTGACAGGCAGTCCTGACAGAGCTGGTGAAGGGAGAGCTGGAAGTCTCATCAATCCATAATTGATGGTGTGGGATCAGCTGTAGCTATTTCTGTGATCTCATATTGCAGATCTCATGCAGAGATGCTTGATTCAGCCATACGGGTTCAGAACACCCATCTGACCCCAAATCAGACCTGTGATGCCCATTTCTCCTTCCAGCTCTATCTATGAAGTGGGCTCAAAGTTGGGTCATAAACTGGGTGGCCTTAGTTGTAAGGTTTCCTGGGACTCGTGCAAGCTGTCCGGGAGAGGAGATCATGCCAGGAAGAGCCACGCCAGGACAAAGGTCATGGACTGGCTATTGGAGAACACCCAAAATTGGGGTTGAAGTTATGGTGGGCGACCATTATGAGAGGCATGAGATACAGCAGGGGCCTTTTGTCAGGCCCAGTACTTCCAGGCCGGTGGGTGGAATTGCCTGGTTCAAGAAGGGGCAGGAGGGCGGGTTGTGGCTGTCCACTGGAGCAGCCTTCAGTGTGGGCAGCTGGAGAGTTTGATGCTCGGTGGAGTTGGATGAAAAAAGAGGAAACCTAGTTCGATTTCCTGGGAAAGGGAGTTCCAAAGCTTGTCAGGAATAACAAAGAGGCACAGTCCAAGCTCAAAGGCTAGAAGTTTGGCAGGAAACAGGGGTTCCAGGAGAAGCCCAGGAAATAGGCTGGGTAAGCAGTGGGGGCTAAGAGGAGAATGCAGCTGGGGGACACAGTTGGGCCCAGGATGGCTTGGACCTGTCTGGCCCAGACACATCCATAACCCCCAGGCCCCATTGTTTCTCATCAACCCCTGAGGATATAGAATAAGCACATCTGAGTGTCAGAGCAGGGCAGATCGGACTCAGGTTACACGGGCAGGTGTTGGCCCACGTTGTCTGGGCTCCACTGAAGGCTGTGTTTCCAGTTGCTGTGGAGCCCCGACAGCTGATGCCCATGGTGGGCTGGAGTCTGCACAGGACTTTCTGATCCAGCAGCACCTCCCACCTGGCGTCTCTCCTCACTTTCACTAGTAACCCCTTCTGCCCCTTCTTGGCCTTCTTCATAGCACTTGCCATGCTTAACAATTCTACACTTGTCCAAGAGGGGAATTATATGTGTTTTGGTTCCTATTTCAGCCCCAGGGCCTGACACGTGGCCTGGCTCAGAGTGAACTCTTGAGAAACGTTAGTACACTGAAAAACAATGAAAAAAAAAAAAGAATGAAGAAAGAAGAGTCAAGGCAGATCAACCAGGATCGACGCATCTGTGTCCCTCAAGTTAATGACATTTGATAAACAACTTCTTTGTCTGTTCCTTCCCTTTGTCTGTAGCCCAGGAGACACAGTGACAGAAGGACAATGCCTGGGCCTGAGCTGGGGGCTGCATTCCATTGCTGCCTCTTCCTGGCACAACCTATAATTGTTCTAACCCAGCAGAACTTCCGTGTTTGCATTTGTCTTAATGGGAGTAATAACAACAACTTCACAGTGCAATAAATAAATAATGGATATAAAGTGAGGTGCTTGTCACACGGCCAGAGATAAGTAAATTTTTGCTTCCTCTTGCACTTTGTCAAGGTTTAGTTTCTTGCTTGAAGGTAACAGAATTCAACTTTAAGCAAACTTAAACAGCAGAGGGAATTTATAGGTAGAGTCCTAGGGTGTGTCATAAAGTCCAGGGAGCCTCTGAAAGCCAGGTTCAGGAGGGACCATGAGCTGCTCTGGAGCTGGAGCAGTAGGGACGCCTAGGCCTTCACTTAAGTGTGGTGGTGACTTGCATTTGGTTTGACCAAGGAGAATACTGACTGGTTCTTGAGTCGGGTGCACTCCCCCTCTTGGTCTGATCATGGTCAAAGGAGCAGGGTCTCTTAGAATGAACAGGGAATGAAAGCCAGAAGCACCTCTTTCATGGGAGAAGTTGGTTATGCTCAAAGAACAGGGGTAGGACATAAACAGGTGGTCTGTTTTAGTTATACTTTTCTGAGTCAGTTCTTCTACGAGATTGTCCTGGAGTCACCCAGCTGGTGACATTAGTTATCTCCCTAGCAACGCTTTATTCTTCACTTTGGGCACTTAATGCCATTGCTTGTAACTTGGTATGTGTCTGTTCTTCTCCTCCCTATGCCTCTGCATCCCTCAAATGTATGTATCTGTTCTTCTCCCCATGCCTCTGCATTCTTCAAATGTAGGGGCCTTGTCTGATTATCTCCTTGTATCTCCATGATAAGCAAAGTGACCAGCACAAAATGTAGGGGCCTTGTCTGATTATCCCTTTGTATCTCTATAGTAAGCAAAGTGACCAGTACATAATGGGCTTGATGACTGTGTGTGCTTGGCTGAGTAAGTGGTCATATGCAGACAGGAATAGAGGAGTAAACGCTCCAAGAGAAACATAAAGAAGCCCTACCCCTTAGTGTTTTACAACCCTGACCACTGGAGCCCCTAGCATTAAAAATAACTAATCTATTCATTCATCTTTTTCATACAGGGTGGGATCACATGCCTACTATGTGCTAGGTGCTGCCAGGCCAGGATCTTGCTTCCTTGATCTACAGACTAAGGTCTAGTCTGAAAGGGGTGTCCTTCAGGAGATAGGTTAACATCCAACACATTGGATGTGGTGATTGAATTCAACTTTCTTTCTACTTCCCCGAGTAATTGAATAAGTATTTCTTACTTAACAGCAGTACTAGTAATAGAAGAACTTGTTTTGGTCCAGCTTTTAAAAGACAATTCATTCCCTGTGTTTTACTCTGGCATTTAGATCAATTATGTTGTGTCATTGCAAATTGTACAATTGCATAGTTTTCCAAGGTTTGAGCCAAATATTTTTTAAAAATTGCTGATTTGATAATTGAATGCCAGGAACTGAGGAGTCCTAGTAATCCTATTTCATGAGACTTCAGATGGCAGATTTTTCTAAGGGGCTATCATTTGACAATAAATGAATGTTTCATTGGATCTGTTGGAATTGTTTTTCTTTGAAAGTTAATTCATGGGTTTAAGCCCCTGCTGCTTTCCCTCCACTTCAGACCCCAGAAGTTATGTTGGATTCGGTTTTTCCACTCCTGGGAAGAAGCACTCTCAATTTTAAAGTCAAGGCATTATTTCTTCTTTTAAACACAGAAAGCGAATGGTAATTTACATTTTTGCCACAAGTGAGAATCAATAGGAATAAACTAAATGTTGATAAACTGACAGTAAATTTTGTGTTAAAGTTATTCTGTCACTATTAAAACAACTTTGCACTGGAAAACATAAAGTATCCAAGCCTGCTTCTTTTTCGTCAGGTAAATTGTGGGTAGTGCCATTCTTTGGTCTGTAAGCCCACAGACTCAGACTACGAGATCAAGTTTAAAATGTGTCCAAACTCCATATAATCTTCTCCCACTATCCCCTCTCTTGTCCCAGTGAAGAGGAGGGTGTATTACCACATGCGTAATAGATGAGCAACCCAAGTCATTGCTTTCTGCCTGGGATGGATGGATGACCCAGGAGCTGAATGCCAAGCCCTCAAAAATATTATACCATCAACAATGGGACAAATCAAAATTGTCCACCACATGAAAAGATGAGGTGAGGATCAGCATTATTTCCCTGGAATTCCTGTCAATGATGCATAATCTGAATATAATCCCAAGGAAACATCAGACAAATTTGAAATGAGGGGCATCCTACCATGTAACTGGTCTGACCTCTTCAAACTCATCAAGTTCATGCAAGTCAAAAACGACGAAGGACATTTCACAAGTTGAAAACACCAAAAGATATGTGACAACTAAATGTAGTTGGTGATTCTGATCTGTATCCCTTTGCTACAGAGTACTTTAGTTGGACATCTGAATGGAGTTCAACTCTAAGGTGATAGGAAGGCGTCAATGCTGATTTTCTGATTTGATGGTTGTATTGTGGTTATGAGAGTGGTGGAAGCTGGTATGGTGTCATGTCTGCAACTTACTCTCAAATGGTTCAGGGAAAGAAGTCTTCTTAGATTTGCCCTTGAAACTTTTCTGGAAACTTCAGATTGCTTGCACATTAAAAAATAATAATAGTAAGACCTGGGTTGAGGCCGTCTGAGACCATCCTGGCCACATGGTAGTCCTTCCTCCCCACCAACCAATAGGCACAGCATGGTGCAGCAGGCTGCCCATGTTCACTAAGCATTGATCCAGTTCTTCAGTCTCTTTAGTTAGGCTAAATATAATCCTTTATATATATTTATTCATTGCTATTATTTAATAGCTAAGTACCATTCCCCAAACAACCCCATGATTTTATCAACTGGAGAGCTGATAGTTTGGAGCACAAAAGCAATATCAGCTGTACAATGATGAACCAGCACACCGGTATCACAATGTTCAAGCCTCTCATTTTACAGGTGAGGACAGGAAGGCAGGCACAGAGCAACAGGGAGGAGCCCGAGCTCACCCTCAATGTCCTCCCTCCTGGGCCAGTGTGCTCACCGCTGCTGTCTCCCTGCATTTCTTGCAAGGAACAGACACTTTAACATTGGCCTTGGCTTGGCTTTTCTCCCTGTGGCTTTGGGGGATAAAAAATAAAACTAAGCTCTAAGGTGGGTAGCCAGAGAGCACTCTCAAGGCTTCAACTAAACAGGAGGGCACTAATGGAAATAGAGGGGTGAGACAGAAAGAGCAAAAGAGCAAAGAGAAATTGAATATATTTTGATTGCTTTTTCTTTCACCTAGTTGTAATGGAAGACTGTGCTTGTGGGAAGCCCAGAGAGAGTGGTTCCTGGAACGGGTGTAGCTTTGTGGTTAAGAGTTTGAACTGTGGATTTAGGTTTCAACATAAACACAGGTCCGGTGAATAGCAAGTAGCCCGCATGCAGCTGGGGTGGACCTCGTCAGTCCAGATTGAAGACCTCATACCCAGTCTGAGAGACTGACGCTCCATGCTGCCAAGGGCAGGCAGAGGAGGAGGCAAATTCATGTGTGCATCCCAGTGTCCCTGCTTATGACATTGTTATAAACACTTCAAAGCATGACAGAACATGAAGATGGCAATGCACTTTGTGAAACAAGTGTCGCACATGTACCTGTTCTGCAGTAACATAAAAATAAATTTTAAATAACAAAGAGACCTGCATGATGTTTTCTTGTAGGCACGGGCAGTTGGAGGACAGTGAGGAAGCAGCTGGAGGAGATGGGAAGGTGCAGGTTTGCCCACGTGATCTGCAGCACACAAGATCTGTGCCAGGGACTGTGGGGCACTGATGACAATGTGGCCCTTCATCACCAAGGAGCTGGCTGGGCCTCGTGAGAGCTGGTGGAAAGAAAGCAGGATGTCTCTGGCCCTCCTGTCTTCCTAGACTTGAAGAAAACAAGAAACAGAGTCAAGAAATTAGGAAAATGGAAAAAGATCTGAACACAACATCTGAAGAAAGGCTGCAAAACGCAGGGAAAATTAGATGCAGGTGAGAAAGACTGTGTGATGACAAGACTGGCCTCCAGAGGTCTTGGAGCCAGCAAGGCACCTTGTTCTCCCATCAGTGCACACTCTCGGGGCAAACAGTCCTTTGCTGGAAACAAAAGCTCCAGGTCGTTCAGGCCAGGGCTGCAGAAAATTCTAAGAATTATTCTGGATGCCACTGGGAGGCAGGAAGGTGGCATTGAGTGAGGGAACTTGCAGCTTCACCGTCTTTGAGATAAGCATGCACGTGGGGTGGGGAACCCAAGGGGAAGAATGACTGTCATTGGAAGGACCCCTAAGGCTGCTGGTGTTGGTCAGTAAAAAAGAGAAGGTGAAACCACCGCACAAAAACCTGGGACCTACAGGCTTCAGAATTAGCCTATAAATTTACTCTTGCCCTGAATAAAGATGGTAAAGGAGAGAGCAAGAAACTAAAATCCAGCATCCTCCCTCCACAGGAATGGCTGAGGGCTGCCAGCCACATCACACTCAGCCACCAGGGGCTCAAGTCCTCAGTGCCAAAGGAGGCTCTGGGAGGCAAAGCCAAGAGTCTTCCACAATGAGGGATGTGGCAGAAGCAAGTCCAGTAAAAGAAAAGCAACTAAGGCTTTTACTTTTTTATGCGAAGAAACATTTTATAGTTTTATTTGAAGAAAGGAAGTGGATTCTCCACACAGCATGTTAAGCACACGCACAGCAGCCAGAAAGCTGAAGAACTGACAGGAAATATGTGCGGCTAGATCAGGTCCTATGGAAAACCTGGCCAGCCTCTGGATGAGGAACTCACTGGGGAAAATGAAAGAGTTTTAACGTGTATTCCAACTACTGACAGTCGAATTGTGTACACTTGGACCATGTCTACTCTGCTAAATGTAACAAGGGAGGAAACAGTCCTGCGGGTTGAAATGAGATTCCTTGGTCCACTGCTCATGAACAAAGTCTCCATGGATTTGGAAATGATGCCATTGTCTCTGGATTACCGCTGAGTCCTATGGAGAGTTGAGGAAACAAGGTCCTGAGCCCGAAATGCTTCCATCTTGATAATACTTTGCAATTCACACTCTTTAATATGAGAAATAGAAATGACTCTAATTTGGAAGATGCAAAAAGCAAGGAGATAAATTAGGATAAAAACTAGATTTGGGTTAACAGTGCAGATAAAAGAGGAATAAAATAAAAAGGCATGGCAGTTTATTAGCTGTCCAGCAGCTGCAGCTCACTTTGATGAGCCAAGAAAAGAACTTAAGGAATATGAACCAGTTATTAGAGAAAAGCACCACATCAGCTTTAGTTAGCAAGAATGAAAGACTGGCTAAAAGACAGAGGAAGGGAAATGCAAATGGACCCTCATTAGTACTTGGCTCAAGTTTGGAGTATTTAAAACTCTTTTGAGACCCAGATAAAAATATTTAAAAAACAAATAGGAAAGGGAGAGCACAACATTCAATTGAGGTCACGCTTAAAGAGAGATAATTCACAGTGATTTAAATGAATGCTACACAAAACATGGGCCTGAATTTCATATATATATATATATATATATATATATATATATGTGCATGCTTTAAGTTAAAGTGAAAAAAGACCATAGCATTTTTCTTTATTTTTTTGAAAGAGAACCATATTTAATTTTATCTTAATGTATGGCAGTTTATTATATTATTTTTATTTTACTTTAAGCGATACATGTGCAGAACGTTCAGGTTTGTTAAATAGGTATACATGTGCCATGGTGGTTTGCTGCACCTATCAACCCATCATCTGGGTTTTAAGCCCTGCATGCATTGGGTATTTGTCCTAATGCTTTCCCTCCCTTCACCCACAAACCCCCAGCTGGCCCCGGTGTGTGTGATATTTCCCTCCCTGTGTCCATACACATGGACACACTGAACACTCTCATTGTTCAACTCCCACTTATGAGTGAGAACATGCAGTGTTTGGTTTTCTGTTCCTGTGTTAGTTTGCTGAGAATGATGGTTTCCAGCTTCATCTATGTCCATGCAAAGGACATAAACTCATTCTTTTTTATGGCTGCATATTATTCCATGGTGTATATGTGCCACATTTTCTTTATCCAGTCTATCATCGATGGGCATTTGGGTTGGTTCCAAGTCTTTGCTATTGTAAATAGTGCTGCAATAAACATATGTGTGCATGTGTCTTTATAGTAGAATGATTTATAATCCTTTTGGTATATACCCAGTAATGGGATTACTAGGACCTCAGCATTTTCAATATTTCAAGGACAACAGCTGATTTTCTTATGGCTCCAAGTAAGTTCACTAGTATTCATACACCAGTCCCAAAGTATACAGATAGACCAGCATAAAAATAATCTAAAAATTAGTGAAGCATAAGGGAGGTATATTAGCTAAAATATAGGTCTAGATGCTTTAAAACAGAGAGAGTAAGAGCAGCCTAAGTAAAACAGAAGTGTGTTTCTCTCTCAGACATAAGTCCAGATGAGTACGCGATCCATGAGAGCAGCATGACTCTGTTCCCCAAATGGTCCGGGAACTCAGACACTGTGTAGCCTTGCTCTCCTGTGCCCATGGTGTGCCTCCATCTTCATGGTTCAAGATGGCTCATGACTGAAATAGCTGAGTCCAGGTTGTGGAAAGGGCCAGGAAGGCTAAAAGAGAAGCAGTGTCCTTTTAAACGCACAACAAGGCAGTTGCACTTATCATTTCTGTTCATAGACCATTGGCCACAACTCAGTCACATGGAGCTACCAACATCTAGGACATGCAGTTCTGAGCCAGGTAACCATGTAATAAGACTGGGATAGAGGATAGAGGCACGTTCTCTTACTTAAAGAAAAAGGTGGCAGATGGATACTAGAAGTCAGTCGGCAGTGTGGGCACCCAGGTTCCTTCTAATGTCTTGCTCCACCAGCCCCCGAAGTGTTGCTGTAACTGCACAGTCTCATTCTAACTGGACCTACTCTGTCAATAGCAGGATTTTAAGTTATTGTACAGTTACAGAGCCAAGAAGTTGCAAGTTAGGCAGCCAAGACATGTGTAGTGAAAAAGCTCTGACCTGTAACAACACCCAGAGCCAACATATCCTCCTTGCAGAATCAAAAAGGCCAGGGCATGACCAGAATTTGAATGCTGGAACCCTTTCAGAAGTGAGGGATCCATTAACTGGGAAGATCCACTGCTGAAATCTACCATTCCATACCTTACCATAAATGGCCTAGTTTGAAGGCCTCCAAAAGAAACCTGCCCTACCAGCACTTCTGCACCTAAACCTGTCCTCCCTGACCCAGAAAACTTGTCCCGGACCTCAGACCAAGGAGAGAGATTTGAGCTGTGCCTCCTGTCTCCTTACCAGTTGACCTCGCACTAAAGCCTCTTTTTCTTCCTCCAAAGCCAGTACCATGGTAAAGGCTTCTATGCATGTCAAACGGTGAATGCATTGCTCAGTAATGGTGCTTCCATCACACGCTCAAAGCTGGCCCAGCATTGCCTTGTCTGTGCTCCAGCTAGTGGAAAGGGAAAGAGAATGTGCAGAGCAAACAGCTGCCTTTGAAGGACGAAACTAGGAAGTTGCACATGTTCTTGCTCATCAATTTCTTCTGCCAAATCTTAGTCTCATGGCCTCATCTACCTGCAAGTGAGTCTGGGAAACATCTGGGGACATGGGAGTTCTATGAATAACAGGGAGAAATGGAGAATAATTATTGCGAGATAAGTCAAAATCTCAAACACAAATAATTGAAAATGTAACTGCTGAGAGGGTGTTCAATCTACTTAAGATACTAACAAATTGCTCTTAGGTCCTAATAGACCCATGGTGCTTCTAATGAGAAGAATCTTTATTACTCAAATGTGTCGAGCTGGATTTCAAAGTTGGAAACATTTTGTGTGTTCTTAAGAAAGAATGATTTTTTTTTTTTTTAAGAAACAGTTTGTCATTTGGAAGGCATTTTCAGCAATTTTGTTCGAATTAGAGCGGCTTCACTGAAAGGGGCAGTGCAATTCCAGAACAGGGTTTCCCTGACTATGTTTTGTTTATGCCTTGTGAAATAATTTTGCAAAACAGATGCATAACCTCCTCCCCTTGACAGTTTCACAGAACATGTTGCACGTTAAAGCTCTTACAAGTGCTGCAGGAAAGAATCTGGCATACCTTTCCTAAGCCAGCCTAAGCCAAACTTACTTGATCATTGAGGCCCTTCTTACAATGCCCTTTTCACCCTCCAATGCAACTAGCACTTCATGGGGGCACATTTGGGGAAAGACTTTCTAGCATGGTAGGCATTGTAACAAACAAGCCATATACACGGTTTCTAAGTCATGGCCTGTCACTAAGAACATTGAGTCACATGGAGTGAGAATTGACTAACTGCAAGACCCTTGCGTACCACCCAAACTCCTTGGTATGTGATAAGAGGGAATTTGGCCAGATTACATCTAATACTAGGTATTAGAGATCATGTCCCTTCTTTTTCTGTTACTATGTATGAATAAACCGAAAGGATCATACTTTTAGGAAAAATAGTTTCTTGGGGCAAGAAATAAGTCTGCCCTTCATTGTAGCCCAGGGTCTTCCTTGCAACAGGCTTACGGTCTTAATAAATTGCTCTGAATGAGTGAATGAATGAGTGAAGGGGATCCTAAGAGATCAGGTGATCTCCCACCTTCAGAGAGATAGTACATGATTGATCCCCTACAGAGGGAGCCCCTGAGGTAGAAATGCCAGTGACTTACTCGGCCAGAAGGTGACAGGAAGGGGTGGGGGTTCCTGGTGCCTGCCTTGCCCCCAGGGCCCTGTCCTTCCTTCCATTCCATAGTGGTGGAATCTAGTTATACCATGGTTATGAAACAGGGCCAAGAAATAAAGGCTATACATGAAAGTAATTTGGAAAGACCAGTCTTTTTTTTCATTGCTGTTTGGATCAGAATTTAGCTGTGATGAGAAATCTTCATCTCGTCATGGGAAAATGCTCATTAGAATGTCAAGGGGTAAAAGCGAGATTCAAATCTATGGATGGGGCATATCATTTCACATTTGTGAAAAAATGTCCAGGCTATAGCTGTGTAGACATAGGCATGAAAAAAACTGGAAAGAAATATATAGATACACTATAATTTTTATCCCTGGAAGTAGGGTTATGAGTGACTCTATTATTATTATTTTATTCTTTTCAGTAAATAAACTAGATTTACCAATCCATGCTTATCAACACTGTCACAGTCACATTAACTTTTTGCCTCCAATCTGCTGGCCCAGTAGCCCCAGTGGTAGCCTTCATACCTGCTTGGCCCTGTCACCAGCAGCAGGCTGCCTCATGCAAGCAAGGAGGTTCTTTGTTTTCTTTCTTTTTGAGACGAAGTCTTGCTCTTTAGCCCAGGCTGGAATGCAGTGGTGCGGTCTTGGCTCACTGCAAGCTCCACCTCCCGGGTTCAGGCCATTCTCCTGCCTCAGCCTCCTGAGTAGCTGGGACTACAGGTGCACGCCACCACACCCGGCTAATTTTTTGTATTTTTTTTAGTAGAGACAGAGTTTCACCATGTTGCCCAGGCTGGTCTCGAACTCCTGAGCTCAGGCAATCCGCCTGCCTCGGCCTCCCAAAATGTTAGGATTACAGGCGTGAGCCACTGTGCCTGGCCTCATGTGAGGAGGTTCTGTGCAGTGGAGCCAGAATTGAAGGAGCAGTTGGCGGAAGCCCCTGCTGACCACACTCCTGTGGCTGGATGGCCAGTCCTTCCTCGAAGGAGACTCTCACCATGTGTGAGCTGATGACCCGCAGCCCCCAAGGCTAGCCCCCACCCACACACTATGGAGGGCTACATTGAAGTCTCTCACCTCCTCCCAGGGTAACAGATCGGCAAGTCCAGAGGTTGCAGTTACAGGCATATTCTTTTGAAAGCCTTTTGCCCCTTGCTGGATAGCTGGCCTTGACAGCAGAGACTGACTGACATGGCTGTACTGAGCTTTCTAGATTACAGCGAACTCTGATGCACACAATTTAATGGTGTCTTTTGTAGTGCTGAAAGAAGAGAATGTTTGCCTGCAGGCCGTTTGAACGTTCACACACTTAAAAAAAAATGTTGGTCTGTGGGCTTCTAATCAGGCAGGGAATAGCAGAAACGTCCTTCCCAGGAGTCTCTTAACTAAAGGGGGTGGTAAGAGGAACAGTTGGTATCAGTTTACATTTCCATGGGAGAATAAGAACACCCTGAAGCTAATCAAGAAGAGCTGTGCATGGGTGTGTGAGTGTGAATGCCTGTTTGTGCCTGAGGCCTGTGTCTGTGTGCATGGGCATGTTGCACGCATGTGCATGTGGACATTTCTGAGGCTCTCAGAGGATGAGCAAGGCTGTGGCTGTTTCCATTTCACAGGTTCCAAACGCATTTGAAAATGAACAAAATGAGGCTATAAAATGGGTGGCATATTTTAAATATTTACTTTGCACACATGTGAGGTTTTTACAGTGACCTGCATGGCCTCATTTGGAGCTAATGTAGAAAGTTTAAAATGCATAGCCTCCTAGGCAGAACAGCCCCATACACACAGCTGCTTCTGGCCCCTTCCACCTCAGGAAAGGGCCCGTGTGCCTGTGGGGCAAGAGAGACCATGTGCTGCAGGCTGCTTCCCCCAGAAGCAAGTAGGACAGCCACAGGCGTGGGAGAAGCCTTCTCAGAAACTCTGAGCCCTGACATATTTGCTGGGGTATTTCCCACCCTGGACTGACCCACATCTGCTTGGAGGGAAAGAAAAGACTAGATTGCATGATATAGACAATGTGAGTTTGACTTCACTGATCCCTGGAGGCTGGAAATTTTCCCTCTGGCAAGCAAGGTTAGGTCTAAAGGCTAAAACTCCCACAGTACCAGAACCAGGAGGCTGCCGGCTGCAGACAGCCCAGGAGCCCGGGGCATGGGAGAAAGCTTTCTGATTCATGAAGCATGAGATTTCATTAGGCTCATTGGAGTTACAGCCCGCCATGGTGGGTCCATGTCTGCCCTGTGGCCTGGCCCCACCATTCCAACAGGCGGCTACCAGCCTGCTGGAAGCCCAAGTGGAGTTCTGGTCAGCAGCACTGAAGGCTCCCAGGAAGGATGGGCGCTGGCAGGGCGTGGGACAGACCCAGTGTGGCCGGACATCCTGGGCCCAGTGAGGAAGGGAGGGGCTCCACTAGCAGTCTCACAATGACATGGGGCAGGGGTGAGGAAGGGGGAGAAGGGAGCTATTCTTTTATGCAAGTAGGTGGCATGTGGGCAGCCAGCAGAAACACAGGCAGGTGGGCTAGGGGAGACCAGGACAACGGGGGCATATATCAAGGTGTCCTAATCGAAGGGGACATGAGGTTGGGGGCCATAGGCCAGGGCTATGCCAGGTCCTCTCAGAGACCCTGACTAGAGCAGGCCCAGGACCAGGCAGGTAAAATTCAAAGGGATGAAAAAAAAAATGTGGGTCTCTGTATCCAGAGCTGGTCTCAGGTCAAGAAGAGGGCAAGGCCACCAGCCGCCCAGACTTACAGAACAGTTACAGGAAGAACACAGAGAGTTCCCAGATACCTTTCACTTGGAGACCCCAAATGTGAGCATTTTTACTCTCTGCTCTCTCTCTCTTTCCTCCCCTTTACGCCTAAAGACTTCAGTGTGTGTAAAAACAAGAACATTCTCTCACTTAACTACAAAAATTATCAAAATCAGAAAATTAAGGCCAATACAAACCTATTATCTAATCTACAGACCTTATTCAGATTTCACTGACTGCACCAGTAAAGTCCCTGGTGGAGGCGAAAGAAGCCGCAAGGTCATGTTGCACTTTGCTGACCTCTCCCTGGCCTCCCTTCACCTGGAGAACCCCTACCTTCCTTTATATTCCATGGCCCGGACATTTGACCACTCCAGGTTAGGTTCGTAGCGCGACCCTCAGTTTGGGCGGGCTGTTTTTAAATGTGCATCACAGGCAAATCCTCACTCCCTTTGCCAAAAGAAGCTGCCCTATTAAGCATGTGTCTTATTTAAATCTCAAGATGCTAGTTCTGTTTTGATAGATCAATAGGAACCACATTTGTTGGCAGGCCTGCTGTTCTGCGATTCATGTTTGTTAAAGCAACAGCAGCCTTTTCTCCCCTTTCTCTCTCTACTCAGAGAAGTGTTCTCTTTTTCTTGCCTTTGTCCCTCCATTCAGGCTGCTTGGGTGTGAAGACCCATGTCATCAGCAAAAGTGGGATCCCAGAGCCTACCTGCCATTCCCAGCAACAAGGATCATTCTGAATGATAATTAAGAATGTATTTTCCAACATGGAAGAATATCAGGCCTTCAGTAAGCGTGACTTGACAGCCCCCAGGGCGGCCCAGGTCTGAGAGCTGACAGTCATCAGAACCCCAGCACCACAGGGAGCTAAGATCACAGAGAAACCCTCAGAGCCGTGCATCGTAAGTAACGTGACCTCTGAAGCAATCAAGGAGTTGGTGCAAATCTGGTTTGCATTGCTGTGAGGGGGCTGGAGAATAAGTCAATGGGTAAAAATATTAGTCTGAATCACCAGCCCTTTTTACATAGGCCTTAGATTTGAGGTCAGCTTGAGCCTAAAATGTAAGCTCATTGGGCTTCATCCCTCGAGCCCTTCCTCTTCCTCCCTGGCTCATCCACCTCCTCAGTTCAAATCCATGAAACACAATTCAGTTCCAGCAATATGTGTTGAAGACACTTCGGTGCTGGGCTGGGCCAGGTGGTGCCTGCCTACGGCACAGCAATACCTCCAGCCTCAAAGCCACTGCACCACATGCATCTCTTCTCCTGTAGCTGCCCAATGCATTTATGTGTAGGTCCTTTTCCCCCAGGCTTCTGCTTCCTGATAAAGGAGAGGAAGAGGCCAGTCGAGTTGTATTCTGGAAATACTTTGCCTTTGTTCTTCTCCTTCCTGGTAGCTTCTTGAATCAATCCCTTCGCTTTCTTCCACCAAGCCAGAAAGCAGCCTCAGACTCTGAGCAGCCACTTCCAGTCCCTTGGGGCAGACACCCACGCAGAAGCCTGCTTGCATTTCTGTCCTGGGAGTGGAGAGAAGAGAGCCCTGTGGCTGTGTAGCCTGGCAAGGCTTTGTGGAAGAGGGGGCCCAACTTCACCTTAAAGAATGGGTGAGTTTGAGGGGCTCTCACAGAAATGGGAGGGGACTGGTATGGGTGACCTTGATTTGGGTCCACACAGACATCTCTTGGAGCCAACTATATGCTTTGAGCCAACTATAATGCTTCTTTTTTCTCTTCCTCCTTTAAGACACCTGGGTATACAGTGATTACAGGTTTAGTGGTAGGAGACTAAATTCTTTGCAACCTGGATTTCTATGTTCAACCTTGCAGCAGAATCTTTGCAGGTCAGAAAGAAAGGAAATAGCGGATGCTGCCTGGCGCTGTCCACATCCCTCAAATTCTCAGAGGTAACCTGAGACATCCCTGTACATGCCAAAGGTGTTCTCTGGCCTCCACGTGGATGGGCCACAAGTGACTGGGGACCTACCCCCACCTCCTGTAACAGTGCTCAAACAATGAGGATGGGTGAGACCCTGACTTCCTCACCCCTCCTTTTGGTGGGACAACTCTAAGTCATGGCATCTGCACAGCCACTCTGTAGCCTCAGGTGACCATGGAAGTAGCAGCTCATCCACCCCATTTTATTTATTTATTTTTATTTTTATTTTTTTTAAATTTTAGATTCAGGGAGTACACGTCCTTGTTTGTTACATGGGTATTACAGGTGTAATGGTGGAGGTTTGGTTTCTAGTGTATCCATTAACCAAATATTGAACATTGTACCCAAAAGGTAATTTTTCAACCCCCACTTCCTTCCCAGCCTCTCCACTTTTGGAGTCCTCATAGTTTTATCTCTCCATTTCTATGTCCATGTGTACCCATTCTTTAGCTCCCATTTATAAGTAAGAATATGCGATATTCTGCTTCTGAATTAGTTCACTTAGTGAGCAAAGCTGGATGGCCTCCAGCTGCATCCATGTTGCTACACAGGACATGATTCAATTCTTTGTTATGGCTGCATAGCATTGCGTATTCTATATGTACAACATTTTCTTTGTCCAGTTAACTGTTCATCGACCCTATTTTGTTAGCATTCCTCCCTTCTCTGTCTCCTTCCTCCACTCCCTCAGGGTGCTCCTGGGTCACCTTTCAAGTATATTCCCTGCCCCCAGTGCTAGCCTCAGGCTTCACTCTTTGGGAACACACTAAGACCACAGTGCATTTGACTATGAGTGAGGATGATCTTCCTACATTTTCTATGTGGCAAAGGCAAATGGAAGCTTGAGGACAAAGGCAGATCTCTGAGTTAAAAGGACACCTACAAGTCCTTCTCTGTGAGCTCATCTTAGGGCAGAGCAGACTCAGAGATGGGGAAGAGCCTCCATTTACATCCTGGCTGCTCCCATTCCATCACTTCCATCACTCTGGAATCTGTAGGGAAGCAGGCCAGTCCTCTGCCCTGAGGCTGAGGCAGGGGCGGTCCGGGCAGAACAGTTGCCAAGTTTCCGCCTCTGCAAGGCACACCATGGTGAACAAAAATGCCAAATCCTCCTCCAGATCCCCAGAAAGAGCCAGCTCTCCTGTTTGTCTCTCGTGGACTGCTGTGACCTGTGACCAGGTAATTAGGACTCTGGGTGACATTTCTCTCATTTAAATTCTCAGTTCTCTGTTCAAATCTAGAAAGAACAGCTCTCATTGAAAGGGTATGTTGGGAGGGTTTCTGTCAGGGCCCTGGGCCTCTTGCTGTCTGCCCTCACTGTGGATGTGAGAAGCAGAGATGTGTTCGGGTCATATGTACAGGGGAAATGGAGGGGTATCAGCGAGTATTTCCACTGGAAGGCACTACAGTGGGGCTGTTTGAGGCTGAGTTTTTGTTTTCTTTTGAGACAAGGTCTTGCTCTGTCACCCAGGCTGGAGTGCAGTGAAGCGATCAAGGCTCACTGCAGCCTTGACCTCCAGGCTCAAGTGATCCTCCCACCTCAGCCTCTCGAGTAGCTGGGACTATAGGTGCATACCATCATGCCCAGCTAATTTTTGTATTTTTTGGTAGAGACAGGGTTTTACCATGTTGCCTAGGCTGGTCTCAAACTCCTGGCCTCAAGTGATCCTCCTGCCTCGGCCTCCCAATATGCTGAGATTACAGGCATGAGCCACTGCACCTGACCTTGGATTTTATTTTTTTAAGATTCTTTATGAGCAGGCTCAAAGCCATTCTTCAATCACGAGGAATGAATGACCTCCAGCCCACGGTTGAAATTTCTGACAGGATGGAGTCATTTTATGGTTTCCTTCTGGGCCTGTCCTGGCAAGTGGGAGGCACAAGTGAGTACAGCCTGGAAAAGAGCATTCCACCTCATTTTCAGCTCAATTAACCTTTCCTGAAATGCCACAGTCCCTCAGAGAGGGGCCCTCCTGGGCCACATGAGATGGGAGGTGGAGGTTCACCACCAAGGCAGAGCAGGTAGATATGCTCCTTTAACTTTCTGGAGGCTGAGATAAGAACAAAAGCCATGAGCTCCCTATGGTTTGGGTTGAAGAAAAACCTCATTCATCCACTCCAAGGTGGTTTACATCCAGGCCAGGTGGGACGCCCTGGCTTTCCGCTCTCCCCTCAGAAAAGGGCTTGACCGAGGAAAGAGATGCAAGCAAAGTAGGCTGCAGGCACATTGAGCTCTCTGAAGACATGAGCCTGTTCCTCCAAGTGAACCTTGGTGGGTGTGGCCCCGGATCCCATGGAGGTGTCAGAGCTACCATCCACTCCCACATTGGACAGGGACGGCTGGAGCCAGGGCTCCTGGGCTCAGTAAACAAGTCCTCCTTTCTTACAGGACACTTGGAGGCAGCTTTTAACAACTCAGACCAGATGAGTGAGCACATTCTCACACATGTCCCATATTTCCCAAGTCAGTAACCAGCCCCTTGCAGAAGGCTGGTGATGCTTTACACCTTGGGGTCCTTCAGAGAAATGGGTTTGTCGTACAGCGTATCCTTTTCAACATGGATAAGCATTTTATTGTGCATTAATTCTAATGTAACGTTAATTGGAAATAATCCTTCTGGTGAGAAGAGCATAATTCTGCTGGCTTCTGGAGACTGGAAGAAGCTTTAGGACCCTCAAGGAGGAAGCCCTGTGGGAGGAGGAAGTGGCCATCATGAGCTTCAGCGAAGACGGCTCTGCAGGTTGCATTGAACTTGCGGACAAGTCTCCACCCGACTACCCCAACCTGGCAATTATGATCTGCTTATCAGGGGAGCAGTGACTTGACAGTCTGTCTCAGTTTACTTGTCTATAAAATGGTTATGAATAATCATATTGGCCTCATAGGGTTATAGTGAGAATTATAGCCACTGGCAGAGAGCACCCAGCCAGCCCCATTCCTGGAGAAAAGCAGAAGTTTAGTTCTTGGAAAAGTTGCATATAGATTCTTAAAGAAATGATGTCACAGGGACTTCCTTGCTATCCCTAAAAACCAGGGACCTGTTTTTAAGTCAGTGACCCAGCCTGCTACAGTGGAATCCCAGTTTTAGGATAATGTGAGGTCAGCTTTCCTCACTCCATTGCATGCCAGGGCCCACCCTTGGGTTTTAGGCTTGAAAAAGTTATAGTTACCAATATCCTCCTTCAGTGACTTTCCATGGCTTGGAGAAGACAGTCCAGATCCCCATCCTGCAGCATAAGGGCCCTGTGTGACCTGCCACCACTCAGTCATCTGCAGAAGGCTGGTGCCTGTGCACTCTATGTTCTGCTGATCGAGGTGCCCTCACCTTTCCCAACACATCATGTGGGGACACGCCCTATCTGTGTGCACAGGGAATGCTGTGGAATGTATGTAGAGCACCCTCCCTCATCTCCTTGGAATGCTTCTATCATCTCTCAAGATGCAATTCACCTTGTCTGGGAAACCCTTTTGAATCCCGCAGCAGTTATCTGCTCACTCCTCTGACCTGTGCACACACCTCTGAGATTGTACCATGCACTGTGTGGGAGCAGTCTTCTCCTAGCATTCTTCTCTAATAGGGAACTCTGCCTTCCCACCTTCTATACCTGGCACACGGACAGTGCTATAAATGTTGGTTGAATATAGAAATTGGTAGGAGGAGATCTGGAGTCAGGGCTCAGTGCTCCTGGGGATGGCTCAACTCCTGTTCTCAGGCAGAATGAAATCCCTAGCAAACTGCAGAGCAACCAAGGAGAAAACCTATCTCAGAAGTTAGCGCCCCCAACACACTGAAGTCTTGGATCAAGCATTTACCCACCTGCTAGAGATCAGTGGCTCTGGAGGAAGCAGCACGTAGACCTTTGTTCCTGGGCAACACTAACCCGCGGCATACCTGAGGAAATGTGAACCTGTTATCTGCTAGTTTTTGAGATCCCCTTTACCTCCACCTGGTGGGGAACGAGGCATCCCCTGCTGTCTGTTTTTTGCCCTCTTGATACCTGGATTCTTCTACCAGAATTAAATGTCTAGGATTTCAGTAGAGACTTTTCAAGGGGCTGAGACCTTCTGAGCCTGAAGAGTGTTATTCCTCTCTCTTGCTCTCAGCAGCTTGATTTGTAGGTCAGTCTACCATTTACTCTCCCACAAGGACTGGGGTATATTGTATTATTGTCCTTGTTCTTCACCCTCTATGGCCTTCGCCATGTGACTTTGATGTACTTCCCACTTGAATTGGGGCATATTTCCCATACTTCTTGCCATTGGGTGTAGTTATATGACTTGCTTGGGACAATAGAATGAGGTATTTCTACTCTCCTCCCTGAACCTTTGCCATGGCCATGAGAACATGCCAGCCTAGCTGCTGATCCCAGGAGAAAGGTGAGAGACATGTTGGGCAGAGCCAAGCCCCTAGACAGCCCAGCCTAGATTAGCTGACTCTCAGTTAGCAGAGACCCTTGAGAAATAACTGATGACTGTTGTTATAAGCCTTTGGAGTGGTTTGTTACATGGCATCATTGAAGTGATAGTTAACCAACTAATATTTAAAGAAATTTTGGTCATAATAATCTGATGCCCAGTACACTGCCCTGTCCCCTTGGCATGGGAAGCTCATACCAAGAACATCAACTTTGGCACACACACACAGCCCCCTCCCTATGACAAAATTGGATAGCACATGCTCCAGGGTTGTCTTCGTAAAAGACGTGTGTCCCTGTGAGATGGAGTAACACTGACAACAGGAACTGAAGTGTTTCCATCAACTTCTAATTTCCATTTCCCCTCCTCCCGCTCTCTCCCCTCTACAAGAGTCTATAGTCTCCTGGTGATGAACAACAACAACAACATTCCTCAAAGAAACCTTTGTTTAACTCTCAACACATCTGTTCTTCATTTATAGGAATAATGGCTAACAACATTAGAGAGTTTACATCTATGTCCAGTACTGTGCACTTTTATAAATGATTGTTCATTATTTGTAGAATCCCTGTAATGCTGGTGCTAAGTAAAGGTGACACTTTAAGTTCACCACAATGTCTGCTCTGAGAGCAGAAAATAATGTCTTCAAGGCCACATGTAGATCCTTCATCCGCAGTGCACTTACCCTGGTGTGGTGCTTTCTTTAAGAAACACTCTGATTGGCCAAAGAAATGCACAGTCCACAGTTCAGCTCTAGGAGCTTTGTAGTATGGATGGAGTGCAGGGTGATAGTCCTCCACTTCTTTTCTGTAACCAAAAGAACAGGATTTTTCTAAGTAGATATTTGGCATAGATGATGGCATCTTTTTTTCTACAAACAGATTTTTACAACTTTTTCTCTTGTCTAGTTTTCAAAAGTATTTGTATACTCATTCTTGATTAAAAGTAAACTCTCAGAAAATTAGGAATAGAGGGGAACTTTCTCAACCCAATAAAGAATATCTACCAAAACACTTCGTTGACATTGTATTTAATGGTGAGACCCTAGAATCTTTTCCAGTAAAATAAGGAAGAAAGCAAGGATGCTCCCTCTAACCACTCCTCTTCAGCATCACACTGAAATTCTTAGCTAATGCAATAAAACAAGCAATAAAAGTGTACTGATGAGGAAGGAAGAAATAAAATTGTCTTTGTTTTCAGATGACGTAATTGTCTATTTAGAAAATTCTCCCCCAAACAAAACAAAAAAATTCTGGATACTAATACATGATTACACCAAGGTTGCAGGATACAAGGCTGATGTGTAAAAGTAAATTGCATTTTTTTTTTAACAATAAGAAAGTTTATTAAAATCAGGTGAGTTCCAACAAAGGGTGGCTCTGGCTTACATAGTACATCAGTTCCATGATGGCTTCTTATACTGAGGTTTTGGTTTTTTTCTTTTTCCTTTTTTTATTATACTTTAATAATAAATACTTTAATACTGGGATACATGTGCAGAATGTGCAGGTTTGTTACATAGGTATACACGTGTCATCGTGATTTGCTGTACCCATCAACCCATCATCTACATTAGGTATTTCTCCTAATGCTATCCCTCCTCTAGCCTCCAACCCCCTGGCTGGCTGTGGTGTGTGATGTTCCCATCAATGTGTCCATGTGTTTTCATTATTCAACTCCCACTTATGAGTGAGAACATGTGGTGTTTGGTTTTCTGTTCTTGTGTTAGTTTGCTGAGAATGACGGTTTCCAGCTTAATCCATGTCCCTGCAAAGGACATGAACTCATCCTTTTTTATAGCTGCATAGTATTCCATGGTGTATTTATGCCACATTTTCTTTATCCAATCTATCATTGATGGGCATTTGGGTTGACTCCAAGTCTTTGCTACTGGGAACAGTGCTGTGACAAACATACGTGTGCATATGTCTTTATAGTAGAATGATTTATAGTCCTTTGGGTATATATCCAGTAATGGGATTTCTGGGTCAAATGGTATTTCTGGTTCTAGATCCTTGAGGAATCGCCACACTGTCTTCCACAATGGTTGAACTAATTTACACTGCCACCAACAGTGTAAAAGGTTTCCCATTTCTCCACATCCTCTCCAGCATCTATTGTTTCCTGACTTTTTAATGATCACCATTCTAACTGGTGTGAGATGGTACCTCATTGTGGTTTTGATTTGCATCTCTCTAATGACCAGTGATGATGAGCTTTTTTTCATAAGTTTTTTGGCCCCATAAATGTCTTCTTTTGAGAAGTGTCTGTTCATATCCTTTACCCACTTATTGATGGGTTGTTTGTTTTTTTTCTTGTAAATTTGCTTAAGTTCTTTGTAGATTCTGGATATTAGTCCTATGTAGATTCTGGATATTAGTCCTTTGTCAGATGAATAGATTGCAAAAATTTTCTCCCATTCTGTAGGTTGCCTTTTCACTCTGATGGTGGTTTCTTTTGCTGTGCAGTAGCTCTTTAGCTTAATTCGATCCCATTTGTGCATTTTGGCTTTTGCTGCCATTGCTTTTGGTGTTTTAGTCATGAAGTCTTTGCCCATTCCTATGTCCTGAATAGTATTGCCTAGGTTTTCTTCTAGGGTTTTTCTTGTTTTAGGTCTTACGTTTAAGTCTTTAATCCATCTTGAGTTAATTTACGTGTAAGGTGTAAGGAAGGGGTCCAGTTTCAGTTTTCCACATATGGTTAGCCAGTTTTCCCAATACCATTTATTAAATAGGGAATCCTTTCCCCATTTCTTGTTTTTGTCAGGTTTGTCAAAGATCAGATGGTTGTAGATGTGTGGTGTTACTTCTGAGGCGTCTGTTCCATTGGTCTATATATCTGTTTTGGTACCAGTACCATGTTGTTTTGGTTACTGTAGACTTGTAGTGTAGTTTGAAGTCAGGTAGCATGATGCCTCCAGCTTTGTTCTTTTTGCTTAGGAATGTCTTGGCTATATGGGCTCTTTTTTGGTTCCATATGAAATTTAAAGTAGTTTTTTTCTAATTCTGTGAAGAAAGTCAGTGGTAGCTTGATGGGGATACTATTGAATCTATAAATTACTTTGGGCAGTATGACTATTTTCACAATATTCACTCTTCCTATCCATGAGCATAGAATGTTTTTCCATTTGTTTGTGTTCTCTCATAGTAAATTGCTTTCTTACATACATATCAGCAATAAATAAGTAGAATTTGAAATTTTAAAAAATCATTTATATTAGCGCTCAAAATGAAGTACTTAGATATAAATCTAACAAAATATGTACAAGAACTATACTAGGAAAATGACAAAACTCTGATGAAATAAATATTAAAATATAAAAAAATAAAAAATATAAAAAAGAATGTTCATAAATAGACTAAATTGTCAATATTTCAGTTCTTCTCAATTTAAACTATATATCCAATGCAATCCTAATCAAAATCCAGCAAATTATTTTATAAATATTGGAAAACTAATTATAAAGTTTATATGGAGAGGCAAGAGACACAGAATAGCCAATACATATTGAAGGATAAGAACAACACTGGGGAATTGATACTACTTTCCTTCAAGTCCACTATAAAGCCACAGTAATAAAGATAGTGTGGTATTGTTGAAAGAATAGTCAAATAATAGATTAATGGAACCAAATACAGAGCCTAGAAATAGACCCACATACATGCTGTCAACTGACCTTTGACAAAGAAGCAAAAGCAATACAATGGAGCAAAAACAGTCTTTTCCACAAGTGGTGCTGAAACAACTGGACATCCACACGCAAAACCATGAATCTAGATACAGACTTTACACCATTTACAAAAAGTAACTCAAAATGGATTATTGACATAAATGTAAAATGCAAAGCTATAAAACTCCTAGAAGACAGCATATGAGAACATCTCGATGAGCTTGGATATGGCAATTACTTTTTAGATATAACACAAAGAAAGAAAAAAGTTGAACCCCATTAAAATTAAAAACGTCTGCTCTGTGAAACACACAGTTAAGAGAATGTGAAGACATGCCACAGACTGGGAGAAATATTTAAAGAACTGCTATTCAAAATATACAAAGAACTCTTAAAAGTCAATAGAAAAAAACGAACAACCCAAATAAAAAGTAGGCTGAAGACCTGAATGAACACTTCACCAAATAAGGTACAAAGATGATACACAAATGGGCATATGAAAAGGTTTTCAACACCCTATGTCAGCAAAGAATTAAATATTAAAACAATGACATACTACTACATACTTATTGGAAAGGCTCAAATTCAGAACACTGACAACATATCAAATTCTGGTGAGCCTGTGTAGCAACAGAAACTCTCATTCATTGCTGGGGGGAGGGCAGAAAGGTCCAGCCACCTTGGAAGACAGCTTGGAAGTTTTTTACAAAATTAAACATGCTTTAACCATATGATCCAGCAATTGTACTTTTTAGTGTTTTCCCAAAGGAGCTGAAAAGTTAATATCCACGCAAATATCTGTGTGCAGATGTGTGGATATTGACTTTTATTCATAGTTATCAAAACTTGGCTTTATTCATAGTTGCCCAAACTTGGAAGCAACCCAGATGTCCTTCAGTAGATGAATGGGTAAATAAACTATGGAACATCCAGACAACAGAATATTGTTTAGCACTAAAAAGAAACGAGCTATCAGGCCGTGAAAATACATTTAAGTAACTTAAATGCATATTACTAAGTGAAAGAAGACAATCTGAAAAGGCTGTATACTGTATAATTCCAGCTATATGACATTCCGGAAAAGGCAAAACCACAGAGACAGTGAAATGACGAATGGTTACCAGAGACTTAGGGGAGGGAGAGAAAGATGAATGATGGAGCACAGAGCATTTTTTAGGGCAGTGAAACAACTCTGTATGATACTGGAGTGGCAGATACATGTCACTATGCATTTGTCAGAATGCTACAGCACCGAAAGTGAGCCCTAAGGTAACCTGTGGACTGGGTGGTAGTGATGTGTCAACATAGGCTTATCAGTTACAGCAAATGCGCTGCTCTGGCGGGGGACGTAGATAATGGCAGAGGCTGTGAGTGAGGGGGCGGGAGATACATAGAAAACCTCTGTATCTTCCTCTCAATTTAGCTGTAAACGTAAACCTATTATTTAAAAAGTCTTTAATGAATAGTATTTGTAACAGCTAAAAAACCCTCTCTGCCACTGAGCAGTATTTCCTTTTACCTACAGCAGCCATTCTGAGGTCTGGCCTCAAGGCCCAACCTGTCCAGCTCATCTCAGATTGTATTATCCTTCGCCTCACTGGGTTTCCTTGGTCATCTCAGCATTTGCGGTGCCCGCAGTGTCTTTCCTGGTTTCCCTCCAGGGTTCTTCCTTGCTTGGAAAGCTTGATTCCACTTGCACCATCCTGATTCTGCTTATCCTTCAATGGTAACTCTCACATGACATTTGTTCCAACAATGCTGTGACTCTGTTTTATATCATGGCTCTCCTTCCCTGTCCTCCCTCCCTCCCTCCCTCCCTCTCTGCCTTCCTTCCTTCCTTCTCTCCTTCCCTCCCTTTCTTCTCTCTTTCTCTTCTTCCTTCTTTCCTTCTTCCTCCCTTCCTTCTTCCCTCCATTCTTTCCTTTCTTCCTTCCCTGTTTCCTTCCCTCCTTCTTCCTCCCTTCCTTCCTCCCTTCCTCCCTCTCCCTCCCTCCCTTCCTTCCTTTCTTCTCTCCTTCCCTCCTTCCTTTTTACTTCTTTCTCCCTTCCTTCTTCCCTCCATTCTTTCCTTTCTTTCTTCTTTCCCTCCTCTTCCTCCATTCCTTTCTCCTTTCCTCTCTCCCTCTATCCCTCTCTCCCTCCCTCCTTCTCTCCCTCCCTACACTCTCCCTCCCTCCCTCTCTCCCTCCCTCTATTCTTTCCTTCCTTTCTTCCTCTCTTCTTTCTCTCTTTCCCTCCTTCCTTTCCTCTCTCCTTGCCTCCTTTCTTCTTTCCTTCTTACTCCCTTCCTTCTTCCCTCCATTCTTTCCTTTCTTTCTTCCTTCCTTCCTTCTTCTTTCCTTCCTCCCTCCCCACTTCTTTGCTTTCTTCCTTTCATTTTTCCTTCCCTCCCTCTCTCCCTTTCTTCCTTTTGTTCTTTCTTTCTTCTATTCTACCTACCTTCAGAAAATGCTAGTTGAGCTCCCAGTGTGGCTAGCACTTTGTCAGACACATAAAGACATGGGCAGAGACATAGAGGAGCTCTACCCTTGTGGAGCTTGTGGTCTGGCTGATCTAGGCAGATGTTAAGTACATAAAAGTATAGAATTACAAATGGTTATCTGGATGAAGAAAAAATAACAGGTAACGTGAGGTCACAAAACTTGGCCTAGTCTGAAGGTCAGAGTCAATTTCCTGGAGGAAGAGCAGCTTGAGCTAGGACCTTGAGGAAGCGCATGAATTAAGCACTTGAAAGGGAGGGGAAGGCCTTGAGGAAAGATGATCCCAGCACATTTCTTCAATTCATTCATTCAATCATCTGCACATTCATTCCACACAAATCAATGTTCACCATCCTTGAGAAACACTGGAGGGCCTGTGACAAGGCTGAGGCTGATGGAGAGGGAGGCAGATCCTGCAGGGCCTTGCAGGCTGAGTTTAGGATTAGCGAATAGATAGGACGTGCAGTAGAAAGACACTGCCAGATTTTAAGGGGGTCGTCTCAACACCAGAAATGTGTTTTGAAACAACGTTATCTTGGGTTGTGGGTTCCTCAGAAGTAGGCTCTGAAATGGAGAATGCACGTGGAAAGTTTATTAGGATCCTGAGTCTTAGGATACTGGAATCTTGGGATCAACACCTGTGAAAGGGAAGGTATGGGAAGACAGCAGCATTGGGCAGACAGAGGAGCTGAGCTGTAGTGCAGTCTCAAGGGGAAGCCCCAGTTGACCCCATGGTATGCGTTGGACCTGGAATGTCCCTTTAAAAGTGTCCCGAGTTAGGATGCAGGGGCTGAACCCCATGTCCATAAGCCCTTGGATGGAGCTGAGCCTGCAAAACATCTGACCCTGAGCACAGCTCTTTAGCAGGAGCACAGGGGAGGAGGGTGTCTGCAGCAGCACTTCCAGCAGCTGTGGGAAGAAGCCCTTTTCAAGGGAGATCTAGACGGTGCATCCAGCATCACCACAGACACTGGTGTTAAAAATCCACCCTTGCTTGTGTCCTTCCTGACCATTTGTTTAGTTGTGGTCACCAGATTCTCATACAACATTTAGTTATTGGCTGGCCTTCCTTCTTTTCCTTCTATTTAAACTTATGTCTCCTCAAGTGGATGGGCCATATCTTACATTGAACTGTGGAATGCATCCCATGGAATTCAGCCCAAGGCTACTAGATAATTACTTGGTGACAAATGCATTCAAGTTCTGACCCAGAGCCACAGACTAAGAAAGTAACTGCTTGCAATTACTTGTTGAATGATGGATGAGCAACAAACTTTAGCAATTTTCCAACAAGTGACAGCTTTTTATAATATGTTTTTCCTATAAGCTGTAGAGGAAAGAGTTGCTGTATCCTGGGTTGAACCTACCAGGTCCCGTGTTTCCATTTTGTCCTCATCCATTAGCTCCAAAATATTCCAGAAACACAGAAAACTTACATTGACTGTATACAGTCATCAGATACAAAGACATATCAGGATCTAAGAACACAGAACATTATTCTGTTGGTCAATTAATTTAAAATGAAACCTTCCAGAAAATCAACTCTCTTTAAGGAACTGGTAGAGACCACTCCTGTGTCCCTCTACATTTTTTTCAGTCTTTATTAACCGGAGTTTCATAGTTCTTCAAACATGCTTTGACAATAGCACATTTCCTTAGTGTCATATTCTAGTTACCTACTCTTGACTTTCTGAGGCTGAGAGTGTTTCTTTCCCTTGGCCCAGTTCAGTGACTCAGCAGATTACCAGCACATAAGGCCTCAAAAAAACAAGGTCAAAAGAGGCTCCTAGGAGAGGGCAGTGCTGGCTGCATGTGTCTGGTGTTTACTGTGCTATTTCAGGCCCCTTCAGCCTCTGCCACATGGGTGGGATGGAGGCATTTAAGACAGGACTGCAGTAGATGTAGATAGTTCTCACCTACATGCCCATTGCCTTCATTGTGTCCACACCTGCAGATGGCTTCTTGCTACAAGAGCCACCAGACCTTCAACCTGCTGGCTTTCCCGGGCTGCAAGTCCTCTGACCGGCCTGTGTGATGGACTGGCTAAAAGGACCAGAGTTAATGCCTGGGAATAGCCTTTGATCGGTTATGGCTGAAAATAATAATTAAATATTCAGGTCCCCTGACTGTTGAGTGGGACAACTCTGCAGAGTGTTATGAACATCATAACCCCAGGTCTCCGTGGGATTAAGCTCCAGGTGTCCACAATGGCAGCTTGCTTGACCCCACGCTCTCCTGACTTCTCTCTCTCACTTCCCCACTCTCCTGCTGGTGCTTCCTGGAGCTCCCAAACAAACCAGGATCTGCCTCTGGAGAGCCCAGCCTAAGACAGAGGCTGTCTTGATACCTTTACATGGCCTAGAGATTATAACCTGACCCTATCTGTGCAGAAGCCCTTCCATGTCTCATCCATAGATGGGAGATGCTTTGTGAAATTCTGTTCTGTGGCTCCAAATGAGTACTCACCCTTCCTTTGAGAAAACAGACAAAATGCAACCCCCATTGTGACACCTACCTGTACTCTATGATGTCTTGAGGCATGCACTTACAGAAGGTGCATGGGCATCGTTCTACCTCACCTCTCTAAAAATGCACCTGTGGGCTGCTGACTCCATGTTATTATTTTCTAAAGCATAACACAAAGCAATAAGATTACAGTGTTCCATCACCAAAATCCAGCTTACTCATTTCCTGGGCACCATGGTCCCGGGCATTATGATATGTCTGACTAAGAAAGTATAAGGAGCAAACTTGGAAGAGCCAGAATATTTTGCAAGGGCACCTCTCTAAGCAGCTTACACTTCGGGGCTGGATAGGGAAAGCTGTTTACAAAGCATTCATGAGAAACCCAGCACTGTATTTCCAGGTTCTGAACCCCAGAATGCTCCACACATATGTAGGGGCTGCCTGAGTGACAGCTTCACCTGGGGTTGGGCTGGAGGGACCTGGAGCCCCATCAACATGGCCATTTTTGTTGGACATTCTGCTGACCCAGCTCACATGGGCAGGACTGACAGTGGAAGGTTGGCTTCTTCTCTCATCTTCTGCCAGAAATCTGTCAGGATTTCCTTGCTCTGTAAGTTGAATCTAGATCCTTAGAAAATTCAACCTAGATGGAAGGATAAAGGTGCTTTATTTCTGAATAAAAAAAGTTGAAGGGTGATCCAATGACATTTTTCAACAGGGAATACTTATTGTACAGATGGTGACCAGCTCTTCCTTTCACTGAGTCAGGGCAGTCATGGGGACTGGGCTTAAACACAGGTTGTCCAGATAGGAGGCTCTGCTGGCCCTGGAATGAGAGCCTAAGAGATCTATCAGCATTCTTTTTTTTTTCTCGGAGTCTTGCTCTGTCGCCCAGGCTGGAGTGCAGTGGTGCGATCTTGGCTCACTGCAACCTCCGCCTCCTGGGTTCAAGCAATTTTCTGCCTCAGCCTCCCAAGTAGCTTGGATTACAGGTATTTGCCAACTCGCCCAGTGAATTTTTGTATTTTTAGTAAAGACTAGGTTTCACCATCTTGGCCAGGCTGGTCTTGAACTCCTTACCTCGTGATCCACCCGCCTCAGCCTCCCAAAGTGCTGGGATTACAGGTGTGATCCACCACGCCCAGCCAAGAGATCTATCATCTTTCCTAGAGATGTGAGTTGATGAATAAGACTGGTACTTGTCTATCTTTTAGACTTTGGTTAATAGACTGTTCTCCGAGGTGGACCATAGCATTAAATGGAAGCTTGTTGCACTATCTGGAGAAATGTTTGTCAAATAGAATATTTTAGGGTGTATGTGTATGGGTTAAATTCAGGAAATATGCACCACCATAAATATTTATGAAGCTATTAGGTTAGTGCAAAAGTAAAATAATGGCAAAGACCGCTATTACTTTTGCACGAATCCAATATAACTGAAACATCCTGTTGTTTTTCCTCTTCTATCTCTGAAACACACCTCCTCTCCATCCTTAGTGACCCCTTCATGGTGATGTCGGTGTGTTTTAATATCTTCAGGAGTCCCTCTCCTCTCCTAATGGCTTTTTCAACAGCCAGACAGCAAGACCTAAGCAGGGCCAGGCCATCCTTGTAGGCGCCCCTGTGTCCTAGGGTGCCTGATAAGTGCTGGCTGCTGTGAGTTACTGAGTAACACCTTGTATTTTGTCAACAATCTGGGTAACAAGCTCACCCAAATTTTAATGAAAACACATTTACAATGTGTGAATTGTGTTCATTTTTAAAGCTTGAATTGTATCCATTTTAAACCTTATTCTATAGCACAAGTAACTGCCACTTTGAGTTGTATAACTTTAGATGGGCCTTGTGATTTCTGAGCCCAGGAACAAAATGTGTGTAACAGGAGTGATCAGGCTTGCCTAATAACTTTATGAGAATTAAATAAGATAAGGAACATGAAACCACTCCATCGAGTATACAGTAGGGGTATTTTAATTTTACTTTAATTAAAGGAATTAAAATGGGATATGAAATGTATGAAATGAAGTGGATTGCTGCAGAATAGCTCTGACAACAGGGACAGGCATGTTTGGGAACACTGTCTCAGTCCCCTCTTCTAGGTCTGCCTCCTGCAAGAGCAACAGCTGGGCTTGGCCGAGGCCAGGCAGGTACTATCCATTACACTTTACTGTTAAGGCTTTTCAACAGCTATTGAAGGAACTGACCCACTGTAATGTCAAGTTTTCAACAACATAGGAAGAAAATAAAGAAATGCTAAGGAAAAATTGTTTTTGCTGCTTATAAATAAAAGTACAAATTGATATTAGAAGAAAAATGCTATAATAGATAACGAAAAGCTTTAGTGAGTATTAAAAAGGAAAAAAAAAACAAGGTGTAAGGAAGAAAGAGCTAGGAGAAAGCAGGCTGAGCTCATCAGGCCTGCTGTGGTAAAGATGTAAAAGTTTGCCATTTTGAAGAATAAAAATATGACTTTATGGTTTATATCCTGAAATCATATGCTCTATTACACCATCAGTTTCTTTCTCACTGAGATGAGTGCTCTTTTTCCTTACAATAAGTACATTTTTCTTTTTATTTTTACTAGGATCCAAGACTTCAAAGAAAACCTATAAATTTAATAAAGTTTCTCCTGAAACCTACAACAAAGAAAACAATGACAAAGGAATTGCCCACAATTCTGTGACTCCCAGTGAATACCACAGAAGAGATGGCCACACTGGGCTCTGCTACCAGTTTTTAGAATCGTGAGACAATGCAGTAGTAGAAAGAAAACTAAGAAAATCAAGTTTCTGGGCTGCTATCTGCCTGTTTCAAGCCTCAGATTTTGCAAATATCTATTTTATAGAATCAGCAGAAGCAAGCCAATAATGTCTTTATGCAGTCTACTTGAAAGCAAAAATAACAAAGACGCCAGTCAATACTTTGAAAATGATGTTTATACTAGCCTGGGACTCATTGTTTGCTATGTTTATTAATACAACTAAACAAGAAATCCTCTCCACTTAAAGGCAGCACAGAGAGGATTTCATGTTGAAGAAATGCCCACAGTAGTGACAGTACAACTTGCAGAGGACTAAGTCATCTTTTCTCACATGCTGAGTCCTAACACCTAATTATCAGCTAACACCATTTCTGATGTTTTAGCATAGAAACCTTTATTATCTTAACACTGGATGCTAATAAGACATTGTTAATTTCTAAAACAAACAAACAAACATGGACCTAAAACCTGACTTCCCTAGGAAATAAAAACCCTTTCCTTGAACACCACAGACTCTACAGAGTACAAAGTGCTAGCAAATCATAAGCATTCCCTTATAAATATCAAGATCAATATTGAAGTAGCTCAGGATTGTACTTGACAGGATTTGAGCTTTATTGGTGGAATCTTAAGGTCTCCCACAGTGGTTTTTGGTGTTGATAAAGTTGGCATTTATTTATGACTTGAGTCCTTGCCTGGGGGCTGCAGTCAGAAGCAGCAGGATTTTGTCTAAAGCCAAAGACTTCCTTCATCCTCAGAAAGGAAGCAAGGAGCTGTTTTTCCTCTTCTCATTTGTCCTGCAACTGTGAATTTGTCTCTGGGGCTCCGCTCTGTTGACTTTAGAGAAGCTATGCATACACTTGGTCTCATTCTACTCTAAGACTAAACTGCAAACACAAACCACTCTATAAATTGGGAGATTAATTTCTTTTGAGAAGGCTCAACTAAAGTACCAAGTCTGCTTGTAGGAATAACCTTTAAAAATCAAACAAGCAATTTATAAAAGTCAGAAACCATACCCGGAAGGGTCAGTGTTCTGTTTTGTCTTTAATAGAAAATGCCCCGGATCTGGCAGAAAAAAGCCTTCAAAGGGCTCCCATTATTCCGAGGATGTTTTTATGGCAACATGATCAGCTACATTTCCAAACCTTCATGAAATGATGGCAGGTGGTCTTTCTAAGTAATCTTCAGCACATTCTCTGTTTGCTGAATTACCAGTAGACCCATGCAAGGGATTTTGGACAAAGAGCCATTTCTCATCTTGAATTACTCAGAAATGGAAAATAGTACCTTCTGTTCCATTTTTTTCCATCCGTGCCATCATTCACACGTGAAGTCGAGGGAATGCTCACCTGCATGTTTCATGGTGGAGCTAAGGACCTTGGAGGTTTATTTGCAGCTCCTTAAATAACAAAAACACTGAACCTTTGCAAATAACTCTACAAGCAGCTCACTGCCAAATAGCAGCCACTGCGCTTCTAAGCAGTGAGATGCGTAGATGATGAGAAGGGGCTTCCCTTGCCCAGAATACCCACCCCAACTGCTGTCTCCCATATGGGGGCCCTTCTGCTTCTGGCTCTCATCTTACTTTCCTCCTATCCCTCCTGCCACTCCTCTCCTCCTTCTCTGTTCTCCCCACTCCACCCCTGATGGCTCTGGAAAGGAGAAGTATCAACACAAGAGGGCACAGCTGATGGGCAGGGAGAAGGGACTCCTCCTGACACACAGCCATGGGCCTGGAAGATTAAGTCAGGCCCAGAAATACCACCCAGGAGATTGGAGTGGATTCTACGGGGACTCCCAAATGGGCCCTAACTGAGAATGTCAGAAAACTTGAGTGATCATATCATTTAAAAGGAGTGCCCTTAATAAGTCAACTGGGGTAATGGTTTCATAAACCTGGGCATCCCTCAGCAAAACAGCACAGACAGGGGCTCCTGGGTGGGAAGGGTATGTGGTATTAGAAAGAGCCCAGATAGGGGAGCTAGACAGCCTGGCTCTGTCTCTACCTTAGACTCTGAGACTGTTATTGACAAGAAAGAAATGCTGCATGAGATCACAAGAGAAAATTTTAGAGAAGTGAAACGTAATACAAACACAAGGCACAGCTCTAGAATTTTGCTACAGCCAAAGTCCTGGATAGTAGGGCTGGGAGCAAGGTGGCTGGATGGAGTTGGTTTTACAAGAATCACAAACATCTGTCAAAATGTGACTGAATATGGGGCCCTAAATATGTAAATTAAACACGTAACAAGCCACAGAGCATGGGTGGCAGCCTGCCTATGTGCACTGTCTACACAAATAGGCTTACTCAAATGGGAAAAGCATGAGATGGCAGCGAGCTCATTGGCAAAGTGACATCTTGAAAGTGATTATGCAAGAATACCTGGACATCCGGCCTGTCACATCCTCATCACCACAGCAACAAGAGCTGAACTTTCTCAGGCGCCTAACATGTGCCTCACACGTGCCATCTCATGTAATGGGGCAGGATGGAGTCACAGAGCCAGGGACATGATTGATTCTAACAGGCAGTGTGATCAGGTTCTAGGCTTGCTCCCCCAGTCCAGGTGGGCAGTGGAATCCACAGTGGGACATTCACAGGGACATAGCAAGAGCAGCTGCTCTGGAGGAAGTGAAGAGGCCAGCGTCCCTGGTCCAAGGCAAGTCAGGAATCAAGGAAACAGAAGGAAGAGGGTTTCTCAGGTGTGCAGGGGAGGAGCTGTCCGTGCGTAGGTTCCTGTTCATGTTCAGCTTCTGCAATTGCAAGGCACTCCTGACTTTCCTGGGTGGCACACAGTTTTTTGTGACCTATTAGCAATGAAGTGGAGGAAAGCAAAATTGGAGGTAGACCCTGGGTTACTAGCACTGGCTATGCCTCAAGTTTACTTTTGTGACCTCAGGCAAAAGCTTCGTGGTGCATTTGGAATCAACTACTCTTTCCCTGAATTTATAGATAGGGAGGCTGTGTGTGAGCAGTCATTGGCTTCTCTTCTAATGTCTTGTGAATCGTGTCATCACAGATTGGTGTGGATGGAGACCTAGCAATGAGCACTTGCAAAGGGTGTCATGAAGAACCAAGAGCTCAGCCTTGCTCTGTGATAACTACTAACTTCACTTTTTCACTCTTATTTTTTATTTCAATAGAGACAGGTTATTGCTATGTTGCCCAGTTGGTCTTAAACTCCTAGGCTCAAGCTATCCTCCTGCCTCGGTTCATTTTGCACTTCATGAGTCAGGACCTTGACTTTAAGTTGTAACTTCAGGTGCACAATAAAGTGAAGTTGAAAAGACTGAGCAAATGATGAATGAGAGAAAAGATCCACTATGTGGATCCTGGTTTTCATTCTTATCAACCACAGTTGCTGAAAGGAAGCATCGGTAGAGTTCTCGACAGACAGGGATGTTCTTCCAGACGTGAGTTCAGAAAGGACAGTGTTGTGGGTTGAATGCTATCCTCCTCAAAAAAGGCGTTGAATCTTGACCCTCCAGAACCTCAGAATTTGATCTTATTTGGAAATGGGGTCTTTACACAGGTAATTAAATTAAAATGAGATCATTAGGGTGTGTCCTAACCCAGTATGCTGTTGTCCTTTTAAAAAGGGGAAATTTGGGTACAGAGACACACAGGGAAGATGTCATGAAGACACACAGGGAGAAGGTGGCCATGTGACTAGAGTGATCGGTTTACAAAACAAAGAATGCCAATGTTTGCCAGCAAACATCAGAAGTTGGAAGAGGAAAGGAAGAGTCCTACCCTAGAGTTGTCAGAGAAAGTGTGACCCTGCCAGCACCCTATGGGACTTCTGGCCTCTGGAACTGTGAGGGACTACATTTCCACAGTGTTAAGCCTCCTGGTTTTTGATACTTAGTTAAAGTGGCCCTAGGAAAGTCATACAGAGGGTCTCCCCGGGGGCCTTCACCCACTCAGAGCTCTATGCCTGTGAACTTGGGACAGTGGTGAGCACTGGGAGCAGCCTCATGGGAACGAAGATGCTACAGAAGGCAGCCTCGGGTGCATCTTTCTGTGGCAAGCACAGCCTGAGATGGAACTGCCCGGGTACAGTGCAGGGCTTGGGGACCTCTTGAGGGGACAGGAGCACCTTGGGCCTCTTTGGCACCAGAGGGTGCACCCATCCTCTCCCCAGCAGGCTGCTTGCTGAGTCAAGCCCACAACCTGATATCATGTACTCAGGGAATGAGCATTCCCATGTTTGGTTGATGCCATTTCATTTATTATACTTTAGGGAGGCTTCCTAAAACACTGCACAGGACTCATGTTTACATATACGTACTTACACACAGAAAGTATTTTGGGGTAGAAATACCTTTGAATGAGAGCCAGCTTCTACTCCAGTACTGGTCAGTCCCTTACAAGCCGTGTTACCACAGGGAAGGAACTTGAGGTCTTTGGGCAGTTTCCTCACTCGTAAGTGGGAGAAATAACCTCTCAAGTTTGGTTTGAGATTTAAAACAAATTGTGCATATAACACCAGCATTGCAGTTTTTAAAGGAAGCAGACCTGTGTGATATAATTGTAAGTAAGATCTTGAGATTCAAGTGGCAAAATATTTGACTGTCATAAAATTCTATTACCTCTCTAAGAAATGTAAGCCATAGAGTTGGAGGATTAGTGAGATTTATGTGACAGCACTTGGCAAACCATGATGTAAAGAAACATGAATGTGTCTCTGTGTAACCACTATACTAGCATAACTTGCAATATTCTCAATTTCACTAACACCTATCCACTAAAAATTTGATTTCAAAGCAAAAAGACACACTTTGCCAGTTGGAAGACAGTCTATGTGTGGGGATTTGGGGGACTACATAGTATATATTATGTGATTCTTGAAGTTGTGTGGTTATTTATTTATTTATTTTTGCTTAACCTTGTGTAATCATGTGCAATTTAAGAGATTTCAGATAAATTTGGTTTTTCACATTAAACTCTAATTAGGTTAGGATTGATAAGCATTTAGCAGTCTCAGCTCTTTCCAGGATTTTAATTTCCTTTAGCATTTATATGGTGCCTATCAAATAAAGTACACTTGACATCTAGGCTTGTAAAAGAGAAGCTCATTTACTGGCATTCTGTGCTTTAAACACACACGCGCACATTAATAATGGCAGAATCTCCCAATCACCTCTTCTTCCCTTCAGTCATAGGGCGTGGATACTGGACCAGCAGCTGTAATTGCATGAGCTCTTTGTAGACCAATAAAGCCATAGCCACTGTGTGCATTTATCTAGAGAGGTACAATGAACACGGCTGGGCCTTAGCTGGTGTTGTGTAGGATGTGTTGATTATTCCAAGGACAATGTCCTGATTTTGCCCTGGGAACGTAGGATTGTAGAGCCCTGCTACAGAATGTAGGGGATTTAGATGCGGTTCACATTCAACCATTGCCCAGTTTGTGCCTCACTTCTTATTAGATGCCTTCTGGAATACCCACCTGGGGAATTTCTTTGTTCTTCAGATTTTCTAACAGGGAGGGGGCCAGTCTGCTTCTCTGTGCCATGTTCTTACCTCACACTGTCCCAAACACATTCCCCAAAGGACACTTTAACCCCCATTAGGTATTGTCACCATAGAGTTTTAACTGCCTCCCTCTTCCTCACATGAATTTCCCATTCCACTCACTTTTGACAGGAGTCCACGCAACTATGTGCAGGCATTTATAATTCTGGTAGGAAAAGGACACCAATGCAGGACACAGGGGATATAAACAGAACAGTATATGTAGGAGAGAAAATATTTTCTAAGTACCACTTGAATGTAGAAGCATGAATCAATCACACACTAAGGATGAAGGATGCAGAGATACCACATCTCTGCATTTTTTCTAAATCGAATGAAAGCTAATTTTACTCTAATATGTTCATTTTGCTCTCTGAGGTTGTTCATGAGCATCAGGAATTCAGGGCCCTATAAGGGGCATGAGTTCATGGTTGTCATGGTGACAATTGCTGACAGCATCTCCTTCCCTTTAGACATAATCACGGCCTTGAAAGTGGGTACTGCTGCACCTACTCCTGCCGAAGTCCAGCAGGAGTGGCTCATGCTCTCTGACCCCATCCTGACCACAAGGAAGTCTGGAGTGTTCCCAAGATAGTGGCTTTTCCCAGTCCTCACCTGCCCGTGAAGCCATCTCCCCTTCAGGCCGTAGTACATTGACCTTCTTCACCTTCAATAGCACAAACATTCCATTTCTGCTTGAGCCAACCCAGCTTTATTCTCCAAGGGCCCATGAGCCTGCTGAGATAGCTAAAAGTTGTTAACCTCTTGTTGCTTGCAGAGACTGAGCCTTAGGTATAGACTGTGGTGGGTGGGAATAATTCCATTCTAAGTGGTCTTCAAGGAACAAAACAAACCCAAGTGAAGGACTTCTGGATTCAGCTGCAACATGCAAAGAGCTTGGAAATCACCACTCCCACCCTTATAACAAGAGAAGGCTGAACACACCGAAAATCAACAGTGCTTCTTTGACCCATTAAAGAATTGAGGTCACAGGGCAAACCCTCCACCCTGAAATGTGAAGAGGGAGGCACACCCAGGAAGTCACAGCCAAGATATGCTTACCCGAAGCAGAAGCTGCTGGAGTAGTAAGCTAGGAGGACACTTAAGTGGTCATTTTGATTGGTTGCTGGAGGCTGAGTGTGACTAGACTAGACTAGAGTAAGAAGCTCCTGGGGGCCACAGACTTAGGGGATCCCTATACTTTCACGGGTTTTACCTCCAGGGGCCCCACCACTTGAGTGAAAAGCCAAGAAAAACCCACTTGTTTCTGACAGGAAGTAGGGAAAGTAAGCATTGAAAATACACCTACAGATAGAGGCTTCTCCCTAACAAAGACCAACACAGCAGAGGGAAATTCTTTACCAGAGCAGCATATAACCTCAGGGGGAGGGAAGTTTTCCAGTTCCAGCCCCCTTCAGCATGTCTCATCTAAGTGGGGAAGAGGAAACACTAAGAAGCCCATATGAAGTCACATCCAGGGCATAGGCCTAAAGGACTGAGATTTAATCATAAGATTATAAAACACTCCTCCTCCCCAATACTTTATCACCACACCAAAAGAGCTCTATTGCAATAACAGTGGCTTATAGTTGAAATGCTGCAAAGTATAAACTGTATTTAAAAACAAGTTCTTAGGGAAGCCCAAAGATAAGAGAAAAGGTATTGGGTAGTGATAGTATAAGGATATCCATAATAAATAACAGCAACCTTATAATGGACAAGAGGAGGACACTGGGGTTACTCTATTATATGGTGCACTACATGTGAAATGATATGGTGTTATTTGAAAGTGGATTTAGATTGTGGTAAATGCATATTGCAAACTCTAAGGAAACTACTTAGAAAATCAAAAACAAAGAAAAAGTCTTAAAAAAAGCCGGAAGAAAAAGGATACCTTACATATAGAAAAACAAGGATCAGAATTACACTGGACTTCTCTTTAGAAACTGTGCAAGCAAGAAGAGAGTACAGTGAAATATTCAGAGTGTTGAAAGAAAAAATATCCACCAACCTAGAATTCTATATCCAACAAAATTATCCTTCAGCACGAAGGATAAATACTTTCTCAGACAAATAAAAAATCAGAGAATGTCACTGATCATTAGAGAAATGCAAATCAAAAACACGATGAGATACCATCTCACATCAGTCAGAATGGCTATTATTAAAAAGTAAAAAAATAACAGATGCTGGTGAGGTTGTGGAGCAAAGGGAATGCTTATACACCATTGGTGGAAGGTAAATTAGTTCAGCCACTGTGAAAAGCAGTATGAAGATTCCTCAAAGAGTTAAAAACAGAATTACCATTCGACCCAGCAATCCCATTACTGGGTATATACCCAGAGGAATATAAAGAATTCGACCATAAAGACATATGCACATGAATGTTCATGGTGGCACTGTTCACAATAGCAAAGATGTGGAATTAACCTAAATGCCCATCAATGACAGACTGGATTAAAAAAATGTGGTACATATATACCATGGTATACTATGCAGCCATGAAAAAGAATGAGGTCATGTCTTTTGTGAAATGTGGATGGACCTGGAGACCATTACCCTTGGCAAACTAATGAAGGAACAGACAACCAAATACTGCATGTTCTTACTTATAAGTGGAAGCTAAATGATGAGAACTCATGAACACAGAGAAGGAAACAACAAACACTGGGATCTACTTGAAGATGGAGGGAGGGAGGAGGGAGAGGAACAGAAAAAATAACTGAAATGAAATAATCTGTACAACAAATCCCCAGGACATAAGTTTATCTATATAACAAACCTTCACACATACCCCCAAACCTGAAATAAAAGTTAAAAAAAAAAATTAGAGGTTGTATCACTAGCAGACTTACTCTGCAAGAAAAGTTAAAACAATTTCTTTAGAGGAAAAAAATGACATAGTCAAATACTAAGATCTACGTAAAAAGGAGCATCAGAGAATGAATAAATCAAGATAAAACAAAATCATTTATTTTTCTTATTCTGAATCTTATTCTTATTTGTTCAAAGTAATACTAGCAACAATGTGTTGGGTAGTTATATAATATGGATAACTGAAATGAATAACAGCAACATTATAATGGACCAGAGGAGGAAATTAGGATTACTCTGTTATAAGGTGCCTGCACTACCTGTGAAGTGGTACAATTTTATTTCCAAGTGGATTTAGATTGTTGTAAATGTATATTACAAACTCCAAACAAATTACTTATAAAATTTTAAGAGAATTATAATTTGTATGCTAAAATAGAATTATTTAAAATCCTTAATCAAAACAAGAGAAAGAAAAATCTGAGGGAGAACTTTAAAAAGGAACCAAGAGCAAATGGAAGAATAGAAAGTAATTTTTAATTCAGATATATCAATAATCAGTTTACATATGAGCATTCTACATACACCAATGAAAAGACAGAGACTCAGAATGAACTAAAAACCATGATTCAGATAAATAGTGTCTACAGGAAACCTTTAAATATAAAGTCTCAGGTTTTAAGTGAAGAGACAGAGAAAGATATGTCATGCTACCTATAACATGTTATAAAGATATAACATGCTAATCCAAAGAAAGTGGGAGTAGCTATAGTAATTTCAGGCAAAATAGACATAAGAGCAAGGAAGATTATCATGGACTAAAGAGAGTCATTGCCTAATGATAGAGGGATCAATTCTTCACAGATACATAAAAATCCTGCTATGCATGCTTCCAACAGGATACTAAGATATTCAAGGCAAAAGCTGATAGAACTACAAGGAGAAATAGACAAATCCAGTATTATTAGTTGGAGACTTCAATAACTCTATCAGCAATAGACAGACTCAGAAGGCAGAAAATCAGTGAGGGCATAGTTGACCTGAACAGCACCATCAGTTATACTCTGTGACCTTCTTTCTGCACAGGCAGGGTAAAGGAAGAGAACAGAGACTAGGACAGGGTTTCCTCATGGCCTTAACTGACTAATTAGTAATGTTTACATTTAAAGAAGGTGAGAAGGAATGTCCCTAAACACAATAAAGACCCTATGTGACAGGCCCACAGCTAACATCATATTCAATGGCAAAGAGTTTAAGGGTTTTCATTTAAAATCAGGAATAAGATAAGGATGCTCACTCTCACCACCTTTATTCAATTGCCCTAGACAGAGCAATTGGCAATAATAATAGCAATAATAGGCACCCAAACCAGAAAGAAAAAAGTAAAACTGTGTCTTCTCTGTTGGCAAGTGACATGATTCTAAATACAGAAAAGACTAAAGATGCCACCAAAAAAAAATCACATTAGAATTAATAAAAGAATTCAGTAAGTTGCAAGATAGGAGACAACATACAAAACTCAGTAGTGTTTCTATATACTAACAATGAACTCTGAAGAAGAAATCAAGAAAACAATCCCATTTACAATAGCATTTGAAAAGCCTTAGGAATAAATTTAACCAAGGAGGGTTACACCTTGAAAACTTAAAACATTGATAAAAGAAGTTGAAGAAGATATACATAAATGGAAAGATATTCTTGTTTATGGATAGGAAAAATTAATATTGTTAAAATGTCCATGTTACCCTAAGCAATCTACAGATTCAATGCCATCCCTATCAAAAGGCCAATGACATTTTTCACAGAAATAGGAAACAATTATAAAATGTGTATAAAACCACAAAAGACCCCAAATAGCCAAAGTAACTATGAGCAAGAATGAAGCTGAAGGTATTACACTTTCTAATTTCAAATTATATAACAAAGCAATAGTAATCAAAAAGGCATAGTACTGGCATAAAAACAGACACATAGACTAACAGAACAGAATAGAGAGCTGAGAAATAAACCCACACATTCATGGTCAACTAATCTTTGACAAGAATGGCAAGAATACACAATGGGGAATGGCTGATCTCATTAATAAATGATTTTAGGACAAGAAGATGTCCACATGCAGATTAATGACATTAGACCCTTATCTGACACCATGCACAAAAATCAACTCAAAATGTATTGAAGAATTAAACATAAAGCCTAAGATTCTAAAACTCATAGAAGAAAACAAAGGGAAAAGATCCTCAACATTGGTTTGAGCAATAATTTTTTAGATTTGACACAAAAAGCACAGACAGAATAAGCAAAAATAGACCACTGGGACCACATCACACTAAAAAGCTTCTGCACAGCAGAGGAAACAATCGACAAAACGAAAGGACAACCTATGTAATGGCAGAAAATATTTGCAAACCAGATATCTGATAAGGGATTAATATCCAAAATATATAAGGAATTCATACAACTTAGTAACAAAAAAGATTTAAAAGTGGGCAAAGGACCTGAATAGACATTTTTTTCCCAAAGAAGAATACAAATGTTCAACATATATATGAAAAGATGCTCTACATCACTATCATCAGGGAAATGCAAATTAAAACCACAATGAGATACCACCTTATACTTATTAAGACGGTATTATCAAACTGTCAAAAGATAACAAGTGTTGGTAAAGATGCAGAGAAAAGGGAATCCTTGTGCACTATTGGCAGAAATGTAAATTGCTACAATCGCTATGGAAAACAGTATGAAGGTTTCTCAAAAAGTGAAAAATAGAACTACAATGTAACCCAACCATCCTACATTTGGGTAAATATCTTAAGGAAATAAATCACAATCTTAAAGAGATATTTTACACTCATGTTCATTGCAGCATTATTCACTGTAGCTAAGCAGGAAAGAAGTGTCTGTCAACAAAGGAATGGATAAAGAAAATGTGGTATACATATATAAAGAAATATTACTCAGCCTTGGGGGAGGGACGTCTGCCATTTCTGAGACTTGAGTAGGTAAACAAAGCAGCCAGGGAAGCTCGAACTGGGTGGAACCCACCACAGCTCAAGTCCTGCCTGCCTCTGTAGATTCCACCACTAGGGGCAGGGCATAGCTGCAGAAATCTCTGCAGACTTAAATGTCCCTGTCTGACAGCTCTGAAGAGAGTGGTGGTTCTCCCAGCATGGTGTTTGAGCTCTGAAAATGGACAGACTGCCTCCTCAAGTGGGTCCCTGACCCCCCTGTAACCTAACTGGGAGACACCTCCCAGTATGGGCTGACTGACACCTCATACAGCCAGGTGCTCCTCTGGGACTAAGCTTCCAGAGGAAGGATCAGGCAGCAATATTTGCTGTTCTGCAATATTTGCTGTTCTGCAGCCTCCACTGGTGATACTCAGGCAAATAGGGTCTGGAGTAGACTTCCAGCAAACTCCAACGGACCTGCAGCTGAGGGACCTGACTGTTAGAAGGAAAACCAACAAACAGAAAGGAATATCATCAACATCAACAAAAAGGACATCCACACCAAAACCCCATCTGTAGGTCACCAGCATCAAAGACCAAAGGTAGATAAAACCACAAAGATGGGTAGAAACCAGAGCAGAAAAGCTGAAAATTCTAAAAACCAGAGGGTCTCTTCTCCTCCAAAGGTTCACAGCTCCTCACCAGCAACGGAACAAAGCTGGACAGAGAATAACTTTGGCGAGTTGACAGAAGTAGGCTTCAGAAGGTCGGTAATAACAAACTTCTCTGAGTTAAAGGAGGATGTTCAAACCCACCGCAAGGAAGCTAAAAACCTTGAAAAAAGATTAGATGAACAGCTAACTAGAATAACCAGTGTAGAGAAGACCTTAAATGACCTGATGGAGCTGAAAACCATGGCATGAGAACTATGTGATGCACGCACAAACTTCAATAGCCAATTCGATCAAGTGGAAGAAAGGGTATCAGTGATTGAAGATCAAATTAATGAAATAAAGTGAGAAGAGAAGTTTAGGGAAAAAAGAGTAAAAAGAAATGAACAAAACCTCCAAGAAATATGGGACTATGTGAAAAGACCAAGTCTACATTTGATTGGTGTACTTGAAAGTGATGGGGACAATGGAATCAAGTTGGAAAACATGCTTCAGGATATTATTCAGGAGAGCTTCCCTAATCTAGCAAGGCAGGCCAACAATCAAATTCAGGAAATACATAGAACACCACAAAGATACTTCTCGAGAAGAACAACCCAAGACACATAATTGTCAGATTCACCAAGGTTGAAATGAAGGAAAAAATGTTAAGGGCAGCCAGAGAGAAAGGTTGGGTTACCCACAAAGGGAAGCCCATCAGACTAACAGCAGATCTCTTGGCAGAAACTCTACCAGCCAGAAGAGAGCGGGGACCAATATTCAACATTCTCAAAGAAAAGAATTTTCAACCCAGAATTTCATATCCAGCCAAACTAAGCTTCACGAGTGAAGGGGAAATAAAATCCTTTACAGACAAACAAATGCTAAGAGATTTTGTCACCACCAGGCCTGCCTTACAAGAGCTCCTGAAGGAAGCACTAAACGTGGAAAGGAACAACCGGTACCAGACACTGCAAAAACACGCCAAATTGTAAAGACCATCAAGGCTAGGAAGAAACCGCATCAACTAACGGGCAAAATAACCAGCTAACATCATGATGACAGGATCAAATTCACACATAACAATATTAACGTTAAATGTAAATGGGATAAATGCCCCAATTAAAAGACACAGACTGGCAAATTGGTTAAAGAGCCAAGACCGCTCAGTGTGCTGTATTCAGGAGACCCATCTCATGTGCAGAGACACACTTAAGCTCAAAATAAAGGGATGGAGGAAGATCTACCAAGCAAATGGAAAGCAAAAAAAAGCAGGGGTTGCAATCCTAGTCTCTGATAAAACAGACTTTAAACCAACAAAGATCAAAAGAGACAAAGAAGGCCATTACATAATGGTAAAGGGATCAATTCAACAAGAAGAGCTAACTATCCTAAATATATATGCACCCAATACACAAGCACCCAGATTCATAAAGCAAATCCTTAGAGACCTAGAAAGAGACTTAGACTCCCATACAATAATAATGGGAGACTTTAACACCCCACTGTCAATATTAGAGAGATCAATGAGACAGAAGGTTAACAAGGATATCCAGGACTTGAACTCAGCTCTGCACCAAGTGGACCTAATAGACATCTACAGAATTCTCCACCACAAACCAACAGAATACACATTCTTATCAGCACCACCTCACACTTATTCTAAAACTGACCACATGATTGGAAGTAAAGCACTCCTCAGCAAATGTAAAAGAACAGAAATCACAACAAATTGTCTTTCAGATCACAGTGCAATCAAAGTAGAACTGAGGATTAAGAAACTCACTCAAAACCACACAACTACATGGAAAATGAATAACCTGCTCCTGAATGACTACTGGGTACATACGAAATGAAGGCAGAAATAAAGATATTCTTTGAAACAAATAAGAACAAATACACAACATACCAGAATCTCTGGGACACATTTAAAGCAGTGTGTAGAGGGAAATTTGTAGCACTAAATGCCCACAAGGGAAAGCAAGAAAGATCTAAAATCAACACCCTAACATCATAATTAAATGAACTAGAGAAGCAAGAGCAAACAAATTCAAAAGCTAGCAGAAGGCAAGAAATAACTAAGATCAGAGAAGAACTGAAGGAGATAGAGACACAAAAAAACCCTTCAAAAAATCAATGAATCCAGGACTTACTTTTTTGAAAAGATCAACAAAATTGATAGACTGCTAGCAAGACTAATAAAGAAGAGAGAAGAATCAAATAGATGCAATAAAAAATGATAAAGGGATATCACCACCGATCCCACAGAAATACAAACTACCATCAGAAAATACTGTAAACACCCCTACACAAATAAACTACAAAATCTAGAAGAAATGGATAAATTCCCGGACATATACACTCTCCCAATACTAAACCAGGAAGAAGTTGAATCCCTGAATAGACCAATAACAGGCTCTGAAATTGAGGCAATAATTAATAGCCTACTAACCAAAAAAACTACAGGACCAGATGGATTCACAGCAGAATTCTACCAGAGGTAAAAAGAGGAGCTGTTACCATTCCTCCTGAAAATATTCCATCAATAGAAAAAGAGGGAATCCTCCCTAACTCATTTTATGAGGCCAGCATTGTCCTGATACGAAAGCCTGGCAGAGACACAACAGAAAAAGGGAATTTTAGACCCATATCCCTGTGAACATCGATGTGGAAATCCTCAATAAAATACTGGCAAACCAAATCCAGCAGCACATCAAAAAGCTTATCCACCACAATCAAGTTTGTTTCATCCCTGGGATGCAAGGCTGGTTCGACATATGCAAATTAATAAACGTAATCCATCACATAAACAGAACCAAAGACAAAAACCACATGATTATCTCAATAGATGCAGAAAAAGCCTTCAACAAAATTCAACAGCCTTCATGCTAAAAACTCTCAATAAACTAGATATTGATGGAACGTATCTCAAAATAATAAGAGCTATTTATGATAAACCCACAGCCAATATCATACTGAATGGGCAAAAACTGCAAGCATTCCCTTTGAAACTTGGCACAAGACAGGGATGCCCTCTCTCACCACTCCTATTCAACATAGTGTTGGAAGTTCTGGTCAGGGCAATCAGGCAAGAGAAAGAAATAAAGCGTATTCAATTAGGAAAAGAGAAAGTCAAATTGTCTCTATTTGCAGATGACATGATTGTATATTTAGAAAACCCCATCATCTCAGCCAAAAGTCTCCTTATGCTGATAAAGCAACTTCAGCAAAGTTTCAGGATACAAAATCAATGTGCAAAAATCACAAGCATTCTTATACACCAATAACAGACCAACAGAGAACCAAATGATGAGTGACCTCCCATTCACGATTGCGACAAAGTGAATAAAATATCTAGGAATCCAACTTACAAGGGATGTGAAGGACCTCTTCAAGGAGAACTACAAACCACTGCTGAACAAAATAAAAGAGGACACAAACAAATGAAAGAACATTCCATGCTCATGGATAAAAGGAATCATTATCGTGAAAATGGCCATACTGCCCAAGGTAATTTATAGATGCAATGCCATCCCCATCAAGCTACCAATGACTTTCTTCATAAAACTGGAAAAAACTACTTTAAAGTTCATATGGAACCAAAAAACAGCCCACGTTGCCAAGACAATCCTAAGCAAAAAAAGAAAAAAAAAAGCTGGAGGCATTGTGCTACCTGACTTCAAACTATACTAAAAGGCTACAGTAACCAAAACAGCATGGTACTGGTACCAAAACAGAGATATAGATCAATGGAACAGAACAGAGGCCTCAGAAATAATACCACACATCTACAGCCATCTGATCTTTGACAAACCTGACAAAAACAAGAAATGGGGAAAGGATGCCCTATTTAATAAATTGTGCTGGGAAAACTGGCTAGCTATATGTAGAAAGCTGAAACTGGATCCCTTCCTTACACCTTATACAAAAATTAATTCAAGATGGATTAAAGACTTAAATGTTAGACCTAAAATCATAAAAACCCTAGAAGAAAACCTAGGCAATACCATTCAGCACACAGGCATGGGCAAGGACTTCATGACTAAAACACCAAAAGCAACGGCAACAAAAGCCAAAATTGACAAGTGGGATCTAATTAAACTAAAGAGCTTCTGCATGGCAAAAGAAACTACCATCAGAATGAACAGGCAACCTACAGAATGGGAGAGCATTTTTGCAATCTACCCATCTGACAAACGGCTAATATCAATAATCTACAAAGAACTTAAACAAATTTACAAGAAAAAACAAACGACCCCATCAAAAAGTGGGCAAAGGATATGAACAGACACTTCCCAAAAGAAGACATTATGCAGTGAACAGACACATGAAAAAATGCTTATCATCACTGGTCATCAGAGAAATGCAAATCAAAACCACAGTGAGTTACCATCTCACACCAGTTAGAATGGTGATCATTAAAAAGTCAGGAAACAACAGATGTTGGAGACGATGTGGAGAAATGTGAACCCTTTTACACTGTTGGATGAAGCTGGAGAATATTATGCTAAGTGAAATAGGCAAGACACAGAAAGACAAATACTGCATGATTTCACTTGTATTAATATATGGAATCTTTTTTTTATAAAGTCAAATTCATATTAACAGAGTAAAATGGAGGCTATCAGGGGCAGTGGGTGGGGAAAAAGGGGAGATAATTGGTCAAAAGATAACAAATTTTCAGTAACAAGATGAACATGTTCTGGAGCCCTAATGTACAGCATTCGTGACTACAGTTAATAGGACTGGATTGTATAATTGAAATTGCTAAGAGAGTAGATCTTAAATGTTCACAGTACATAGACACACACACACATGTAAGTATGTGAGGCTATGGATACATTAATTAGCTTGTGTGGTAATCATTTCATACTCCATGCGACATACTCCATGATTCCATTTATACGACATTCATGAAGTAAAACGATAAAAATGGAGAATGGGTTGGTTGTTGTCTGGGGTTGGGGTGGGAGGGAGAGTGTAGGAACACCTATAAGGGGGTGGCACAAGGAGGGAGCCTGGTGTAGGGGTTTCTTGATTGTGTTGGTGGTTACATTCAGCTGCACATGTGATGAAACTGCAAATTGCTACACACAGTCACAATACATACACACACAACACATACACATACACAAAAATAAGTGCATATAAAACCAGTAAAATCTGAACAAGCTCTATAGACTGTACAAATGTCGATTCCTGCAGTTAATTTTGCACTATGGATGCTTAAGTTGTTACTACTAGAGGGCTGGGGAAGAATGTGTGGGACTACCCTAGTACATTTCCTTGCACCTTCCTATGTATCTATATTTGTTTCAAAATAAGACTTAAAAAATAATTTTATAAAATATAAGTGTGAAAGAAGAGCAGTAACCGGACATTAATATTTTAGATAATATGTGACTTTAAACATGTATCTGTAATGCAATTAATGAACAAAATATTACAAGTGTACCTTTGACTATTTTATTCACATATACCAAATTAGTGTGGTTTTCAAAACATCTTTTAAAAATATCTTCTCACTAGGAAAATGGGGATTGCCTGACATTTGGGATTGCATTACATCTGTACCTAAATAATTAGGTTCCTCCTTGGTGCCCATAGCACCCTGGGCATAATCCTATCAACACACTCACAAATACCTGTTTGTGGGCTTCTCTTTTCACCAGTTGCTAAGTTTCTTGGTGTCAGAATAATAGCATGGGTGAGGGTAGAGCTGGGTTTGTTCATTTCTTCCTTTGTTCTTTCTCTTGTTCATCCTTTTGCCCACCCATTCATCAGTGTGTTAATTCACTCATTCTTTCAACAAACACTGAGACCTAGGACTAGGCACTAGGCATTGAGTGCTGGGTGCTGAGTGCACACTCAGTAATCCAGGGAGACAAGATGCATGCCCTTTGGAGTTTACATCCCTGTGAAAGAGCTAAAAAAATAAAATAAAAACACCAATCACAAAAGTAGATAAGCTAATGAAGAAAATAATTGAAAATTGTGATTATCATTCGGCAAGTAGAAATAAGAACTAAGATAAGGGAGAGCGACAGAGTTGGGGGCAGAGACTCCTTTCGGTCAGATGGTCCAGGAAAACCTCTCTGTGTTTGGCATGTTTAGGCTGAGTCCAGGAGATTGAGAAGGGTTAGCAGTACGAAGAGCAGAATGACATTCCAGGCAGAGGGAGCAGTGCGTACAAAGGCCCTGGGGTAGGGAACGGTCGAGTATGCTCAGGGAGTCAGTGAAGGCCAATGTGCAGGGGACTGGTGGCCAGGGTTTAAGTCCCAGGGGCAGAGGTGGAGAAGTCTGAACTCACACCTTCAGCTCTAGATGCTATTGCAGGGTGAAGCATCTCTGAGGCTCTTGCTGTGTTAATTCTTATAGGATACCTATCTGTTTATTTTCAAAGCCACATCCTGAATTTTGAGAAAAATAAAAGAACATTTTAAGGCTCAGAATCCAACCTGCTGAGAGTATGTGTTCAACTCTGGACTTTCTCAGAGCCTGTGGTTCTCTTTGGCCTAGGTCAGGATTGAAACACGGAGAATCATGTTAACAATGGTTCCTAAGTTGCCATATCCACTCTCAGTGGCTATGGGAGCTAGGGGTACTCTCCTCCTGCATGACAGCTCAAACCCCCTTACAACTGCTGCCCTCACTTTTCAACTCCTTGGCCAAAGAGGGTCACAAGGCAAAGACAGTGGTGGACATGGGGTTGGTGGGGAGAGCCTTTCCATGCCCTGCACCCATGCTGGGGCTCCCTGGGGGCTGCTGGGTATTTGGTGCACTGGCTGGTGTCCTCTGTGTACTAATCCACTTTCAGACAGTCTTTCTTATTTTGCATGTCATTGTTGTGCCTGTGGAGGGAGTGGTGGGGAGAAGCATGTGGCCTCAGGAGGGGCTTGCATCAGTCCTGCAAGTCTGAACCTGAGAACCATCCTTGACACTTCTCTCTCTTTCATCCCCCATATACCATCCATTTCTAAATCCAATCACTTTTGCCCCCAAATAACTCTGAATTCTCTCCCCTTCCCATTACATCCACAGTTATTTCCTAGTCAAAGCTGCAATTATTTCTTACTTGGACCTTGGCACATTTCAGGCACACACATTTTCTCTTCATCCCCCAGCTTAAACCAGTTCAGTGACTTTCCATTTTCCCACTGTTAGACCAAAAGCCAGAATCCTTGGCATGGACAATGGCCTGGGTACAGCCAGGATTTGTTGCCAGCCTGGCCTCCCTCGTTCTGCTCCCTACATCTCTGTGTTAGCCACACTGGCCTTCTCACAGACTCTGGAGCATACCGTGCCATCTCCCACCACAGGGCCCTTGCACATGCTGTTTCTTCTGCCTGGAATGCCCACTCCATCACATCCTGCACAAATATATTGGCCCCACTTAATTCTGTACATGTTTAAGAGCTCAGGCCTAAGCTTCACTTCCTTAGGGAGTTCTCTATCCAATGGATTCTACTCCAGTTTAGACCAATTGCCTTCTCCCTCTGTGTAGTAATGATTGGCTTAATATTTGTCTCCACTAGAGTAGAAGCTCCATGGAAACAAGACCCTCACCAATGTTGTTCTCCACTATGTCCAAGAGGCCCAGTACAGTGGCAAACTCATAGCAGAAACACAATAAAATAGGTGTTGAATGAGCAAATAATGAATTAATTGGGAAGTGGGAGTAGGGGATCTTGGGTTCTAGTCTTTCTTTCCCTTCCTCCCTATCTCTCTCTCTCTCTAACTCAATGAGCAGTATAATCAAACTAGGTAACAAGTAGAAGGGGTAAAAATACAGGGCTTGGGTAGTAAGAGCTGCAAGACATGGGACAGAGAAATCCATAAATGTCCAATGTATGCAGGCAACCGAAAAGCCCTCAGCATCTGACATTTCTCTGAGTATGGCAGAAATCTAAAATGTGTCAGTGGCTTGGCCCCTGAGCATTTAGATTTTTGTAGGCTACCACACATTTGGGCAAAACTACTTCCAAACTGCTGGGCCATGTATAGATTACTACTTTCCTGGCCTGCTTTTAACATTTATTTGTAGGAGGCAAGACTGAGCCAATGGTCCTGAGGGCCCCACGGTAGGCCACCGAGGGCTCAAAGAGTCTGGCGGCACCATTGGCTCATGTGCATACCCAGCAAACTCATGTTCTTGCATCCAGCTTTGGAGCTGGTGGGAGACACTGGATAAGGACTCTGTTTTCAAGGAACAACCACTGTGAGCTAGCTTAAGTCGAAAGGGGAAATTTGTATCTCCAGACTTGAGACCATGTCTTATAAAGGATCAAAACCAAGCACACAGCCAGGGCTGCCTCCCTCTGGACATCTTATTTATTCTCTCTGATTTTAGAGAGCTTTGGTGGGTGTAAGATGTGACCCTGCTCCTTCCATTTAAGAGACTTGCCCAGATTGGGCATCTGAGTCCCGTCCTGAACTCTCAGAACAGGACCCCGACAGGCGCAGCTGCATGAGGGTCCACATACAGCCCAATGAACCATGGCCAGGGTGGAGAGGTAACCATGAGCAAACCACAGAGCTCCTCAGATCCACTCCTGGAAGTTAAGGGGGCTGATGAGCTGGTGGCAAGCTTGGTAAACACGCTAAGAGGCTCTGACAGTATGATGCCTATCTTTGGAATGAAGGGTCTGTACTGAATGTTAATAGAATCAGCAGTGGGAAACTCCAAGTAAGGATGACCGCCTTTTTACGACATATCATCTGGTTTATTGTACTGTACACGGTGAGTGCATTATACACGGTATGAGACTGGAAGTCCCTGTGGTAAGAAACTACGTGGTCTGGTGTTCTAACAAATAACAAATATTCTACTGGGGCTCAAAAATAAGTAATAATGACATCATCTCCACGGCTTTTTCATTACTGACACTAGCATGGAAGCTATTCTTCATGGCTTAAGTAATCCCCAGTAATCAAAACAAGGCACCATCTTGCTGAAGAACCCATTTGCTTTGCTGCTGGGGAATGTTGTCATGTGAGGAACTGAAGCGTAATGAGAGTGACTCACAAAAGGGTTTCCACACGGAGAGAACAGGCCACCATCTCCAGCCTTCCTTTTGTTTTCTATGCCCATAAATTTGATTTTATGCACCTTGCAGGGTTCATAGCCACCTGCATTCTCTTTCCATTGAGGATGCCCTCTGCAATCCTGGTCCTTAACCCAGAGAAAGAGCGCAGGAGTATCAGGAGTCCGGATGAAGTCTGAATTATCAGCAACTGAAAGTTGTGGTGTCAGAACACAGCAAGGCCGGTCATGAAGCTGGAGCAAAGAGGGTGATGTCACACTAGTGCGTGCCGACTATGAGCTACACCGACTCACACAGGCCTCTTTTATTCCAACAACAACCCCTCGAGGTCAGTATTAAGTTATATAGCAGCAATGGGTAACCACTGAGTCATTTAATGCACAGATGTAAATTTGGGGACAATTTTTCTTACAGTAATGTGGGGAGCAGATTCAGCAGCACACACACTGGAGGCAGAATGTTTATGTTCTGCAGAGCAAAAAATAAAAAAAAAAACCCTTTCAACCATCAAAAGACCAGGCAAGTCTTGCTGATTTGCAGGACAGAGGGGCTTCTGGCAAGATGTGCCTGGAGCCAGGGGAGCGGCGCTGAAGCCTCAGGGATGCGCAGGGAGGGGCAGGATGTGGTGTGCATTGCCCTGGAATCATGTTCCTGAGCCTCATCAAGGAGGAGCCGGGTTTCCTGGAGCAGCCGCCCCTGTGATGACACGAAGGAAAAGGATATGATCAATATCCTTTCTGAAAAGGATGGAAAAACGGCACCCTCCCCTGGACTCGCACACATTTTTTTCTAGCTCAGCAAGAAAGAGTGAGGTCCCCTCAGCCTCTGCGCACATCAGGGTGACAAAGGTGGACAATGTCTGGTTCGCCTTTCACCTTCAAGGCCAATTCTGGGACTTACAGAGTAGGTGTCAAAATTGTATTTTAAGACAAATGCACTTGGTACTGATGTGCTTAATGGCTCCATTTTAGACATTTTCCACAATTCACACTCACACCTGAGGCAATCAGTATAGAAAAATCTTGGCAGAAAAGTGAACAGGTGACAGGTTTGGGTTACCTGTGAGTGTTTAATTGAAGGACTGTGGTTTCCTTACTCCTTTGGCTTCACACAGATAATTAAAACTTGAAAGTGCTTTGAATATTTATTCATTTTTTTCACCAACAGCTGATGATCATTAAACACACAGAAAATTCACAATAAGTATTTGGTCAAGCCCTTTGTTCTTCCTGTTCGTACAAACCTGCAGGGTGGTTATGAAGATGGATGCGCTCTGGGTATACATTGGTTTTCAACTCTGCTGAAGGATCAGACACCCTCCCAGATGGAACAGCCCCACCTCTGGCTATAAATATTATAACCCCAGGGATTTCTAAGGAAATACATATTCACTGCTGAAGGTCCCAAGTGTGAATTTAGCTTAAGGAATGTGGAACGGCAGCCCCTGCCTTTAAACTTTATAATAAGGGTCCTTCCTGGAAGCGCAGCCTCCCGGGCCCACGCGACGTCTTTTCCTGGAAAACCAAAGACCTCAAGAGCTGCCGTGGCCAGGGCAGGCTCTCAGGTCTCTTTGGCTCTGAGCTCCTTTTTGTAATTCAGCTTCCTGACGCCTGCATGAAGATGCCAAACACGAAAATGGCTATTGTCCCATTCTAATGGACAAAAGTCCAGACAGGAATAGGCCTTGAAAAAAATGAGACTCTGCCCTGTTTTTGGCCAGTCCTGACACTAGGATCCTTCCTATAATACTCAGGTGAGGAAAAAACAAGTTACATATTTTCTTTACCTGCAAATACTGTGAAATAATAAAACTTTAGAGCATTATTAAACTTGCACTTCAGAAAGAAAACTATTGTATTCCCACATTTTGATTCCAACACACACCCTTCCCTTCCACCCTCACATTCTTCATATTCCTGAAATTGAGATGCATCTTACCCTCAGAGTTTACATTTTATGTCATGCTCCTCTCTTGAAAAAAAAATCTGTTATTGAGTTGGTTCTTTGTCTTTCATCTTATGCTATCTGAATTAGGGAAATGTGCCATGTGTTTTTCACCATCCAATTAATTTAAACACAAATATGCTCAATAACTGCAAAAGGTGACTCTAATGAGCTCTGTGGAAAGCATTTATTTCTTCCTAGACACAGAAATTTCCATCCTTATTCAGTTGGTCTTTCACTTATTTTTGTTCTGTTCTTGTAGGAACCCCATGTATTTCTTAGCCCACCTTGATCTTTATTGGGCTGTTATATTGCTTTTTCAAGGACATTATTATTGTATGCAAAAAGTCCTTATTCTCTGACTATGACTATGCTCTGCATTCACTTTGAAAAAAAAAGTTTGTAAACTAATTTCTCCAGTGATTTGCTCCCCCTAATGCTCTGCAAAATGCCAGCTGCCTGTGGATATTCCTGGAATTGGCTGCTTGAAACTAAAGGCTCTCAAGTTTTGCAATGATTTTTCCATGATCCTGGCTGTGTCTGAAACGTTTTGATGTGAAGAAGCATAAACTGGCTGGACCCTGAGCTGCAAATGAATTTCGTGGTCGGCAGGACTGAGAGTTTCATGTTACTTTCTGTGCAAGACCACCCACTGTCTCCCCATGACCTCTCCACTGCCCCCCACCCACTGGGATGTACAGCTGCTCTGGAGATGTTATTGAGCCATTCTCCTTCAAGTGCACTAGCCACTCAACAACACACACTTTAAGGTTACCGCCTTGCGTCCACCACTATCTTGGGCATGATGGGGACAAGCAGGGCAACCCTTGACATAAAAAGATTTTGTTTTGATTTTCAGATGTAAAGTCTCTGAGCTCATGAACCTTTATTCCACAAGGACACGTTACATGCACAGAAGTTCTCAGGGCATAACAGAAAAAAAAAAGCAAGAAAGCAGGGTTCTCCTAACAGTAATTTGTGCCCTGTCCTGTGTTAACCCAGATTCCTTTATCAGGACCCTGCACTCATCCCCAATTGCTGGGCATGTGGGCTGCTAACATTTCACAGCTGCATACTTTTCTGAAGAACTGCCTTTGGCCAATGGTTTCCACTTGTCCTGAAATATCAGGCAGCATACACATCCATTGGTATCTGACACAGGAATACAAAAGACTGGTCCCCTTGCTTTGAAGTGGGATAAACCTATAGTGCTGTCATGCTACATGTAGGGTCACGCTGAGATTAGACCCCAGCAACACCACATTTTCACCTGGCCCTTTCCTCTGCCCCACCTCATTTCTTTCCTATCTCTTCTCCTAAAATGCTCATTTAGTAAATAATTCAAAATAATTCTTACCTTGGGCTTTGCTTCTAGGAAAATTGACCTGTGAAAAATGTTTTATCTCTTTAAGAAATTTTAAAATAAAAACAAAGAAGGGAGGGAAGACATGTAAGATTACCCTTCATGCAGGCCTTTATTCAGGCCTTGCTATGGAAAAGAAACTAAAATACCACCCCTAAGAGAGTTTCCTGGCTTCAGCAATGCCACCCCTAGTCTCTTTAGAAGAACCTTTCAGTGGCATCCTTCTATAGCAAACACCACACACCATGCACCCCAAATAGCTGCCAAGAAATGGAACAGGGGCAGCAGGGGCTGCCCTTCCTCTGGAGGGTAGAATCAGAGCCCTGACCCATGTCCAGAGTGGAAGGTAAACTCAGGTTGAGTTCAATAGAAGGAGCATCTAAGGGGCTCATGCAGACAGAAAAGGTCTTCATGAGTCAGGTATGCAGTGACTCTGGAGTTAGATGAGAATCTTACAGTTCTATGAGGGAAGTCACTGCAAAATGACTTTCATGGAATTCCAGAAAACCATGTCCAAAAATAGCAAAATAAGATCCTTTCTTGCACTGTAGTTTATGTAGGGATAAAATATACATTTTGAAATGAGACAGAGTGACCACAGGTAGAGTGAATATGGCAGCTACAGAGGGCTAAATGCATCCTCAAGGTACACCAGGCTTAAAGCATGAAAGCAGGAGGTAATATCCCGACTCTGGTGACCCAAGAGGCTGTTAGGCAGGTGTTGGACACCATGGCAGACAGTTAAGCAGTAAGGAAAATAATCCTGTAGTGTATGAACCTGAGCTGACTTGGTGCCCACGGCTGGGCTGGGCTACATCAGGCTCCTCTGGTGTGAGTTTACATTTCAAGGTATGACACTTGATCTCAAAATAGTACAAAACACATGAGAGCAAGCTGTGTGCATAAATTGGTTCCAGTGCACACAATAAATTAAATACAGATAAAAACATATTTATTGTAAATAGAACTGGCATCCCAAGTTATAAAAATGTAGTAATTTGATTCCTGACATGATGTTTTAGCACTCTTCACCATAAGACCCACCAGACCCATCTTTGTCAGTCTTTGTCACTCCATCAATTCCTTTCTCAACAGAGGATGAACAGGGAAAGATAAGAAAAAAGAGAGAAAGACTGAGTGACCATGGGACTGAGAGGCAGTCAAACATGTGGATGATGGGTGGATGGATGGATGAGTGCATAAATAGGGAGAGAGAGAAAAAGGGGCACTGGGAGACAGGGAGGCATACATTTATTTATATAGACAGAGAATGAAAATAGCAGTTTTGCCTCCATAGAAAAAGCATTCCTGAGAATGAAGTCAACACAGGAAAACAACACAAAGGTGAGAGAGGGACAGATACATAAAGACATTACATGAACTACTGGATCCACTATAATATAGTAGAAACAAGAGTAAGCTCAAGATCAGTTTCAGAGTTTGCTTGGGGAGCAGGAGAGTCCATGAGTGGCCAATGTTCCTACCTGGGTATATGTTCCTAAAAACTTTTCTGTCCAGGCCAATACATTTCATTTCCCATTGTCTTAGTTCCTCATGTGTCAAGTGTGTGGGGAGATGAATGTAATATTTGAAATGTCATATGATTCTTTTGAATCAAGTTTTGCTCACTATTCTTTCATTACTCTTTCAAAATTTAGGTTTCAGATCCTATTTAATTTTATTCTATATTGGCACAATCCATAATAAATTTTCTTATATTCTCACCTCTCACTGCTCAGTAGTTTACTTGTATTTAGTTAAGATTTTCATATACAAAAAAGTAATGATTTTGTGATGATGAATACTGTTGAGGTTTTCTTCATTTTATTTCTTATCTTAAAAAAATAATCCTTCTAATCTGATGGCATATAAGAAGTTTGGTAGTCATCATTTCTGTCCTTACAAAAGGAAAAAGCTGAATAAACTGAAAATCAACTCTCTTCTAAGATTCAACAGAATATTAATGTCACAGGGCGAATGCTGTCCCCAAAACTGTAGAGGCAAGCAAATAAAGAGAATCATAGCTTACTGGGAGAAGAGAGTGCTGCTGCAGCCAGTGACTCACAGGAAAACTTAAAGGGTAATAGACTAATTGCTGACGTCTGAGAGTTTTCTCCTGGAGACCCAGCCTTATGGGGACCCACACTTTCATGAATCTGATCCCCAGGAATTTCACCATGTTCTCAGAGTGAAGATCAGAGAATATTTTCTTCCTAATTCCATTGGGAGAAGGGAAAAGTAACCATTTGGAAATATGCCCGGAGTATTCTGTTCTCCATAACAAAGACCTGCCCTCAAAACAACACAAAACAAAACAAAAACTGTTTTATCAGAGCCTTACTCAACATGGATTAAGGGCAATATCCAACTCTAGCCCCTTCTAACCTCACTGTTCTATCTAAGGGGGTGAGGGGAGCTGAGAAGCATTTGTGCACATAACAACTCAGAGGCACAGATCCACTAAAAGACTGAGATCTAATCATAGGATTACAGAAAGCTTCCTCTCTCCACACAATTTACCACCACTTCAATAGGGCTCCAGTGAATAACAGAAGATAACAGCTGAAAAAACTGTTAATGTCGGACCATATTTTTTAAAAAAAGAAGTCTCTGGGGAAACAGAAAGACAACAAGGGATACCCAAAAAGTGACATCAGGGAATATTTAGCCTCTGACACCTACAACTGAAGCAAATAAAAGACATCCTAACTTCTAGTCAGATGAATTTTAAAACCCCACACTCAAAGCCTATTTATTTGTTTCTTTTAGTTAATATGTCATCTTTGCTTTCAACACAAAAATTTACAAAGCATACTAAAAGACAAAACTCAAAACAAAATTAAAAAGCCCAGTCCAAAGAGAAAGAACAAGCATCAGAACCAGACCCAGATACAGCAGAGATTTTGGAATTATTAGACCAGGAATTTAAAATAACTATGATAATATGCTAAGGGCTCTTGTAAAAAAAATTAGGCAATGTACAAGAACAAATAGATAATGTAGGCAGAGAGATGGAAACGCTAAAAAAAATTAAAGTTAAATGCAATGAATAAAAAACACTGTAACACAAATGAAGAATGCCTTTGATGAACCCATCAGTAGACTGGGTGTGGCTGACAAAAGAATCTGTAAGCCTGAACACATGGTACTAGAAAGCTTCCCAAACTAAAAAGGAAGGGAAAAAAGAATGAAAGGAAAACGAATAAAACATTCAAGAACCGTGGAACAATTTCAAAAGATGTAACATGCATGTAATGGGAATATCAGAGGAAGGAAAAAGAAAGAAATAATGAAGAGAAGAAATATTTGAAGTAATAATGGCTGATAATTTTCCAAAACTAATTACAGACACTGACCACTGACCCAGGAAGCTCAGAGAATATCAAGCAGGGCAAATACCAATAAAATCTATACTTAGGCATATCATATTCAAACTGCATAAAATCAGAAACAAAAAGAAAACCTTCAAAGAAGCCAGGTGGGAGGTGGGACAGCATTACCTACAAAGAAACAAGAAAAATAATTATATCAGATTTATTTTAAGAAACATTTCAAACCAAAAGAGAGTGGACTAAATACTGAAACTCTTGGGGGGAATAAAAAACACACACCAACCTAGAATTCTGCATCCAGTAAAATTATCCTTCAGAAGTGAAGGAGAACTAGATTTTGTCAGACAAGCAAACACTAAGAGGATTTATCATGTGATGTTGACCTTGTATCTTGGGACCTTGTTACACAGTTCACTGAGTAATATTTTATTGTATGAAATGAATGTATCACACATTATAAACCACAATTTGTTTATCTGTTCAACTATTGAAGAATATCTTACTTGCTTCCAAGTTTTAACAAATAAGAATAAAGATGTTATAGATATTCATGTGCAGATTTGTGTGTGGATATAAATTTGATTTCTTTCAACAGTACTTTGTTTTTTAACATATAGATCTTGTACATATTTTGTAGTATGTATGCATACTGCTTTATTGTTGAAATAATACTTTATTTCTAAAAAAATTAAAATTATAGGGTTTTAAAAATTTTTATAAAACTTATTACACAGGCCCATTATCTATAATAAAAGTGATTTCCCTGAAAAGTTAATTTTCCAGGCATTTGGGGAGAGAGTTGGAGAGGTAAGTAGATGGAACACAGGGGATTTTTAATGCAGGGAAATGATTATGGTATTGTTAGATACATGACATTATGCATTTTCTAAAGCCTATAGAACTATACAAAACAAAGAACAAACCCTAATGTAAACCATGGACTTTTAAAAATAATAATGTATCCGCCAGGCATGGTGGCTCATGCCTATAGTGCCAGCACTTTGGGAGGCCAAGGTGGGTGGATCACGAGGTCAGGAGATAGAGACGAACCTGGCTAACATGGTGAAACCCCGTTTCTACTAAAAGGACAAAAAAAAAAAATTAGCTGGGCGTGGTGGTGGGCACCTGTAGTCCCAGCTACTTGGGAGGCTGAGGCAGGAGAATGGCGTGAACCTGGGAGGCAGAGCTTGCAGTGAGCCAAGATCGTGCCACTGCACTCCAGCCTGGGTGACAAAGCCAGACTCCGTCTCAAAAAAAAAAAAAAAAAGTATCAACATTGACTCATCATTTGTAATACGTATGCCACACTAATGCAAGATATTAATAAAGAAGACTCCGGGGTGGGGAGAGGGTATGTGGAAACTCTCCCTACTTTCTGTGCAATTTTTTTATAAACCTAAAACGAGTTTTTGAATGAGTGTTTAAATTTTTTCAAGTAACCCAATATTTTTATTTATTTTTTTTTATTATACTTTAAGCTTTAGGTACATGTGCACAACGTGCAGGTTAGTTACATATGTATACATGTGCCATGTTGGTGTGCTGCACCCAGTAACTCATCATTTAACATTAGGTATATCTCCAAATGCTATCCCTCCCCCCTCCCCCCACCCCACAACAGGCCCCAGTGTGTGATGTTCCCCTTCCTGTGTCCATGTGTTCTCATTGTTCAATTCCCACCTATGAATGAGAACATGCAGTGTTTGGTTTTTTGTCCTTGCGATAGTTTGCTGAGAATGATGGTTTCCAGCTTCATCCATGTCTTTACAAAGGACATGAACTCATCATTTTTTATGGCTGGTTGGATTCCATGGTGTATATGTGCCACATTTTCTTAGTCCAGTTTATCATTGTTGGACATTCGGCTTGGTTCCAAGTCTGCTATTGCAAATAGTGCTGCAATAAACATACGTGTGCATGTGTCTTTATAACAGCATGATTTATAATCCTTTGGGTATATACACAGTAATGGGATTGCTGGGTCAAATGGTATTTCTAGTTCTAGATCCCTGAGGAATCACCACACTGACTTCCACAATGGTTGAACTAGTTTACAGTCCCACCAACAGTGTAAAAGTGTTCCTATTTCTCCACATCCTCTCCAGCACCTGTTGTTTCCTGACTTTTTAATGATCGCCATTCTAACTGGTGTGAGATGGTATCTCATTGCTGTTTTGATTTGCATTTCTCTGATGGCCAGTGATGATGAGCATTTTTTCATGTGTCTTTTGGTTGCATAAATGTCTTCTTTTGAGAAGTGTCTGTTCATATCCTTTGCCCACTTTTTGATGGGGTTGTTTGTTTTTTTCTTGTAAATTTGTTGGAGTTCATTGTAGATTCTGGATATTTAGACCTTTGTCAGATGAGTAGATTGAAAAAATTTTCTCCCATTCTGTAGGTTGTCTGTTCACTCTGATGGTAGTTTCTTTTGCTGTGCAGAAGCTCTTTAGTTTAATTAGATCCCATATGTCAATTTTGGCTTTTGTTGCCATTTCTGTTTGTGTTTTAGACATGAAGTCCTTGCCCATGCGTATGTCCTGAATGGTAATGCCTAGGTTTTCTTCTAGAGTTTTTATGGTTTTTGGTCTAACATTTAAGTCTTTAATCCATCTTGAATTAATTTGTGTATAAGGTGTAAGGAAGGGATCCAGTTTCAGCTTTCTACATATAGCTAGCCAGTTTTCCCAGCACCATTTATTAAATAGGAAATCCTTTCCCCATTTCTTGTTTTTGTCAGATTTGTCAAAGATCAGATGTTTGTAGATATGTGGCATTATTTCTGAGGGCTCTGTTCTTTTCCTTTGATCTATATCTCTATTCTGGTACCAGTACCATGCTGTTTCGGTTACTGTAGCCTTGTAGTATAGTTTGAAGTCAGGTAGCATGATGCCTCCAGCTTTGTTCTTTTGGCTTAGGATTGACTTGTCAATGCAGGCTCTTTTTTGGTTCCATATGAACTTTAAAGTAGTGTTTTCCAATTCTGTGAAGAAAGTCATTGGTAGCTTGATGGGGATGGCATTGAATCTGTAAATTACCTTGGGCAGTATGGCCATTTTCACGATATTGATTCTTCCTACCCATGAGCATGGGATGTTCTTTCATTTGTTTGTGTCCTCTTTTATTTTGTTCAGCAGTGGTTTGTAGTTCTCCTTGAAGAGGTCCTTCACATCCCTTGTAAGTTGGATTCCTATGTATTTTATTCTCTTTGAAGCAATTGTGAATGGGAGTTCACTCATGATTTGGCTCTCTGTTTGTCTGTTACTGGTGTATAAGAATGCTTGTGATTTTTGCACATTGATTTTGTATCCTGAGACTTTGCTGAAGTTGCCTATCAGCTTAAGGAGATTTGGGGCTGAGACGATGGGGTTTTCTAGGTATACAATCATGTCGTCTGCAAACAGGGACAATTTGACTTCCTCTTTTCCTAATGGAATACCCTTTATTTCCTTCTCCTGCCTGATTGCCCTGGCCAGAACTTCCAACACTATGTTGAATAGGAGTCGTGAGAGAGGGCATCCCTGTCTTTTGCCAGTTTTCAAAGGGAATGCTTCCAGTTTTTGCCCATTCAGTATGATATTGTCTGTGGGTTTGTCATAGATAGCTGCTATTATTTTGAGATATGTCCCATCAATACCTAATTTATTGAGAGTTTTTAGCATGAAGTGTTGTTGAATTTTGTCAAAGGCCTTTTCTGCATCTGTTGAGATAATCGTATGGTTTTTGTCGTTGGTTCTGTTTATATGCTGGATTATGTTTTTTGATTTTCATATGTTGAACCAGCCTTGCATCCCAGGGATGAAGCCCACTTGATCATGGTGGATAAGCTTTTTGATGTGCTGCTGGATTCGGTTTGCCAGTATTTTATTGAGGATTTTCGCATCGATGTTCATCAGGGATATTGGTCTAAAATTCTCTTTTTTTGTTGTGTCTCGGCCAGGCTTTCATATCAGGATGATGCTGGCCTCATAAAATGAGTTAGAGAGGATTCCCTCTTTTTCTATTGATTGAAATATTTTCAGAAGGAATGTACCAGCTCCTCCTTGTACCTCTGGTAGAATTCGGCTGTGAATCCATCTGGTCCTGGACTTTTTTTGGTTGGTAAGCTATTAATTATTGCCTCAATTTCAGAGCCTGCTATTGGTCTATTCAGATTCAACTTCTTCCTGGTTTAGTCTTGGGAGGGTGTGTGTGTCGAGGAATTTATCCATTTCTTCTAGATTTTCTAGTTTATTTGCATAGAGGTGTTTATAGTAATCTCTGATGGTAGTTTGTATTTCTGTGGGATTGGTGGTGATATCCCCTTTATCATTTTTTATTGCGTCTATTTGATTCTTCTCTCTTTTCTTCTTTATTAGTCTTGCTAGCGGCCTATCAATTTTATTGATCCTTTCAAAAAACCAGCTCCTGGATTCATTGATTTTTTTGAAGGGTTTTTTTGTGTCTCTATTTCCTTCAGTTCTGCTCTGATCTTAGTTATTTGTTGCCTTCTGCTAGCTTTTAAATGTGTTTGCTCTTGCTTCTGTAGTTGTTTTAATTGTGATGTTAGGTTGTCAATTTTAGATCTTTCCTGCTTTCTCTTGTGGGCATTTAGTGCTATAAATTTCCTTCTACACACTGCTTTGAATGTGTCCCAGAGATTCTGGTATGTTGTGTCTTTGTTCTCATTGGTTTCAAAGAACATCTTTATTTCTGACTTCGTTTTGTTATGTACCCAGTAGTCATTCAGGAGCAGGTTTTTCAGTTTCCATGTAGTTGAGCGGTTTTGAGTGAGTTTCTGAATCCTGAGTTCTAGTTTGATTGCACTGTGGTCTGAGAGACAGTTTGTTATAATTTCTGTTCTTCTACATTTGCTGAGGTGTGTTTTACTTCCAACTATGTGGTCAGTTTTGGAATACGTGCAGTGTGGTGCTGAGAAGAATGTATATTCTGTTGATTTGGGGTGCAGTGTTCTTTAGATGTCTATTAGGTCAGCTTGGTGCAAGTCCTGGATATCCTTGTTAACTTTCTGTCTCGTTGATCTGTCTAATGTTGACGGTGGGGTGTTAAAGTCTCCCATTATTATTGTGTGGGAGTCTAAGTCTCTTTCTAGGTCTCTAAGGACTTGCTTTATGAATCTGGGTGCTCCTGTATTGGGTGCATATGTATATATAGGATAGTTAGCTCTTCTTGTTGAATTGATCCCTTTACCATTATGTAATGGCCTTCTTTGTCTCTTTTGATCTTTGTTGGTTTAAAGTCTGTTTTATCAGAGACTAGGATTGCAACCCCTGCCTTTTTTTGTTTTCCATTTGCTTGGTAGATCTTCCTCCATCCCTTTATTTTGAGCCTATGTGTGTCTCTGCCTGTGAGATGGGTTTTCTGAATACAGCACACTGATGGGTCTTGGCTCTTTATCCAATTTGCCAGTCTGTGTCTTTTCACTGGAGCATTTATCCCATTTACATTTAAGGTTAATATTGTTATGTGTGAATTTGATCCTGTCATTATGATGTTAGCTGGTTATTTTGCTCATTAGTTGATGCAGTTTCTTCCTAGCCTTGACGGTCTTTACAATTTGGCATGTTTTTGCAGTGGCTGGTACCAGTTGTTCCTTTCCATGTTTAATGCTTTCTTCAGGAGCTCTTTTAGGGCAGGCCTGGTGGTGACAAAAGAATATTTTTCAAAAGCTTCATTTGAGAATGGAGTTTTAGCCTAAAGCTATTAATTTTCTTAATTTTGAAATAGACCCAATTATTACACATCTTTTTTTGTTAAGATCACCTTTTTTCTTAATATTTAATAACCATACAACTACAAAACATGAGAGTCAAATTGAGGTAGAATAAGTAAAGAGAGACAAACTCTTATTTATCTGGCAAATTCCCATCAAACAAATGAAACAGAAAATAAATGAGCATCATTTATGAAAAGGCTTATGTGTTTTATAGCTCTATGCCCACAGAAAATGTAACTTATTGTATCAGTCAAAGTGTCCCTCAGAATCTGAGCACTGAATTTTATTTATTTATTTTTATTTATTTATTTATTTTTTACTTTAAGTTCTGGGATACATGTGCAGAATGTGCAGGTTTGTTACATAGGTATACACGTGCCATGGTGGTTTGCTGCACCTATGAACCTGTCATCTAGATTTTAAGTCCTGCACACATTAGGTATTTGTCCTAATGCTCTCCCTCCCCTTGACCCCACCCCACAACAGGCCCGAGTGTGTGCTGTTCCCCTCCCTGTGTCCACATGTTCTCACTGTTCAACTCTCATTTATGAGTGAGAACATGCAGTGTTTGGTTCTCTGTTCCTGCATTAGTTTGCTGAGGATGATGGCTTCCAGCTTCAACCATGTGCCTGCAAAGGACATGATCTCATTCTTTTTTATGGCTGTATAGTATTTCATGGTGTATATGTGCCACATTTTCTTTATTCAGTCCATCATTGATGGGCATTTAGGTTGGCTCTAAGTCTTTGCTATTGGGAACAGTGCTGCAATAAACATACGTGTGCATGTGTCTTTACAGTAGAATGATTTATAATCCTTTGGGTATATACCCAGTAAAGGGATTGCTGGATCCTTGAGGAATCCCTGAGGAATCCTTCTAGATCCTTGAGGAATTGACACACTGTCTTCCACAATAGTTGAGCTAATTTACATTCCCACCAAGAGTGTAAAAGCATTCCTATTTCTCCACAGCCTCGCCAGGATCTATTGTTTCTTGACTTTTTAATAATCACCATTTTGACTGGTGTGAGATGATATCTCATTGTGGTTTTGATTTGCATTTCTCTAATGATCAGTGATGATGAGCTTTTTTTCATATGTTGTTGGCTGCATAAATGTCTTCTTTTGAGAAGTGTCTGTTCATATCCTTTGCTCACTTTTTGATGGGGTTGTTTTTTTCTTGTAAATTTATTTAAGTTCCTTGAAGATTCGGGATATTTGACCTATGTCAGATGGGTATAGTGAAAAAATTTTCTCTCATTCTGTAGGTTGTCTGTTCACTCTGATGCTAGTTTCTTTTGCTAGCACTGAATTTTAAATGCTGACCTACTTATTATTGCTTTATACTGGGTTCAATGTGGACAGTATCTTACACAAATACCTTTCAGGAATCACCACACTTCTCCCATCACTCTATCCACATCTACACCCGCCCTGAGTGGCTGCAATTATCAGTAGTGTGAGAAGTAGGGAATCTAATTATAGCCATCAAAAAAAGTGAAGTGAAGTGCAGTGAAGCTAAAGCAGCAACGTTACAGTCCACCCTGCACTGTGCACCCTGCACTTTGGCTCTGGTGGTACAAGAGAACTCAAAGCTGACACTAACTTTATTTATTTGTATCTCAAGGTTTAAAACAGCAGAAATTATCACTACTGAAGTGTTGAAGGGGCAGTGTGAAAATCTCTAAGCTTACCCCTAGCCCCCCAAAGGTTCCATTTTTTAATACAAAACTTGACTTGATGAGCATTCAGTTCAATCATGCACATTGTCATTGCTGGTCTGTGCAATGCCCTCCTCTTATTTCTATTGATGGTTGATTGATTCATTCATTGTTTTGCACTGTATTCTTATAATCACTATTATTCCCCTTCCCCAAAGGGAATACATGCTAATGTTTTTAATAAATGTCCTTGTATATGGACATATTGTGAACAAGAAGGGCTTTTTTTCTTTTAAAGTAATTTTTGACTTATAGAAAAGTTGTGAAGATAGTACAGAGAGTTCCCATATACCCTAAACCCTGTTTCCTCTATTATTCACATATTACCTTAATAGGGTATATGTGTCACACTAATCAATCAATATTAGTATATATTTATGCATTAAGCTCCACACTTTATTCAAATTTCTTTAGTTTTTCCTTAATGTTCATTTTCTGTCCCAGGATCCCACCCAGGACACCATGTTACATTTAACCATCATCTCTCCTTTGCCTTCTCTGTTCTGCAACAGTTTCTCAGACTTTCCTTGTTTTTGTTGACCTTGACATTGAGGAGTACTGGTCATGCACTTTGTAGAATGCCCCTCAATCTAGGTTTGTCTGCTGTTTTTCTCATGGTTAGATGGAGGTTGTGAGTTTGTGGGGAGACAACAGAGCTGAAGTGCTATTCTCAACACATCAAACAAGGGTGCAAGTCATACATATGACTTATCACTGATGATGTTATAAATACAATCACAAGAATACAAAGAAGAAAATTAGCATTTCTACTATAATGCTTATTTCTTTTTTGGCAATAAGACTAGGGTTGATACTTAGATACTTATTCCTGTCGCTACCCATTCCATGTTCCTTTTGTCCTCAGCCAGCACTTCAGTGGCCTTTGTAGTGACCCAAACTTTTATTCCTAAAGAGTTTGAGTGATTACTGTTTCTGGCTAATTTGATTGCATAAATCTGTTTGCTTTTATTGCTAAATATAGGGATACTAGGAGATTCCTAGAAAATCCACTGGGTTCCAGACATAGTCCTCCTTACAGAGAAGCAGCAACCTTATTCCTATTGATAACCAGGATCGACATCTGGGCTCTTTGGTTCAGTGGCTACATAAATGGTTCCAATTCAGTGGGGCCATTGTGTTTTCTGGTTGAATCGGCCCTCTCTCTTCAGACCCCTAAAACAGCAGGGCTGAATTTTCTGGACTGAAGCAAGAATTCTATAAGTAGATCATTAGCAGTAACAGAGAGGATCCATTACTGCTGTCATCTCTTGGCTCCTAAATGTGAATTTCAGCTATGGGAGAACCAGTACTATATATTGGTCACTGGTCTAGAGCATCAGGTCCTTCAGTAGGATAACCCACCAGCCCTCAAGGTTTTTGTCACATGGCTGTATCTTTAATGGAGTTTTAAACAGGCAATTTCAGTATTCATTCAGGACAACTTTTTAGGGTGATGGGGTACATGGCAACATAGCAATAATGATGCCCAATCAACCTGTTTTCTTTTCTTTGCCTTTCTTTTCTTTTCTTTTCTTTTCTTTTCTTTCTTTCTTTTTTTTTTTTTTTAAACGGAGTCTTGCTCTGTCATGCAGGGTGCAGGCTGGAGTGCAGTGGCATGATCTCAGCTCACTGCAGCCTCCACCTCCTGAGTTCAAGTGATTCTTTTGTCCCAGCCTCCCGAATAGCTGGGATTATGGGCACACATCACCACACCTGGCTAATTTTTGTATTTTTAGTTGAGACGAGGTTTCGCCACGTTGGCCAGGTTGGTCTCAAGCCCCTGACCTCCAGTGATCCACCTGCCTTGGCCTCCCAAAGTGTTAGGATTACAGGCATGAGCCACTGCGCCCAGCCTCGACCTGTATTCTTGTAAAAGAGATTCCCTGATCAGAAGCAACATGAAGTGGTGTCCAATGGCAGTAAAGAAGGCATTGTATAAATTCACAGATGCTGGATGCTTGAAAAATCTTAATAATCAAAGAAGAAAAATCCATGTCCAGAATAAGTGTCTATTTCTAGTAAGGAAAACATCACCAACCTGCCACATTGGAAAGGACTGTGTATCAGTTAGGGTCCTAGCAGAAAACAGATGACATCCCCAAGGGTTAAGGAAAATTTAATAATGGGCCATTTACAATGGCATGATTCAGGGTGCGGAAAACTCATAAAGATAGGTTCAGCTGGGGAGATGTTACCCACTTGGGCCTGAGGTTGGGGAGCAGCAAGGAGCAGATACAGAGCTGGAGCACCTGCTTATACAAGAGGCACCCACCATGGGAGTGCTGGCTTTAGATAGAGGCAACCTTTAAGGGGGGACCTGGGGAGTGAAATCCTCTGCTCCACTCTGCTCTTGTCCTCAGCCCTCCTTCTTGTGTTCACCATTAATCTAAACCACCTAGAAGTCCGAGGATAAAGGAGCCTGCTGAGTAGTCCCCATGTAGTCTCCATAGGTCAGCCTTTGGCGTCACGAGCATGTTAGAAAAGGCACAAGTCAAGTAGTGAGTGGTAAGTGGAGCTGGAGGTCTACATAGAAATCATCTACTCCACCCTTTTCGCTGGGCAGCCTCCATCCCATCCTTTTTCCAGATGAAAGTTCCTAACACAAAAGACACACAAATTTCCATCGGCTGCCTATTAAGCAGGGGATGTCAATAAGATTATCCTCCCTTCTCAAAACTTAACAATTAGCTTTCACCAATACTTTCATATAATATTTCAAGGGGAATGCATAAAAGAAGTAATAATCGGCATAAATCACAGCTGCTCTAGTAACCCCTTTTGTAGCTGGGCATGAGGCCAGGGTTGGTGGCAAAGGAAGCTGTGTTCAGATGCCCCTAGCTGCAAGACAAGTCTGCCTACAAGAAGGAAGACTTCGATATGTAGATTTGGAGTGTGGTTTCCTTCACCCATATTAGGAGTGTGCACGTGGAAGATGCAGTTATTAGGAATACAGGATCAGAAGGCCCAAGGTAAAACACTTGCCCTTCCCCAAGGAATGACTGCTTCATCCAAATACTAAAAAGTCTCATGAAACAAAATCATCTCCAAAGGGAGCCTGGAATGAAGCTACTGGGCATTGGCCAACTTGCTAGGACTGCTGGAAGAATGGTGCATGGGGACAGAGGTGGACATTTCACTCAGGTAGGGGGAGCTATCACCTGTGGTCAGAACCCAGAGACAAGGGGCAATTTCATCAAGACCAAATTAAAACATTGAGTTATGTTTGGTTTGCAGCTGGATGGAATTTTATATGAAGTAACCCAGTCCATTGACCCTAAAATCAGACCTGGGAATGAAAAGTAGAGGGACTGGAATGTTATGTTCAAAAGTCCCCCTTCCTTCATCCCTCATTATCCCCATTCTCTAATACACTCCTTTGACAAGTAATGGCTTTGCTCCAGGAGGGAGGGAGCCTGATCCTAACTGATCCATCACATTCAGAAGAGGAGTCCTACCCAGAGTTAGGCCTCTTTCCAATTAGCCTGGAGACTGGACCTCATCACTAGAATGTGTCACTGGGATAGGACAATGGCAAACACACGTCTTGAGAACAGAACTCGTATAGTTAGGATTAAAACTGAGGGTGGTGGAATATCTGATCAGTCCACAGACTTGGGTATCAGTGTCCTTCAAAAATCATTTGGGGGCAATTAGGACATCCTTTTCTCTTGTGATTACCAGATACATGTGACTACCAGAAGGCTGGAGAATACACGTTTAGCTGATGTAGACATACTAAAGCCTGAGGACTTTTGCAGAGAAAGCCCTGTCCAGATGATGATCTGATTCAGAAAATGCATACCCACTCCACTTAGACTGAGTAAAATATAGAGCTAGTTCAAGTCTAAAACTCTGTCCTTCACCTAAGGAGATAAAATCTGACCGGGTTCTGTCCATCTTCTATTTTTAAACTGGCCAAAGAGGTAGGGACAGAAAGTAACCAAGTATCCACAGAAAGAGTTAGGAAGAGCTAATCTTAGACAGAGACAGGCTGGTGACACTAGCCACATCTGAGTAGCTAGCACCAGTGTGGAGATAGCAGGTCAGATGGGAGCTGCAATGGAAGCGTCCAGCTTCAGGTAGCAGTGCAGGAGAACTCCTTCCCAAGCCTGTATTCATTGTCTAAAGCTGCTATAACCAGTTACCACAAATTCATGGCTTAAAACAACACAAATTACATTTTATCATTCATAAATTCAAAATGGGTCTTGCTGAGCTAAAATCAAGATATTGGCAGAAGTGCATTTCTTTCTCGAGACTCCCAGGGAGAATCCTTCTCATTAGTATTTCCAGTCTCACAAGGCCATCCTCTTTCTTGGCTGGTGACCCTTTTTCTTTATCTTCAAAGCCAGCGACAATAGGTTGTGTTCTTACATTGTATCACTCCACCTTTTATCCTCTTCCTTCTCTTCCACATTTTAAAACCTTGTGATTACACTGGGCTGTCCTGGCTTATGCAGGATGATCTCCATATTTCAAGGTTGGTTGTTTTGCAAGCTGATTTTGTTTCCTTAGTTTTTCTTGCCATGCCAAATAACACACTACAGGTTCTAGGGACTGTGCTGTGGACATCTTGGGGCTGGATAGAAACCACTATTCTACCTACCACAAATTCCCTTAAGAAGCAACAGTTGAACAAACAGGGCCCTGGTAACCTCAACACAGGGATCCACCTGGATCTAGTATCATGAAGAAGAAAAGGCTATCTCACTCAAAGAAAGTGGGAAAGTGGTAGGAGAGCTGAGTTTTCCCTGAGCCCTACCACGATAGGGTCACACCAAGCCAACCAGCACTTTATTTTTCCCAGAACATCAAGTAGGTCCTCAAGTGAAGTGCCTACAAAAATATAAGAGGTTGGAACTAAAAGTACTAAATAGTGGGTCACAAGTGACAGGTGTGTTCTTGACAATAAATGACAGAGAGCTGAGCCACTACCTGAGGTAGAGGCAGGACAGCCTGGGCCAATTTGGCTTAAGGAGCAAAACCCACCCAACCATGCCTGTGTGGTCATCTGTAAGGGAGGATGCAGAAATGATAAGAAGGAAGATAGCATGTATGGTAAGCACCGAAGCAGGAGCTGGGGAATGTCAGGGCTGATGGAGACAACTTCCATTCCTCAATTTTTGTCCTAGGTTGGTTCCCCCATAAGCCAATTGTGAAGCAAAGATTTGAGAATAAGCTTTCATGGGAGGTGATACCAACAAATACTGCTATGGGAGGGGGAGTATGACATGAAAGGGAAGCCAGCCAATGTAGTGTGCTTTTGTGAGCAGGTCATTCATGGGGAACTGGAACTATATCCATGAAGACCTCTAGGAGCATTTTCCCATCGGAGGGTGAGAGAAGCTGGGGCATTTATCTATCAACTTTCACTTATCGTTGAAGTCTTCTCCCAAGGCATTAACCTCCCATCACTTTTGGCCTGCCCTGCATGTGGGCCTAGCATGTCTCCCCAGCCAGTGGAAGCCTAGAGCAGGGAGCAAAATGCATGAATGATAATGAAGGATCTGAGCACAGCATCAGTAGCATCTGCTCCAAGGATGGAGGAAGGCAGGATGGGAACTTCCCAGGCTAGGAAGGGTTATAAACAAGAAGACTCAGAGGTTCCCGATGGAAGGCTCAGGATTGTCCCAAGGGTTCTTTTCAGAGTTCTAGCCCAGTATGTCAAGCAGCATGCAGAAACGAATACCTAACTACTCTTTATATTTGCCTCCCATGTGCAGACACTTCAGAAAGGTGAAGGCTGAACAAAGGCACACAGTAATTGTGCACAGTAATTGATCTTTCGGGGTGGTATGTATAAAGCCCTCCCCACCAAATGGAGTCAGAGAGTTTTTATTTTGATAGCTCCTCAGTAATGGACAGTGGAAGGAAAAGGATACATGGAAAAGAATACTTCAGGGATGGGATTTAATTTGTTTTCAGACTGTGAGTAATACAGGACAGAAGAGAATAACATTTTTTCCAGAGAAATCTAAGCCGTGTTCATTGTCTAATATCGAAGACTTGCAAAAACACATTGAACAGAGGTTAATTAAGAGTATAATATCTGAATCCTACAGCACTATAAATCCTCCATTGTCATGGTCAAGAAGGAATATAGCCAGCACAAAGCCCATAAAAATGCTAAAGAAGATTAGCACATTTCTGCTTGAATTGAGGACACCTTGGACTGCTTGCTAAGGAACAGTAGCTTTAAGTAAAGGACTCGAAGAGTGTCCTTAGCTGGTTAGAATAAAGACACAATTTGCCTTCATTTCCCTGTTGGCTTTTACCAATTTACAAAGAGGCCTTGAGGTAAAGGAAAAGATTAATGAGGATGTGAAATATATAACAGCATTTGTTTATTTAGATGAGATAATTATTTTCACCAGCACCAGAAGAATAGAAGCAAGGTCCTTTGGATATCTGGTCCCCTCAGGAAAATAGTTTAATATTGTCCTCAGACATGGGTCAAATTGCCTGCACCTTTGTTAGTGGACACAGAGGTCCCAGTCTGGAGACAGCATTGTCCTTGAAACTCTATCCATAATCAACAATTGCCATGAACCAATTGTAGCAAACTCAGAAAGAAAGAAAAATTGCTTCAGAGGTTTATAGAGGTTTTTAGAGTATTCCTAAATTACAGACCTCACAATATCTTAAAGCAGGGTTGAATTTGGAAGGCTGAGCCCTTCCAAAAAGAAAGGAAAAGATCATAGGATAAATAATACTCATTATCATCAACCCGCCTCAATCCATTAATTATAAAGAATTTTAAACTATCTTAGGGAGTTTTATCCAAGATTTGCCGAGGAATAACTCCAGGTTGGTAAGGCACCCAGCTATTTAAAGCAGATTTTTTAAATGATTAATTCTTTTTCAAATAATTTTATTAAGTTCAGCGGTATATGTGCGGTTTGTTACATACGTAAATGTGTGTTGTGGAAGTTTTTTGTACAGGTTATTTCATCATCCAGGTATTAAGCCTAGTAGCAGCAGTTATTTTCTCCACCCTCTGACAGTGTGTGTTGTTCTCCTCTATGTGTCCATGTGTTCTCATCATTTAGCTTCACTTAGAACATGCAGTGACTGATTTTCTGTTCCAACCCTAGTTTGCTAAGGATGATGGCCTCCAGCTTCATCCATGTCCCTGCAAGTGACATAACACTCTTTCTCCCTTCTTTTCTTTCTTTCTTTTCTTTTCTTTTCTTCCTTCCTTCCTTCCTTCTCTCTCTCTCTCTTTCTTTCTTTTTTTTTTTCTAATGGAGTCTCACTCTGTTGTCCAGGCTGGAGTGCAGTGATGCCATCTCAGTTCACTTCAACCTTTGCCTCCTGGGTTCAAGTGATTCTCCTGCCTCAGCCTCCCAAGTAGCTGGGCTCACAGGCACCCACCACCACACCCAGCTAATTTTTATATTTTTAGTAGAGACAGGGTTTCACCATGTTAGCCAGACTGGTCTCCAACTCCTGACCTCAGGCGATCCACCTGCCTCGGACTCCCAAAGTGCTGTGATTACAGGCGTGAGCCACCGCACCAGGCAAATATTGTTCCTTTTTATGGCTGCATAATATATCATGGTGTATATGTACCACATTTTCTTCATCCAGTCTATCACTTATGGGCATTTAGGTTGATTCTATGTCATTGCTATTGTGAACAGTGCTGCAATAAACATATGCATGCATGCGTCTTTATAATAGAATGACTTATATTTCTTTGGGTATATACCTAGTAATGAGATTGCTGGGTCTAATGGTATTTCTGTCTTTAGGTCTCTGAGGAATTGCTGCACAATAGTTGAACTAATTTACACTCCCACCAACTGTGTAAAAACATTCCTTTTTCTCTGCAACCTTGCCAGCATCTGTTGTTTTTTTTGACTTTTTAATAGTAGCCATTCTGACTGGAGTCAGATGGTATCTCATTGTGGTTTTGATTTGCATTTCTGTAATGATTAGTGATGTTGAGCTTTTTTTTTTTTCATATGATTGTTGGCTACATGTATGTCTTCTTTTGAAAAGTGTCTGTTCATGTCCTTTGCCCACTTTTTAATAAGGTTGTTTTTCTCTTGCAAATTAGTTTAATTCTTATAGATGCTGGATATTAGACCTTTGTTAGATGGATAACTTGTAAAAATTTTCTGCCATTCTGTAGGTTGTCTGTTTACCCTGTTGATAGTTTCCTTTGCTGTGCAGAAGCTCTTTAGCTTAGTTAGGTCCCATTTATCAAGTTTTGCTTTTATTGCAATTGCTTTTGGCTTCTTCATCATAAAACCTTTACTCATATCTATGTCCTGAACAGTATTGCCTAGGCTGTCTTCCAGGGTTTTTATAGTTTTGGGTTTTATATTTAAGTCTTTAATCCATCTTGAGTTAATTTTTGTATATGGCATAAGAAAGGGTTCCAATTCCAATCTTCTGCATATGGCTAGACAGTTATCCCAGCACCATTTGTCGAATAGGGAATTCTGTCCCCATTGCTTGTTTTTGTCAGGTTTGTTGAAGATCAGATAGTTGTAGGCATGCAGTCTTATTTCTGGGTTATGTATTCTGTTCTGTTAATCTATGTGTCTGTTCTTGTACCAGTACTATGCTGTTGGTTACTGTAGCCCTGTGGTATAGTTTGAAGTTGGGTAGCATGATGCCTCCAGTTTCATTCTTTTTGCTTAGGATTGCCTTAGCTATTTGGACTCATTTTTTGTTCCATATGAATTTCAAATTAGTTTTTTCTAGTTCTGTGAAGAATGTCAATGGCAGTGTAATAGGAATAGCATTGAATCTATAAATTGCTTTGGGCAGTTATGGCCATTTAAACAATATTGTTTCTTCCTATCCATGAACATAGAATATTTTGTTTGTGTCATCTATTCGTTTTTTTTTTTTTTTTTTGGTTTTTTTTTGGAACAGTGGTTTGTAGTTCTCCTTGTTCTCTCTCTTTCATCCCCCTGGTTAGCTGTTTTCTCAGGTATTTTATTCTTTTCATTGCCATTGTGAATGGAATGATATTCTCAATTTGGCTCTCAACTTAACTATTGTTGGTGTATAGGAATGCTAGCAATTTTTGCACATTGACTTTGTATCCTGAGACTTTGTAGAAGTTGCTTATAAGACTAAGAAGCTTTTGGGCTGAGACAATGGGGTTTTCTATATATAGAATCATATAGATATAGAATCATGCCTCTGCAGTTTGACTTCCTTTCTTCCTATTTGGATGCCCTTTATTTCTTTCTCTTGCCTGACTGCCCTGGCCAGAACTTCCAATACTATGTTGAATAGGAGTGGTGAGAGAGGGCATTTATGTCTTATGCCAGTTTTCAAGGGGAACGCTTCCAGCTTTTGCCCACTCAGTATGATGCTGGCTGTGGATTTCTCATATACAGGTCTTATTATTTTGAGGTATATTCCTTCAGTACTTAGTTTATTGAGAGTTTTTAACGTGAAGCGATGTTGAATATTGTTGAAGGCCTTTTCTGCATCTTTTGAGAATACCATGTGGATTCTGTCTTTAGTTCTGTTTTTTGTGATACATCACATTTATTGATTTGTGTTTGTTGAACCAACCTTGCATCCTGGGGATGAAGCCTACTTGATCACAGTGGATAAGGTTTTTGATGTGTTGCTAGATCTGGTTTGCCAGTATTTTGTTGAGGATTTTTGCATCAATGTTCATCAGGGTTATTGGCCTGAAGTTTTCTTTTTTTGTTGTGTCTCTGCCAGGCTTTGGTATCAGGATGATGCTGGCTTTATAGAATGAGTTAAGGAGGAGTCCCTCTTTTTCAATTTTTTTGGAATAGTTTCAGTAGAAATAGTACCAGCTTTTCTTTATACATCTGGTAGAATTCAGCTGTGAAACCATCTGGTCCTGGCCTTTTTTTTTTTTTTTTTTTTTTGGTTGGTAGGCTATTTATCATTTCAGAACTTGTTATTTTTTTTTTTACTCTAAAAGTCAGATATATTTTTAAAAGATCATGCTTATAATAAGCAAATTACATAGTAAGGAAACATCAAAATAAAGTAGATGAATAAAAAGGCATACTTGAAAAATTCAACAGCAGAAAGGACAGTTATTTTTGTTTTGTTTCTAATGCCTGAAGAAAGAGAAAGAGACATGAAAACTATTTTTTCAAGTGAAGGTTTCTGTCTGTTGAAGTAGTTAGCATTGGCTTCTTTTCTCCTGTGTCCAAAGCAGGCTTTTCCTGCACTGGCTTCTGAGGAGTTGTTTAGTCTTCTGCCATGTACAGGCAATACATCAAGGCAACGGCCACTGTTGAGATGGCAGGGATCACCCAGTTGGTCCACCAGCTGGAACTAGAAACAACAGTAGCGATAAAAGTTTCTGAAAGCTTGCTTAACTTAAGTTTATCATCTGGATGGAACTCCTCAATGATATATGTTTTGGACAATTCCCTAGCATCTGTAGAGTGCCCAACATCCTCAAAGTTTGCAGTAGCGTCACCTCCAGCTTCTTCCTTTAAGACTTCTTCTGTTAAGACTTCTTTCCCACCAGGATGCTCAGGTGTTCAATTTCTTCCTGGTTCAGTCTTGAGAGGGTGTATGTGTCAAGGAATTTATCCATTTCTTGTAGGTTTTCTAGTTTATGTACAGAGAGGTGTTTATAATATTTTCTGATGATTGTTCATATTTCTCTGGAGTCAGTGGTAATAATCCCCCCATGTATCTGTGTTTATTTCAATCTTCTATCTTTTCTTCCTTATTAGTCTAGCTGGTGGTCAATCTATTTTATTATTTTATCCAAAACGCCAGCTCTTGGATTCATTCATATTTTGAATGTTGTTTTGTTGTTGTTGTTGTTGTTGTTGTTGTTGTTGTTTCTATTTTCTTCAGTTCTTCTCTGAGCTTGGTTATTTCTTGTCTTCTGCTAGCTCTGAGGTTTGTTTGCTCTTGGTTCTCTAGTTCTTTTAGTTCTGATGTTAGGGTGTTGATTTGAGAACTCCCTAGCTTTTTGATGTGGGCATTTAGTACTATAAATTTCCCTCTTAACACTGCCTTAGTTGCATCCCAGAGATTCTGGTGTTGTATCATTATTCTCATTCATCTCAAAGAACTTCTTGATGTCTCCCTTAATTTCATTATTTACCCATAAGTCATTCAGGAGCAGGTTATTCAATTTCCATGTAATTGTATGGTTTTGAGTGAATTTCTTTGTCTTGATTTCCAGTTTGACTGTGCTGTGGTCTGAGAGACTATTTGTTATAATTTCAGTTCTTTTGCATTTGCTGAGGAGTGTTTCATTTCCAATTATGTGATCAATTTTAGAGTAACTGCCATGTGGCAATGAGAAGAATGTATTTCTGTTGATTTGGAGTGGAGAGTTCTGTAGATGTCTATCAGGTCCACTTGATCCAGAGCTGAGTTCAAGTCCTGACTATCTCTGTTGATTTTCTGTCTCGATGATCGGTCTAATATTGTCAGTGGGGTGTTACAGTCTCCTACTATTATTGTGTGGGAGTCTAATTCTCTGTGAAGGTCTCTAACAACTTGCTTTATGAATCTGAGTGCTCCTGTGTTGGGAGCATACATATTTAGGAAAGTTAGTTCTTGTTCAGTTGAACCCTTTACCATTATGTAACTCCCATCTTTGTCTTCTTTTATCTTTGTTGGTTTAAAGTCTATTTTGTCAGAAAATAGGATTGCAAACCTCTGTAAAACATATTTTCTTATAAAATCCTTCAGCAATGTGGAAAAAGCCCACAAGGCAGCTAGTTTTCAGGAACTCGGGAAAGTCTAGGGTGAGGCTTCTGAGCAGGTGTCCAGGGCCTTGGGAGGCTGTGTAGACCTGTCTTGACACTTGATGGCTCTGCTACAGTTTTCATTACCTATGGAAACCAGCTTCGTGGGTCTAGAAGGAGATAATGGCAACCAAACGCAAAAGCCAGGATTGACCTAAGCAAGAGGCTTGTGCCATCTGGGCACTGTCAAGCAGTTTTAAGAGAATGTGCTGGGTGCCTCTTGGGTTACAGACTGACGATGTGTTCCCCAGTGCTGAGCAAGCTGCTCTAATCACTGGTGAGTGGTTGCATTGGCTGACCAGGTATTCAGTGGTGCTCGGAGATCAAGTCATATCTCAACAACAAAGTCAATCACCCTACCTGTGGACAGGTAGATTGTATGCAGATTGATGAGACAACTTCCCCCGCAGGGTTGGAGGCAATTTGAGAGTCTAGTGAACACGTTTGTATGGCCAAGCATTAGGAGGCATCCCACCATTTTCTCTCCCAGGTCATCTCACTTAGTTCTGGGGAAATCTTCTACCTTCCTTAGAGCTTGGACTGACTCAAAGCTAGAAGAGGTGACAAAAAGAAGAATGAAGCATTCTTGGCTAAAATATCCTGGACTCTCTCCAGGCATTTAAAATTTCACTTTATCACTAAAGCCAACTAGAAAACTCATAAAACATTTATTGTACCATGTGTTGCCAGGTCCAGCATGAGAACAGCAGAATTAATTGTGTTGTTCCAAAGGAGCATTCCTCAAGTGCATCTGCTATCAGCTGGTAGTGGTGATTTAAGAATCAATCGAGGTTTCTGCCAATGGTTGACTAAACTCATCTGGAATAAAATGTGCATAAATGCTGGAAAAATATTTTAACAAATACTTTTAAATGCATGGCAGCTCTTACGAGAAGGTAAGATAAATACCCTGGTGTCAAGAATCAAGTGACAGCAGGAATCCCAGGAGATAAACAAGTGCAAAAGCTGTCAGCTGAGTTGGGAAGTCTACCTTTCCAGGAGGCCTGCACTTTGTTTTAACAGCAGCAAGTGTTGGCGTGGCTCTTGCAGATAGAGAACTAAGTGGGAAGAGATGCGTTTCCAGATATCAAAATATTATAAACGTATGGTAATAAGAGTGAGATTTCAGTATATATAGAGAAAAAAATATCAAGCCATGGAACATAAGGAAAAGCTGAGATTCTGATCCACAGAAACAGGATGGGGCAATTTCATATCTAAACAAAGAGCAAGCATGCACACTTGTTTCACACCATGCACCTTAGTGGATTACAGGCTTCAATATATAAGGCAAATGTTACATGTTTAGAAGTACATAGAAGAGTGTATCCTTGGGAGTTCAGGGTCAGCAAAGATTTTCTCAAGAAAATATAGAAATATAAACCATGAGGAAAACAGTGACACATTCAGCTGCTTTAAAACTGAGAACTTCTCTCTTCATTAACAGAAAGTGGAAAAATGTGTGCCACACAGGTCAATGGAAACAGATTGGGGGTGGGGGGGGTAGAGAGAGAGAGAGGGAGAGAGAGAGAGAGAGAGCCCACGAGCTTCTCAGATCAATATCAAGAAAAGAAAGCCTCAAGGGAGAAAAACAGCAAAAGATATGGACTGGCGTTTCACAGATTAAAAAAAAACACAGTGGACAAGAAACATTAAAAACGCGCAACCTCATTAGTTACCAGAGAAACACAAGAGTAAATTTCATTGCACACACACTTGTTGGCAAAAGTTAAGAGATTTGATCACACCCAGTGCCTGGCAAGGCCATGGAGCAATATGGAACAGTTATAAATTACTGGTTGAAGTACAAATCATGAAAACGTGGCATTATCTAGGAAGTTTAAGCTGCACATGCCCTTCCATAAAGCAATTTTCAGACCTGGTGGTATATACTGGTGACTCTGGTCCATTTGCTCTGTGATGTGTGTCTAAGAATCTTTACCACAGTGTTTTTCTTATAGCAAAAACCCTGGAAAGAACCCAAATGCCTATTGATAATAAAAGGACAACTACTTCAGGGCAGTGGCTACTTCTGGGGGTGGGGGCGGGCAGTGATGGGGCCCAGGTGGAATATCTGGGAACAAGTGATCTGTTTCTTAAACTGGGTGGTGGGCATGTTAATTTCTATTTTATTTCTGTACTTTATGATACATATGTACATGCTGTGATTATGTGTATCAAATACACCACAGTTTAAAAATCATTTGAAAAGATCTGATTCAGTGCTCATCATTGGGTGGGGGCAGAATCAGGAAACCAAAAGTCAGAGACAGCCCAGTGCGAGGCTTGGAGAGCTGTCTTCCACTTACAATGGCCTACACAGGCAGCTCAATGCCACCTTCCCACTGAAGTCACAGAACCCAACTACTGAAGCCCAGGTATATTCTTGCACTGACTGTTCATATCATACCCTCTCTACAAGCCCACTTCACCTGGGGTCAAAAGGTACCCACCACCCACCAAAGCCCAGGCACTTTTTAGCTCAGTGGCTTTTTTTCTAGAATACATCAGGTCACCCATTAAGTTGTCGAGGATTTGGAGAAATAATTTAGCCGGCTGGAATCCAGAAATCCAAGATTGTTCTCTATCACTTGCATGAGACCCACTGTTTAAGTTCTTTCTCTGAAAGTTTCTCTGCTCAGAAGGCTGGGCACACTCCCCTTGGGCAGACAGGACGTTGGAGTCGCATGGTTCCAATCCCTCCTGCATTAAAACTTCTGAGAGCACTTCCACGGCTTGCAGGGAGTAGCCAGATCCAGCACCCAGCCTCTCTTGTCTGGCCCTCAGGGAGCCAGAGGACAATGTCCACTGGTATCCACACTCACCCTTGCTGCTTTTTCTGTCCCAAGTAATCCTCAGGGGAAAGGCTGAGGACAGAGGACCCCTGACATCTTCGTGATGGAGGCTCATAGAGATTGCAAATAGTTTCTTCGGTGGAAACAAAAAGACTTATCAGGAAGGAAAAAAAAGATGTGATAGGGTGACATTGGTGTGCTCTCTCCTGAACCCTCAATCAATTATTTTTCCTCTACCCTAAGAGCCTCTTATTTCCTCTCCATCCCCAACACACACACATACAGACATACAAACACATGCATATGCATACACACACATGCATAAACACGCATGCACAGTTCACGGAGCCAGACATAACTCACTCACACTACAGAGAAAAAACAAAATTTTCTTGACTTGAATTTTTCACCCTGAGCTAAAGAATCTTTAAGCTTGAGCATTAGAGAATGTCCCAGCATCTTCATATCTACACCATCTGAATTCTTAAAGAGTTTATGATCCCCAGAAGCCTGGCTACCACACTTCTCCTGCCTGTCTCACTGCCCTGCACCTCCATCTGGACCTCAGCCACTCTGAACAATTTTTCTTCCAGTCACACTTTCTCCTGCCGCAGAGCCTCTCACAGACAGATCCTCCAAAGCAAGGCCTGGAACACTCTCCTCTCACCCTCAGCCCTTAAACATCCCTACTCCTCATCCCTGCAACCCAACACCATGCAGCTTTGGTTTCTTTTTAACTTTCCTTTGTCCTCAGCCCACCTCTCCCTGCACATTAAAAAATCATTTGGCCAAAGCCGATGAAATCCCAAGTGCCCAGACCAAGTGACTTCCATAAACAAAGGCCTGCTACAACACACTGTCTTCTGAGCTGTGAGTGGCCACTCGTGTTGTGACTCTGCATGACTCCAAGGAAGGGTTGCTGGCTTTCAAGGCTGCCAAGTGTGAGAACTGGGATGATTGCAATCTGTCATTTTGCCAGATGAGAAGCTAAGCCACCACTTCCTAGTTGTTTTCCATCTGGGCCACCTTGCCAGAACTCCCTGGGACCTAGGATAAAACAGATGGACAGCCCTTCACAAAAGGCTTCCATAAGGTGAATTGGAAGGAGACCCGGGCCCGCAGCAGCAACCACAAGCTATTCCCATTGCATTTAAGCTGGCTCTGAGATGCCACCACATCCTCCAATTTTATGCTTTCATGATTGGCACCTGTTGGAATGCATAAGCTCTACACTCCTCTGGAAAGACTGACATTGAGTATGAAATAGAAATATTAAGTATAGGAGCCATATCTTGAGGAAAGGCAATTTCTCTCTGCAGAGATTTCCACTAGTTTCCCCTACTCCCTACCCACTTTTATGCAACAAAACAAAAAAATAAAACATGCTGAAGAATCACCTTTTGTCAGGTATGGTGGTTCATGCCTGCAATTCCAGCACTTTGGGGGGCCGAGGCAGGAAGATCACTTGAGGCCAGGAGTTCAAGACCAGCCTGAGCAACACTGTGAGAGCTTGTCTGTACAAAAATAAAAATAAAAAAGTAGCCAGTTGTGGTGATGTGCACCTGTGGTTTCCAGCTACCTGGGGAGGCTGAGGCAGGAGGATAGCTTGAGCCCAGGAGTTTGAGGCTGCAGTGAGCCCTAATTGTGCCATTGCACTCCAGCCTTGGCAACAGAGAAAGACCTGTCTCTCTTTAAAAAAATGGACTTTTCTGAGCTTCCATGTTTAGAATATCTACACTGGTTTGCAGCAGGAACAGACCAGAAGTTTCAGAAACTTCAAGGATCTCACTTCTTGTCAGGCAGTCCTGGAGTTAGAGCCCTTTCCTGCTAGACCCATACTCATAACACTCACCTGTGCGTCCTTGTTTTACCTTCTGGAGCTGCACAAAACCCAGAGACACCTTTGCACAAGACAGTGCTTCTGATAACTAGACTTTTCATAACTCCCATGAATATTAGATTTTCTGAGAACAATATTTTCTGTTTCTTTGGTCATTCTCTGTGTGATCTGCTTCTTAGACTGCTCGTTAGTTTATTTTGTGAACGTGTCTCTCAAAAGGCGCCACCCATCCCTGCCCCTGACTTTCAATACCACCTGAGCAAGAGAAACCATTTAGACAAGTACTTTCCCTAGAGGAGAATCAACTTCCCTCCTAAAATCTGCAACACTTTAACAGCTGCAGAGACAGCCTCTATGAAGCTCGTGGTCTGCTCAAGTCCAAAGACCCTTTCGTACCTGCATTCCCCATTCTCTGCTTGTGGAATTGATTTCAGACTTTAAAAATGGATGTTGGACATCATAGTTTGGGTTTGAACTTCTTTTTCTGGTGCAGTAAAATCATTACAAGCTTTTAGTCTACCTTTATATTTTCTGTCTTTTTTACCACTGAGGAAACTTTTGGGAAAAGGAGTGTCTCAAAATACTAAAAGTATTAATGCAACTCCAAATAGCCCCGCAGTCTAGGCATTATTATACAGCTATGGAAACACAGGCAGAGTATAACAAAACACACTTTTGTTTTCCCTCCTTTCATTCCACTAAAGGAAATCCTGAGTAGAATGGATAAGAATCCTCTATATCAAAACAGATGGCAATGACACAGCCTCAAGTAATGAGGGTGGAAGCTGGTGGGTAGACACCTGAGCCTCTTCTCCCCTCAATGAGACAACCCATGTCCTGTGCCATTTTCCTTAGCATCCTGAGTGTCCATAGTCATGACTGGAGCAATGGCGCTCCCTTGTCTTCTGTGTCCTTTTCCCCATGCTCATCCTAGTGCTTCTTGGGACCACCTCCCAAATAAGCCATATTCATCCACATCTCCATTTTGGGTTTTGCCTCTAGGAGGGGACCTAGTCTAAGACAATGAAGTCTTAGATTCTTAAATGAATATAGAGGGAAAAGAAGTGATAAATACCAGTGAATGTCAGAACACTCCAAAGACGAATTTCTGAATTCTGCAATACCTACAACTATATGTTAAACCAATACACAGAGAAAATTCTTCTTTTGAATCATAACACTTGGTTTAATTTAGTAGAAAGTTTGAGTTACAAAATTTGTTTCAGACAATGCAGCTTTGCTTCTCTTGGATATATGCAGTTTCTAGGACTTTATGCATCACACACAGCAGTAACCCACCACAGTCACATTCAGGAGTGGCTAAGAACCATCTGTGAACAGCAAACTGTCTACAGACAGTGCATCTCCAAGCCTGAAAGATACTCGCTCTCTGATGTTGTTTATGTGGCCTCTTTAAATTATTCAACAAACTTTCTCACTTAATTAAATTCAGTACAGTCCTTGATATAGGTTGGATACTTGTTCCCGCTCAAATCTCATTTTGAATTGTAATCCTTAGTGCTGGAGGGGGGGTCTGGTAGGAGGTGTTTGCATCATGGGGGCGTATCCCTCATGGCTTAGTGCTGTCTTCACGATAGTTCTCTCAAGATCTGGTAATTTAAAAAGTGTGTGGCACCTCCCCGCCCACCCTCTTACTCCTGCTTTTGCCATGTGAAGTGCCTGTTCCCCTTCACCTTCCTCCATGATGATAAGTTTTCTGAGGCCTCTCTAGGCGCTGAACAGATTCCAGCACTATGCTTGCTGAACAGCCTGCAGAACTGTAGGCCAATTAAACTTCTTCTCTTTATAAATTACTCAGTCTCAGGTGTTTCTTTATAGCAATGCAAGTGTGGCCTAATACAGCCCTCTGCCAAAATATCAAAAATTTAATTGTGGTGTCTGAATTGAATTATGGATGCTTTTTGGTGTTCGAACCAGAGCCCTCATGGAAATACTGAATTTGAGTCAAGTTCAGAGGTTTCCATTAGGACTGTATTTAGCGTTCACTGCTGATGAAGCCGAGGCCCACAGTGGCTTCAGCACGCCCGCCAGGGTTGGGTTGGCTAGCATGGTCATGGCGGAGCAGACAGGAACAGCATTCCTCATGTAACCGTCTGGACAAAAGTCAAGCTGGCTACTTCTTCATGTTGGCAGAAATCTTAATTGCAGAGCTGCATGTCTTCCCTGCCCTCCAGGTCTACAAGCACCCCGCCACAGGTTCCTCCCACACCATCCTTCTTCTTGAACAGCACAGAGTCCCCTGGACATTCTATGATTCTATAACTCCTGACTCCAGCCTCTTCTCTTAAGCAGTTTGATTTTTCTTTCCTTTCTTTTCTTTTCTTTACTTTTTGGATGCTCATTAATGGGTGATGATGATTTTGATGTCATTCTCATTACCCAGGCCTCCTAAACTTTGAGTTAAGCATGAATCTGAAAATGTCCTGGTGCGTAACAGGATTACTTGGCCTTTGAGTGTTAACCTAACTTAAACCAGGTGCACTAGCAAAAAAAAAAATAAAGATAAAAAATAGGAAAGGAAGAATTGCATATTTCCTTTAATTGTTGAAATGTAAAGTTCAAATATAGGAGTAAGTTTGAGGTCAGGTCTTTTTTCTTTATAATTAGGACTAGTTGGTCATCTCTAAAAGACGTGTGTCTCAAAAGTTGAACAACCTTAGTTTGGATGCACTAGAAGTCTTCAGAACAGAGATTTGGTGGACAAGTTGGTATAAGCCTTTTTTAAGAGAGAAGTCCAATGAGTTTTTTTGTAATTAAATGTCATCAAGCCAGGCTTTAAAAATAATAAAGATCTCCATTATCAAGATTTAAAACAGATTAATAATGCCCCAAATGGCTTCTTCTTGCCCTGGCCTCACGAGTTCACAGAAATCCCCAGCCCAGGAGATGCCACCTCATGATTGGCTGCAGTGCTGTTGACGTCCCTGCACTCCTTCACTCTCTGACTTCGAAGTTCCCTTAAGTAGGTGAGAGACAACCAACCCTCATCTACTCCGCTCTGACTTGTCAGTGTGCTTGGGATCCAGAAGTTGGCCATTTTCCTACTATGACATGTATTTTCTGTGTTATTTGAGAATACTCAACTTTGCTCTAGAAAATAAGATAAATAATCAAATAAGGGTGACAGATAAATCTAAGTGCAGAAGCAGGTGGCCTGCAAGTCACAAAGACTTCAGTGACTCAAGCTGATCGTGTGTGTGTGTGCTCCCAAGTGACAGAAAGGGATGGGAGGGCCAGAGAGGTAACCAGCATTTATGAGATCTGAAACTGAACCCAGCCACCCACTGGTGACAGACTTTCTGGCTCCGTGTGTCTGTCACCCAAAACACACAGACAGGAGTCATGACTGGTTGCAGGTCACTGGGAGCTATAGCTGCTGGCCTGACACACAGGCCCCTCCATCTCCTGAGCCTCCCTCTGGTCCTTGTCACTCCCCATCAGCAGGAAAATGAAGGAGCAAACATAGGAATACAGTAACTGGGTGCATTCATCCCGCTGGTGCTCCATCTGGAGCGTGAAACTTACCCCATCACTTTTCTGTTGCTTCTTACTGTGTTTTTAAAAGCCACTCTGTTTTATGACCTCTGGGGCAGCTGCCTCAAAGTTACTTGGAGGCTATCATTGCATCAAAAGAATTTCCCACAGCACAGAGATGGGTGGCATGTCCCAGGGCACAAGGCCTGTTAGAAACCTGTCCTGCCCCATGGTTCAGATAGTAACTAAAGGGCATGGAGGCAGAGTCAGAACTCAAGTCAGAGATGAAAGGCGCTGAGGTTCCATCCTTTATCCCTGCATGATCTCACTTCATAAATGCTTATGACATAATGTGAAGTGAAAAAAAGGAAAATCATAGCTTATATAGACAATAGAACTCTTATAAAACTGTTTCCATTATAGATAAGTAATCATATTTATCTGTGCATTTACATACTTACTGAGCAAATGCTAGTGTGTTAGACTGAATGTTATGGAAGTATTTTTTCCTCTGAATATTGAAAACATGCATTACTCTAAGTAGATATGTATTAATGTATGTATAAACACTGAAAGATGCTGGAAACAAGTACATAAAAATGGTAACCATGGGTGATAGGATTATTGATAATGTTTGGTTTCTTATTCATTTTTTAAATATTTTAGGAATTTCTAAAAGTCAACAAGAATTGTTTTATAATTGAAAAAAATTATAATGCTACTCCAAACATGCCCCCACAACTCAGATTTTTTTTTTTTTTTTTTTGAGGTAGAGTCTCGCTCTATCGCCCACGCTGGAGTGCAGTGGCACGATCTCAGCTCACAGCAAGCTCCGCCTCCCGGGTTCATGCCATTCTCCTGCCTCAGTCTCCTGAGTAGCTGGGACTACAGATGCCCACCACCACGCCGGGATAATTTTTGCTATTTTTAGTAGAGACAGGGTTTCACCGTGTTAGCCAGGATGGCCTTGATCTCCTGACCTCGTGATCCGCCCTCTTTGGCCTCCCAAAGTGCTGGGATTACAGGCGTGAACCACCGCGCCCAGCCACAACACAGATTTTTACAGGAGTTCTAAAGCAGGAAAAGGGCCAAACTCACAACCCAGGGAGGTTTGATCCTTTAAAATCATAATTACAGTTAGGCAGGAGGAATCAGTTAAAGCGATCGATTGTACAGCATGATGACTATAGTTAATGGTGATATACAGCATTCTTAAAAAACACAAAGAGAGTGGATGTTAAGTGTTCTCACCCCCCAAATAATGCATTTGTTAATTAGCTAGAGTTAATCATTGCACAATACAGATACACTTCAAAACATCATTCTATGCACAATGAATACATACAATTTCACTTTTCAATTAAAAAAATCAAATGACAGCCTCCAGCCATCCTTGGAAGGTCTCATTCAATATAGCAGGCATCCCTCCCAAGATGCATCACTCTCATCATTTGCTGGCCTGCACCCAACAACTTCCCGTTCTTTCTAGTTTCCACACTTCAGTCTGTGTTAGATTCTTAGGCTATGATATACAAAGATTGATGCTGCGTTTGTCATAGGCCTCCTTTTATACTTGAGTAGTGCTAAAAATATTAAAAACTCAGTCAATACGTGTCAGCACCAGGCCACACACCTACAATTAGCCCCTTGCCCACCAGCTCACATCTTTCCATGGCAACTCAGTTTTGTGCAAACCACTCATGCCAAAGACGGCAGGTGGGCTGTTCTCAGGGTCTGTTGATGGGGAAGGAGTAGAATCATGATGCCCCACATCCTTCCACATGTTCTCATGTAGTTTCTGCTCGCTTATCCCCTCTAAATGTAGTGGCTCAAAACAATAACAATTACTTTACTCTCTCATAGTTTCTGTAGGTCTGGAACTTAGGAAGAGCTGGGCAGGTGGTTCTGGCTCAGTCTCTTGGCTGGAGTTGGAACAGGTTGGGGGATCAGAGGGCTAGAGAGGCTGAGGGCTAGCTGGACAGCATTGTCGGTTCATGTGGTTTCGGGACTGCTCCATGTGGTTTCCCAACATGGGATGATGTGGGCTCCCTTCTAGCATGGTGGCCTCAGGGCCGTCAGACTGCTTATGTGGCGTCTCAGGGCACCACTCATGAGTGTTCCAGCAGGAAGGTAGAAGCTGAGTTGGTTTTTAATTACCTAGACTTGGAAGTCAATAAGGTCATCTCTGTCTTACTCTTATGGCCAGGAGAGTCACAAAAGCTCTCTCGATTCCAAGTGCCAAAGGAGACCTAGACTCTACCTCTCAATGGGACGAGTGTCAAAGTCACTTTGAAGAAAGAACATGAGTGATAGATATATTGTTGTGGCCGCATGTGAGAAACACACTCTGCCACACAGGTGCTGTGGCTCCATCGAATATGCCTTGTGTCTACTCCTACTCAGTCTTTGAGAGCCAGCTGCTTATATATTCGGTCTGGTACCCTTCTTGAACTTCCTTTTAAGAATAAGAGCATCCTCATCAAAATCCCCTTATCCCATTCCACACACTTGCATTGCACACTTGCCTCTTTTTCTTGGAGGAATTCACATGTTATCCCCAGCAATCTTGCAAGCTCCCTGGAGGGTTGGGGCCTTGTAACGTTCATATTGTCTTCTCTCTGTTACCTACACAAAAATGTTTTTAAAATAACATAAGAATTCTTAATAACACAAGAAGTCCTGAGGATATCAATAACGAGAGACAAACACAGGACTCCAAATTGCACACCTTACCTGGTCTCATTGATATGGAAGGGGTGGGAAGTTAAGGAGGCAGACACTAAACAGCTCATGGTGGTGATTTCTGGGAACAGAAATTATTGAAGCTTTGTAATTTATTATCTACAAACTTTGAGTTTTCAGTAATAAACAAGTGTTCTCATTTATTTAAAAAATCATGAACTTTGCAGAATGCGGTAGCTCACACCTGTAATCCCAGCAGTTTGGGAGGTCAAGGTGGGCAGATCACTTGTGGTCAGGAGTTCAAGATGAACCTGGCCAACATGGTGAAACCCTGTCTCTATTAAAAATACAAAAAAATTAGCCAGGCATGATGGCGCATGCCTATAATCCCAGCTACTTGGGAGGCTGAGGCAGGAGAATTTCTTGAACCTGGGAGGCAGAGGCTGCAGTGAGCCGAGATCACACCACTGCACTCCAGTCTGGATGACACAGAAAGACTGTCTCAAAATAATGATAATAATAAAACAAAAAAAATAAAATTCGTGAACTTGCATTTTATTACCCAAACCCAGAATGGACTAAATCAAGTGACATTGTGTCTACAAAGTATTGTTTCTCAAAATTCACTTCCATCTAGATGAGCTATGCCATACAACTGCATCTTTTATCTCCTCTCACTCCCCTCCACAGCTACAGGCATGAGAGAAGAGCAAGTGCTCTCCTGAAGCAAAGTCTTTAAAAAGCTCCCAACCCAAGAGTTGGGACACTGACAGGCTTACATTCACTTTTCCAGTTCACCCATGGTATGTGTTTCTGTTCTCACCTCAGTCTTGAGTTTTCCAGATCTGTCTTAAAGTAAAAGAGAAAATCCAAAGTCCCTGCATATCTCTTTACTGCATGCTGTAGAATTTTTCTTCCTAAGTTATTTCTGAGTCAACATTGATTCCTTCCCACTGAACTGAATTATGGTGTTTCAGGCCTAGTTAGTACTTTAATGATGTTGAAATCAAAGAGTAGAAGTTTTCACATGGGTATTCACATGAAATATTCCAGGACATGATTATTAGGTTCTTTGGGTTTGATAGCTGCCCTTGATTTACAGTCCCTTCTTGGCATCCACCATGCCTGAGAATAACAGATTAGCCACAGTCATACCTGTTTTTTTTCCAGAGCATATAAGAAAAATTGCTTCAATAAAAATTAAAAAAAAATCTTTGCCATCAACCACTCCCGTCCTCCCCCAAGCAAATGTTCATGCTAGTATCCACAGCATAGCGAGATGGGCATAGAGAAATGGCAGGGTCTCTAAGCTAATTCATTTCTATTCTTTCCTTCTCTCCCTTGCATGTTTCTAACTCTGCATTATTTTCCTCTAGGCCAAGGTAAAAGCCACCCTCTGCTTTTATAGTTGCAATGAGTTTAAAGACTTGAGCACAGCAGACTTGGAAAAGTGCTGTAGTAGGAAGCAGAAGTGCTGGGCTCTATGCTTCCAGGCCCTTGTACAGGAAAGGTGGTAGGACAATTGGTTAGAGCCCCCATACTGCCACTGAAGGGAACTTTTGTCTGTTAGGACAAGTCTTTTCTTTTTCTAAGAGGGAGAGAACATTATTTTCATTTCTGTTTTTCCCAGAAGCCAATCCTGAGACACAGATTACAGTATAAGTAGCTTATCTGGGAGGTGATGACTGGTAGGAAAGTGGAGAAGAGAGATCAGGTAGGAAAGCCAGTTAGTGGAGTGTTTGTTAACAAGCAGGGGACCGGTAGGTAGCTGAAGCTTGGTTCTGCTGGAGAAATCTGCTACCACACCTCAGAGCCATCCCACATGAAATGGGAGGGAGCTGGGGTCCTTACCCTCCACCCCACTAGCCACTGAGTTGAGGGCAGCTCTGGAGAGTCACTGTTTCCAGCACTTCCTGCCTGTCATGCTTGGGCAGAGAAAACTCTGGTGGCCAGAGGAAACAGGGAGGTAAGAAATCTAGGTGCTAATGGTTGGGAGGGAGACTTGGAGGCCTCCACTTCCTCACTAGTGAAACATCAATGCACAGATTGAGCTCACAGGCTACTGTGTGGTTGAAACAAGATGATACCTTCAAGAGCACAAGCTTGGTCTTACAGAGGAAGCAGACTGCTAGTGTCCTGTGAGTTGTTTGCTTACCTACTAAATAGCTAGATCCACCAATACATTCAAAAAAACCAAACTCATACAAACCACACTTTTAGACAATAGCACCATAAAAGCAGAAATCCATACCAAGAAGATCTCTCAAAACCATACAATTACATGGAAATTAAACAACCTGTTCCTGAATGACTTTTGGGTAACAATGAAATTAAGGCCAAAATCATGAAATTATTTGAAACTAATGAAAACAATGATAAAACATGCCAGAATCTCTGAGGCATAACTAAAGCAATGTTAAAAGGAAAGTTTATAGTGCTAAGTGCCCACATCAAAAAGTTAGAAAGATTTCAAATTAACAACCTAAAATCACACCTAAAGGAACTAGAGAAACAAGAGTAAACCAACCCTAAACCTAGCAGAAATAAAGAAATAATCAAAATCAGAGCTGAGCTGAACAAAATTGAGAGGTGAAAACTATACAAAAGATCAACAAAACCAAAAGTTGGTTCTATAAAAGAGTAAATAATATTGATAGACTGCAAGCTAGACTAATAAAGAAAAACAAAAAGAGAAGATTCTAATAAGTAATCATAAATGACAAAGGGGACATTGCCACCAACCCTATGGAAATAGAAAATCATCAGAGACTATTATGAACACTTCTATGCACACAAACTAAAAAACCCACCAGAATGGATAAATTCCTAGAAACATACAACCTCCCAAGATTGAATCAGAAAGACATTAAAACTATGAACATACCAACAGTGAGTTCCAAAATTGAATCAGTGATAAAAAGCCTACCAATCAGAAAAATCCCTAGACCAGATGGATTCATAACAAAATTCTACCAGAAGCATAAATAAGAGTTGGTATCAATTCTATTGAAGCTATTCCAAAAAAATTGAGAAGTAGAGACTACTCCCTAACTTATTCTATGGGGCCAGTATCATTCTGATATCAAAACCTGGCAGAGACACAATGAAAAAAGAAAACTTCAGGCCAATATCCCTGATAAAAATAGATGCAAAAATCCTCAACAAAATATTAGTAAACTGAATCCAGCACACATCAAAAAGCTAAACCCCCACAATCAAGTAGGCTTTATTCATGGAATGCAAGGTTGGTTCAACATATGCAAGTCAACAAATGTGATTCATCACATAAACAGAACTAAAAACAAAAACCACCTGATCATTTCAATAGATGCAGAAAAAGATTTTAATAAAATTCAGCATCCTGTCATGTTAAAAACCTTCAACAAACTGGGCATCAAAGGTATATACTTCCAAATAATAAGAGCTATTTATGGCAAACCCACAGTCAACATCATACTAAATGGGCAAAAGTTGGAGGCATTTCTCTTGAGAACTGGAACAAGACAAAGATGCCTATTCTCACCATTCATATTCAACATAGCACTGCAAGTCTTAGTCATAGCAATCAGGCAAGAGAAATAAATAAAAGGCATCTAAATAGGAAAGAAGGCAGTCAAACTGTCTCTGTTTGTAGACAATATGATTCTATACCTAGAAAATCCAATAGTCTCTGCCCAAAGACTACTAGATCTGATAATCAAATTCAGCAAAGTTTTAGAATACAAAATCAATAAACAAAACCCAGCAGCATTTCTATATACCAAGCTGACAGCCAAATCAAGAACCAGTCTCATTCACAATTGCCACAAAGAGAATACAAATACCTAGGAATACAGCTTACCATGGAGGTGGAAGATCTCTACAATAAGAATTACAAAACACAGCTGAAAGAAATCAGAGATGACACAAACAAATGGGAAGGCATTCTGTGCTCGTGGATAGGAAGAATCAGCACTGCCAAAGTGACCATACTGCCTACGGCAATTTACAGATTCTAAGCTATTCATACAAAACTACCAAAGATATCTTTCACAGAATCAGACAAAACAACCCCATTAAAATGTGGGCAAAGAACCTAAGCAGACACTTCTCAAAAGAAGATGTACATATGGCCAACAAGCATGAAAAAAAGCTCAACATCACTAATTATTAGAGAAATGCAAACCAAAACCACAATGAGATACCATCCCACACCAGACAGAATGGCTGCTATTAAAAAGTCAAAAACTAACAAATGCTGGTGAGGCTGGGGAGAAAAGGGAATGCTTATACACTGTTGGTGGGAATGTAAGATAGTTCAGCCATTGTGAAAAGCAGTGTGTCAATTTCTCAAAGAATGTAAAACAGAATTATCATTTGACCCAGAAATCCCATTATTGGGTATATAATATACCCAAAGGTATATAAGTTGTTCTGTCATAAAGACACATGCACACATATGTTCATTCCAGCACTATTCACAACAGCAAAGACATAAAATCAAACTAAATGCCCATCAATGGTAGACTGAATAAACAAAATGTGGCACACCATGGAATACTACAGAGCCATAAAAAAGAATGAGATCATGTTCTTTGCTGTAATATGGATGCAGCTGGAGGCCATTATCCTAAGTGAACTAACGTAGGAGCAGAAAAACCAAATACCACATGTTCTCATTTATAAGTGGGAGTTAAACATTGAGTAACAGGGACACAAAGAAGAGAAAAAGAACAGACACTGGGGCCAGGGCCTACTTGAGGATAGAAGGTGGGAAAAGGGTGAATATTGAAAAACTGCCTCTTGAATACTTGTGCTCTTTATCTGGGTGACAAAATAATCTGTGTACCAAACCCCTGCTATATACAATTTACCCATGTAACAATACTGCACAGGTACTTCAAACCTAAAAGCTGGAAAGAAAAATAAACAAGTAAATGACTAGAGCCAGAAGGCCATGTCTCGTCAAAATAGAAGTGATAATACTTGTCTAATACTTTTTGAACACCTTTGCTGAGGTATGAATGATATACAAAATCTGCATGTATTTAATGCACACAATTTGGCAAGTTTGGGCAAATACAGACACCTGTGAAACCATCACCACAAACAAGGGGTTTCTATTACTTAATATACTTTTTTTTCCTCTTTTATTTAAAAGAATACTCAAAAAAGTGTTTGTTTGTTTGGTTTTTTTTTTTTGCCTGTGTTCTTGATGTAAGATATATATTGTTTTCTTTTTTTGCCAAAGGCACACTAATTCTGTTTTTAACTTTCTAAAGGATGATAAGACATCAATCTTGGGTGTTTGGGTCTTTCAGGCTGTAATTGCCTTAACTATCTAATTCATTGCAGTGTAAAACTCTTTTCTGGCATTTTTTCTCTTTTCTTGATTTTTAACACAATGTTTTAGTTGCCAAGACTGCCCACCCACTCCCATAAGAGAGTTAAGAAGATGGGTTGTCTTTTATAAATTAAAGAAAATAAACTAAAAGAAATGTGAGGGAAGAAGGAAAGAAAACCCAGGCTTTCTTACAAAACTAAATTTTTCTCTAAAGCAAAATTTCAAATTTTGGAAATGTGTGGTCAGTACTAAAGACACAGGTCAGGATTCAAGTGGGACAGTTTGAAATGACCTTAAGTAAGACAACACAAAATCCTCATCTGTTTTTTCCTTTGATGTTAGACTTACTTCATCTTTCTGTTGTCTCCTAAAATAATGTAGACTGATTGAAAGGAAATAAAGATCTCCTTCAGTAATCTGTTTTTCCTTGTGTATCAGAAGCAGCAGTGGCTGGCAGAATTCTGCTATAAGCTATAAACATTGATTTCTCAGCCACTGTAAAAATTAAAGAATTGTTTCTTGTTTGAAATTTGGAAACATTTGTGCTCAGATAAAAATAATTTTCATGAGAACAATAAGGACAATTTTTTTTTTTTTTTTTTTTTAAGAGATGGAGTCTTGCTCTGTCACCCTGGCTGGAATGCAGTGATGCCATCTCAGCTCACTGCAACCTCCACCTCCGGTGTTCAAGCGATTCTCCTGCCTCAGCCTCCCAGGTAGCTGGTATTACAGGCACACACGACCACACCCGGCTAATTTTTGTATTCTTAGTAGAGACAAGGTTTCACCATGTTGGCCAGGCTGGTCTCCAACTCTTGACCTTGTGATCCGCCCATCTCGACCTCCCAAAGTGCTGGGATTACAGGCGTGAGCCACCGCACCTAATCTAAGGAAAGATTGTGGAACTGGCTTCATTTTCCACGCCTCCAACTCACTCTGCGTATTCACCTCCTTCCTGTCTTTAATGGTGGGGGGTATGGCATGCTGGCTAACTGGGCTTTCTGATTAATTGCACACTGTAAATGTAACTATATTAAACACTCTTTTTCAGCTGAAGAAGATTTAATTCTTCCCTGATGATCCAGAAATGTTCATAATTAAGACCAGCAATTATACGAATGGGTTTCACAAACATTGGGTTATTTGAATGGATGACTCAGGCTCTGAAGAATCGTTTCCAGCTGAAGGAGCATTGGAAAACCATAGATAACATATTGTCCTGATTTAGAGAGCCTGAAGAATAGGCTCAAAGGACACAGAGACCACAGAGGGCACCTTACCACTCACAGAGAGGAGTTGGACTGCTGGGACTCCCAGCAAAAATATTCTCCATGACAAATGGAAGTACAATCTTCTGGTCCTCCCCTACCCCCAATAGACACACGATTGTAGGTGAGGGCGGTTTTGGAAACTCAAGGGGCCTCCTGACCCTGCCGCATGCACAAGGCCAAAGCAACCCAGGAAGCCATCTTGCCTGGACGCAGGATGGAGACCACTGAATCCAGGCCAAGTTCCACACATCACCAGCAGTGATGCATGAGAGGTGATGATGAGGGCACAGCACCCAAGACTTCAACAGACTCCATCACCTTGCACAGTTTGAGTCAAGGACATTCCTCAATTCAGAGCTGCCGGCCTGGTGTGAAGGCCATTTGCCCAGCCCTTGCTGGAAGTCATGCTACCAGACCCTTAGAGCCTGACCTTGCCAGGGCCTTCCTTCAGGCTTGCATGAGTGGGTGGGAGGGTGGAATCAGCAGTATCATGAATAAACACTGACCAATTTCCTTTCCTGCTGAGGCACTTTTAGAAATATTCTTGCACTCTTACTATGAATAAGATGGTGATTACAAGTATTATAGTGCTTTATCTGTTCACAAAGTTTGAGAGATTTTTGTCGAAATCTGGACACACCCATAAAAGTGTGCCACACTTGAGACCCTTGTTCTTTATACATGTGGCTATTGGAAAACATTAAGACCACTATGTCTACCAGATCCAGCATGATTTTTAAAAACTCCATTATAAGTGAAGATGACACTCAGGAATGGAAACTTACAGCTTATCCACTCTGCCAAGAAATCATGTTCTCTAAGAGTGAGAGAAAAGAGATGCTGTGTGTGGTCACTTCCCACTTTTTTCTTGTTCCACGATCCCCTCCTCTCCGAGTTTCATTCACCATCCGCAATTGCAGACTTCTTGCTCTGAAGATTGTACTAGTAAGCTTTCTGTAGCAGACACCACTGAAGCCTTACTGTTTTCTACTAGGCCAGTGTTGCTCAAATGTGGTCCTTCGACCAGCAGCACATCAACATCTCCTGGGAACTTGTGAGAAGTGCAGACTTTGGCCTCTCCCCAAACCTCTTGGATAAGATCCTGAAATAGAGGCCCTGCCGTCTGTGTGTTTGCCAGCCCTGCAGATGATTCGGCTGCTCACTCAGACTGAGAGCAGTAGCCGGAGATGCTCACCCTCCCACGAGCTCCACTGCTTCCTGCCGCGGGCCCCTGGGGCTCCGTTGAGGTCTTGCTTAGGTGTGCTCACATCTGAGATGCGCTCAGACCACTAACTTCAGCTGCGAGCCAGGTCAGAAGTGCTGAAGAGTTAGTGCCCTGGGGAACAGCTCTCAAGCAGAGAGGGACAGGACTTGGAAAATAAAAATGCAGCTCCCTCACACATGAGATGAGACGATTTTCAGGCATGTTCCACCTGGTTCTTCAGAAGTCCCCATCAGGACTGAGGCCCGGTTGTCACAGATGTGGCCTGCTCATTCATGCATCCTGGATTGCCTTTCCCTGTCTCACTTCCCCACTCCTGCATGGGTGCTTCCTGAGATCATCTCCCAAATAAGCTGCTTGTTCCCAAGCCCCTACTTCAGGCTCTATTTCTGGGAAAGCCAATATAAGGAAGATGTTGTACTATGAATGAAAATTCATACATATTCTTAATGCCATTCTAGTATCATCAGGTTTAATTTCCAGAACAACCCTATAAGGCAGAAGAGATTGGACAGTGGGGGAATGTGCCCCAAGCGACAGAGTCCTTGCCGGTGGAGCTGGAATCTCTACCCCTTTTTGAGCTGATGGGAAACTTGTACAGATACTTCCACTTTGGAACATTGGCCAAAGTGATAAAGAGAAGATCGAGATGAATTTTAATCAAGGAATTAGAAATTGAGAAGACCCGACTTAGGAGCCCTCACTAATTTGGCTATGTTGGGGATCTGATGGGTTTGGTAATAATGTCAGGATCCAAGAACCTACCAGTCACTGTGGCAGATGCAGGAAAGAAGTAGGCTTCCATGGTATGGGTTTCTAAACAAGTTTCCTTTGCTTCTAACCATTTTCTTCTAAAGTAAACCATGACATCATGCTTTGCTGCAAATATGCATTAAGCCATTGCTGCACCAACCCCCACTAACCTCAGTGGGTAAGGCACCAGGTTCAACAGGCCAAAGAAGAGACCCAGACCCAGCAAACAATACATAGGGTATTATTAGGGGCTTACATCCAGGGGAGAGAGTCCAGGGTCTGCAGGCTGGACAAGATATTCTCATGGCTTAGTGGTGGCAGGCTGGACATGAGAACGGTAACTGGTTGCAAAAACCATGCAGTTTATACAGCATTTTCATTCAACTCCCTCCCCTTAATGAACTGCACCTGGCAATCTTCATTTTTTTTGTTTTTTTGAGATGGAGTCTCTCTTTGTCACCCAGGCTGGAGTGCAGTGGAGCGATCTCAGCTCACTGCAACCTCCAACTTCCTGGTTCAAGCAATTCCCCTGCCTCAGCCTCCCAAGTAGCTGGGATTACAGGCACACGCCACCAAGCCTGGCTAATTTTTTTGTACTCTTAGTAGAGACAGGATTTCACTATGTTGGCAAGACTGGTCTCAAGCTCCTGACCTCAGGCAATCCGCCCGCCTCGGCCTCCCAAAGTGCTGGGATTACAGACGTGAGCCACCACACCTGGCCTGGGAATCTTCATTTAACCCAAGATTGAGACTCAGGGTCTCAATCCCCTGGATGGCTCATGTTTCATGGGATGGACCCGGGGCTCAGATGTCACACATAGGCAATGAACGAATCTCCAGGTTGACCACCCTCAGATTCCCTAGCTCCGAACACACATTCAGGTGCATCTCATCTCCCATACAGGGTCATTCTGAGGGTATGCTCAAGTTATTGCTATCAGGTGTGTTTACCCTACAGCTCTTCACTGATAACTATTACAGAAAGTGAAAGGGAAAAATGTTCTGAATCTTACAAGGACATATAGTTCAAGACAGCCAATGAATAAATAATGGGCAGAGAGTAATGTTGTTATAAGGAGCTCTAAAACTAGCTCTAATTTTAATTAAGGAAAGAACTTCTAAGCATTGGCACTTTTATGCTCATTGTAATGTTTTTGGCACATTTCCCATTGGGTAGCGTCGCACAGGTATGTAAAGGAATCCCAGGCCGCTAGCCTAAATCAGTACTAGAGGCAAGTTTTTCAATGAGAATGGTCCAGCACTCTATTTAGTAATGTGAGTTTCCAATTGCTATGAGTAACCCAGGATGATAGCATGTTAAAGACATACAGAGATTTAAAAATATATTCTAGTCTCTTTATGAAAACCATGAGAAAACAGAGGTTTTCCAGTGTTGGGGATCACCCTGAGAGTGCCCAGCAGGAGGTTAGCAGGAGCTGCAATGGAAACCAGATTCCAAGCTTCACTGCTTTCCATGTGATTCCATCCCTCCAGCCTAGAAATCGGAGACTCATCTTTGACCTTCCCTCCTTTTCCTTCCCTAAATGCGATCACCCCACGTCCTGTCATTGTGTCATTTATGAATACAGTCTCTTCCACTCCAATTCTCCAGTCCCTCTGAGGTCACTGTCTTTTGAAGCTCACCACTTACACTTGTGTATTTACTTCGGCTGACACCAGCTTGTCTTTATCTGCTTCAACCCGCCTTGCATTCCATGTCTACACTTGACTTCCCCCAAACATTATTATTTATTCTTCTTTTATAAAGCAAGGCTGTCCTAAGACTTAGAGGTAGACAGTCAAAAGGCAATTCTAATAAACAGTGATTAAGTGCGATAACAGCAGACTGTAGGTGCCCCTGGTGCCCTCCCCACTCCCATATATGCTGATGTTTTCCTGCTGCGGGCCCCAGTGACTTCCTGATGCTGTCTCTGGCTCAGAAAGGGGCTCCACCTGCAGGTAGAGCAGGCAGGCAGTGCCAAGGGAGTCATGCAGCAGGGAGCTGAGCTCAACCAGTGATGTCGGGGAGTCAGTGAGAAAATACCTCAACCTCCTCACCCTTCTGGAGAAGGGCTCTATGCTTCTCTTTGAGGTCTCCAGTGGGAAAAAGCCCCATTTTCCATGGTGGTAAGCTGTGTGAAAACACCCTGTATCCACTTGCTTCTCTTTCCTCTTCCATTCTCCACTCCTCACCTGGCATTTCCTGGGGGTCACCTCCCAGATAAACTGTTGCATTGGAATCCTTGTCTCAGAAGCTGCTTCTCTGGGAAGCTAACCTAAGACAAAACCCAGGACTGGGGAACCAGGGGAATCACCCCAGGGAATGAGAGCCAAGATGAAACCTGAAAGGAAAGAAGGAACCCGTCCACTAAAGCAATGGCAGGTGTTGGAGAGCAGTGTGGGAACCAGGTTAAAGATCTGGCAGGGCTGGGAGGGGCAATAAGCATGACTTGCTTGAGCGAAACTAAAAGAATTTCCTGGAAGGTGATTTCCTAGAATTTTGCTGCAACGTAAAATATGGGGCAGTGAAAGGGGAAAGTTTAGGTGCAACATGGACTATAACCTAAGACCCTTGGGAGCTGTGTTCTTTATGTTAAGAACAATGGAAAATCACAGAGGGGTTTACATGGGAAAGGACAATGATTGTATTGACATTTTAAGAGATTTATGTCTATAGATCCAATTAGATTGGAGTGGGGGGAAGACTGCAGGCTGTGCGATCACATAAGAAGCTATTAGAGGCAGGCAGGCAAGAAAGAATGGAATTAGCAGTGGGAATGAAATGACTGGATGGATCTGAAGGATTTGTGGACAGTGGAAACAAAAGGATATGTGCCTATTTAGAGGTGCTAGTTGTGAGAGAAGGAGGAACCCAGGATGGCCCTAAAACCATGACTCATGCAACTAGATGGGCAAGAGGATGGAACAGGGGAAGAAAGCTGGGGGAGGAGCTGGTGGGTTCAGTTTTGCCATTGTTGTGTTTGAGCTACTATATGATGTTCACATAGCAATGTTCAGTTACACAGTGGTATTATATGGGTCTGAAGTTTAGGAGAGGGGAATGTGCTGAGTTTGGAAATAATCCATATATACAGAGGCTAAATGCATTCATAAAAGAGGATAAAATGTTTCAGGGAAACATTGTTCATTTGAGCAGAGAGTGAGAAGAGACAAGTGCCAGGAGAAGTATGAGAACTACATTTAAAGGGCGGATAGAAAGCAACAAAGGAGGCCTAAAGGGAATGGCCAGAGAGGTGAGAGGAAAGCCAGGAAAATGAGAATGCCACAAAGGGCAAGGGAAGAAGCAGTTATATAAAACACTGCCAAGATGAAGTTCAGCTATGGACTAAAAATCCTACGTTACATTTCAAGGCAAGGAAATCTTTCGTGACTTGGGGAGAACAGCTTCTGTAGAGGGGTGGGGATACAAGATGGTTTCCATGTGACTGAGAAGTGAGCGTAAAGTGAGGTGGGTATAGACGACTTTCTATACATTTGACTCTGAAGGGACTGGGAGAGATGAAGTAACAGAGATATGGGCTTTTAATTGTATGCTATGACAGGAACATAGAGGGTGACTGCAGTAAAAGGTGTGGAGCTGTGGGCACTTGATTTCTAGGGGAACATAGAGGTGATGAGTCTAAAATTATGCCTGTTTTGGAAGAGAAGGGTTGGCTCATCTGAGAGTCACAGCGTGGAGATGGCTCTGATCCTGGAGAGTGAGTTGGATGAAAAGAGAGGCTCTGATCTAAGAAGCTGCCATTCAAGTTGTAAGAACCCAGAGGAATATACATAGCAGTATCTACTTATTCACAATTATCAGCAGGGACAGATGTCGTGATGAGTTTGGGGGTCACTTAAGGAGAGAATGGGAGGAGAAATCCCTGTAAAGACTGGAGATGGACAGTTGAGGGAGCTGGAAGAAGCTCATGGGGAGACGTGCATGTATTCAAACTGGACGGGGGTGCACTGAGGACGTCCACAGTGCTCCACAGACCCAGGGAGGTCCATTTGTGTAGATCTTCTGAGGAGAGTCCAGAAAGGTGCACTGCCCTTTCTGCCCTCTCGACCTCTCTTTTAAAGTCCTCTGTTTTGCACCCAATTTTATTTTTTTCCTCTAATACTACACCTCTGGCTTCCACCTGACAGAGACACCGTTTGTTAGAATTGTGAGCCTGCAGGGGTGTCCCAGCCTTGCCAGCCAGCATGCTTGTGTTTGATTGTTTCCTTACTGTTCCCTGCTATGAGTAAGCTGACCCATCCTCACCATCTCACAAACCCACAGAGAACAACTCCCTCAGCTTACATTTTGGTCTCTTTCCTGGTTGATGTATTAGGATTACATTCAATTGTTCCTTTTCTGTGGCCATCAACACTACAAACAATTGCTATTATAACTTGTTTCAATGGTCAATATTATTTTAATTAAAGCCATCCTGGGAACAGCTGGACTCACACAGGTAATGGCAGGGAAGGGGTAGAGGGCAGGTAGCATCAAGGCAGAACGTGTGTGAAGGATGGCCAGGGTCCAGCACAGCTTCCTCCCCATTTACTAAGTCTCTGGGAACGATGTCCCAGCGACTGAGCCAACGCTTGTCCAAGTGAAATATGTTAGTTGCCCTTCACGGTGTTTCTTGGTCTCTGACTTGTGTCCTCTGATTTCCTGATGAAGTCACACTCACAACCTACATTTGCCTGGCCTGCATTGTAATTTTGCAGTACCATACACTGTTTTAAAAGTAAACTGCCAAAAATGTGTCCTTAGTCACTAGCATCACTGTTATACTTCTGAGCTTAGGGTGAGCTCAGTAGTCATGATGCAAAGGCATGTCTATTGTCTAAAAAATGGCCATCTTAGACAATAGAGGAATACAGAAGAATATGCTTAATGTGATTTATTTATTCAAAATGATCACTGATGCCAGACATTGTGCTCAGTCTGGGGATGAAGGAAGAGATAAATATGAATACAATCTCTGTCTATCCTCAAGAAACTCTTTCACTGGCATGGAAGAAAGATTTATTTAAAAATTCACAATATGGTAGTCTGTGCCATAATAGAGCTTTGCATAAACATTTTTGGGACCCAGTCCTAAATGCTACCCATTTATTAACAATGAAAATCATCATTTTAAATGAGAAATCATCAGATATTATAAGAAACCAATTTCAGTATGAAATCAATTAGCCGTTTTCTGATAAGTTCTTATTTTTAAATTATTGAGTATATATTTTATGCAAAAATAATATTTTTTGAGGTAAAAAAATTGATAAGCAAGGAACATATAGTGATTAAGAGTTTAAAATTAAAAAATTTATATTGATTCTATAGTAATTGCTTTAAGTATCAAAAAGAATATGGAAAATATTTTTGGCTATCCCCTATTGCATTTAATAATTATCCAATATAATGTATATATACTGTATGAATATATAACTTATTTAATATAATTCCTCATACTAAAACATTAGTTTTACTAATTTTAGCTAACTCTGAGTTTCCTTATGTATTCAGTAATTAATAAATTATATATAGCCTATATTTTTTTCCATGGGTTATTGTGGTACAGGTGGTGTTGGGTTACATGAGTAAATTCTTTAGTGGTGATTTGTGAGATTTTGGTGCACCCATCACTCGAACAGTATACACTACACCCTATTTGTAATCTTTTATCCGTCACCCCCCACCCACCCTTCCCCCAAGTCCCCAAAGTCCATTGTATCATTCTTATGCTTTTGCATCTTCATAGCTTAGCTCCCATGTATCAGTGAGAACATATGATATTTGGTTTTCCATTCCTGAGTTACTTCACTTAGAATAATAGTCTCCAATCTCATCCAGGTCATGCAAATACCATTAATTCATTCCTTTTTATGGCTGAGTAGTATTCCATTGTATATATATACCATAGTTTCATTATCCATTAATTGATTGATAGGCATTTGGGTTGGTTCCACAATTTTGTAATTGTGAATTGTGTTGCTATAAACATGCATGTGCAAGTATCTTTTTTGAATAATGACTTCTTTTCCTCTGGGTAGATCCCCAGTAGTGGGATTGCTGGATGAAATTGTAGTTCTATTTTTAGTTCTTTAAAGAATCTCCACACTGTTTTCTGTAGTGGTTGTACTAGTTTACATTCCCACCAGCAGTGTAGAAGTGTTCCCTGATTACCGCATCCATGCCAGCATCTACTGTTTTTTGATTTTTGATTATGGCAATTCTTGCAGGAGTAAGGTGGTATCACATTGTGCTTTTGATTTGCATTTCCCTGATCATTAGTGATGTTGAGCATTTTTTCATATGTTTGTTGGCCATTTGTATATCTTCTTTTGAGAATTGTCTATACAAGTCTTTAGCCCACTTTTGATGGGATGGTTTGCTTTTTTCTTACTGATTTATTTGAGTTCATTGTAGATTCTGGATATTAGTTGTCAGATGAATAGATTGTGAATATTTTCTCCCATTCTGTGGGTTGTCTGTTTACTCTGCTGACTGTTCCTATTGTTGTGCAAAAGCTCCTTAGTTTAATTAAGTCCCTGCTATTTATCTTTGTTTTTATTGCATTTGCTTTTGGGTTCTTGGTCATGAAATCCTTGCCTAAGCCAATGACTAGAAGGGTTTTTCCAATGTTATCTTCTAGAATTTTTATAGTTTCAAGTCTTAGATTTAAGTCTTTAATCCATCTTCAGTTGAATTTTTTTTTTTTTTTTTTTTTTTTTTTTGAGATTGAGTCTCGCTCTGTCACGCAGGCTGGAGTGCAGTGGCATGGTCTTGGCTTACTGCAACCTCCGCCTCCTGGGTTCAAGCAATTCTTTTGCCTCAGCCTCCTGAGTAGCTGGGATTACAGGTACGTGCCACCATGCCTGGCTAATTTTTTTTTCTTTTTTTTTTTTAGTAGAGATGGGGTTTCACCATGTTACCCAGGATGGTATCAATCTGGCCGAGGTGATCCACCCGCCTCGGCCTCCCAAAATCCTGGGATTACAGGTGTGAGCTACGGTGCCCACCCTGAGTTAATTTTTGTATAAGGTGAGAGATGAGGTTCCAGTTTCATTCTCCTACATGTGGCTAGCCAATTATCCCAGCACCATTAGTTGAAAAGGGTGTCCTTTCCCCACTTTATGTTTCTATTTGCTTTATTGAAGATCTGTTGGCTGTAAGTATTTGGGTTTATTTCTGGGTTCTCTATTCTGTTCCATTGGTCTATATGCCTATTTTTCTACCAGTACCATGCTGTTTTGGTGACTATGGCCTTATAGTACAATTTGAAATCAGGTAGTGTGATGCCTCCAGATTTGTTCTTTTCACTTAGTCTCTCTTCGACTATGTGGGCTCTTTTTTGGTTCCATATGAATTTTAGTGTTTTTTTTCTAATTCTGTGAAGAATGATGGTAGTATTTTGATGGGGATTGCACTGTGAAATGGGGATTGACCATGTGAAAATGGTCATTTTCACAATATTGATTCTACCCATCCATGTGCATGGGATGTGTTTCCATTTGTTTCTGTTGTCTATTATTTCTTTCAGCAGTGTTTTGTAGTTTTCCTTGTAGAGGTCTTTCACCTCCTCAGTTAAGTATAATCCTAAGTATTTTACTTTTCTTGCAGCTATTGTAAAAGGGGTTGAGTTCTTGATGCAATTTTCTGTCTGGTCGCTGTTGGTATATAGAAGAGCTATGGATTTGTGTCCATTAATTTTGTATCTGGAAACTCCACTGAATTCTTTTATCAGTTCTGGGAGCCTTCTAGAGGAGTGTTTAGGGTTTTCGAGATAAACACTCATATCATCAGCAAACAGTGACAGTTTGACTTCCTCTTTACTGATTTGGATGTCCTTTATTTCTTACTCTTGTCTGATTGCTCTGTCTAGGACTTCTAGTACTATGTTGAAGAGGAGTGGTGAGAGGGGGCATCCTTGTCTTGTTCCAGTTCTGAGAGGGAATGTTTTCAACTTTTCCCCATTCAGTATTATATTGGCTATGGGTTTGTCACAGATGACTTTCATTACATTGAGGTATGTCCCTTTTATGCCGATTTTGCTGAGAGTTTTAATTATAAAGGGATGAGGGATTTTGTCGAATGCTTTTTCTGCGTCTATTGAGATGATCATACAAATTTGTTTTTAATTCTCTTTATGTGGTGTATCACATTTATTTACTTGCATATGTTAAACCATCCCTGCATCCCTGGTATGAAACCCGATTGATCATGGTAGATTAACTTTTTGATACGTTGTTGGATTTGGTTAGCTAGTATATTGTTAAGGATTTTAGCATCTATGTTCATCAAGGATATCAGGATATCAGTCTTGTTTTCTTTTTTGGTTATGTCCTTTCCTGGTTTTGATATTAGGGTGATGCCAGCTACACAGAATGAAGTGGATGAATTGGGGGGGTCCTCTTTCTCTATATTGTGGAATAGTGTTAATAGGATTGGTATCATTTCTTCTTTGAATGTCTGGTAGAATTCTACTGTGAATCCATCTCATCCTGGACTGTTTTTTATTTGGTAATTTTTCGATTACCATTTTAATCTTGCTGCTTGTTATTGTTCAGGTTATCTAATTCTTCCTGATTTAAGCTAGGAGTGTTGTATCTTTCCTACTAGAGAGGAATTTATCCATCTCTCCTAGGTTTTCCAGTTTATGCACATACAGGTGCCCATAGTAGCCTTGAATTATCTTTTTTATTTCTGTGGTGTCAGTTGTAATAGCTCCCGTTTTGTGTCTTATTGAGGTTATTTGGAGTTTTTCTCCTCTTTTCTTGGTTAATCTTGCTGATGGTCTATCAATTTTCTTTATCTTTTCAAAGAAGCAGCTTTTTGTTTCATTTATCTTTTGTATTGTTTTGCTTGTTTGTTTCATTTTCATTTAGTTCTGCTCTGATCTTGGTTATTTCCTTTCTTCTTCTGAGTTTGGGTTTGGTTTATCTAATCCCTTGAGAAGTGACTTTAGATTGTCAGTTTGCACTCTTTCAGTATTTTTGATGTAGGCATTTAGGGTGATGAACTTTCCCCTCAGCACCCCCTTTGCTGTATCCCAGAGGTTTTGATAGGTTGCCTCACTATTGTTGCTCAGTTCGAAGAATTTTTAAATTTCCATCTTGATTTCGTTTTTGACCCAGTGATCATTCAGGAGCAGGTTATTTAATTTCTATGTATTTGCATGGTTTCAAAGGTTCCTTTTAGAGTTGATTTCCAGTTTTATTTCACTGTGGTCTGGGAGAGTGCTTGATATAATTTCAATTTTTTAAAATTTATTGGCCTATTTATTGGCTATTAAAACTATTGGTCTGTTTATTGGCTCATTTTATGGCCTATCATATAGTCTGTCCTGGAGAAAGTTCCATGCGCTGTTGAATAGAATGTGTATTCTGCGATTGTTGAATGGAATATTGTGTATACATTTGTTAAGTTCATTTGTTCTAAGATATAGTTTAAATCCATTGTTTCTTTGTTGACTTTCTGTCTTGTTCCAGTTCTCAGAGGGCATGCTTTCAACTTTTCCCCACTTGGCTCTATTTTTGGTCTGGTTGGCCTCCTGCTGAGAGGTGGCACTTTCCCGAGAGTATCAGCTGCAGTAGTATAGAGAGGAACTTGTGGTGGGCAGGGCCCTAGAACTTCGAAGAGTATATACCCTTTGTGTTCAGTTACGAGGGTGGGTAGGCAAGGACCATCATGTGGGGGTGGGGCTAGGTGTGTCTGAACTCAGACTCTCCTCGCTCTGGTCTTGCTGCAGCTGCTGCTGGGGATAGGGGTGAGGTTCCCAGGTCAGTGGAGTTATGTTCCTAGGAGGATTGTGGATGCCTCTGCTGAGTCGTGCAGGTTGTCAGGGAAGTTGGGGAAAGTCAGTAGTCACAGGTCTCACCCAGCTCCCACGCAATCGAAAGGGCTGGTCTCACTTCCACCATGCTCCCCCTAACAGCACCAAGCCTGTTTCCAGGCAGTGGGCAAGCAGGCCTGAGAACTTGCCCCAGGCTACCCACCTCCCAGCTGCAACAGAAAGTAGGACTTTAGTTCTTTCCCTGCCTGTGGAGTCTGCATGCTGGAGGATTCGTGCCCTCCCCAAGTTCTGGCCAGGAGGCTTCTCCGCCCATTCAAATTGTTACAAAGTTCAGCTGGGGATTTCCTTCTCCTTGTGGCGTTTTCCCCACACCTCTGGCCACCCTCCTGAAGGATCCCTGTGATGACAGGCAGGAATGGCCTGCTTGGGGACCCAGCAAGCTCACAGGGCCTTTCCTGCTGCTTCCTCTACTCCTGTATTTCACTCAGCTGTCTACGTTGACTCAGCTCCAGGTAAGACCAGAATATTCTCCTGTAAACTAGACCTTCATTTTCCCCAGTGGGGGTGTGTGTTCAGGGGCAGAGGATCCCCCTTTCCCACTTCCACAGTATGGGCACTCACGGTATTTGGGGTGTCTCCTGGGTCCTGCAGGAGCAATTTGTTTCCTTTACAGGATCCGTGGGTCCTCTTGGATTTCCTAATTTATTCCTGCAGTCGTTCTGGAGCTAAAATTCATGATGTGAGCCTCCACACACTGCTCTGTCTGAGTCAGAGCTACAATCTAATAAGTAATAAATAAACTTTTTTATTTTAAATAATTTTAAATTTACAGAAAAATTGCAGAGGCAGTACAGACACTTCTGGTATACCCTTTACACAGCTTCCCATAATAGTAACATCTTACATTAACTATGGTACATTTTTCAAAACTAAATAATTAACTTTGGTACAATATTATTAACTACATTCTCTACTTTATTTGAATTTCACCAGATTTCCCATTAATGTTCTTTTTCTACTCTAGGATCGCCCACTGAATTTAGTTCTTCTGACTCCTGCTCTGTATTTCTCAGCCTTTCCTTGTTTTTCACAAACTTGACAATTTTGCGGAATGATGGTCAGATATTTTATAGATTGCACCTCAATTTGGCTTTTCTACATTTGGTTATGAATAGACTAGGAATATAGGTTTTAGGAAAGAATGTGATCGAAGTGTAGTACCCTTCTTATTATATCATATCAGGGAGTACATGATATCAATGCGATTTATCACTGGTGCTGTTAATCTTGACCATTGATTAAGGTGGTATCCGCCAGGATTTTCTACTCTAGGTGCACTATTTTCCCTTTCCATACTCTGCTCTTTGGAAGTGAGTCATTAAGTGCATCTCACATTTGAATGGAGGAGAAAGATTACATTCCACTTGTTGAAGGGAAAAGCACCTTCTATATTATTTGAAATTCTTCTGTAAGGACGATTTGTCTCTGCTCTCCATTTGTTCATTTATTCAGTCGTTTATTTATATTGTAATATTATAGACTCAAGTGTGTTTATTTTATGCTTTGGGTAATCCAAACACTATGCTATTTATGAATTTTTATCAGAACATGGATGAGGAAGTGCTTACTTAGGCTGCGGAGGAGTTGGGGAGGTCTATGTCTTAAGGGTGGTAGTGTCAGATAGAGCAGGAAAGAACAACAGCAGTATTAGCTAAGGGGAAATCATGCCTAATAAGATAGTTTGTCAATATGCTGGTTTCTGTTTTTGTTTTTGTTTTGTTTTGTTTTGTTTTTGAGATCTTGGGCTTCCTTTTCAATGTTGATCTGTTAAAGGAGACATGATGTGTGACTATGTCTGCTTCTATATTTGATAATGATTTACATAAAGAGAATTAAGAAAGGTGAGAAAAGTGGCCTCCAGCAAGATAGAGACTTGCCTGAGGTCCAAAAGCTAGTTGAGGACACAGCTGTGGAAACATCCAGATAATGTGCCTCTTTGGTATCTAAGCAACAGCACTCCTAACAGCCAGTGTACACACACAACCCTGTGCTCCAAGACAGCTGTGTTGAAGACATCTTTGAAGCTGTTGTATTCTTCAGTTATGATAGTAACATGTTCTATTATTTTTTCTTGTGAAAGGGGGTTGAATCACCATGTGTGGCTCATGCTCCCCTAATCCCACATGTGTGTGAATGTGCATGTGTGTGAACCTATCTACAAGTCTGGATGTTCCTCAGAATCCTTGAAATCAATAACTGAACTCACTGTCTTCCTGGTGCCCTTCTACTGTACTTTCTATCTTGATCAATGATGCAATCATTCAATCAGGCTCCTTAGAAAGAAATCAGAGTGTTATTTTTGTATTAATCTCTACACATTTTCTTAAATTCTGCATTAGGAAGTCCTGTTGATTCTATTTTTTAAACACTGATTAATACCTCCCCTACTTCTCCATCACTACAGCCCCTTGTAAACCATGACTGCCTTTCATTTACATCCCAAGATTGGGTCACAACTCAAAACTCCTGAGTTTTTCCACTCTCACTTCCACTCCACTGATGCTTCACTGTACAGCTGCCAGGCAACCCATCTAAAGTTCAAGATGCTCAAGCCATTCTGTGCTTAGAAGCATAGGGTGGCTCTCTATTGCCTATAAGGTTAAAAATGAGACAAAGATAAACTGCCTTGTCCTAAAATGGCCTCTGCTTTCTCATCTGTGGTCCCCCTCACACACTTTCTCTTTTTCTGTCTCCTCCACATAATTTAAGATCCATTCTTACCAAACTCACCATCTTTTAAAACTTCATATACGTCCATGCCTCTAAGATCTTTGCTTTTCCTGTAATTCTCATTCTTCTTTGAAAACCTACTGACCCTCTAAGACCTTGCTGTTCAAAGAGTGTTCTGCTAACCAGCAGCATCAACACCATCTGGGAGCTTGTTAGAAATACAGACGCTTGAGTTCCACCTAAGACCACTGATTCGGAATCAGCATTTAAACAGCATCTCCAGGTGATTTTCATGCATGTTAAAGACTGGGGATGCTACACTAAGACATCTCAATTGTTAGCTTCCTGTGGTAGTCTTTTCTGATGTTCTTCTCCCTTTATCAGGTGCCCACCTTCCTGTTCTCTGCCTACTTTGATGTTGCATAGAAATCATTGGTTGATATGAGATTCTTGAAGGAAAAAGAGATGTATCATGTTCAACTTTGTAGCCTCAGAGCCTATGTTAAGGCTCACTTCCTTTTGTTCCATAAACAGCTACTAAACACCTGTGATGGGCCAGCCACAGTGCAAGGTGATGAGGATGCCAGTGGTCAATACGTGGCATGGTCCTTGTTTACAGTTTGGGCTTGAAGAAAATATTCATCAAAGAGAAACAAAGACTTGAATAGCAATCTTCACAAGCAGTCTGAGTGCAAGGTGCCAGGACCTGGAGAAGCTAAAAAACATTTATTGACCCTGGAACTGTCCCAGGGCTCCACAGGGACACACTATGTCTATTTAAGGCCATGCTTTACACACATCAGTACAGAACCAAGAAGACAAAAGTGCGGGGTTGGTAATCACATTACCTACCCATCAAGTAGCTGAGACTAAACCCAAGAATATCACCAATGAAAGAGATATTAGAGTTACAGCTGCTAAGTACCCACTGTTTGATTCTCATTTTCAGAACTGCTGTCCTATGACTTTTCATCTTTTGTTTAAATCCTGGCACAGTCGGAGAACTCGGCACACCATTAAACAATTCATTTCATTTTCAGTTTGCTCTGGTATCTGACCTGCTCCTCGGCCTGCATTATAAGTCCATCCATACTTCTTCTTCTAGCCTCCCAGATAGTCGCCTGCCTCAAGTAACTATCACAGTCATCTTCCCACTCACTTCTTCCCCATTGGTAAATCTTACAAATTCAAGTTGCCCATGAAGGATTCTTGTATTTTATTTTTATTATTATTATTTTTTTGAGACTCACTCTGTTGCCCAGGCTGGAGTGCAGTGGTGCAATCTCGTCTCACTGCAACCTCCGCCTCCTAGGTTCAAGAAATTCTCGTGCCTCGGCCTCCCAACATAGCTGGGATTACAGATATGTGCCACCACACCTGGCTATTTTTTTGTAATTTTAATAGAGCTGGGTTTTCACCATGTTGGATAAACTGGTCTCGAACTCCTGGCCTTAAGTGATCAACCCACCTTGGCCTCCCAAAGTGCTGGGATTACAAGTGTGAGCCACTGCGCCTGGCCAAGGATTCTTTGTCAAGAAGTTAATACGAAGGCAATGGAGCTTCATCCTGTGTGGGACATCTGACGGTGACCTAGAGTCAGTCCACCTGAGGGGCAAAACCCATTCATCATTTGTCAAAGGCTGTTTTTCAGAGGTGTATTTCTTCTCTGGCACTTCGGGCTTGACATGCAAACAAAGCACGTATGTTCCTACATCCAGAACAAAAGCTTTTGCTTGTAGAAATGAGTTCTGAGAAGATATGAGCAAATTTCCATGACATCTGTTACAAGGGGAAGGACGTGCACCCAAGTGTGCTCATCGAAGTACAAATCTGGCCCCTGGAGAGCAGAAACAGAAGCTGGTTTTACAGCATTACTTTTATGAAACAACATTGAATACTCTACCGCCCACAAAAGTAGTGTAAATAGCAGGTTTTTCCATCAGCTGTTGTCAAGACAATTCTGTTTTAACAACCGTAGCTGTTTCTATGTTTACTCTCTTTGGAATGGTCACACTCACACCCAAGGTCACTCAGGCAACATAGACAGCAGATCAAGAGTGAGAGAAATCCTTTCCATCTTTTCTCCTCTTCTAGGGGGTACTCCATACTACTAGCTGCCCAGCCTGCATCACCCCAGACATCAGGAGTGGCTGCTCACAGAAGACCAAGGCAGATTGGAATAATGGAACCCCTTCATCAAGACCCCTCTGCACCGTCTCTTAGTCCTAGTACCTTGAGAGAGTCGTTTACGCTCTTGGAGTGTCCCTGCATTTTTAAAGGTGTTAGCATGAAGAACAAGGCAATAGACATAGACAAGGAAGCTGTTATGAGCACAGATCTCATGGGAAAAGCAAAACTTTCTGCTGTTTTTGTTCAGAAATACAGAAATTTTCAGGAAGATCTTTTATGAAGGTGATAACACTAGGGTCCCTACTCAGGACACCAGCTGAACAGACAAGATTTCCCTGTTACTTGTGGTTTGGTCTGTTAAGCACAATCCCACCTCGATGCTGCCATTAGGCAGATAGTTTATGCGTCTCTCCAAACTTCCCAGTGGAGACCTTTATTTTCAGACTTGGAGGACTGGGAGTGTGGAGCACAGAGGAAAAAGAACGTGAAGTTCTGACTAATTACGAGCTGGGGGAGGGATGAAGCAGTGAGAAAATGGTGATTTTGACTGTGAAAAGTTCAACTGAATTAAATTTAAACTTTTAAAAGAAGGAATCTACAAATGTTAGACAACTATGTAAGGGAGTATTTAGTTCTGAGTTGGTTTAAAACCCATTCTTCATCCAGTACCCGTAACAAACAACAGAAAAAGCATGCTGACATTTCTTAGCAAAAACTGATAAAATGAGTCTAACCACAATGACATTTTTCCAGCTGGCATAATCATGAGTCATTCCTTTCTCTGAGGACTTAATGTCACCACAAAAGCCTCTAACTTCCCCATATTTATCATTTGGAAATGAAAACTGTTTACTTGTCATGCATGCCAAAGAATAGATTAAACTGATAAAGAAAATTATAAGATTAATAAGTGCAATTTACTTGTCAAATGGAGGTATTTCATCATTTCATGAAGCTGTTCCCTCCAGGGACTCCGTGCACTGGTGTTTCGCCACAGAGACCAGGCTGGGACCAGTCTAAAGACAGTGGTTGGGGACTGGTTGGCCTTACTGTTATGGTGGAAAGGAGACTCCTTCCAGCTCTTCTTTGGCCACCAAAGAAGAAAACAAAGAAGGACTCTTTCCTTATACTCCTTAAGTTAAAGAAAGATTCAAGTATATTGCTATAGTAAAGGGAGCCACAAAAAGAAATGAGAACAATCTAGACAGCAAAAACAGGGAGGATAATCTGTAGAGGCTGCCCACATTTCTTAAATCAAGACATGGGGGGTTAAGTGTAACATGGTAACACCTACCAGACAGACTAAAATATACTATTAATCCTCCAAATTACCAAAAGGCACACACACACACACACACACACACCATACACACTGAAAAAGAATGAAAGAAAGGCAATTCCTAGAGTAAATGAGAGAATAAAGAATATATTGAAAACAAATTAAAATCCCAAAAGTTAAGCTAATAATATGTAAAAGATAAAAAGTAATACTCGAGTAATGCATTTAGATAAAATAATGCTAATAAATGTATACATGATAACATGCCTATTGGAGAAAAGACTTGCAGAATGAGGTACATACAAGTGGGACACATAAAGTGAAAATGATGAAGATAAACCAGGAAAATGCTAACAAAAAGAAACCTAGAGTTCACCATAAAAATATTAGACAAGGATGAAGTTACATCAGAAAGTGATAAACTAGAGAAAATTGGGTTATTAACACAGTTACACTGAGAATGCAATGCTTTTTATGTACCAAATAACAAGAAGAAACAAAAACCCATAAAACATATGATCTAGGCACTTCTAGAATAAATCAACCAAAAACAGAAGTAGTAAGATACTAAGTCATCTATATGATGTCATGATTGATGAAGTGGATACAAATTCACAAATTAATCAATGCGGTAGAGCAGTGGCTCTGAAACTTGACCCAGTCTCCGAATTCAGATGTGCTCAAGCACCCATCACTGGGCCCACCCTGGAGTTTCTGCCTCAGTAGTAGAGAAGAAGGGGACTTGAGAATTTGCATCTGAGAAGTTCCCAGGCCATTGTAATGCTACTGGGCTGCTGGGCCTGGGGTCACACTTTGAGAATATGGTGTGGAGGATCAAAAATAATAACAAAATTTAACCAAGAGACAGATCTCAGTATGTATCTCTAACCACAGAGAAAGAACAGTGTACAAAAAATTTGTCCACTTATTAGGCCACAGAAAAATTCTGAATAAATTTAAAGTAGAAATAGTACAGAATGAAGCTCTGATTTCAGGTGATAAAGTTGAAAATGGATAGACTCAATCTCTTGGAAGCATGGCATATAAAAACAGATGGAGTTTTGCTAATCTCTCTCACAGAAAATGTGTATCCTGAAATACTTACATAAATAGACAGAAGGTGAATGAATAATCATCTAACCAAAGAAAATAAATCTGAAAACAGCATGTATGTGTGTATAATATAATTATTTTAGGGGAAGAACTAGATTCCAGTAGAAAAGATTTACTTTTTACTCTGAACTTTTCTATACTTTCTGAATTCTCTGATTATGCATGTGTACGACTTTTAAAAAAAAACCAGGCCAACAAGTTTCATTTGAGTGTGAAATTGGGGACCTTTTGATTTTTGCTCTTGTTTTTCTTTCAATTTCCGTGCATTAAGTGTTAGTTTTTGTAAATAAAGAAAGAATAGATAGTATCCTTATCCTTTGGAAGTTGACTTGGAAGAAAAATAAAATATCAGACACCACTAAGAAATTCAGTATTTCTAATTGATGTGAACAAGTGGGAGTAATTCTGTGGTGGAGCTGGTCAGGGTCTGAGACACAGCTGGTTTCCCTGGAACACATTACCAGCCCACCCTTGCCGTGCCAAGCCCTCCTTCCCAGACTGCAGCTGCCGTGAGTCTCTCATCAGGCAAGTGAGCTGTTTCATGAGTAGCTGACTCCCAAAAGTTGGCTGGCTGGGGCAGCTTGGGTGCTGATTTCAGTTCAGTATAACATGTCAAATGTTAATAATTAATGCTTTGCATAGTAATTGTCAAGTAGGAATAGTCAAAAAGAGAAACTTGTTGAAGAAGAGGATAAAAGGGAGCAGGAGGTAGGAAGCAGGGAGGATAAAAGAGCGTAGGTAAGAGTTGATAATAAACCGTGTCCAGGTGGAAATTCAGCAACAAAAACTGTATGAGGAGAAATGACCTCTTTGAAGGGTGTTGAATCATGAACACAAGGATGATTCAGCAATGAACTGGTAGCAGAGATCTCCAGGAAGGATACAGTTTAGGCTCATGGCTCCAGCAACCCAGACTCTAAGGAGAACCCAACAGGCCCACCACAGAAACTTGAGTTACCTGTGGCCCCAGCAGGAAAGCAGCAAGCAGTGGGAGCCAGAGATGTCATGAAATCACTTGCCTAAGTCTGCAAAAGAGTCCCCCAGGACAGAGAGGAAATTTGACCCCCCTCCTATTTCCAAGACATAGGCACGTTCACTGCCCCTGGGAGAGAAGGCGGAAGAAGAATCCCATGTCCTCCACTGTTCTGTCTTCTGTCTGTGGTCTTAGCTCTCCCCAGTTTCTGAAGTGGTGAAAATTTTCTCAAAACTTTCCCTCTATTTCTACCCCCAAATTTTTAAAGATTTTTCTGTATTCAGCCATGTGCCAAGTACATGACACATCTTCTGTTCCTGCACAGTCTGGTGAGGAGCATCTTCTGTTATCCCCACTTTATGGATGCAGGGTCTGTGGTCAGTGAGGGCAGCTGCTTGTCCTCACTGACAGTGAGTACTGGAGAGGGACTTGAATCCCCACCCATCTCTGTTCCAACACCAGCACATTCAAGAATCACATAGAACTCCACCCTCTCCCTCTCTCTTCCCCTCTCCTTTTCCTTTGTGTCTACTTAACTTGTATTATTGCCATTTGCTTCTTTTCCCCTCAGTGAAGTGTGAGACTGGTCAGTGTTTTTTTTTTTTTTTCTTTTCCCCCTGTTCGTTCCCAGGAAACAGTGAAGTTTATATAAGTCTCAATCAAAGCAGCCTTCCATCACCACGTTCCATCATCTGCCCAAACTTCTGCTTCCTCTTGACATTTAGGTCTGGGGTGGAGGGCAAAGGCTGTCACCAGAGAAAAGCCAGCTGCTCACAGCCACAATGTCTCACATGCTGGTCTGTCCTCAGATAGCCTGCCATGTCTCAGGGTCTGGTTCTCAACCTCAAAAGTTTCCAAAGATGACAACCTTCTCGCAGAGACAGGGCTCACTAGTTTTTTTTTTTTTTTCTCAATTCTGTAATTCAAAAATTGTTTATGTTTCATTTGATAACTTAATTTCTAGAGTTTTGAAGACACCTTGCTGCCATCTTTGTCTGCCTTTCTGGCTGAACAGAAGGCAACTGCAAGAGGAATACCTCAGACCAGGAAATTGAGTCCAGAGCCTCACATCAGCACTGACGTGAGGCTGACTAATGAGTACTCATCACGAACTTCAAGAGCATGAGAGAAAGACTGCGGACCCATTACAGCTTGCAGGGGACTACTTGCTCTCCACTCCAGTCTTAAATGTCACTAGAGGTGTCGAGTGGGTGGGGGCAGTGGCCTCCAGGGCCTTCATCCCTAGACATTCTGATGGCTCACTAATGCCCTCTAGAAAGGCAATGTTGGATTCAACTCTGAACTCTGAAAATCTCTAGACAAAGAAGATGGTTATCTTTTGAAATCTGACATACCAGAAGATAAGGTTGAAGAGCCCATGGCAGTGCCTTAATTTCCTATTTTTCCTCAAATGTTTTCAGTTGAGCAAAACACATTTTATAAAGCCATTTCTCCTCTAAAAATGTTAAACCCACATTTCAAAATAAGAGAAATCATCTCCTTATGAATCTGATTCATTCACACTTTTATGGGAAGTTTGGCAAACAGAAAATTGGTGGTTCCTTTGTTCCAGATTGTCTACCCAAAAAAGAGGGACAGGGTCCAGAGGACACTAGACTCCTCTCCTGACTCAACACCTTCCATTGGTAAGGCTCTTGCCTCTTTCTATGACCAATAAAGCACAGATAATGACTAGAAAACAGAGGCCATGAGTAGGATGGGCCACTGAACTGGTGCTAAGCAAGTCCTCTTGCTCACCTACTCTTAAAGGTCATTAAAGACTGAGCTTCAAGCCTTCCTTGCCTTGCCTTGCCTCCCACCATGATCCTGGTTGAGATACATTAACTTTTCTTCTCTGATTATCTCAGCAGCCAAATACCTGGTCTCACTGAGTCTAAGTTTGCCCTTCTTTAATCTATCCTCTTCTCACTCTGCCTTTGTTTCTGAATGATATTGTTAGTCACGTTATGGCTCTGCTCAGGGATGACTTTTCACCTCTCGATCACCTGCAAACCATACAAACTGCATTTTCTTACACTATTACTTCAAATGTCTCCTTCCACATATTTCCAGGACAACCACAGCTCACCTCTTTGGAAAGCATGTTCTTTCCTGCTTCTTCCTGGTCTCTTCTTCCCTCACTTCTCCCTTTGAAATTCTATTCTTTAAGGGTCAATGTAAATAATACCTCCTCTGGGAAGTTTGCCAGTTTTTCTAACTTGTATTTTTAAATGATTTTAAATCATTTTAGACTTACTTACAGAAAAGGTATAAAAATAATACAGAATACCTGTACTATTCACACAGATTTCCTGTAATGCCAAAATCTTATGTAATCATAGTACAGTGATCAAAACCAAGAAATCAACATTGGTTCAATACTATTAACTAAGCCAAGACTTAATTTAAATTTCACTTGTCTTTCTAAAAATGTCCTTTTAAAAAAGGACTATTCTGTGTTCCAATCCAGAATCTCACTTTGCATGTGCAGTTGACTCCAGAACGACATGGTTTTGAACTGCATAGGTTTACTTATAAGTGGATTTTCTCCTGCCTAGGATACTCCTGAGATAGCAAGTCCAACCTCTCTCCCCTTCCTCCTCCTCCTCAGCCTACTCAATGTGAAGACGATGAGGTTGAAGACTTTTATGATGATCCACTTCTGCTTAATGAATAGTAAATATTCATTTACTATTTTCTCTTCCTTATGATTTTCTTAATAACATTTTCATTTCTCTAGCTCATTGTAAGAATACAGTATAAATGAAACATACAAAATAATGTGTTCATCAACTGTTTATGGTGTCAGCAAGGCTTCCTGCCAACAGTAGGCTATTAGTACTTAAGATCTGCAGGAGTTAAAAGTTGTACCTGGATTTTCTACTATGCAGGGGGATGGCACTCCTAACCCCCGTGCTATCCAAGGCCAGGTCTAATTGTTGTGTTTCTGCAGTCCCCTGCAAGTTGTAATGCTTCTGCAGTCTTTTTTCTCAAGCTCTTGACGTTCATGATGAGCACTCATCAATCATTTTGTGGAATGTCCCACAGTTTGGTTTGTCTAAGGTTATGTGAGCCTGTCTGTAATTTCCCACAATGGAAGTAATTATTCTCTCTCTGTGCTCCCACCACACTTGGTCACTCCTCATGTCCATGCTTCCTCTACCATGGTATTACCGAGGAGCAAGACTGCATTTTACTCTCTGGGACTCTGTAATGCATAAAACCTTCTTAACATTCAATATATGCCAGTAAAGTCACTGAATAAATGAATAAATGAATGATGAGCACAAAGAAAAAAATGATCAATCTTTAGGCAATTTTTAAAAAACTAATTTTTTAAATAGGAAGCAGATTATTCAAAAAAGGGACCAGTCCCTAGAAGGCCAAGGTAGCAGTTGCCTCCTATCAGCCTCGCTCAGAAAAATGAAATACCAAGAAGGGAAGGCTTCAGTAAATGGAAATAATGAACTGCCAGTGACTTGAAACGCTGTCCTCTGAGAGTCAGAGCATGTCTCTGGTCAGATGTTTCAGTGCCCTTCATTCCCCACTTGAGCCTCTATCACCATGCGTCCTCATGGGAAAAATGAGTGACAGTACCCTGTTAAGTTAGTGCTTCTCAGGAGAAGCAAGCCTTTTTGCAGGCACTTCAGTTGATTGCTGCTCATGCATATGACATGCAATAGCCTGGCACTATTCAGACATAAAGAACAGAAAGCCTGAACACTTCACCGCAACCCCCAAGAAATAAATGTCATATAATTAAGTACTTCTCTCTTGCTTCAAGGGGGCATCTTTAATTTTTTATTTTGCAGGCAAGAGTTTATGCAAAAAAGAAAGTGATGAGAGAAGACAGGTCATTCTTAGAATGACCTATTGATATAATGTGAGATATCTATTCAATAAATATTTGTCACGTGTCTACATGTGAAAGATGATTTTGGAAAGGGCAAAGAATCACCAGGGAATTGGAGCTAGGATGTGTTTCTGGAACTGTGTTTGCTTAGGGAAATGTGATTAGTAATTCCCAGAACACTTTGATCCTCTGTTGTCACTGTTCAGCCCCAAACTGTCTGTGTTTTGCACAGCTTGTGTAACACACACACTGCTCCGCTTCTTCAGGCGCCCCACGCTTTATGCCATGTCAGGTCAGATAAGGAGACAGCTCCACCCCAGTGCCATTATCTTAGGTCTCTCTGGAAACGTGTCCACAGAATTGGGATTTACTCTGTGCTCTTGTCTTTCATCGAGCTTGACTTTCAAAATGGTTATCGACCAGCTGTTTGTATGTCATTCTATTTCATTTGAAGATCCAAAGGAAAGTGACTTCTAAGAGATGAAACGCTTGGGGAAAACTTTTACTTTCCTGACAAAGTGGTAGACTGGTTTTTTAAATAAAGGAAACTGGGCAACCCATTTTTCCCTTTCTATTTGATCTTATGAGATTTTTAATTACATTTCATGTTCAATAGTACAACTGACTGGAGGGCTCATATTTTTGGTACAATTTATCTTCATCATTGCCTGTCCCCGAATCACCACCACCAAAAATAATGGCTTCAATATTTCTTAAAAACTTATCTTAACAGTATCATTGTCCACATTCTTTTGTTGTTATTGCCATTAGGCTGCTTCTAGTCTTTTCTGGAAGTAAGTAGCATAAATAAATTTATAAATACATACATGTACACACATACATACATACATATATACTTCTAATTATCATGGAGGCAGGAAATAACGAAGAATCAGACACAAAGTTGATTTTTGTTGTTGACAAAGCACAGACAGTGAATCGAAAATTTGTTTCTGAAGAATTTTAGAAAGCAGCATTCTCTGAACTCACATGAAAATGACTCTGTAAACTTTTTCTGCTATAAAAATGAAGGGAGGCTTTCAAATTCTGACCCAGGTTTTCAGATCAAGACATTCTTCGCTGAGAACTAAGTGTAAAATACCTCCAGGAACAGTATAATCATATTAGCCTAGAAAAATAAGGAATTTCCAGGTGTAGAAACTGATGATAGGATTGTTTTACACTTAGTTTGTCAGAATCCAGCTGAAAAATGACTGTAAAGGAATGTGCATGCTTATAAACTAAAAAAAGTTGTTTCGCTTAACTCTGATGAAATTTAGTTTACTAGGAGGCTGTGCTCCCTGAAGAAGTTGTGAAATCTTCTAATACCCTATTTCTTCAGAAACAGCCTTCCAGACATTAATAGGGAATGCATTTACTATTCTGGTTTGAGACCCAAAGCTACTCAAAATCTATGCAGAAACCCACAAGGGCCCTTCACACTCCCGAGTCCTCAAGGAGATGAAATATTATGTACAAGTTTGCATCCTAGTAAGATGAACAAGGAAACCTGCCCCATGAAAAAGACCACCGACAGAATGTAATCAAACAATAATAAAAGCTTAAATAATCACAATATAAACACTACTATTAACAAATAGCTCGTCTATAAAATATACAGTGATAAATTTCATTTTCCTCCAGATTTCCTCAAGTGTATTCCCGGGAAAACAAAGTATTTCTCTTATCTCAAATAAGGCATAAGCATGTTGAACAAGGCTAAGGGGGGCAGAACACGAGGCCAGGAGATCGAGACCATCCTGGCTAACACAGTGAAACCCCGTCTCTACTAAAAATACAAAAAAATTAGCCGGGCCTGGTGGCGGGCGCCTGTAGTCCCAGCTACTTGGGAGGGTGAGGCAGGAGAATGGCGTGAACCCGGGAGGCGGAGTTTGCAGTGAGCCGAGATTGCGCCACTGCACTACAGCCTGGATGACAGAGCGAGACTCCATCTCAAAAAAAAAAAAAAAGCGTGGACTTGCGGTGAGCCTGGCTGTTGCGCTGTCTGTGCTAGGAACAGTCTCACTGCTGTTCTGTTGAACATGGTGTCACTGTAATTTACGATAAATATCCTTTATCATGTTGAGGGCTTTCCTTTCTGCTTTCTGGTATGTATTATTATGAGAAATAAATATTGAATGTATTATATGATTTCTCAAAATTCTTTAAAAAAATTTCCTCTTTATCCTCTTGATGAATTGCGGTAGGTTAAACAGAAGTTAAACATTGACCCTGCCTCTTTTTCCTGAAAGAAACTCTATTTGATTAAAATATGATTCTTTTCATATAATGCTAGTTTTGATGTACTAGTATTCTATTTATTGTTTTTGCCTTTGTATTCATATGTGAAACTAGCTTTTAGTTTTCTGTTTTGGGGGGAATTAGTTTGTTCAGGTTTCACTGTTAGTTCATATGCTCATAAAATGAATAGTTCCAGAGCAGTTTATCATGTAAAGAAATAATCTATTCCCAGATAAAACTTTTCTATAAAACGATCTAGACATGGAACCTTTTGAAGAAATAGATTTGGACACTTTTCAGCCTTTGCTACAGTGATTGATCTGTGTACTTTTTAGCTTCTTGTTGGGTAAAATTTTGGTAATTTATGATTTCCTAAAGAAGCATTAAATTCTTGTGAATTTTAAAACGTTCCGGATGACATTTATATAAAATATTCTTTTAAAGAATACTTTATATCTACCCTCACATTTATTTTCTGCTTTGTGGTGTTGTCTGTTGTGCTGTCCATATTTTTCCTAAAGAGATGTGTAAGAGGCTGATTTATTTATTGGTCTTTCCTGGAAAGAGGATTTGGATTCATTTATCAGTTCTACTGTTTGCTTATGTGGGTATTTTTGGTGATTTTAAGTTAGGTAATGACTACTTGGTGTTTATAAATTCTTTCCTCTAACTTCCTTTGGTTCATTTTGTTGTACAATTCTTCATTCTTAAGCAACTTTTGGTTAATATATTTTTAAACATTTCTCCTCATTAACAAAAATATTGAATGCTATGGGTTTTCTTTATAATTTTGGACCAACATATAGTGTTCTCATTGTCTTTAACTTCTAACAAAGCCATAATTTTAGTTGTCATGTCTAGCTTAACCTAAGGTTTTTTTTTAAGTTATTATTTTTAACTTGGGGTGGTTATATTGGTGATAGAGGAAGGGGACACGGGAAATTTTACTTTTATTTTCTAATTGTATTAGTCAAGGTTCTCCAGAGAAACAGAACCAATCGGCCTGAGAACAAAGAGAGTTCAGGTTGCAAGTTCCAGTCTGAGTCCAAAGGCCAGAACCAGGAGAGCTGATGGCATCAGTCCCAGACCAAGAGCCGGAGGAAGCCAGTATCCCAGCGCAAGCAGCCAGGCAGACAGAACAAACTCCTTCCCCGGCCTTTTTGTTCTATTTGGGTTCTCTGTGGTTGGACTGGAAGATGCACACCCTTATTGGGTAGGGCAATCTTCTCTACTCAGTCTATCAATTCAAATGTGAGTCTCATCTAGAAACTCCCTCTCAGATATACCCAGAAATAAAACCCCATGGCCCAGTTCAGTTGACACATAAAGTTAACTATTACACTAGTTTAATTGCACTGTGATTAGAGAATACCACTCTTTGAGGCTTTCTTGAAATTTCCTTTGGCTCTAAAACATGATCAATTTTTGCCAATGTTTCATGAGCATTTGCAAAATGTATTCTCTCATCAGCAAAAATGCTAAAAGTATCTCTTAAATAAAGTATGCTAATGCAGTTTTTAAGTGATCTGCATTTTTATTTATATTTAGCAATATGTTTGGCCACTCCTGCAAGGAGTTTGTTAAACACTGTGCCTCTATCTTGTTTTTATGAGGTTCTTACATTTCTAACAGTCATTGCTGCAGATGCGTCACTGACATTTATACATGCACTTATACATAAACATTCAAGAGCTTTTCATTCTCTCGGTAGATTTTACCTTTGACTTTAAATGATACCTCATGTGATATCAATATTGATGTTGCTGCTTTCTTTTTGTGGTATTTTCTTTGTCCATCCTTTAAATTTCTTTGTTCAATTTCTAAACTTATTTCTATCTAAAAATAATATAGTGGTTAACAGTGAGGCCTCTGGAATCTAATTATCCAATTCCCCAGCTCCAGGGTATTACTGTGGCCACTTTTCCATCTGACTGTGTCCCTGTTGAGACAGTGTATGTGAAAGTGTGTGGGAAAATGCCTAGTGTATAGTATGCACTGAATACATTTTACCTGTCATTCTTTTTATTACTTTTAATTTATATTATAAATAGCAAAGCTTTTTTCTTACAGTGAAGCATTAGATTTTACTTTTTATGTATACTCTGAGTATCTATATACATTTTAATAGGGTGTTTTTAAAGCCATTCAAATTTATTTCCTCTAAAAATATTTGAGGTTCTATATCTTCCAACTTTTTTACACTTCCTACTCACTCTGATTTCTTACTGTCTCATTTTGTTTCTTTCCCTTATTTTTGGAATTCTATTTTTTATTCCATTTCAAAGATGTCATTAATTTATTTTTTTCAGGGCCCAATGTTTTAGGCTCAGTAGATCATTTCTTTTCAGAAACATGAGGCTTGCTTGGCAGGCAAAAGAAATCTGTTAGCTCTTCCTGGGTGACCAGCACTGAGCTAGACATGGTAGTGGGGAGGAATATAAAACAAGTACAAGATACAAATCTTGCTGTAAGGCAGCTTAAAATCTAGTAAAGAACTTATAGGAAAAATAAAATGCAGCAAATAATAAGACATAAACTAGGTTTCCGTTAAGTGTTCTTGGAATTCAGAAGAAAGATGGAAAAGCAGTGACTGAGCTACCCTCAGAAGAGCCAGGAGGGTTTGGATGCTGCAACACAACATAGCCATGTATCCGTGTGACTGCCCAGTGGGGAGCTGGTTTCCAACCTGGACTCTAAAATCAACAAATGATATCTTCCACTAAACCAAAAGGGAGGCTCAGCACCCACTCAGTACCCCTCCATCCTGCCATCCTTGTCCTGTTTCTTATCTTGGAGAAAAAAAACTTCAGACTTTCATTGCTGAGTATTATTTTAGCTGTGGGCTTTTCATATATGGCCTTAATTATGTTCAAGTAGTTTCTATTTCTAGTTTGTTGAGTTATTTAATCATGAAAAAATGTTGAATTTTGTCAAATGCTTTTTCTGCATCAAGTAAGATAATAATGTGGTTGTTTGTTTGTTTGTTTGTTTGTTTTGAGACAGAGTATCGCTCTGTTGCCCAGGCTGGAGTGCAGTGGCGCTATCTCGGCTAACTGCAACCTCTGCCTCCCGGGTTCAAGCGATTCTTCTGCCTCAGCCTCCTGAGTAGTTGGGACTACAGGCGGGCGCCACCATGCCTGACTAATTTTTGTATTTTTAGTAGAGATGGGGTTTCACCATATTGGCCAGGCTGGTCTCAAACTCTTGACCTCGTGATCCGCCCACCTCAGCCTCCCAAAGTGTTTGGATTACAGGCATGAGCCACTGCGCCCGGCTAATTGTGTGTTTTTTCCCTTCGTTCTGTTAATGTGGTGTATTACCTCAGTTAATTTTCATATATTGAACCATCCTTGCACATAGGAGTAAATTCCACTTGCTCATGGTGTACAGTCTTTTGAATGGGTTGTTGAATTTGGTTTTCTGGTATTTTGTTGAGGATTTTTGCATCACTATGGATAAGGGATACTGATGTGTACTTTCCTTTTCTGCTTGTATCTTTGTTTAGCTTTGGTATCAGGGTAATGCTGGCCTTATAAAATGAGGTTGGAAGTGTTTTCTCCTCTTCAATTTTTTGGAGGAGTTTGAGGCACTTTGGTGTTTGTTCTTCTTTAAATGTTTGTCAGGATTCACTAGTGAAACCATCTGGTCATGAACTTTTCTTTGTGTAGAGGTTTTTGATTTCTGATTCAATCTCTTTACTGTTTATATATCTGTTCAGATTTTCTGTTTTTGCTTTATTCAGCCATCGTTAAGTTGTTTCTAGGAATTTATAATTTTAAGTAGATTATCCAATTAAGTGATACACAATTGTTCATCACATTCTCTTATAATTTTCTAAGATTTCTGTAAAATTAGTTGGACTTTCCCCTATTTTATTTCTGATTTCAATTGTTTGAGTCCTGTTTTTTTTTCTTAAACAATATAACCAAAGCTATGTCCTTTTTGTTGATCTTTACAAGGAATCAATCTTTACAAAGAAGCAATTTTTCTGAATTGCTTTTTTATTCTCTACTTTGTTTATCTCTTATAATCTATTTTTTTCTTCCACTAGCTTTGGATTTAGTTTTGCTTTCTTTTTCTAGTACTTTAAGGCATAAAGTTAGATTATTAATTTGAGATCTTATTTTTTATATATGGGAATTAACTGCGATAAATCTTCCTCCTCGGCACTGCTTTTGCTACATCCCATAAATTTTGTTCTATTGCGCTTTTATTTTTATTTGCCTCAAGATATTTCCTACTTTCTGTTGTTACTTCTTCTTTGACTCATTGGTTATTTAAGATTGTATTGTTTGATTTCCACAAATTAATGATTTTTTGCTTTCTTTTTCTTAGTTTCAATGCAATCAGAAAAGATACATTGCATGATTTCATTATTTTTCAATTTATTTGTATTGTTTTGTGACCTAACATATGGTCTATCCTGGAGAATAGAATATTCCACATGCATTTGAAAAAATGTGTCTTCTGCTGTCATTAGGTGGACTGTGATACCTATCTCTGTTAGGTACCATTGCTGTATATGTTGTTCGAGTCCTCTATTTCCTTACTGATCTTCTGTCTGGTGGACTTTTTCCATTATTGAAAGTAGGAGTATTGAAGCCTCCTACCATTATCATTGAGCTATCTATTTCTACCTCCAATTCTGTCAGCGTTTGCTTCGTATATTTAGGACTTCTGATATTTGCTGCATACACACATGCACTCATGCGCATGCACACACACACAGGCACACTTCTAATTGTTATATCTTCTTGGAGAATTGACCCTATTATCATTATATAATTTCCTTTGTCTCTTGCAATAGTTTTTGACTTAAAGTCTGTTTTATCTGCTATCAGTATAACCACCCCAGCTCTCTTCTGGTTAATATGTTCATGGAATTTTTTTTTCTATTTTTTTTACTTTCAACATATATATGTCCTTAGATGTAAAGTAAATTGCTTATTAAAAACATATATTTGGATATCCTCTTTTATAATCCGTTCTGTCAATCTATAACTTTTGGTTACCATGGGGATTACATAAAACATCTTAAGTTGTAACCACCTATTTTAAACTGACAAGAACTTAACTACAATCACATATAAAAATTCTACTCCGTTACAGTTCTGTCCCCGCTTCATGTTATTGATGTTACAAATTACATTGTTATATATTGTGTACCCATTAACATAGATTTATACTTATTTTTATGATTTTGTCTTTTAAATCATATAAAATAATTAAAAGCAGAGTTACAAACCAAAATTATAATAATATAGGTTTTTCTATGTGTTTATATATTTATTATACCTTTACCCGAGATCTTCAAATGTTCCTATAACTTTTAGTTATGATCTGGCATCATTTTGTTACAATTTGAAGGATTTCCCTTAAAAAATCTTGTAGGGTGGCCTAGTAGTAATTAAATCCTCCAGTTTTTGTTTATGTGGGAATGTCTTAATTTCTCCCTTATTTTAAGGAATGATGTTGCCAGATATATTATTTACTTTGTTCCTTTCTTGGTTGGCATTTTCCTCCTTTCAACACTTTAAATATATCATCTCAATGCCTTCCGACCTGCAAAGTTTCTGGTAAGAAATTATCTCGTAATCTTTTAGGGGCTCCCTTTTATATAATGAGCCACTTTTCTCCTGCTGCTTTGAAAATTCTTTGTCTTTGACTTTCTGCTATTTGATTATAACGTGTTTCAGGGTGGATCTCTTTGGATTTGTCTAAAAAAGTTCATTGAGCTTCTTATATTTGTGTATCAATTTATGTACTTGAATTTGGGAATTTTTCAGCCATTATTTCTTCAAACAAAATTTCTGCCCCTTTCCTTCTTCTCCTTCCTTGATCTCCAAAATGCATATATTGGTCGGCTTGATGGTGTTCCACAAATCCCTTAGCCCCTGTTTACTTTTCTTTATTATTTTTTCTTTTTGCTTCCCCAACTTAATAATTTCAAATGACCTGTTTTCAAGTTCACTTATTACTTCTGCCTGTTTGTCTGCTGTCAAACTCTTCTAGCAGATTTTCCAATTCAGTTATTGTATCTATCAGCTCCAGAATTACTGTTTTTTTTTAATTTCTACCTTTTTGAATTCTGTTTATATATCGTTTTCCTGATTTTGCTTAATCTTCTGTGTTCTACTTCAGCTCATTGCACATATTTAAGATGGTTGTTCGAAAATCTTTTTAAAGTAGGCCAGAGGCTCATGTTTCTTTAGGATCAGTCTCTGGAGATTTGCTTTGTTCCTTTCAATTGGCTGTGTTTTCTCTCTTTTTGTATGCCTTGTAAACATTTGTTGGAAATTGGGCATTTGAAAAACAGCCACCACTGCCAGTCTTTGTGGACTTGCTCTGTGCAGGGAAAGACCTTCACTAACCAGCCTGGTATGAATGCTAAGGGGCCTCTCCAACTTTTGCTTGGGATGCATATTCTTTTTTGTGTGCTTTTGTTTCAGTGCTCTGATATATATACATATGTGTGTGTGTGTGTGTGTGTGTGTGTGTGTGTGTTTGTGTGTGTATGTCTGCTTTAAAGTCAATTTCCTAAATATTCTCACTCCTGCTTCTTCTTGGATCCTTAGGTGCTGTGTTGATCTGCATCTCTTGCACTCAAGTGCCTATGGGCCTGAAGTTCCCCTTGAGCTCTCTCATGCCATATAGCACCTTCTACTGCTTCCAACAGCCTCCAACCTAATATCCAAATTATGCCACAGTTCCCATCAATGCCTTGAGACAAGAGCCAAAAACCAGTCCATCAAACAGTCCTTAAACAAGCCAGAATGTTTTGAGAAAGTTTCATTTCTTTCCTTACATCTCAAGGAAGGAGCTGGGAATTGCATGTTCTGATGACACCCTGTGGGGGAGCAGGTGGGGGAGCAGCTGAGCAAAATGTCACAAAATTTCCTACCATTATGAGGGTGATTTTTCATTGGTTAGGTGTTTGCTTGGTTGCTGCAGCTGCTTAACTGGTTTCTAGAGTTCTCACAAAAGTATTTTGCTAGGTACATTATTATTATTTGTTGTTTCCATGGGAAAATGAGGGCATGAGGCTTCCTAGTCTACCATCTTGCCAATGTCACTCTGAGATAATTCTTTCAGAAATGTGTGAAATTACATTGCATAACTTTCTCAATGACTCTTCTCAGATTTACTGAGGTCTACATAAAGTTCCAAGTAAAAGAAACTCTTTCCAAATATAACAGCAGACTTATTCTAATCTGAATGGAACACTATCTTACTTATGCCTCAAATGAATAAAACCAATCAAGAGTTATAAGAACACTGATTTTTATCAAGACCAATTTGTAGGAGTTTTCTGACAAAATTCTACAGTCTGGTTCAGATACATAGTTGATAGAGACATTTCACTTCAGATCTTAAGATTTTTGTTGTTGTTGGGCTAAGCAGGGATCTCATCATACCCAGTGCTTCCTTATATTCCTGGGTACTTTAACATTTCCATTGATTTCTGTTTCTCACAAAAACTTCTTGAATTTAGCAATATCTCAAAGGACATAAACAGAAATCTGGCTCAGTGTTAAAGTGGGTCTGTATTTTTTTATTTACATTTTTCTTTCTTTTGGAAGGCAGCTCTTTCACAGGTTTTATCTCTCCCACTGCTCTTACATAAAACTTTTGTAAAAGGTCAATTTTTTTAGATCACCCAGAAGTCCAGGCACATCCCCTTCAGACTGCTTAGAGTAACTGGTTTTGCCCTTGGCTTAGTAAATGCCTCATACCTCTCCACCTTCTGCATCTCCTCAGACATTTACTATGAGAATCAAAATGAAATGTGTGTGTGGGTCTCTCTCTCTGCCTGCTTGTTTCTCTGCCTTGGTAAGACACTGGAGCATTAACTCAAACTAAAAAACTTACTTACTGTCTTTAAATGGGCTTAAAATTAACTCTGAGACAAGGACTAAAGAGTAAGCAGTTCATTTGGGAGGTGACTCTAGGAAATACCCACAGGGAAACAGGTAAGTGAATTAGAGAAGGAGAAGCAGCCAGCAAAATGGCACATTATTGAGCAAGTTACTGCTACAGGCAACTGCAGCTCCATCCCCTGGAGCCATCTGGGAAAGTAGATAGAATACTCCTCAGAGTTGTCCGATCCTGGGTTCGGGGAAGCGATGGCATTTATCCACCAGCTTCTCTCAGTCATTGACTGAGGGAATCCTTCTCCTGAAGGATATTAACTCCCAGCATTTCTGGCCCTTCCCATGGGAAAGCAGGCTTAGGTAACTAGAGATGACCTTCAGACCAAGAGTCGTGAATACCTACAGTTGGCATCCTTAGCATCTGGACTGCACAATGTGAAGTGATGAGTTTGGAAGGACGCAGGGGGTACCAATCATTCCTGCTACATACACTCCTTCTATACCTCCCTCTATCTGTGGAAAAAATGACAAGATCTCTACCTTCCTTGGTGTTCTCCAGATATACAGTCTGAGGGGCCCTATGAGCAAAGGAGATTATGATTTGGGCAATAAAAAAAATCTTCCAGTTGACCTTTTATGTTAGCCAAAGGCATTTACAAGAGAATAAATTGTTATTCACAGAGAAAGATCTGTTTTCTACTGACCTTAAGGTGTGGCCCTGCATACGAATGAATGAATCCACTGTTAAAGTAATAAAATGTCTCAGACTATTTGAAGCCTTGTCGATGTGACCTACACAAATTTTTTAAGTGTACTGATATTACTGAAGCAGCAGCAACAAGAGAAGGGACGTTTTCCACATCAAAATGCAATGTACTTGGAATGCAATGTAATATACTTGGAACACATGTTAGATCTGAAGGTATTTATAAATACAAGCACTCCACTTTCTTCTCAACTCTTCTACCCACCTCCAGAAACAATTGTGGTGATGGATGTGCTTCCATTAGCTAGAAATATGCTTTTAACTTATTTCAGGGAAGAAAAATTGAGACAAGTTGAAATAACTGAAAAAGTTGCAGGCATGTAATCATCTCTCTAAATACAATGGCAGCCTCTTGGTGTATCTGATATTTTGTGGCAAAATAAAGTGCTTGATCTGAGAACTAAAGTTGGAAAGATATTTACAGTTAAGATACCATGGTCATTTAAAGATATTATGAAAACATGGTATTATAGGCATAAGAGTATTAAATTGAGTATTTGCTTTTTAATAAAGAACTCTTTGCTTATTGCTCCTAGGCAGATTTTGGCACCACAAAAGCCAAAACAAGTTTTAGCTTCTTTCCAATTCCTTACCCCTGACTCTATGCCAAAATCCCTCTCTCAAGGACTCTGCACAAAGCAAGCTCAGAGGTCTTTAATTTAACTTCGGTTGAAGTGAAGGATGCCAGTGTTGTATTGCCTCTGCTTCTCTGTGTGTTAAGCAGGAAAGATGAGAACATATGCACACCTCCTACAGTGAGAAGCACAGGTGTGTGTGGTGTCCTGCACTGCTCTCTAGCCCCACAGAAGACATCACCAACTGATCTGGGCTCTTGATCTCAACAAGCCTTGGTGCTGGCTCAGAATTCTCCTTACAGAGTGATATACTTCCTCAAAATGAGACCTAGCTGGCCTTCCATTTATATCCATGTCCTGGATCAACAAGAAAAAGCAAACAGCCACAAGTACCGAGCCCTCTTCCAGATAAAAGGGTTCTGTCCTCCAAAAACAGGAAGACGCCCTGCTTACATGTAAGATACACTCAGCTGACTGCCTTCCAATCATGGGTACTGAGAAAAAGGGTTTTATGGAACACAACCACATCCATTCAGAAAACATCCATTGAGGACCTACTGTGTGCCAGAGAGAGTGACTGGTACAAAAGATAAGTGATGTATGCCCAAGCTTTGTCTCAGAGATCCCACAGCCTAGGAGGAAAGAACAAGTCATGGAGGCAGACAGGTCAGCGGAGTAAGAAGGGCACACAGGCAGGGCCAGAGAGTGGCCCAAAGGCAGATCCTCGCAGCCTGAACCTTGTCTCTGGTGCTTGCTAACTGTTTGGCCTCAGAATATAACTTAGTCTTCTAATCCTCACGGTTTTTAAAAATGTATGTTGTGGGAATGATACTCTCTACCAGCTATGGAGGGCCACGAAGACTAAATGAATTAAGCAGAATGCCAGTCACTTGTGCAAAGTAAATGCACTTATTAATGGAGAAAAATAATTGGATGAGTTATCTATATTTCTAGAACAAGTTACCACAAATGCAGTGCCTTTAAGCTACACACATTTATCACCTTACAGTTTCTGTAGATCAGAAATCAAGCCATGGCAGATCTGGGTCTTGTGCACAACTGGTCCTTGTGCTTCTCTCCCAGGTTTCAATCCAGGTATCTTCAGCCAGGGTTGGGGCTTCATCTGAAGGTTCATCCAGGGAGGTATCTACTGCCAAGCTCAGGGGTTGCTGGGAGAATTCAGTTCCTTGAGGGCTGGACTGAGGGCCTCAGTTCCTGCTGGCCGTGGGCTGCAGGCCCCCCTCATTTCCTTTTCGCATGGGCTTCCAGTACAATAGGGAGAGTCTGTGAGCCAGAGAGAAGTCCCAGGCATTTGTAATCTCCTCACAGAAGGGATGGCCCATCACCATTGTTGTGGTTTTTGGTCAGAATCAAGTCACAGGGGCCCACACTCGAAAGGGGGAAATTACTCAAGGGCATGAAAAGCAGGGGGCAGCAGGAATTGAGGGTCTCCTGTCACAAACACATCTGAAATATAATATGGTGTAAATTCAACAACAAATGTTTATCTAAGGTCTGTTCGAAGGACATGAGACTCAAAGCAAAGGATGTCAAGGAAGCCTTCCTCAGAGAGTGACTGCTAAACTGAGAATGGAAATGTAAGAATTTGCCCGGAAAACCAATCACAAAGGGGCATACAGCTACGGAAACACCCCGCACAGAGGCAGGCGATTGTGACACTGTGTGTCCAGTCCTGGGTGTCAATGATAGGCTGGCACCTCTCTGTGGCACCTCCCTTTGCCTCTTCAAGCCTTGGGGTGATGACAGCTTCCTTTGTTTCTACACCCAGGGCACAAGATAACCCTGGCAACCTACAGCCTGATGAAAAGGGAGGAGAATCTAAATGACTTACTGCTGTGTACTTGGCCATGAGAGAATAACCGTGATAATAACTCAGGTAAAAGGCTCAGAATGAGAAGTAGGTTTAAAAAGTAGGTAATGAAGATTGGGATAGGCCAAGGAGAACCTGAAGGGCATATGGGACAGCCAGAAGGAAAGCCTGTAAGGCTGTGGGATGTAGGCATTTGGAGCCTGGAGTGTCCTGAGCTAGAGACACAGAAGCAGGAGGCATTCACTTGAAGGTTGTGTTTAAAAATATGGGAGAGGTAGGAGCTGTCTAAAGAGAGGAACTAGAGTGAGAGGGGCAAGACATTTTAGAAATAATTTAGAAGAAATAAAAACCCAATAGATCTTGAATAACACCATAGTATTTTATCAGTTTAAAACCTAGTATTTTATAGTATTTTATCATTACAATATAAATATTTCCCTCTCTCTTCTTCTTCTTTTTTTTTTTTTTTTTTTTTTTTTTTGTGCGTGTGTGTGTGTGAGACAGAGTCTTGCTCTGTCACCCAGGCTGGAGTGCAGTGGCACGATCTCGGCTCACTGCAAGCTCCACCTCCCTGGTTCATGCCATTCTCCTGCCTCAGCCTCACGACTAGCTGGGACCACAGGCACCTGCCACCATGCCCGGCTAATTTTTTGTATTTTTAGTAGAGACGAGGTTTTGCTGTGTTAGCCAGGATGGTCTCGATCTTCTGACCTCATGATCCGCCCGCCTGGGCCTCCCAAAGTGCCGGGATTGCAGGCGTGAGCCACTGCACCTGGCCCTCTCTCTTCTTTTTCATTCATCCCACAAATACTTTCTGAGCAACCACCATGTGGCAGGCATTGTTCTAGGTATTTTTGATCCAAAATGATAAAAAAACAACCATTGCTTCTTGCCTCAAGAAGTTTACATTCTAGTGGAAATAAAGCTAACCCTAGTAAGTAATTATCATGGTAGTGTCTTCAGGTGACTGTCTACAAGATATTGATTAATCACAGAAAGAAAATAGAGGACACTTGGCAGACACTGCATAAACAAAGTGATCAGAATTAACCTCACCAGTAATGGGACAAATTACTTGTATGGCTCCATGATGCAATGCCCTGGGAACACAATGTAACCTCAGTTGCACGTGAGCCCATAATGCATAGCTTGAGTCTAAACACAAGGAAACATCAGACAAATCCAAATTCAAGGCCATTCTACAACATAGCTCACCTGTACCAAAAATGAAAGAAAAATTAAGGAACTATTTCTGATTAAAAAATACTAAGGTTTACGAACCATTCTTTTTTTTCTTTTTCTTTTGCTGTAAATGGTCTTACTAGGTCCATGGGCAAAATCTAAATTAGATCTATAGTTTAGAAATAATGCTGGATCAATGTTAATTTCCTGATTTTGATCATTATACTGGGATAAGGAGGGAATGTTCTTATTTGACAAAATATGCTCTCAAATATTTAAGAATAAAAAGAAAAAAAGTAGACACCATGTCTGCAACCTACCCCAAAGGAGTGAAAACAAATCTATAGAGAAGGAGAATGATAATGCGAATGTGGATAAGTGTTAACTTTTGGAGAACTGGGGTGAAGGGTACACAGGAAGTTCTCATATTATTCTTGCAAATTTTCTGTAAGTCCAAGATTATTTCAAAATTTAAAAAAGCATTTTTACCCATAAAAACCATTTCCAGAAATTTTGGGAATTTCCAGAGTTCTTTGTATGTCTAATCAATTGCAGTTTATGACTCAATGCCAACAGATGTTATATTAAAGACATATTTAAATCTCTAAAATAAAATAACCATAAGGGAAGATCTGTTACTTAATAAATGCTTTCCTGAGAATTTCTAAATGTTCTTATTTGTATTAAGTTCTTTAGGCATTGGTGCTTGTTTGTTTCATCTTTTGGCAGAGAAACTCCTCTTTCAAATAACATTTTATGCAGCTTGTTTTCATATAAAACTAACCCAAGCCTGAGATCTAACAACCTCTTATACCCAAAGAAGACTCTGATATCTTGGTGGGTTCCCTATGCTTTGGGAACCAAATTTAAACAGCTTTCTCCAGAGAATCCAGGTGGAAATAGCTTCAAAAAAAGAGATACTTCCATCTTCCTTAATTTTTAAGGCTACATGTACTTCATACATCAGTGTTGCATAAATCAACTATTTATCATGTTCTTTTTTAAAATATAGAACTGGAACAAAACACCTGTCTGGCAACCTGTAAATCATTCTTTATCATTTTTCGTGTCCAATAAATTGTTTAAGAAAAATTTTTTAAGATGCACAGAGGAAAAAGGAAACTCTTATATTTCAGACCATGCTGAAACAATCAAGTGATTTATCAACAGCTCCAGGAAGATGTCATGAAATTGTGAAATATGAAAGGAAAGGGATGGCTTATCTGAGCTTAGATACACAAGTCGGTTCCAAAAAAGCAGTAAGCCAGGAGTCAGACATCCCAGCTCAGTGAATAGTGCCCTGAAGTCCCCTGTTTGAGTTACAGTCCTTAGACATCATTTTTCTCATCACACCGTGTTGTAATTAGATCGGATACTTCAGTTAAGGCATCAGGGAACCAACTCAAACTGACTTGTGTAAGTAGCTCCAGTCAGGGCCTAATCTAGGAGCTCTTAGGATGTGACCAAGGGGCTTGTTTTCTTTAGCGCTGGGCTCTGTTCTCCATGGCTTCGTAAGGCTTCGCCTCATAGTAATAAAATGGCTGCAGCTGCCCCAGCCCTAATCTCTTTTTACCACCCTGACTAGAGGAGAGAAAATCTTCCTTCTAGGACCTCTAGAAGAGTAATCACTTGCCTTGCTTCAGACAAGGTCACATGGCCATTCTTACACCTATCATTGGCTTAAGCCAGATGGATCCCAAAGTGACCAACCTCACTTACAATTTATTCCTGCTTGGCTGAAGGAAATAAGGATTCTGTTGGGTGGGAGATAGGAAACTAGGTGCTTGGGAAGCACTTCAAATTGATGTGCACTACACACTCCAACCCCAAATCTTCTTTTCTTAAGCCATTGAGTGGAGAGACCAGTGGTGAAGTTGGAAAGGAGCAAGGAAGAGATGAAAGAAATTGGCCTCCTGAAACAAGTGGTCTTCATAGAGCAACCTCTGGAAGGAGGAGACCTCCAAGGGCCTCTAAAGTTCTCTCCAGCCCTGAGGCTGCACCTGCACAAGGACTCTGGATGTGTGTATCCCTGCCACCATGTGGGAGACACTGTGGGAGGGTTTTTACACGGGACTCCAGATGTGTGTGTCACCTGCCACCGTGTGGGAGACACTGTGGGAGGGGTTTTACACAGGACTTCGGATGTGAGTGTCACCGGCCACTGTGTGGGAGACGCTGTGGGAGGGGTTTTATTCATATCAGTTCTTCAAATCCTCACTCTCATGCCATGAGGTGGGTGATGGCATTGCACTTGGAGAAGGGGCACTGGGCACTGGCTGGTAAACCGATTGGCCTCCACCATGCAGCTGGAATTTGACAGCATCCTGATCCAAAAACCAGTTGTCAGATGGCAAATGCCATGTTCTTAACCACTCTGCTCTTCATGAAAACGTGCACGATGAACACTACATCATCTTTGGAAAATTAAAAAAAAGCTTAGGGGGCGTTCATTAGGAGGGATGTTATGGACAGCAGTGGGCACAGGGCTGTTCCTTCCTCACCAAGTATCTAGTGTGTACCTACTCTGCACTTACTTCTCTCTCCAAGAAGGAGTCTTTCCTCGGGAAGTGGGGACCTGCCCAGTGCCGCAAGATTTCCTGGAGCCTGGGTTGGTCTCTAGGTCAGCCGCTTGGTCTTCATTGTGCCAATGATGCTTTGGCAGTGTGGATAACCTACAGACCCCTTCTCAGAATGATACTTATAAACATTCAAAACACAGAATCACAAAGGAAACCAATTATGTAAAAATGCACTTATCAAAACATAAAAACACTGTTATATGATAATAATGATCTTCTTTAACAAAGAGCTAGCAGTGGATCTAATACTGACCATAATTTTAAGGTATCGAGTTGTGTACAGGATGATTTCAGATATCCATGAAAACAGTTATCTGAGATATGAAGATACCCATAATCTTTATGGGTGATAAAACACAGGTTTTACTAATACTACCGTAGCTTGCTGTCACATTCATAACCAAAGCACATGCTAAGTTTCTAAGGCAAGTGAAAGAAGAGGTGTAGGTTTTTCTCCTCATCCAAGTTCATGACCCTCTGAAATTAGATGAAACCTTGCCATAGAGAAGGAGCCCCCACAGCGACAATGTTCTTTGGGGAGAAGTGGTGCAGACTTAATTTATAAGGAAACTTTTCTATGTAAAGTTTGAGTACATTAAGGAAGAAGCTCATGTCATTTATATCTTGGAGAATACTTCCTTCCAGTTTTCATTCTGAATTACATTCTACCTACCTCCTCCCCAAGAGAGAAGGCTGAGCGCAGCACATGGGTCTGTGTTTCCTCCAGCTGGCCCCAGAGAGCGAATGCCCACATGCAATCACTGAGCGGAGAAAGATATTTTTGTTGGTTTAAGCAGAGGGTAGAAATCTAATAATTTGCTCACATTTAGTTGATAATAAAAAAAGCAACTGTGAAAGATTATTTTAGAATCTAGAGTTCATATACATATGTATGATGAAAGGAAATAGCATTCTTCAAAGAAGACATTTTCCAATTCAGACCATGTTTCTCAGATGCACTTATTGAAAATTAAAAATTAGCATTTCGGTGTCTCAAACTTTTCCTGAGATAGGAAAACCACTCAAGCTTGGTTATAAAACTGGAGTCACAGAGGCTGGCTGGATCCTGGTGACGTTTTTTTTTTAAATCCAGAACAAAGAATCCAATTATTTTATTACATTTTTAACTTAGGTTCTCTTCCAAGAGGGAGTGGAGGCTAGAGCCACACAATTTATGAGTCAGGGTCAGGCTGAAGAAAGGAATGCATCTCTCTCCTTTAAAATATTTCTGAACTCTTCTCTCTTGCCAAGAGGAAAAGCAACACTGACTGCAGAGATCCTGGGTGAAGAATCTGCAGGGCTCCCTGCTACCTCCGACCCAGAAAAGACCCCAAGCCAAATAGTGTCTCAATCTAAGCAGGAGCTTAGAATTGTAGAGGACACCTGAGTTGCTATCTTAGACAGTTTGGGATGCCAGAACAAAATGCCATAAGCTGGGGGGCTTAAACAGCATTTGTTTCTTATGCTTATGGAGGCAGAAAGTCTGTAACTAAGGAGCTGACTTGGTGGAATTCTTGGTGAGGGCTCACTTTCTGGTTTGCAAACAGCTGCCTTCTTGCTGTGTCCTCTATGGCAAAGAGATAGCACACTCTGATATCTTCATCTTTTATAAGGACATAATCTCATCCTAGGAGCACCACCTTCATGACCTCATCTAAACAAAATTACCTCCCAAAGACCCCACCTCAAAATATCACACTGGGGATTAGGAATCAACATATAGATTTGGGGGCAACACAGGCAGTTCAAAGCAGCTGCATATTTTCAAAGATCTTTAAAGGTCTAGTAAATCCAAATCTTTTATCAATATGCACTGTGATTATTACTTTTAGTCATCACCTGGATTAAGGAATGCCTAGATAGCTAGCCAAGCATTATTTCCAGGTGTATCTGTGAGGATGCTTTCACAGGATATTGGCATATGAGTTTCTGGACTAGGTTGGAGAGATCCACCCTCAATGTGGGGTTGGGGAGGCACCATCCAATCAGCTGGCCCAAATAGAACATAAAGGCAGAGGAAAGTTGAATTTGCTCGCTCCCTCTCTTACCCCCTCTCTCTTCCTCCTGGAGCTGGGACCTCCTCCTTCTCCTGCCCTTGGACACCAGAACTCCAGATTCTATGACCTTTGCACTCCAAGACTGTCACCAGTGGCCCCCTGAATTTTCAGACTGTCCTTTTTTGACTGAGTTATACCACCAGCTTCTATGATTTTGAGGCTTTTAAATCTGGACTGAGCCACCTTATCACTTTCCCTCGTTATCCAGCTTACAGACAGCCTATGGTGGGACTTAGCCTCTAATCAAGTGAGCAAATTTCCCTAACAAATCCCCTCTCATCTCTATCTATCTATCTGGCATCTCCTATTGGTTCTGTCTCTCTGGAGAACTTCAACTTTGTGAGATAGCTGTCCTGTTTACTTCATGCTACAAAGTATCAACTATATTTATCCTTTAAAAAAAATTATTTTCTTGGATAATATAGTAAGCATTTGTTTTAAAATTATTTAAAAAATAAACTCATAAAGAAGAAACTGAAAGTCATTTGAAAGTCCTTGGTCCAGAAATAACCATTATTTTCATTTGATGAACAAATATGTTTCTAATCCTCTCTCTATACATCTGCATGTTCATATATGTCTACAGGTAAAATTTTATTTAAAAGGTATGCATTAAACAGAACTTTCTTTTATATTGATTTTTCAACTCAAAACCTTTTCTTATTACCAAATATAGATAGCCATCATCATGGGTGTCATAGTAACCCATAGCATATCTGTAAAGTAATTTGTGAGAATGCCCACCCCTCCATTGGTAGATATTTCTGTTGTTTCCTGCTGTAATGGACAGCCTGCACAAGTGGCTCTGTGTCTTGCCTAATGCTCTTCTGAGAAAAAGTGTCTGGAATTGGAAAAGGAGATGAGCACATTTCATGCATCATCCTGCAGAGAAGTTACAGTCTTTCACTCTCACCGACCCCATCAGGGGTACCTATTTCAACACACCAACACCAGTTGCAGATTTTATTAATCTTTCTGACCTTTACCAATCTTACTGCTCAAACTCCTTCCTGCTTTGATTTACATATATTTGATGCAAATTTGAACCAATTTTTTATTGGCTAGCCAGACAATTTTTTTTAGAAAAAGCACACAAATTATTATGATGAGGAAGGTACTTTGTAGGCATTAGATAGTTAATGTTAGTTAACAGCTGAAGAATCTTGAAAAATAAGCTCTACTAAAACAAATCCTAAACTTTTTCAAGATGCTAAATAATTCTGAGTCAGAAATAGTATTACTTAGAATCCCTACACGCACACACACACACACTTTTCTTATTCAGTGATCAGAGCTCTTGGTCCATTCTTCAATCGCCACTATTCTGCCTGCAAAAGACAGAGAATGGGAAGTGTTGGTGCCCCTGTTTGTAGAGATTGGAATTATAGTGTTGGCCATATCTGGGTTAGAAACCTGACTCCACCCCATACCCACTGACATCAAGTTTGTTTTCTTTCCTTTTTTCCTAAAAATGTTACCTATATTCTTAAAAGTAGGTATTTTGGGCTAAGTAAATATCATCATTTTCATTTTGCACATAGAAGTGGAAAAAAATTATATTACTTGCCCAAAGGAAAAAAAATATGTGTACATTTATGTAGCATCTGCATACTCATCATATCCATTTCCCAATGTGATTCCTTTCCTGGATAAGAATAGAGAGGGCTGGTGTTCCCATGTCTTGAATAAAGACATGGCAGCCCAAGCAATGCATGACTGGCCAGGATCTGACATCTAAATGGTAGATTAGGGCTGCAGCAGAGTCATCGTGACTCCTAGTCCGGCATTCTCCCCACCCTCTATGCTATAAGGAAAACAAAATGTAATGAAATAGCCCTTTTAACAACTGCAACTTGGAGCCAAGGCCACCAATGGCACAATCACTAAAAACCCCACAGACAACGCCCAGTCAAACCACAGTCTGGGAACAGACCCCAGACAGCCCCTTGTGGGCCCAGGCCCTCTCTGAGTTCTTCATCCCATGAAAGGGTTCTGTGAAATCTGACCATTTGTCATTCTCAAAGAACCAAAATTAAAGACTGTTCTCATGCCACGAGTTGATTGTTACCATGGGTAGGGATGAAACTATATTTCTCTTTCTCCCACTGTATTTCTTGACCATATAGTTGTGCAACAAATATAAATTAAATATTAGTTAAATACATTGTCTCCCCATGGTCTTGAGACTATGAGTCAGCCTTCCTTCTCAACAAAGACACAGTTGATGCCAGAAATTAGCAAGGCAATAATCTGTCTAACAGTAAATATTTGCCTAAAGGCCATGTTCTAAATATATGACCCAGTGGAATATATGAGAGGCACCTCCTTTCTTAAGGAGCTCATAACCCAAGCACTAAGAAGAATAACCACATGAAAAGGCCACCACCACCCACAGTGTGAACATCTGAGACCCTGGCGTCAGAGACAGCCTTTGACTCAGGAAGAAAAAGCTCTGTGCTGAGTGTCCATTCTCAGCTGGATTCTGCCTTGGTAATGCTACAAACATCCTCAGATAACAATTCCCACTGTCTCCTTGTAAGTATTATCATCTCCCCCGAGGAGATAGAAAACTAAGGTTCTGCGATAAAAGAAACTTGAACTGGGATCTGGACAATAGTTAAGTTTAATTTCACATCAGAGAGGGTGAGGAGGCAGAGATGTGACCTCAGGATGATGGCTTCTAGTCCTGGGTAGATTTGCTCTCATGTCTGAAACTGGAGTACTGGATAAGCCTCGCGGCATGGTCTTGCATCTGGGAAGTAGAGCTTTCTTCAATTCTTGCAACCGAGGAGGCACCTAGCAATGGTAGAAGTGCTTAGAGAGAGTATTTCCCCAACCACACCCCCTTGAGGGCTTTAAGCTACATCTCCCAGGACTCTACGTGGCCCCACACAGGGGTTCTCTGTCAAGAGAAATGGAAGTCGAGGAGAAGCTAGAACCTCAGTGTTCTCTTTTGTCGTGCAGGAATGAGGTCCCTGTACCATCTCAGCTGAAGCACAAGTGTGAGTTCATCCCATCACCTTTCTGTCCCTATTCAATGGATTAAATTTAGCAATTATGACATAAGGCTGAAAAAGACAACTCAAAACTCCAAGAATCATCCAATGTTGAGTGACGTAAGGGTGGGAGGAAGAGAAGTTAAAAATAACAGATGCATGAAAACACTCAGCTTAATAAAATAAATATATCCAAGTCCATGAGGACAAAGTGATTGAAATACTTAGCGTTCAGGATTGTCCAAAAGACCTTTCTGTGCTAATATGCAACTCTTTCACATCTACACTACCCAATACAGTAGCCCCCAGCCGTGTGTAGCTACAGAGAAACTGACTAGTGCCATTGAAAAACTCAGTTTTTCATTTGGAAATGTGCACAGAATGGACAAAATTCTAGACAAAGTATAACTTCACAAAATCAATTCATGAAGAATTTTTTTAAAAAAACTTGATTTCTGATTGTATTGTATTGAATTGTATTGAATTATTTTTTAAAATGTATTGTATTGTATTGAATTATAAGTTTTAAAAATATCAATAGCCACATGTGGCTAGTATCTACAGTACTGGACAGCACGATAATCTAGAACTCTTCTCCCATAAAGAAAAGCACACCGATCAGGTAATTAAGGGAGCAGACTGGGAAGCCAGGCTTAAACAAAGTCTGGAGGGGATGGTGGGGAAAGTAATGAAGTGCTGTGAGGACAACGGCTGGTGGATGAGATGGGAGCTCATGTAACCTGCCAAGGCAAAGAGGAAGAAGATGGGAGGCAGTCCTCATTAAAAAATATAGAGGGCAGGGCCCCAAAGATCTTTCCACCAGTTCACTTCACTTTAAAGATTAAGAAATCAATCTCCACATAGTAATGATTTGCCTGGTCATATTAGCCTGGCAGAGGTTGAGCTGTGTCTGCAAGGTTAACCTCCTGATTCTGAATTCAAATGGTTCACAATTGTTCTTCACCACCTTGGGGAGAGTAAAGATAATTTAAATTGTTAGTCAAAGAAACTGTGCTAGACAAAGAGGAGCATTTCTGACTGCAGAGGCCCTAGGACCACTGGAACCAGATTCCCCAGAGAGCTGAGGCTGCTCATTGTCCGACCTACTGCCTGGCATTACAGTCAGAACGCAGGGTGGGCACAAGGCAGAAGCTCCTAAGGGAAATGACAACTCCATGTGGACCCCTTTGGCTCTTTGCAAAAATTAGATGAGGCAAACCTACCACAATAGCTGGTCAGATTTAGAAACTCTAGAACAGTGGCTCTTGGCTAGGGTGATTTTTCTCCACCCAACCCCAAGGACATTCAGCAATGTCTGGAGACACTTTTTGGATGTCACTAGGTGGGGAAGGGGAGCTATGGGCCTCTTGCAGATAGAGAACAGGGACACTGCTAAACATCCCCCAACACACAGGACAGCCCCCTATCACAAAGAATTACCCTGCCCAAAATGTCAATAGTACCCAGATTGAGAAACCTTGGTCTAGAGTAATATGGGTGAATAGCATTTAAATTCCCATCATAGCATTCTCTGTCATGTGGAATACAGCAAGAATTCTTACACTGCCAAGGACATGAGTGGCTTCAAAGATCCTTCACATTTTTTTACCATCTCCTGTACCCCCTCCTAGCATCTAAAGGGGTCTAGAAAGGCCTGATACAGAGGATTCTATATTGTTATTGATTAGAGCAAGTCATGACATCATCGGGAGACAGAGGCACACACATGAGACACGTTTGAATCTCAGTCCAGAGTTCAGGCATGCCACACATCATACTGCATTCCCTTCTTTACACTGACCCAGTATGGAGGCAGAGACAAGTATAGACCACACCGTCAAGAGGGTTGACTAAAACTGCCTTTACCAAAAGAGAGGCAAGAAAATGGAAGTGTACCTGTAGAAGGATCTGGGTTTAAGAATGTGTGAAAGGATTATAATATTTAAAAGTTAAAATCATGACTCAGATAAACATAAAATTAATATTTGTCCAAGATTTTATTCAATTTATTAATTAATGAAGAAACAGAGGTAATGGTAAAATGTTACCTCTGTTTCCAAGGAGAATTCAAACTACCACACTTCAATAACTGAATTAGGAATGCTGAAATAAATTTTATAAATAGATGCCGAACTTGCTTTTTCCACAGAGTCAGAAGAAAAATTAATTGTCTTTACACAAAACAGAATTTGTGTATTCATGGGTAAGTATCATTTTATTGCTATCAATCAGGTATCTACAACTCACATAGTTATAAAATAGCTCAAAGACAATGAAAGGTACAGAGCACTCCCCGCTCCACCCCGAGAAGCAGATAAAAGGGAAACTATGTCTAAACAATACCTGTTTTCCACAGAAGCCATCCACTAAGCTTTTGGTGCATTTCAAAGTCCTTCACAATTTTCCCCACAGAAGTTCATGTGGCTCCCATTTTTGGGGGATATTGTGACATGTTTCTATGCAGATTGGAATGATAGGGAAAATTCGGGAATTCAAGAAAGAGAAAGGAGAATTGGAAGAACAAACTCCTAAATGCAAGAGAAGGACATGTGGCTGAGTAAGCAAGCTGCAGGGCTGGCCTTCAGTGGGAGCATGGAACCCTCAGGGACACACTAGGAGGAAAGTGAGAGCACGCATGCCAGAAAGAGGCAGTCAGTAGATGCCATGGTGGTGGGGTGATGGGGCAACTCCCTTCTGATACACCTGCTCCTCAAGGCAGTCAGAAGTGAGGACATGGATGGAGAGTGAAGTGGGTGCAGAGGGTGATGGACATTTAGCAATGGCAACAGATGTCATATGGCCATTCCCATGATACCAAGGATGAGCAGAATAGAGAGATCCAGTGGTGCAGATGGGCATGGGTAAGGGCCAGCGGGGACTCCATGAATGACTTTACAACATGACCAGAACCACTGGCAAAGGGGTAGATGCATAGATCAATGGAACAGAATAGAGAACCCAGAACAAGACCCACAAATATGCCCAAATGATTTTTTTTTACAAGGTACAAAAGCAATTCAATGGAGGAAAGACAGCCCTTTCAACAAACAGTGCTAAAGCTACTGGACACCCACAGGCAAACAAACAAACAAACAAACAAACAAACAAAGAATATCAACCTAAGACTCACACCTTTGAACATAAATAAACTCAAAATGGAGCATGGATTTAAATGTAAAAGGTAAAACTATAACCCATTTAGAAAAAAAAAAAAAAACAGAAGAATATTTGTAGGATCTGGGACCAGGCAAAGAGTTCTTAGAATTGACATCAAAAGTTGGAACATTTGATAAATAGAACTTCATCAAAATTTAAAACTTTTGCTCTGTGAAAGACCCTGTCAAGAGAACAACAACAAAAAAAGCTACAGACAGGGAGAATGTATTTGAAAACGACATATCTAACAAAGGACTACTATCTAGAATATACGTAGAACTCAACAGTAAAAAACCAACCTAATCAGGAAACAAGCAAAACACATAAACACACATTTCTCTAAATGGATTAAACAGATGGAAAATAGAAATAGTATGATTCAATTTAAACAATATTCTTGTAATGACAAATTTAAAAAAATGGAGAACAGATAAGTGGTTTCTTGGCCTTAAGGAAGTGAAAGGGATGGAAGAGAAATGTGGCTGTAAAAAGGCAGCAGGCAGGTCCCATGGTGACGGAAATGTCCTTGACTGTATCCACGTCCATATCCTGCTTGTGGTATCATTCTTAGTTCTGCAAGATAATACCTTTAGGGAAACTGGGTAAAAGATATACAGAATTTCTCTGTATCATTTCTTACAACTGCAAATGGCTCTACAATTATCTCAAAATTTTTTAAAGAAAGCTCAATTAAAACAAATGTGAACAGTCAGCATGGATGTGGGCTCTGTCCTGGCTATAGTCCTCAGGTGTGCATGTGGGTTAGGGAAAGAATCAGGTTTATCACCTGAATTTGTCAGGTGACAACAGTGAAGGGAGCTGAGGCTATATGCCAGGAGAAGAGAGGAAAAGAGACTGGAGCTGGGACTGAATGAGGAGGGAAGAGAGGAAGGGAGGGGAGAGATGGGAAGGGGAGAGGAAGGGAAGGGAGGGGAGGGGATGAAGTAAGGAGATAATGGGTCAGTTGCTGGTGTCCCATTGTTTGCAGTAAGGGTGACAAAATGAGTGAGCTAGAATGAGAGAAGATGGAATTTTGAGAATGGAATGCTCAAAATTGAGATCTTGGAGATGGAATGACCATGGAAGGGGATTGCTGAAGAGGAGTGGATAAAGAGAGTTAGACATGAGGAAGTCAAGGTGCTGAGAAGCCAGGGCAATGGACGGATGATCTCCTTGGATTTTTTAATGTGTTCAAGAGCGAAGACAAAAGAAGAGTCAGATATTAACATACCCCTTAAGTGAGGGAAGGCGGTATAATCTCGTTGTATGTGCTTCAAATGAGCAGAGGTTTTGCAGGACAAGGGAAGAGAAGTGGTCTGGTCTGGAAGTAGCAGTTAGGAACAGATACCTACCTCCTTGCAGTCCTCGTGTGTGACAAGGAGAAAAAAAGACCACAAGGAAAAGGTCAGGAGAGGCTCAGGGAACAGCCAGGTTTTAACTTAGAGCTGTGGCTTTCAAAGTGTGGCTGCCAGGCCGGCATCATCAGCATCACCTGGGGACTTACTGGAAATGCAAATTCTCAGGCCCACCTCAATCCCACATAATCAGAAGCTCTACAGGTGGGGCCCTGGAATTTGTGTTTTAGCAAGATATGGCACTATAGCTGGGTTTGGAAGAGGGGACTGGATACCAAATGCCAATGGCTCAGCGAGGAAATGCATGGTTTGACCTGACCTAAGACAAAGAAAGAGGTGGAAGCGACAGCAAACCACAGTGCACGCGTCCTTTCTAACTGGGGCTTGGAGGACTGCAGTATCGTAACTGAACTTTTTTTTTTTTTTTCAAGAAAAGCTGATGCTCTCTCTCTATATATATATATATGTATGTAAATTCTCCTGACTTTTAAAGGTTGGTGGCCAAGCACATTGGCTCACACCTGTAATCCTAGTACTTTGGGAGGCCGAGTCACTCGGATCACATGAGGTCAAGAGATTGAGATCAGCCTGTCCAACACAGTGAAACCCCGTCTCTACTAAAACGCAAAAATTAGCCAGGCGTGGTGGGGGGAGCCTGTAATCCCAGCTACTCGGCAGGCTGAGGCAGGAGAATCACTTGAACTCGGGAGGCGGAGGTTGCAGTGAGCCAAGATCACACCACCGCACTCCAGCCTGGGCAACAAAGAGAGACTCCATCTCAAAAAATAAAAATTAAAAAAAAGTTTTTTTTTTTAAATATAGAAAACATTGCACAGGCCATTAAAAAGCACCCCAACAGACTGCCAGCATGTGTCTGATGTGTAGAGAAGCAGGGGGATTGGGTGAGGATGGACGTTTCAGGGGTGGGAAGCCCAAGGTCTGGTGCTGGCCATCAGGGCCTCTGTGAGAAGCTGTGCACAGCCTCACTGGTAAGAGGGAAGGGTGAGGGGAGGGAATTCCCTTTTGTGGCTGAACAATGAGGTGGACAAGATGAACATACCTCTCCGGGAGCATCTGCATGCCAGAATGAGGAGATGAACTTGGCTTTCTGGGCAGTAAGGACTCCTAGAAATGCTCCAGGAAGGCCAAAGCCTACCTTTGTTACTAGGGAAACCCATGCCTCAAACGCCCAGCCAGTGTCCTCCATGGGCAGAATGGCAAAGTGGCTCAGAGGATGGGCTCTGAGCTAGACTCCCTGGATTTGAATCCTGGCTCTGTGCTTACTACCTGTGCAACCTTGGGTAGGTTGCTTGACTTCTCTGCGCCTGTTGGCTCATGTCTCTGTTGGTAATAGGAATACTTAAGCCACAGGCCTTTTGTGAGGGCTAAATGGGTTAATACACGTAAAGTTTGCCAGTGCATGACACATAGTAAATACTCAATAAGTATCTGCTATTATTAGAAATTACTAGCCTTTTATCAGTTGGAGGCTTCCTGGAAATTTGACCTTGCGACTTGTCGTAGAAATTTTTCCTGGTGCATCCAAACCATAAACAAACAGGATTTTTTTTTTAATCCTCTATGGATAGGACTTACTAAAGAACTAATAAAGAGGGGAGTGGAGGGGTAAACAGAGGCATTCATTACTAACCAAATTCTCCAAGTTTCCTGGGAAGCAGCAGAGTCAAGAATCTGCCCCAGAGCTTCAGAGAGTTTCTCACTCTGCTTTGAAAAGTGAGGGACCCTATTGTATTAGTTGGGGTCACCCTAAAAGGAGATTGAGTCGAGGTCTTGGTTGCAGGAAGTCTAGTTGAGAGGTTGCTCAGCTGCGGGGAGTTTAGTTAGGAGAGGACCCCCTACCTTCAGGTAGCACTGGGAGCAGCTGGGAAAAGGGGGGCACAGAAATGGGAGGCAGGTTATTGCTATGGGTGGCTGGGCTGGGAATTGGGGAATTTATCACTGACTCCCATTCCACATCGACTGAGGGTGGCTCCTAGCAGCACTTGCTCACCCCCCTTCCAGGCTGCCCCTTTGCCCCGGTGCTGGAAAATGTCCCTGCAGAGGCTGAGAGGGAGACAGGACTTGGGGTGGGCCGATGTTGGCATGCACGGGAGCTGCCCCATCCAGCCTCAGGTGAATGCAAATGTGGGATGGAGAATGAAGAGCACCTGGACCCCACATGTCTCCAAACAGACTCATCCTCATGCAGATTGTTTCAGGTGGGCCTCCCTCTGTTGGGAGGAACAGGCCAACTGGAGCAGCTCTGCTGATGGGCATATTGCAGGACACAGACTTTGAAAGAGCATGGCAGGGAATGCAGTGCAGCAGGGCCTCGGGAAGGCAATGAGGATCGGAACACTGAGTGATGCCAAGGAAGACTCTGTGCCTCTCAGGCAACACATCTGCTCCTTCATGCAGCTCTGTCCCCTCTCCCACTCTTCACCCTTCCTCTCCAAATGAGCTTTCTCTCTTCGCCAGTTCAGGGTCTCACCCACGGTCTCACCCACAACCATGAAGCTCAGCTAACTCAGGCCAGCTCTTGGTGTTGTGATGGTGAAACCCCAGGAGGTGAAATTTATTAGGCCATCTTGGATGAATCAGCTCTGTGGGGTGGAGGATGCTTGAGTTGGCTGCTCCAGAAGCAGCGCCTGAGAGGAGACCTGTGGACTATGGGTGCCCCATAAGGGAGCAGGGTAAGCAGAGCAGGACAGGGACACAGGAGTGACAGAGACTGCAAGGGTGAATTTCAAGCAAAGGCTGCAGCAGGCAGCTTCACCCCATCCTGCAGGGAATTCGGGAGGGCAGGTGACTCCTCAGAGATGTCCCAACCTGAGACTTTCACACCCCTGCGCTAGCACTGTTGGAGGCCATCCTGGAGGAAAAATAGACTCCCTGGCAACCCTACTGGGTGTGGGCAGGCAAGTGGCTGCAGTTGCTGTAGGGCTGGCCTCTGAAGAACCATGGGCGAATGCTGTCAAAAGTACACCGAAGCTTTCCACAGGGGCACAGAAATGGTAAAGGGAGCTCAAGGGATCTGGGTAGCACCCACATTATCTACTGAGGGCCATGGAGTCAGGGGTTATGGAGCAAGTTGGAAACCAGTGCACAGCTTGGGCCACTATGTCTGCCCCTTCTGTGGGACCCAGGTTGATGATGGGTCTAACAGACAGGTGCTGTGAGAAGTCAGACTCTCAAATCAGACAGTGATTCAGGGCACAGCTGGCAATGCAGGAATCAAGCATGTCACACCGCTTGGTGGCCATCTGCCAGGCATCGATAACTTGATAAAGCTGGGTTTGAAGACTGCTTGTTGATTCGCAGACTTCGCATAAAAATGTCAACACCACCATCTTCTGTTTCGTGACTTTAAACTCCTTTTGGGTTTAAGGATGTGGTGCCTTCAAAAGTCACCTACAGAAACCACTGAAGTCCCAAGGGTTGTTATAGGTTAGCTTTGTTGATTTAGAAGGGGGGGTTAGCTTGGGCTGTTGGGGTCAGGAGTGAGCATCCGAGGACACACAGGGGCCCTATTGGAAAAAGGTATCAGCAGAGCATATGACCCCAGATTTTTTCTGCTGCAGAGCTGAATTCACTGCAATTGTCAGGGGTTTGCTGAGATGTCAGAAATGAGGACATTTTCTCAAGCTCTTTCTGAGGTGTGACCACACTTCAGGAAACCTTAAATATATACTGAGAAAAATACTTGTTTTTCCTCCAATTTGTGATTTCCACAAGCCTTAACAACTCCTCACAGGTCCCACAGGAGGGGGTGAAATTAAGGGTAAGAGATTCCGCCCAGAGCCCGCATGATGCTGTGCTCCCTTCCCTCTGTGCCTCCTTTCCAGGCATTTTCCGACTGAGTCTCGGCTGCTGGCTCACATCTGAGGGGCCCTGTGTGCTTTGGTGAAGCTCTAACCAGACTCACATCCTCCCACCACAGCCATCATGGGGAGCTGTACTGGCCACATCTCCTGGGCAGCAGAGTCAGCCACCTAACTGCACCCCTCTCTTCCCCTTGGAGGGCTCAGAGATAACCTCCCCCAACCCCAGCCCAAAAAGGGGATTTGAGGTGAGCAGAACACAGTTCACACACTACAATGCTCATTCTTTCTGCATCTTAACTCAATGGGACATCCCATTTTCAAGTTGGGTTAACAGGAATGGACTGAACATTATCTGTTTCCTCAAATATAAAGCTGTCTCTTGGGTAAACTCTATCTCCTTTAGGTTAAACCAGTGGTTCTCAAACTTAGAGCATTATAGTTGTCTCTAAGGCTTCTTAAGACACATGGCAGAGCCAGCCCCAAGAATTTCAGGGCTGGGCCCTTAGAATATGCCGCCATAAAATGCTGATGCTTTGAGATCAGCTGGGTTAAATGGGAAGTTCAGTCTAAACTCTTAAGCAGAGCTTTTTCTCCCTTCTCTCAAAAGGTTCTGCCCTTTTAATATGGTTTGGCTGTGTCCCCATTCAAATCTCAACTTCAATTGTTGTCTCCCAGAATTTCCAGGTGTTGTGGGAGGGACCCAAGCAGAGGTAGCTGAATCATGGGGGCTGGTCTTTCCCACGTTATTCTCCTGATAGTGAATAAGTCTCATGAGATCTGATGGGTTTATCAGGGGTTTCTACTTTTGCTTCTTCCTCATTTTTCTCTTGCTGCTGCCACGTAAGAAGTGCCGTTCACCTCCTGCCATGATTCTGAGGCCTCCCCAGCCATGTGGAACTATAAGTCCAATTAAACCTCTTTTTCTTCCCAGTCTCAGGTATGTCTTTATCAGCACTGTGAAAATGGACTAATACAGTAAACTGGTACCACCAGAGTGGGACGTTGCTAAAAAGATACCCAAAAATGTGGAAGCGACTTTGGAACTGGGTAACAGGCAGAAGTTGGAACAGTTTGGAGGACTCAGAAGAAGACAGGAAAATGTGGAAAAGCTTGGAACCTCCTAGAGACTTTTAACTCTAACTTGTAGAATGGGAGAAAAAATCTCAAAGCAAGGTGAAGGTGATTTCCAGGAAGCTGCCTGGGATTCTCTGGATGCTTTCTTTGCTTTCCTTGTAAGGACACATTTTGGGACACTTTTCTGCCCTTGCCACATGCAGAATCGTCTGCTGTAGGTCTTGGCCCTCCTAACTTCCTGATCTGGTCTCTCTCTCTTAATTTCCCTGCAGACATTTCTCAGGACCTGCTTTCAGAGGCCCATTTGCCTGCAGTGCCTGAACCTCCCAATCCCCATGCCTTTGCCTCCCATGACATGCAAGGCAGCCCATTGCCTCAGTCTGAAGGTCAGTTGCCTTCAGCATTTCTTCAGCAGCGGGACTTTTTCAAGTCTGTTTTAGGTCATTGCTTCCTTGCACTTCAGCCTGTCAGGGATTCCATCACTGTTGTCCTTCTGTCTTTTAATGCCACCTAGCTGACCTGGCAGGAGCTCATTCTTCTCCTTAAACCACTCCAGGTGTCTGCACGCCATTTCACACAACAATTGCTTCATTCTGAAGACTTCAGGGATATGGATTTCTCTCTTTGAGGTCTGACAGTGGGGTTACAATGAAACCTTAGACACTTTCATCTCTCTTGTTCCTGTGTTTCCAGGAGTTTTGCCACATGTGTTTTCCAGAAGGTGGTATCAGGACTCCTGGGATACTTACCAGGGAGATCATAACATGTTTGCCTTGCTTCACCATGAAGTTATTCTTCTCCTGATCCACGGCCTCTGTTATGGCCTGAAAACTTGTGTCCTCCCAAAATTCAGATGGTGAAAACCTACCCTCTAATATGATGGTATTAGGAGGTGGGGTCTTATGGAGGTGATTAGGACTAGATGAGGTCAGGGGGCTAGATCCCTCATGAACAGGATTAGTGTCCTGATGAAAATCTCAAGCTGTTTCTCTCTACCATGTGAGGACATAGCTAGAACAGCTGTCTGTGAACCAGAAAGCAGCCCTCGCCACATCACACACTGAATCTGCCTGTGCCTTGGTCTTGGACTTCCCAGCCTCCAGAATTGTGTTCAGAACTGTGAGAGATTTATGTTTGTAAGCCACTTGGTTTATAGAATCCTGTTACAGAAGCCTGCATAGACTGAGACATCTGTCTTCTAGTATAGCATGTGCTGCAGTTCCTGGAGCTGTACTGGGTGCCTCCCTTTTCCCTGGCAGGCTGGCAGAGTCCAAGTGTCTTCCAGAGCCTCCGGGAAGCATGTTCAGATACTCATGGCATGAGCCAGGTCTTCACAGAGCTCTGTGTCCTCAGAGTTCTCTCAAAGGTTCCTTTCACTTCTAGAATCTCAACATTCTATCTGCTGGAGCTCGATCGTGCTGTCAGCCAGAGCTCAGGTGCATGTTTGAGACTCACATCCTCCAGGTCTTGCTTCAGTGTCCATTTCTATTTACTCATGGACTGATGATCTTGATTGGCTCCATGAGGTCAGCTACAATCACACTGTTAGCATTTCTAGACTTCTCCAGAGACCTAGTGACTTTTTCCATGGAAAAGAGACTTTCTTCTTGTGTTTGTACGCTTGCCATCCACTGTTCACACTTGTTTCTTCCCATTTCTCTTGCTGTACATCCTAAAGAACACATAAGAATTCTTTAGAATGGGCTTCTTTATCTTCACACAGATTTATTATTGCATTTTTTTCTGCCTCCAAAGCTCATCCCATACATCAAATCATACAGATCAGACTTCAGAGTTTTATTCTTTGCAGTTTTGAAGGTTTTTGAAAGTCGGTCTATGTCGAATGCCATTCCTTCTTGTAAATAAGCACAAAACTCCCCTGAAGATCTTCCACCAAAAAACTTTTTTAAAGATGGGGTCCCTTCTGTCACCTAGGCTGGAGTGCATTACTGCAATCATAGCTCACTGCAGCCTCCAACTCCTGGGCTCAAGTGATCCTCCTACCTCAGCCTCCTGAATATCTGGGACTATAGGCATGCACCACCACACCCAGGTGACTTCTTTAAATTTCTTTCAGAGATGGCATCTTGCTACGTTGCCCAGGCTGGTCTCAAACTCCCGGCCCCAAGTGATCCTCCCACCTCGGCCTCTCAAAGTGCTGAAATTATAAGCATGAGCCCCTACACCCAGCCTCATTTCTGATTTTTCTAATATTTGACACTATTTAGTTGAAGCTGTATATGCACATGTCTTATAGAAAATGAGTTGGCTTCTTTCTCCCGACTCTGAATGAACTACACCCAGCTCCTTCAAAGTCAGCTTGCCTGCAGAGTTAAACTATAAAGGTTGTATACCTCTTTTCAGTCGTTCTGAGTTTGAGAACCTCTGAGCTGCATGCCAACTGTGAGGGATGCTGTTGCTGCTGTGTGGTCCGGTCAGTTCTTCCTGATAAGGACAATGCCTGCATCTGTGTGAGGACATGTTCCAGTTTATCAATCTGTTGCTGATGCTTTGGCATCTATGATCCTCTTTGTTCAACCTCACCTGATGAGACAGGTGTTGTTGCCCCTTTTTGAGCCCCTCAGGAATGGTCTCCATAGAGTGCTCACTCATCTCAGGAATGACTTAACTTGATCTAATCATCTTATCATAAGTTGCCGCTCTGGAATTCTGAGCACAGAACCAAAGCTTTATATTTCAAGGTGTGGTCAGGGACTGCCAAGACTGGTGGGTTGTCAATGGGCTTATAGCCTTATAGTCTTATAGCTTATAGTCTTTCTGCACAAATTTTATTTAGCTTAGAAGTTTCTTAGTACTCACAGGCTTTTTGAGTTTAAAGTTACCTTTTGCAAAAACTTAAACCCCAACTTGAAGTCTAGTTATTTCTTCCTAATTCTTTGAGTTTTTTATGTGTTTGCTTTGACTCATTCAGCTCTGAATCAGCAGGTGGTGTGCTTTTAACTTCTCAGTGCTTGTCAGTAAGCCTAGAGTTTTTGGAGCTTTAAGGAAAATCCCTCTTGATGTTTGTCTTTTGTCTGTGCTAGATGTTTCATGAAAAGCTTTTTCTAGTTTTGCAACAATCTGGGCACCTATTTTTTCAGCTAATTTTATAAGCCTTAGGATGCAAGTCCTCCATCCTCCTCCCTGAGAGAATCCTGTTTGTGGAGGATTCATTCATAAACTCCATCTTAGACGCTGAGCCACCAGGTTGGCTTCTGATTAACCCCTATTCCAGGAAGCCTCTGAGATTTCCAGTTTATTTATTGTTTCTTGTATAAGAACAGGTCCTTACCATAAATCTTGCTCTTGGGTCAAACAACCCGTATGCTATTGTACTTCAATTGTCCTACACATCCCTTCTGAACCACATTTTTCCTGTGTTGGGGTGGCTGAGGAAAAAAAAAAAAAAAGCATGAATTAGGCCCTAAAAACTGCATGCTTTCTTAGCCCTGTTCCCTAACAGCCTCCACCCTAAATCCAGTAATCTAATGAAGAAACAAACTAGTATCAAACTAAATCAGTCTTTATAACTCTTTTTAAAATAAATGTACGTCTTTAAAGGAACTCTTCATTTGTAAAGGAATCTCCATCTCTGCACTTAAACCACGATCTAAAGACCTGGAATCAATAGAAGGGAATGTCTGGATTAAGATAAAGGGTTGTGGAGACCAAGGTTAATCATGCAGATGAAGCCTCCAGGTGGCAGGTTTCGAGCTCTTATCAGACAAAAAAGATGCCAGACTCTTAGTTAATTCTCTCCTGGACCAGGGAAGAGACCTGGAAAGGAATGGAGATTCTCTACAGAATGTAGATTTTCCCCACAAGAGATAGCTTTGCAGGGCCATTTCAAAACATGTCAAATATGATTTGGGATTTAAAAAAAACTTCAATTTCTTTCAGGGCTGGCTATCTGTCATGTGATAGTAGAGTCAGGCTGGAATTTGGTGTCTTACTGCGACAAAGAGTCTGCTTTGTCAGTCTTAAGATCTGTTTTATTTGGGAGACTGAAGCAAGAGGATCGCTTGAGCCCAGGAGTTTGAGACCAGCCTGAGCAACAGAGTGAGACCCCATCTCTATTAAGATAAAAAAAATCTGTAGTAATGTAAATGCTGGTCAGCTGTGCCTGAATTCCAAAAGGAGGAGGGTATAATGAGGCAGTCCAACCCCCTACTTCCCATTATGGCCTGAAATAGTTTTTCAAATTAACTTTGGAATGTCCTTGGCCCAGGTGAAGGGTCCATCAGTTGGTTAGAGGTCCTTGAATTTTATTTTTCACTTACATATATGATTAATATGATTAACATATATAACATATTAAAGTTAATGTTTCAGATAAACATGTTTATAGAACATGAAGATACAATTTCCAATTAAAGAAAAAGTCATTTTGTTTAGAGGCTATTTAAAAGTTGTTTCAAAACAAAGGAAAAAAGTGATGAAACTAAATGGATGGAAAGGAAGGATAAAATGGTGGGAAATGAGAAACCTTTGATTCTTGGGTGACCATGTGGTCACCATGGTATGGAGCTATAGCTGAATTCCATTCAGTTACTAAGGGTATAAGTTACCAGTGGAACTTAGAGATGGATCAAACTCCCAGGGAATTGACTCACTAGATTCATAAGGAGATGCAAACTAATAGTAAAATATAAAATACTCAATCTCCTGGTTATTATCTATAATAGCTAAAATGAAAATAAAAAGAATGTGCTGCGTTGGGCCTTGAGGATGGACCCAGCTCAGATGTAGGCCTGTGTGAGCTCAGGTCACTAACTTCAAAGCTCACCATATAGAAAATTATGCCAGAAACAAAACAGCCTCTGAGATCTACGGTTACTGAGAAGGTAGTCTATGTGGGGGTTGGGCAAAAACAAGTAACTATTGAAACCAGAGGGTATAGTGTGAAGGAGTGTTCCATTTTACAGATTGGTTTCATCAACTTGCTGAGGAACCTTTACTAAAATGGATTGTGAAAGTCTTTGATTTTTAAGTGCTGCAGAGTAGAAGAGCATGTTTGGGTTGATACAGGACCCACGGCTCACTATTGAACAAACACAGCTGGGTGTATATATATGATCCAGATACACAGGTATTCCCAAGAGAACAGCCAGCATGGTAGACCAGATAAAAGCCACTGGATAAAATTGTCTGCCTACCTTGAGAAGGGGAACTGTCCAGTTCATTCTATAAATGCCTAGTGGAGCACAACAGATGAAGAAGCTGATATGCTTCACATGCAAGGACTGGCTTTATGATAAGCTGAATATTCACCCACTGAATATGTCTATTACCTAGGTCATGGTAAATGCTCTAGTTAAAGGGGGCCCCTTCTGCATGAATGGCTCATTATTGCCCTTGTACTGCTGCTAAAGCTATACAATATCAGGTACCCTCCCTAAAGGTTCAGGGACCACTGTGGAAGAAGAGGACACATGATAATGTAAGAGCAAATAGGAGGTAGAGTGTGGAGGCCAAAGAACTGCATTTTGGATGCTGATCTGTTGTGTTGGCTTTTGATTAACCCTTGTTCCAGGAAGCCGCTAGGATTTCTAACTTACCTATCATTCTTTGTTTAAGAGCAATTATTTATTATAAATCCTGCCCTTGGATCAAACAACCTTAACATTATTATACTTCAGATGTCCTACACAACCCTTCTGAACCATTCATTCCTTATGGTATGTAAGCCTTGGGTCTGGGAGTGATGGCGTGAGGAATCCACCATCTTGTCTCACGGCAATGAGACACAGAGACAGACACACCTGAGACACAGACATGGCTTCTGTTCATCAGTCCCTTTTTTTTTTTTTTTTTTTTTGAGAAATTGGATTCGTGATCCTCTTCTTCGGCTTCTCAGATTCCTCAGATTTTTGGGCTGGTTTGTAGAACACTCTTAAATTCACCAGGTTAGCTAGGAAGATGTATATCTTAATAATTTCATTGCTCTCCACCATTGCCTCTGTTGTCATTGTAAAGATAGCAGAAAACATAGAGGATTCTTTATTCATTCTTTCAATGCCTCGTGTTCATCTCACCACTGCCAGGTGGGCTTCCAGACCACGGTTAACACTGGCCAAACCGCATGCACCACACAGTTTTCCTTCTAACACAGACCAGACAAGGCAGAATCCCACAGGTAGGTTTATAAAAAGGAACCTTGATAAGAAAACCCTAGCTCCAGCTTTCTCTTTCCATTGTAACGTAAGAAATACTCAAAACTTTGTGAAATTGCTCCTCATGTCATGAGAAAACGGAGATGCATCATCATAATGTGCTACTTGCACCAGTCTGTCCAGATGCAAGGATGATGTTGTTACTTATGCAAGATGCCACAGAGCTCCTGGGCACAGGTAAACACAGGTATCAGAGTAGTGACCAGAAGGGCCTCAAGGAAAGCACAGATGAGGCTATACATTACAGACTACAGATCAGCTATAGATTTTGTGTCTTCTTCACAAAGCTCAGACAGTTCCTCTCTCTTCCTAGTGTGCTGGGAGTTTGTATCACCAGTGAGTGTTGAATGTTATCAAATGCTTTCCTGGGTCCATTTTTCTCAGCCTGTTGATATGGTGGATTACATTAACTGATTCTTTTTCTTTTTATTTAAAGATGGACTCTCAGGATTCAGGGGATCATGGCAGACGGAAGGCAGGACTAGATTGCAGCTCTGGACAGAGCAGCATGCAGAAGCTTGCATTGCGAATTTTAACTTCAGGTTGACTGCAAGAACAAACCAGCAATCCCAGGAGGACCCACAGACCCTCTGAAGGAAGCAGACTTCTCCTGTAGGACCTGAGAGACACCCCAAATACTGTGAGTGCCCCAACAGCAGAAGTGGGAAAGGGACACCTCCTCTCCTGAACACACACCCCCAGTGGAGAAGCTGAAGGTCTTTTTGCAGGAGAAGTTTCCAATGTTACCTGGATCTGAGTCACGTTAGAGAGGCAAGCAAACTAGAGAGGTATAGTAAGGAGCAGAAAGGCCCTGGGAGCTCACTGGGTCCCCAAGCAGCATATTCCTGCCTGGCACCACAGGGATCCATTGGGAGGGTGGCCAGAGGAGCAGGGGGTAAAACTCCACAAGGAGAAGGAATTTTCTAGCCGAACTTTGTAACAATTTGAATGGTGTGAGAAGCCTCCTGGCTAGAACTCAGGGGAGGGCAAGATCGGGCATGCAGACTTCACAGGCCAGGGAAGAACTAAAGCCCTTTTCTCTAGCAGATGGGAGGCAGATAGCCTCAGGAAAGTTTTCAAGCCTATCTTGCCCTCTGCCTGGAAACAGACTTGGGGCTGTTGGGCAGTGCACAGTGGGAGTCAGATCAGCCCTTCAGTTTGTATGGGAGCTAGGTAAGGCTTGTGACTTCGGGCTTTCCCCCACTTCCCTGCCAACCTGCAAGACTTGACAGAGGCAGCCATAATCCTCCTAGGTACACAACTCCAGTGACCTGGGAATCTCACCCGAATTCCCAACAGCAGCTGCAGCAAGACTTGCCTAAGGAGAATCTGAGCTCAGACATCCCTAGCCCTGCCCCTGCCTGATGGTCCTTCCCTATCCACCCTGGTAGTGGAAGACAAAGGGCATATAATCTTGGGAGTTCTAGGGCCTCACACACCACCAGTCCCTCTTCACCCTACTACAGCTGATGCTTTCTGGAAAGCACCACCTCCTGACAGGAGGCCAACCAGAACAAAAATAGAGCATTAAACCACCAAAGCTAAGGACCCTCACAGAGTCCATTGCACCCTCCACCACCTCCACCAGAACAGGCACTGGTATCCTCGGCTGAGAGACTCATAGACAGTTCATATCACAGGACTCTGTGCAGACAAGCCCCTGTACTAGCCCGGAGCTGGGTAGACTCTCTGGGTGGCCAGACCCAGAAGATAGATAACAATCACTGCAGTTCAGCTCACAGGAAGCCACATCCATAGGAAAAGGGGGAGAGTACTATATCAAGGGAACAACTGTGGGACAAAAGAATCTGAACAACAGCCTTTAGCCCTAGACCTTCCCTCTGACAGAGCCTACCCAAATGAGAAGGAACCAGAAAACCAACCCGGGTAATATGACAAAACAAGGCTCTTGAACACCACCAAAAAAATCACACTAGTTCACCAGCAATGGATCCAAACCAGGAAGAAATCCCTGATTTACCCGAAACAGATTTCAGGAGGTTAGTTATTAAGCTAATCAGGGAGGCACCAGAGAAAGGTGAAGCCCAATGCAAGGAAAAAAAAAAAGAAAGAAAAAGAAAAGAAACAAGAAGTGAAAGGAGAAATACTCATGGAAATAGATAGCTTAAAAAAAAGACAATCAAAAATTAAGGAAACATTGGACACACTTTTAGAAATGGTCTGGAAAGCCTCAGGGATAGAATTGAATAAGTAGAAGAAAGAAATTCAGAACTCGAACACAAGATCTTCAAATTAACCCAATCCAACAAAGACAATGAAAAAAGAATAAGAATATATGAGCAAAGCCTCCAAGAAGTCTGGGATTATGTTAAACAACCAAACCTAAGAAAAATCGGTGTACCAGAGGAAGAAGAGAATTCTAAAAGTCTGGAAAACATATTTGGGGGAATAATCAAGGAAAACTTCCCTGGCCTTGCAAGAGACCTAGACATCCAAATACAAGAAGCAGAAAAAACACCTGGGAAATTCATCACAAAAAGATTATTGCCTAGGCACATTGTCATCAAGTTATCCAAAGTTAAGATGGAGGAAAGAATCTTAAGAGCTGTGAGACAGAAGCACCAGGTAACCTATAAAGGGAAACCTATCAGATTCACAGCAGATTTCTCAGCAGAAACCCTACAAGCTAGAAGGGATTGGGGACCTCTCTTCAGCCTCCTCAAACAAAAGAATTATCAGCCAAGAAGTTTGTATCCAGCAAAACTAACCATCATATATGAAGGAAAGACATAGTCACTTTAAGACAAACAAATGCTGACAGAATTCACCATTACCAAACCACCACTACAAGACCTGCTAAAAGGAGCTCTACATCATGAAACAAATCCTGGAAACACATCAAAACAGAACCTCTTTAAAGCATAAATCACATAGGACCTATAAAACAAAAATACAAGTTAAAAAGCAAAATCAAAAAAACAAAAGTACACAGGCAACAAAAAGCATGATGAAAGCAATGGTAACACACGTTTCAATACTAACAATGAATGTAAATGGCCTAAATGCTCCACTTAAAAGACACAGAACTGCAGAATGGATAATAACTCACCAACCAATTATCTGCTCCCTCAGGAGACACACTTAACACATAAGGACTCACATAAACTTAAAGTAAAGGGGTGGAAAAAGGCATTTCATGCAAATGCACACCAAAAGCAAGCAGGAGTAGCTATTCTTATATCAGACAAAACAAACTTTAAAGCAACAATGGTAAAAAGAGGCAAAGAGAGACAGTATATAATGGTAAAAAGCCTTGTACAACAGGAAAATACTACAATCTCAAATACATATGCACCTAACACTGGAGCTTCCAAATTTATGAAACAATTAGTAATAGACCTAAGAAATAAGACAGACAGCAACACAATAACAGTGGGGGACTTCAATACTACACTGACAGCAGTAGACAGGACATCAAGACAGAAAGTCAGCAAAGAAACAATGGATTTATACTACATCTAGGAACAAATGGACTTAACAGCTACATACAGAACATTCCATCCAACAACTGCATTCTGTTCAACAGCATATGGAGATTTCTCCAAGATAGACCATATGATAGGCCATAAAACAAGCCTCAATAAATTTAAGAAAATTGAAATTATATCAAGCGCTCCTCAGACCACAGTGGAATAAAACTGGAAATCAACTGCAAGAGGAACCCTCAAAACCATGCAAATACATGGAAATTAAATAACCTGTTCCTGAATGAGCACTGACCCAAAAAATAAGTCAAGATGGAAATTAAAAAATTCTTCAAACTAAATGACAAAAATGACACAACCTATCAAAACCTCTGTGATACAGCAAAAGTGGTGCTAAGAGGAAAGTTTATAGCCCTAAACACCTGCATCAAAAAGTCTGAAAGAACACAAACAATCTAAGGTAACACCTTAAGGAACTAGAGAAACAAGAATGAAACAAATTTAAACCCAGCAGAATAAAGGAAATTACCAAGATCAGAGCAGAACTAAATGAAATGGAAACAAACAAAAGGAAATACAAAAGATAAATGAAACAAAAAGCTGGTTCTTTGAAAAGGTAAATAAAATTGATAGACCGTTAGCAAGATTAACCAAGTACAGAAGAGAGAAAATCCAAATAACCTCACTAAGAAATGAAATAGGAGATATTACAACTGACACCACTGAAATACAAAAGATCATTCAAGACCACTATTAACAACTTTGTGTACATAAACTAGAAAACCTACAAGAGATGGATAAATCCCTGGAAAAAATACAACCCTCTTAGCTTAAATCAGGAAGAATTAGATACCCTGAACTGACCAATAACAAGCAGCAAGATTGAAATGGTAATTTAAAAATTACCAACACAAAAAAGTCCAGGACCGACTCACAGCAGAATTCTACCAGACATTCAAAGAAGAATGGGTACAAATCATTCTGACACTACACAAGATAGAGAAAGAAGGAACCCTCCCTAATTCATTTGATGAAACCACCATCACCCTAATACCAAAACCAGGAAAAAATATAACCAAAAAAGAAAACTACAGACTGATATCTCTGATGAATATAGATGCTAAAATCCTTAACAAAATACTAGTTAACTGAATCCAACAACATATCAAAATGATAATCCATCATCATCAAGTGGGTTTCATACCAGAGATGCAGGATGGTTTCACATAAACGACTCAATAAATGTGATAGACCACATAAACAGAATTAAAAGAAAAAATTACATGATCATCTCAATAGATGCAGAAAAGTCATTCAACAAAATCCAGCCTCCCTTTATGATTAAACTCTCAGCAAAATCAACATACAAGGGACATACTTCAATATAATAAAAGCCATCTATGGCAAACCCACAGCCAACATAATACTGAGTGGGGAAAAGTTGAAAGTATTCCCTCTGAGAACTAAAACCAGAGAAGGATACCCACTCTCACCACTCCTCTTCAACATAGTACTGGAGTCTTAGTCAGAGCAATCAGACAAAAGAAAGAAATAAAGGGCATCCAAATCAGTAAAGAGGAAGTCAAACTGTCACTGTTTGCTGACGATATGATCATTTGTCTTGAAAACCATAAAGACTCCTCCAGAAAGCTCCTAGCACTGATAAAAGAATTCAGCAATGTTTCCAGATACAAGATTAATGTACACAAATCAGTAGCTCTTCTATTCACCAACAGCGACCAAGCAGAGAACTGAATCAAGAACTCAACCCCTTTTACAATAGCTGCAAAAAAAAATAATAAAATACTTAGGAACATACCTAGCAAAGGAGTCAAAAGACCTCTACAAGGAAAACTACAAAACAATGCTGAAAGAAATCTTAAATGACACAAACGAATGGAAACACATCCCATGCTCATGGATGGTTAGAATCAATATTATGAAAATGCATATTGCCAAAAGCAATCTACAAATTCAACGTAATCCCCATCAGAATACCACCATCACTCTTCACAGAATTAGAAAAAAATAATTCTAAATTTCATATGGAACCAAAAAGGAGCCTGCACAGTCAAAGCAAGACTAAGTGAAAAGAACAAATCTAGAGGTACCACACTACCTGATTTCAAAACTATGCTATAAGGCCATAGTCACCAAAACAGCATGGTACTGGTATAAAAATAGGCACATAGACCAATGAAACAGAACAGAGAACCTAGAAATAAACCCAAATACTTACAGCCAATTGATCTTCAGCAAAGCAAACAAAAACACAAAGTGGGGAAAAGGCACTCTTTTCCACAAGTGGTGCTGGGATAATTGGCTAGCCACATGTAGGAGAATGAAACTGGATCCACATCTCTCACCTTATACAAAACTCAACTCAAGATGGATTAAAGACTTAAACCTAAGACCTGAAACTATAAAAATTCTGGAAGACAACATTGGAAAATCCCTTCTAGACACTGGCTTAGGCAAGGATTTCATGACCAAGAACCCAAAAGCAAATGCAATAAAAACAAAGGTAAATAGCTGGAACCTAATTAAACTAAAGAGCTTTTGCACAGCAAAAGGAACAGTCAGCAGAGTAAACAGACAACCAAGAGAGTGGGAAAAAATCTTCACAATCTATACATCTGATAAAGAACTAATATCCAGAAACTGTAACAAACTCAAATAAATCAGTAAGAAAAAAACAAACAATCCCATCAAAAAGTGAGCTAAGGACATGATAGAAAATCTCAAAAGAAGATATACAAATGGCCAAAAAACATGAAAAAATGCTCAGCATCACTAATGATTGGGAAATGCAAACCCAAAGCACAATTACCCCCTTACTCCTGCAAGAATGGCTATAATAAAAACGTCAAAAAACAGTAGATATTGGCGTGGATGCAGTGAACAGAGAACCCTTCTATACTGCTGGTGGGAATGTAAACTAGTACAGCCACTATGGAAAACAGTGTGGAGATTCCGTAAAGAACTAAAAGTAGAACTACCATTTGATCCAGCAATCCCACTACTGAGTATCTACCCAGAGGAAGAGAAGTCATTATTTCAAAAAGATACTTGCACACTCATGTTTATCACAGCACAATTTGCAACTGCAAAATCATGGAACCAACCCAAATACCCATTAATCAATCAGTGGATAAAGAAACTGTAGTATATATATAAAATGCAATACTATGCAGCCATAAAAGGGAGTGAATTAACAGCATTTGCAGTGACCTGGATGAGATTGGAGACTATTATTCCAAGTGACGTAACTCAGAAATGGAAAACCAAACATTGTATGTTCTCACTGATATGTGGGAGCTAAGGTACGAGTATGCAGAGACATAAGAAAGATACAATGGACTTTAGGGACTTGGGGGGTAGTGTGGAATGGGGGTGAGGGATGAAAGACTACAAATATGGTGCAGTGTATACTGCTTGGGTGATAGGTGTACCAAAATCTCACAAATCACCACTAAAAAACTTACTCATGTAACCAAATACGACCTGTACGCCAATAACTTATGGAAAAATTTTTTTAAAAGGTGGAGTCTCACTCTGTTGCCCAGGCTGGAGGGCTATGGCACAATCTTGGCTCACTGTAGCCTCCATTTCCTGCATTTAAGTGGTTCTCCTGCCTCAGCCTCTGAAGTAGCCACCATGCCCAGCTAATTTTTGTATTTTTAGTAGAGACGGGGTTTTGCCATGTTGATCAGGCTGGCCTTGGACTCCTAACCTCAAGTGAACTGGCTGTATCAGCCTCCCAAAGTGCTGAGATTACAGGCGTGAGCCACCATACCCAGTTGATTTTAAAACGTTAAAAACAACCTTACATAACTAGAGTAAATACCACTTGATCATGGGATACTATTCTTTGTGCATTGTTGGGTTGCATTTGTTAATGTTGTGAGAATTTTTATATCTGTAGACTAACATCTCTCAAGAACTTAGTGTTTTTTTGTGTTTGTGCTCTCTTTCTAGCTTTGATCTCCAGGTAATACTGGCTTCCTCAAATCCATTGAGAAGTGTGACCGGCCTGAAACAGTTCCTATAAACTTGATAAATTAATGAGGGAAGAAGAGAAGGGAGAAACAAAATATGCCCAGCTTGCAGCCCACTCGGCGTTCATCATGAGGTCAGCTGCTCTCTGACGCTTCTTCTGAGCTGCATAGTGCCTGTTGTGCTGTAGTCGTGTAGACCCTGTAGTTTCCCTTAACTGCTCTATAGATAGAGTTTCATGATGTTCAAGTTACGTTTTCCTTTTGGGAGACTGCTTCAGGTCCTGTATACTGATGCAGCTACTGACTCAGCTGGTCTTAAGGACCCCATGAGGAGCTGACTCAAAAGAACAGTTTCTACATCCTGATGATTTCATCCCCCATACCCCATCCAATCAACAACCCTAATTTTCCAACCCCTCACCCTCCACAGTCCTCTTAAAAACCCCAGCTCAGAACTCCTCAGGGAGATGCATTTGAGGGTCTCCTCCCATCTCCTCACTTGATGCACTATGATCATTAAACTTTCTCTGCAAACCCTGCTGTCTCAGTGTAATTGGTCTACTGCACAGCAGTATATGAACCTGTTGGTCCTATAACATGCTTTTTTCTTTTTTGGAAGTGATATATGAAACTGGTGTTACCTTGACTTTGAATGTTTGGTAAAACCCTCCAGTGAAACGGTCCCTTGTAATTAGCATAACAATGAATAAATGATATGCTGTCTCAAATCTTCAAGTAGGAGTTATAAGAATATCCTCTAAAAAGAATAGAATCTAGTCCAAATTCTTCAACCTACAGGTAATTGGAAGAACAGTGAACAGCCATTTGGAAGCAGGCTGCAGTGGAGGTAGTTGACTCACTGCTGCCCCCTCGTTGTAAGTCATCCAAAGGGCCACAAAAGAGGGTCAATTTTGGATAAGTCCAAAGAAAAGCCAATAAAAAGCTTCAATATAAAGGGCCCAGAAGAGGGTAGCAAAATTTTCAAAGATAATTCTGAAAAAAATTCCAGGTCACTGGTGCTGGCTCTTCAGGCTGGGGAAGGGAGTATCTGGGCATGCCTGGGAGCCCAGGTGCCTGAGTCCTCAGGAACATGCCTAGGGCTCTGTTCCTGCCTGGATAAAGAGCTTACAGGAATTCTGGGGATGGGCAGGAGGGCTAATCCAGGATCGTAGGCTGTGCTGCCTGTTGATCCATGGCCCAGTCATTATTATGGATCCATTCCTTGGAGCTGGAAGAGGCAGTGTCCCTCTGCCTGGGCTTCATAAAGGTACAGGCACAGGAATGCTGGTCCAGAGCCCCGTCTGACCTTAGTCAGAGCTGCTCTTCTTTACCTGTTTTGTTCAGGACTCCAAATAGTTAACTTGGAAAATCAAAGTTGGACCACTCAGAAAACAAGTTCTTCATCTCTCTAGAATCACCTGTTCCACTCACCCCATGAGCTGAAAGGAACAAAATTTGTGTCACTCTTTTCTTCTTGGAATTTACCTTTTGGTAGTTAATAAACTTTGTTATATGGTATTCACTATATATTTGTCATACTAAGTATCACATACATGTCAAGCCATGATGAACCAAACATTCCCAAGGGCAGCTAGGGGTGGAGCTTGGGACATCTTGTGATTGAATCCTCCTCCATAGCTTTGAGCTTCCACGTGGGCTTTTTTAAAAGCTGTGGGGGAGTGGAGGTGTTAGGTCTTCCCTTGCTTGCCTGTTGGCTTATCCATCTCTCATTTCCTTCAAGCACTGACACTGTCCCTTCTTCATCATTTCTTGGCACCTAACAAAGGACCCTTGCATGGAACTTTGGAAGAGCAGAGGATGATAGGTAAAATGGAAAGAGCTTAAATCTGAGCAGGCACCACTGTTTCCCCTGGGCACAGGCCATCCCCACCTCGCACATACATACTCACCTACGCTTACCCTAAGCCTTTGTCCAAATCCCTCTCACAAAGCATCTAGCTTGCCTCTCCTTCCTCTGTCTCAAGTCACCAGGAACTTGAATTCAGGCTTCCTGGGGCAGTAAGAAAACCTTCTCAATTTAATATGATCAACAGCTCCCCCATACTCCTGAGCAGCCAGGATGACTCCTTTGCAGAGCCAAAGATCCATTTCCCTAACAAAATGTCCTTCTCATCTTGGGGAGAATTCTGTTAGGAACAGGGATGGGATCTCCACCTTGAGGTCTGAGGACAGAAATTTGGTTAAGAAGAAATTACATCTTTATTTCCACTAGCCTGTAACTGAAATTTGGCATCTCCTTCTACCATGAATGGAGGCAACAAGCTAGAGTTTTATTATCAGGACTTATGACTTTATTTCCAGCAGAAATTGAAGATATTTTCATCTCATTTCAAACATGTAAATATATCTTCAAATAGCATTTATGTTCCCCACTACTTGGAAATTATAGAAGTTATCACACTTGCTGCTAGGACCTGTTAATAGCTAAAACCACATAGACATGACTATACTTACATAGTTTAGTGCTTTTTCTTTAAATCACACGTATTTGATTTTCAGCACTTATCAGCTTTCTTCTGAGAAAGGTTTCACAGGCTCCAGCAGACTGCCAAAGAGGTCCGTGGCACAAAAAAACCCATATTCCAGACACATCTTGTGACTGACTGCAGTCTATCTGTAGCACAACCTGTCTCCTCTTTAAGCACCTCACAATTCAGTCAGCTGTCGGTTACCAATTAAATGTATATCAAAGCTTTAGAGTGCAGAACCTATTCAAGGACTACAGGAACTGGGAGGAGAGTGAGCAGGTGGGTGGGGAGCTACTTGTACCAATACCCTATCCATATTGGTTTCGTCTGGGTTTTCCCATAGGCCAGAGTGCCCAAACCTGCCCTCACCTGACATGCTGACATGAGGATGGCCTTGTCACATGTACTGCCATCTATGACAGAATTTGGTCTTGGATATTCTGTTCCAGAACCCAGAGGTGGTGGTAGGCAGAGGAACAAAGTCGACTGAGCCTCTGGGGGAACAAGAGGAAACAAAGGAAATATTTAACAAATTAAGAGACAATCGGAAGTCAATGAGAGGAGGCAAACTATCAATGGTCAGATGAGCAGGGAGTCCCCAGCATGGGTGAGCCCACCCTCAGTGGGGAAGGGAACTTGCCTGTGGTGTTAGCTTCTATGATGGAAGTCCATGAAGAAGAAGTTCTACAAATGGGGAAATTGAGACAACACAAGCAAACTAAGAAACTTGGGACACATAGTAGAAATCTAGACGGTTCTTTTAATGGACAGACTATTCTTTAAAGGAGGTCCTAAAACTGTAGAGATCACAGTCCCCGCTAGGTTCACCACCCCACCTGGCAGGAAATGTTGTGAGAAGGGGTTTAAGTGTAAAGTAAACTTGTAACAAGAGTGGCTGGCGCCAGTCTAAGCAAGAGGTACCACAAGGAATTTGTGCACATCCAGGAATGTGGAGTTCCACAACTCTCAACTAGCTTGTGGGAAAGCATAGGGCTGCTTTTCTGTTGACTAAAGCTATGAAAGAACTGAAAAGTGTGGCTTGCCAGGAAAACACTTGCTGTCCCCAAGGACACTAGCGCTGAGGACATGAGAGGAAGCAACACCCTTGGATCTGCCATCACTTGTCTAAGAATGGCAATCATCCAGTAACAGATCAGCCTTGGCTTTCAGGCCAACAAATTTCAGGCACTTGTAATAAGCTGTGCAACCATCGCCACTATTTTCTTACCCAATTCCTTTTCAGCTCCAGCAGGTCCTGCCAGTCACCTTGTACGACTTACCCCACTGGCTTTTTACATTTCAGAATTAAGAAATATCATACAGCAAACAAAGGGTTGAGTTAAAAAAGCTTGTTTGCACATTGTTTTAGGAATTCAGAACACATTTCCCATAGAAACAATGCAGACAAGCCACAAAGGCAGATGGTTCCCTTCCTTCTGCCCCCACCCAAAAGTTTAGCCTGTGATGTTCTGAAAGCACAGTATTATTCCCCATTAAATTGTTCCTGAAATAATGCCTTTTGAGTCATAATTCAGAATGCCTAACTGAATTTTATGGTGGCTTTAAATGTGGCCCCAAAGTTCTTTGCACTCTATGTGCTCTCCCCTTGATCCTGGCTCTGATGACTTGACCAAAAGAATAAGGCAGAAAGGATGCTATGCCAGTTAATTTTGTGATTATAGAATTACTATGATACCAAAACCAGATAGTACTAAAAAACCCCAAAGACCACTATCCCTAAAAAATACGGATGCAATAATCCATACAAAATATTAGTAAATAGAATTCAGCAATACATAACTATATACCATGATCAAGTGAGATTTTTTTTCCCCAGGAGTTCAAGGCTGCTTTAATATGTAAAAATGAATATAATCCACCATGTTAACGGACTAAATAAAAATCACATGGTCATATCAAGGGGGAAGGGAAGCATTTGACAAAATTCAACACCCATTATGATGAAACTCTCAGAAAAATAGGAATAGAAGAAAACTCTTCCAACTTGATGAGCATCCACAAAAAGTCCAGGCTCCCTCCACGGTCTTCCTGGTAACATGGGAGTGAGGGACTTTCACAGGCTGGCAGGGATGGAAGTCTTGGCTCCCTACTCAGTCTTCTCTGACGGTGACCCATTCATTGTGGGGGCTGGACTCCTCATTAGCCTGGTAGTCTAGGCTCCCCATCTGGCCTTGGTGAGTGGAGATGGGGCTGCCGATTTTCTGTGGTGTTTAGATGGAGTAAAGCAGATGTTGCTAACAGGCTTTCTTTTTTAAATTTGTATAAACTTAAGAGATATAAGTATAATTTTGTTACATCAATATATTGTATAGTTGTGAAGTCTGGGCTTTTAGGGCACCCATCACCCAAATAATGTGTACTCTACCCATTAAGTAATTTTTCATCACCCACCTGTCTCCTATTCCCTACCCTCCCGAGTCTCCAATGTCCATCATTTCACAATTTGTCCTAGTTTATACACTATTTAGCTCCCACTTATAAATGAAAACGTGGTGTTTGATTTTCTGTTTCTGCGTTATTTCACTTAAGATAACGGCCTCCAGTTCCATCCATGTTACTTCAAAAGACATGACTTCATTTTTTTTGACTGAGTAGTATTCCATTGTGTATATGTATCACATTGTCTTTATCCAATCATCTGCTGATGAACACTTAAACTGATTCCATATTACTGTTATTGCGAATAGTGCCGTGATAACATATGAGTGCAGGTATCATTTTTATATAATGATTTCTTTTCCTCTGGGTAGATACACAGTAGTGGCGTTGCCACTCCAAAGGGTAATTCTATTTTTAGTTCTTTGCCATATCTCCACGCTGTTCTCCAAAGAGGTTATACAATTTACATTCTCACTGGCAGTGTGCCTGAAGGTTTTATGTCTTGCCAAGTCTTAGTTCTTTGGCCAGAGAGAGCAGGCTTTTGGGGGGCCTTTCTTGCCTGTGCCTGTTGGTATTTCTGGGTGGCTCACTTCTTTAGCTCTGACTCTGGAATATGAATCAAAAAGAGATTCCTGGGACTTACCGCTAGGTCATCCGTTGGGTCCTGGGGTCCCTGGCCCATCTGCCTCTTTCTCTTCACCTTTCAGAGGCTTATGTTTGCTTTGCACACAATGTCCCAAATTTTAGTTACTTTTAGCAGGATGGATAGGGATGGATAGATAGATAGTCCATCTATTCTATCTTCCTGGAAGCAGACACCTGATATTTTTGGATATCTGGATTCTGCCTCTACTTTATTATTTGACTGGATGTGGAATTCTAGGCTGTACTTTAGAATTTGAAGGTTTTGCTGCACTAACTTCTTCCCTTCCAGCATTGCCTTCTGATTTTTTTTTTAATGGGATCTTCTCTCCTTTCTGCTCTCTCTGTGTCACCCTCAACCTTCAGGACGTTTTTTTTTTCTCTCTAGAACCCCAAAATGTCATGAAGGTGTCCTTGGTATGTATGTTTCTCCTGTCTTTTGGGGGGGTACTCTTACGGCTTCTTTAACTTGGAGACACATGCCTCAGGAGTATAGAATTGTTCCACTGCTTATTTGACAGGTTCCTTTCCTTTATGCTTTTCAGCCTTCCTGGAACTCTGAAGAGCCAGTTGCTGCATCTTCTGGAACAGAAGATGCCTCTAGGTTTCTTTTCTCTATTTTTCTGCTTCTTTTTTGTCTATTTTACTTCCCAAAAGAGTCCTTTAATCTTCTAATATTTCTCTACAATATTGATATGGTCATAATGTATATGTCCCTCACCCCAAATTCCTGTGTCGAAATTCTCACTTTTAAGATTATGATATTACAAGGCAAAGTCTTTGGAGGGTGATTTCATGAATGATATTAGGGCCCTTAATTTAAAAACCCAAGGGAGAGGCCAGGCACAGTGGCTCATGCCTGTAATCCAAGCAGTTTGGGAGGCTGAGGTGGGCGGATCAAGAAGTCAGGAGATCGAGACCATCCTGGTTAACACGGTGAAACCCTGTCTCTACTAAAAATACAAAAATTGGCCAGGCATGGTGGCATGCACTTGTAGTCCCAGCTACTCGGGAGGCTGAGGCAGGAGAATCATTTGAACTCAGGAGGCGGAGGTTGCAGTGAGCCGAGATTGCACCACTGCACTCCAGCCTGGGCAACAGAGGGAGACTCCGTCTACAAAAAACAACAAACAAACAAACAAACAAAAAAACCAAGGACACAGCAAGAAGATGCTGCCTGTGAACCAGACAGAGAGTCCTCACCAGGCACCAAATCTGCTGATGCCTTGATCTTGGATTTCCCAGCCTCCAGAGCTGTGAGAAACAAATTTCTGTTTTCTAAAAGCCACCCGGTTTCTGACATTTTGTTACAGCAGCTAGAACAAACTAAGCTTTTGGCTATCACATTTTTCATTTCTGGGTCTTCCTTCATCTTATCTGATTTTTTCCGTTTTGCACAGTATCACATGTTTAAAACGGAATAACTTGCCTTGGGTCATCTTTTTTCCTGTTTGCTACCTTGTTTTCTCTGGGCTCCTTTTAAAAACATTCTCTTTACTATATTGTGTGCCTCCTCCAGTTTCCTTGTGTTTGTTTGTTTGGGGTTTGTGTGGTTACCTCTTTTTGGTCTACCTTTCGTGTTGAAGGATTTCATCTACCTGGTCATCCTCAGCCATCTGTTAACAGTGGATGGGGAGGTACAGGGAAGCTGGCTGGAGAGTGAGCTGTGTATCTTGTACCTGTGCTTCTAGATTCCATCCTCTTCTGCTCTGCTCTGCCCTGGAGGCTGATCTGCATGGCAGCATCACCGGAGCTTCTTTGCACTCTGGACTCCAGTGGATTCAGCCAATGAGGGGCACTGGCAGGAGGTCAGACACAGAGAGGAGAGAATGTCTAAGAAGTCTGTGTCCCGGAACCCTCCCCACTGAGCTGTGATTTGGCAGTGGTTGCATTCTTCTTCTGAAGGTGACAGTCCCTGTGGTTGTCCCTCTCTGATAGCCTCAGCCTTTCTTGGGTTCTGGGAAATAATCACAGCTCCACTCTGCTGCTCACCCCAGGGGCTTCACGGTCCCTTGTGGTTTCTCTCACCATACCTTTCCTCTACAAATCGCCTCCTCATTAAACTCTTTTCTGCCTGCTTCTGAGTCTGTGATCTGTATTTCTTGCCAAGCCCTGATCACACCAGAAACTTCATGTGCTTGCCTGTCAGCTGGTGGACTTCATGGCAACATGGCTGGCCTCTTCGCTGGCACACACCAGAGTATACATGTGTTGGTCTGCTGGGGCTGCCAGAGTAAAGTCCCGCAGACTGGGCAGCTTAAACGACAAAAACTTATTTTCTCACAGTTCTGGGAGGTGGAAGTCTGAGATCCAGATGCCAGCAGGGTGAGTTTCTTCTGAGGCCTCCCTCCTTGGCTCACAGATGACTGCCCTCTCCCTGTGTCTTCATGCGATGGTTCTTCGGTGTACATCTGGTGTCTCTGTGTCCAAATTTCCTCCTCTCATAAGGACACCAGTCATGTTGGGTTTCAAAACTTTTTCTCATGGCCTTATTTTAACTTAATCACCGCTTTAAAGGCCCCATCTCTGAATATGCCAATTCTGAGGTACTGGGAGTTAGGATTTCAACACAGGAATTTTAGAAGACACAGCTCAGCCCATAACAGTTTTTATCTGGAGCTGTTTCTCTGGATAAGTTAAGTACGATGGGGTCTGTCTCTTCAAAATAATCCTCTAATCCATGGTTTGATAAGTGCACACTGGGCTGCAGGTCTTTGGGAACAGGTCAGAGGAAAGGGCCAGAAAAATGGCCCCACTGTTCATGATGAAAAATTTCAAAGAATCCCCCTATAGTTGGCCCTCGGGCTGGTCTGCACCCTCTTCTGTGTGTACAGAATCCTAAAATAGCTTGGTTCAATGTCTCCAGAGAATAAACTGACCTCCTGCCTTTGGGGAGAGGGAAACCTGGGATCAGGGAGGCACCCACTGAATCCTCTATCAGACTGTCTTTCAGCACTGCCCTTGGGGTATCGTGCCTTGGCCCAAGGGCTATTGTGGGTTTCTGCAGGATGCACCAGCTGACTTCTTGCTGCTACTCTCCTCCATAGCCACTTAGTTTATGTTTTTTTCTGCCTTTCTGCCTAGGTATGTTACCACCAGTTCATCTACAAATTCTCATAGGGAGAGAATTTAGACTGGCAGATATTCAGCCTCAGAGAAGGCTATTTGTAGATATTAGCTGTTTCTCTTCTAAAGCATCTGTGTTAGTCCGTTCTCACACTGGTATAAAGAAATACCCAAGACTGGGTAATTTATAAAGAAAAGAGGTTTCATTGACTCACAGCTCTACATGGCTGGGGAGGCCTCAGGAAACTTGCAATCATGGCAGAAGGCACCTCTTCACAAGGCAGCAGGAGAGAGAATGAGTGCCAGCAGGGGAAATGCCAAATGCTTATACAACCATCAGATCTTGTGAGAACTCATTCAATATTGTGAGAACAGCATGGGGGAAACTTCCCCCGTGATTCAATTTCCTCCCACTAGATCCCTCCCATGACACTTGGGAATTATTGGAACTACAATTTAAGGAGAGATTTGGGTGGGGATATAGCCAAACCACATCAACATTATTCTAGGAATGGCTTCTTCTTTATGTTCTTTGTACTTATTATGTTTTGTTTATTTCTTTACCATCATCACAGTCATTTGGAGAGGAAGTGAAGACAAAGGTTTGGGGTCAGTCTGCCATGTTTCATCAGAGGCTCACATAGAATTTACTCTGCACAGTCCCACAGTCCCTTCTACCCACTAAAAAAATGACCTCAGCTTACTGGTATCCAAGCCTATATAACAAATTCTAACAGAGGGGCTGAATTTCAGATTCTTTTGGTATTGGGTATTTCTGTTCACATTTTTTAGCATAAGGCAAGTGCTTTTTGCCTTGGAGAATTTCATTATTTAATAATCAGCTTCCCTCAAAATTCTCTTTCTACTATAACCTGGAAAGAACTCAAGAACTTTAATTGTATACCACATTCTAAAAATCTTCCTTGCAAGCATAGATGTTGTATACCTTCTGCTCAGGACCACCCCTTTTTATTATTGTAAATTTAAATAACTTTTTTGTTTTAGAATAGCATTAGATTTATAGAAAAGTTCAAAGATAGTACAGAAAGTTCCTGGATGCCCCTCTTCAGTTTCTCTGATTGTTATCAACTCCATTACTGGGTACATTGTTGTTACAACTAGCAACAAATATCAGTACTTTACTATTAACTAAATCCATATGTTATTCAGATTTCAGTAGTTTTTCCCTCTTGTCCTTTCTCTGTTCCAGGATCCTACCCATGATACGAGATTACATCTCATCTTTGCGCCTCTTGTTTTGTTTGACACAGAGTCTTGCTCTGTTGCCCAGGCTGGAGTGCAATGTTGCAATCATGGCTCACTGAAGCCTCAAATTCCTAGCCTCAAGCAATCCCCCCACCTTGGCTTCCCAAGTAGCTGGGACTACAGGCATGTGCCACCACACCAGGCCCCTCAGGCTTCTTGAGGCTTTTTTGTTCTGTGACCATTTTTTAGACTTCCCTTGGTTTTGATGACCGTCATAGTCTTGAGGAGTCCTGGTAAGGCATTTTGTGGAATGTCCCTCCTTTTGGGTTTGTCTGACATATTTCTGATGGTTGGACTGGGGGTTTGGGAGAAGACCACAGAATTGAAGTATCGCACCCTCACAGCATATGAAAGGCACATAATCGGCATGACTTCTTGCCGGGGGGTGGTAAGTTTTATCAGCTTCAAAGCTACTTTCCCTTTTCCACATTCTGCTCTGTGGAAGTGCATAAGAGCCGCCCCCGCTCAAGGGGTGGGGAGTTAAGGCTATGTCTCTTTGAAGAGTCGTCCCCTTTTTTATTTTTGCAAGATGACAAATGATTGCAATGGCCGGAGCCTATCCATAGATGCGTAGATACTTCTCTCTATGTTTGTGAAAACACATCCTCAATTAAAGACAAAAGCCATCTTGTCCTCTGCTCCCCCCTACATCCTTCCTCCTCAGATAAAACAATTGTCTCCTCTTCTCAGAAACCAAGTCTCTGACCTCATGACAATAGGCTTTTTCTACAAGAAAGCAGGCCCATGTTAGGCAGTCTCTTGGGGGGTCGAAAGGGCCAAATGTGTACTTAGATGTGGATTTCACAGAGTGATTAGGTATGTGGATGTGTTTGTTTGCACTAAGCCACATGTTCTGGCATGAAGAGCTGAAGATGGCACATTACAGACCTGGCGCAGTGTGCAGAGGAGTGAAGGCACCCTGCTTTGGTCTCCTTTGTACCCTGGGCAGATCTGTTTTCAATTGTGTGGGACGTGGAGAGCATTTCTTGGCAATTCCCCCACCCCCAGGCTCTTCAGGGGACTAATGAAATAAGTGTGCAGAAAGTTCTGCATGCTCCTTGGAAGAAAGAAAAAGCCTGATGCTGAATGATTGCCGCTTCTCATGATGCCAACCACCTCTCCCTGAGCCACATCCGCAGAGCCTCAGTTTCTACGGATGGGAGGAAACCATGAGCTCTAAGTAAAGGAGTGGATTTTCCTTTAGCACTAGCCAACGTGGATGTGAAAGCCTGCAGGAAAACCACAACACCGCCTTCACCGACTCAGCAGCCCCAGGAGCGCATTTCCCCTTCACTGCACACCCTGGAGCCGCTGGTTCCCTAACCACTGCCAGCTTGCATAGGCTGTGGCTCTTTTTTTTCTTCATTTCCTTCATTTCACTGAAAGAAGTTGTGGCATATGAATATTTGGGGTGTCCTTTTACTCTTTGGCCTGGTTTATTACTATTCCACACACCTTCAGTTTATACCAAGAGGAATAAGCAGAATAGTTCTCAAGTTATTCCTGGAATTATATACAAAATTTAGATGGTTTTGAATGTCCTGGTCGTGGTGGACCCACTTAGTTTGAATTCAATGATCACTGACTACAAGAGCACCACTTGTTCATGGTGAAAATTATAAACTACAAACAGATTAAAAGGAGCTGGAATCCAATCTCCGGTTCATTCACTCATTCACTCATTCACGTAAGATAAGCTGAGCTTGCCTACTTGTTCAGCAAAACTGAGGGCCCTGAGGACAAAGAAGAGAGGGGCAGGCAGCCCTGTAGAGGTTATTTTAAAGAAGACCAAGCAGGGGACAGTGCGTGGGGCACAACGCATGAAACAGTTAACATTCAGGCTCCACACACTGCTTCCAGAAACACACCCAGGAAAAGGTGAGGCCCACTGCTGAGTTAACAGTTGGCCCACTTACAGAAAGACTCGGGGTTACTTTTATAAAGAAAGCAGAGAGGCTATATCCCTTCCAAACAAATCCCAGATGGGCTGAGACCCTTTTCTGTAAAATAAACATGCCCAGAACTTAGGAAGTGCAAGGGGAAGCATTTACAGGGAGATCTGAAGCTGCCAAGAGTGAGGGGGAGCAGTGAGCTGAGGACCACATCACCCTGAGCTATCTGACGGTGGCCTGTGTGCTGGCCTCTTTTGTGAAAATCGCTGTGCCACTAGAATTTGGAACTCACTTTGGCCACTAGAATTCCAGACACAATAGGATCTGTTTTTTTTTTTTTTTTTTTTGAGGCGGAGTATCGCTCTGTCACCCAGGCTGGAGTGCAGTGGCGCGATCTTGGCTCACTGCAAGCTCCACCTCCTGGGTTCATGCCATTCTCCTGCCTCATCCTCCCGAGTAGCTGGGACTACAGGCACCCGCCACCATGCCCGGCTAATTTTTTGTATTTTTAGTAGAGACGGGGTTTCACCGTGTTAGCCAGGATGGTCTCGATCTCCTGACCTCGTGATCTGCCTGCCTCGGCCTCCCAAAGTGCTGGGATTACAGGCGTGAGCCACCCTGCCCAACCCAGGATCTGTTTTTAATGCTCTAGGATGGTCACCTGTAAGACATGAGATTTGTTTGTAATTTTATTAAAAGTATATATCAAGCTACTGCCATGACATGTGCTTTTCATTTCAGTGGTTGGGGTACCCATTTATATTATAATAAGCAAATAAACAGTATACAATGCAAAGGAAAGTGTGTATATGTGCGAGTCATGTGATCATGTTTGGGTGTATGTATGTTTGTGGGAATAGTAGAGTTTCCAGGTTTAGCAAATAAAAGGACATTCAGTTAAATTCGAATTTCCAATAAACAACAAATAGATTTTTAGTATAAGTAATGTCTCAAATGTTGCATGGGACATATCTATACTCAAAAAGTATTCATCGTTTAACTGAAATTCAATTTAACTGCGCATCTTATACCTGGATTTTACCTGGCAATCCTCATCAGTGTGAGTGTGTGGAGTTGTGTCAGCGTTGTGTGAGTGTGTGAGTGTGTGCATGCACATGGCAGAGCCGGGGGAGGGCAGGGGGGCCTATGTGAGGAACGTGGGTGAAGGTGCCACCTGCCAATCTGAAAGATGTAGCCTGACCTCATTCTTCATCCTGTCCTCCAGAAAGAAACAAGACCAATCACAAATCACACATTGTAAGTTGTGATAATTTCCAAAGGTTTTACACATATTAAAAGTATAAACTTTGAAAACATTTATGACTTTGATAATTTTTTATCAGCATCAGGAAACATCTGGTCTAGTGAATTTTCAGCTCAGGGATTGACTGACTCTGAAAGACTTTTCCCCCAGACTCAGAGTCCCTGAAACATCACTTCCTCTCTTACTGCATATATGAATAACTATTTTTAAATAATAACTTTCACTTCATTAATTTAACGCCTGGGGCTGGATGCAGTGGCTCATACCTATAATTCCAGCATTTTGGGAGGTTGAGGCAGGAGGATTGCTTAAGGCCAGGAGTTTGAGATCAACCTGGGCAACACAGTGAGGCATAGTCTCTACAAAAAATAGGCTGTGGTGGGAGGATTGCTGAAGCTCAAGAGGCCAAGCCTACAGTGAGCCATGATCACACCACTGTACTCCAGCCTGGGACATAGAGAAAGACCCTGTCTCAAAAAAAAATAATAATTCAATACATGAGAAAATTATTTAAAAAAATCTAAAATGCAGTGGCTGCATTATGCAAGGAAAAATATTTATAAAATAGAAAACAATTGCAAATACTTAAGTGTCCTAAGAAAGGATGCCGAGTTCATTATGGTCCAGTCACACAATGAAATAGTATGCCCTCAGTAAAGCAATGTTCATGAGAGCTTTGTTCTGTGCAGACTAAAAGCAAACTGAAAAACGACAGGCAAAAATGCACTCACAAAATTATTTGTCTGTGCATATGAAGTGTATGAAAATGCTGGTAGAGAAAGAAAAAAGCATGTATTGTTACTAAGGTAAAAAAAAAAATGACATGCAGTAAAATTTTGGTAGAATTTTGTGTGTGTGTGAGTTTAAAATAATTTTTTGGTCTTTTCATGCTTTTTATTTATTTTTATTATTATTATACTTTAAGTTTTAGGGTACATGTGCACAATGTGCAGGTTTGTTACATATGTATACATGCACCATGTTGGTGTGCTGCACCCATTAACTCATCATTTAGCATTAGGTATATCTCCTAATGCTATCCCTCCCTGCTCCCCCCACCCCACAACAGGCCCCGGTGTGTGATGTTCCCTTTCCTGTGACCATGTGTTCTCATTGTTCAATTCCCACCTATGAGTGAGAACATGCAGTGTTTGGTTTTTTGTCCTTGCGATAGTTTGCTGAGAATGATGGTTTCCAGCTTCATCCATGTCCCTACAAAGGACATGAACTCATCACATTTTATGGCTGCATAGTATTCCATGGTGTATATGTGCCACATTTTCTTAATCCAGTCTATCATTGTTGGACATTTGTGTTGGTTCCAAGTCTTTGCTATTGTGAATAGTGCCGCAATAAACATATGTGTGCATGTGTCTTTACAGCAGCATGATTTATAATCCTTTGGGTATATACCCAGTAATGGGATGGCCAGGTCAAATGGTATTTCTAGTTCTAGATCCCTGAGGAATCTCCACACCAACTCCCACAATGGTTGAACTAGTTTATAGTCCCACTAACAGTGTAAAACTGTTCCTATTTCTCCACATCCTCTCCAGCACCTGTTGTTTCCTGACTTTTTAATGATTGCCATTCTAACTGGTGTGAGACAGTATCTCATTGCTGTTTTGATTTGCATTTCTCTGATGGCCAGTGATGATGAGCATTTTTATGTGTTTTTTGGCTGCATAAATGTCTTCTTTTGAGAAGTGTCTGTTCATATCCTTCTCCCACTTTTTGATGGGGTTCTTTGTTTTTTCTTGTAAATTTGTTGGAGTTCATTGTAGATTCTGAATATTAGCCCTTTGTCAGATGAGTAGGTTGCAAAAATTTTCTCCCATTCTGTAGGTTGCCTGTTCAATCTGATGGTGGTTTCTTTTGCTATGCAGAAGCTCTTTAGTTTAATTAGATCCCATTTGTCAATTTTGGCTTTTGTTGCCATTGCTTTTGGTGTTTTAGACATGAAGTCTTTGCCCATGCCTATGTCCTGAATGGTAATGCCTAGGTTTTCTTCTAGGGTTTTCATGATTTTAGGTCTAACATTTAAGTCTTTAATCCATCTTGAATTAATTTTTGTATAAGGTGTAAGGAAGGGATCCAGTTTCAGCTTTCTACATATGGCTAGCCAGTTTTCCCAGCACCATTTATTAAATAGGGAATCCTTTCCCCATTGCTTGTTTTTGTCAGCTTTGTCAAAGATCAGATAGTTGTAGATATGCAGCATTATTTCTGAGGGCTCTGTTCTGTTCCATTGGTCTATATCTCTGTTTTGGTACCAGTACCATGCTGTTTTGGTTACTGTAGCCTTGTAGTACAGTTTGAAGTCAGGTAGCGTGATGCCTCCAGCTTTGTTCTTTTGGCTTAGGATTGACTTGGCAGTGCAGGCTCTTTTTTGGTTCCATATGAACTTTAAAGTAGTTTTTTCCAATTCTGTGAAGAAAGTCACTGGTAGCTTGATGGGGATGGCATTGAATCTATAAGTTACCTTGGGCAGTATGGCCATTTTCACGATATTGATTCTTCCTACCCATGAGCATGGAATGTTCTTCCATTTGTTTGTACCCTCTTTTATTTCATTGAGCAGTGGTTTGTAGTTCTCCTTGAAGAGGTCTTTCACATCCCTTGTAAGTTGGACTCCTAGGTATTTTATTCTCTTTGAAGCAATTGTGAATGGGAGTTCACTCATGATTTGCCTCTCTATTTGTCTGTTACTGATGTATAAGAATGCTTGTGATTTTTGCACATTGACTTTGTATCCTGAGACTTTGCTGAAGTTGCTTATCAGCTTAAGGAGATTTTGGGCTGAGACAATGGGGTTTTCTAGATATACAATCATGTCATCTGCAAACAGGAACAACTTGACTTCCTCTTTTCCTAATTGAATGTCCTTTATTTCCTTCTCCTGCCTGATTGCCCTGGCCAGAACTTCGGACACTATGTTTAATAGGAGTGGTGAGAGAGGGCATCCCTGTCTTGTGCCAGTTTTCAAAGGGAATGCTTCCAGTTTTTGTCCATTTAGTATGATATTGACTGTGGGTTTGTCATAGATAGCTCTTATTATTTTGAGATATGTCCAATCAATACCTAATGTATTGAGAGTTTTTAGCATGAAGGGTTGTTGAATTTTGTCAAAGGCCTTTTCTTCTTCTATTGAGATAATCATGTGTTTTTTGTCTTTGATTCTGTTTATATGCTGGATTACATTTATTGATTTTCATATGTTGAACCAGCCTTGCATCCCAGGGATGAAGCCCACTTGATCATTGTGGATAAGCTTTTTGACGTGCTGCTGGATTCGGTTTGCCAGTATTTTACTGAGGATTTTTGCGTCAATGTTCATCAAGGATATTGGTCTAAAATTCTCTTTTTTTGTTGTGTCTCTGCCAGGCTTTCATATCAGGATGATGTTGGCCTCATAAAATGAGTTAGGGAGGATTCCCTCTTTTTCTATTGATTGGAATAGTTTCAGAAGGAATGGTACCAGCTCCTCCTTGTACCTCTGGTAGAATTTGGCTGTGAATCCATCTGGTCCTGGACTTTTTTTGGTTGGTAAGCTACTAATTATTGCGTCAATTTCAGAGCATGTTATTGATCTATTCAGAGATTCAACTTCTTCCTGGTTTAGTCTTGGGAGAGTGTATGTGTCGAGGAATTTATCCATTTCTTCTAGATTTTCTAGTTTATTTGCGTAGATTTGTTTATAGTATTCTCTAATGGTAGTTTGTATTTCTGTGGGATCAGTGGTGATATCCACTGTGTCATTTTTTATTGCGTCTATTTGATTCTTCTCTCTTTTCTTCTTTATTAATCTTGCTAGTGGTCTATCAATTTTGTTGATCTTTTCAAAAAACCAGCTCCTGGATTCAGTGATTTTTTGAAGGGTTTTTTGTGTCTCTATTTCCTTCAGTTCTGCTCTGATCTTAGTTATTTCTTGCCTTCTGCTAGCTTTTGAATATGTTTGCTCTTGCTTCTCTAGTTCTTTTAATTGTGATGTTAGGGTGTCAATTTTAGATCTTTTCTGCTTTCTCTTGTGGGCATTTAGTGCTATAAATTTCCCTCTACACACTGCTATGAATGTGTCCCAGAGATTCCGGTATGTTGTGTCTTTGTTCTCGTGGGTTTCAAATAACATCTTTATTTCTGCTTTCATTTCATTATGTACCTAGCAGTCATTCAGGAGCAGGTTATTCAGTTTCCATGTAGTTGAGCGGTTTGAGTGAGTTTCTTAATCCTGAGTTCTAGTTTGATTACACTGTGGTCTGAGAGACAGTTTGTTATAATTTCTGTTCTTTTACATTTGCTGAGGAGTGCTTTACTTCCAACTATGTGGTCAATTTTGGAATAGGTGTGGTGTGGTGCTGAAAAGAATGTATATTCTGTTGATTTGTGGTGGAGAGTTCTGTAGATGTCTGTTAGGTCCACTTGGTGCAGAGCTGAGTTCAATTCCTGGATATCCTTGTTAACTTTCTGTCTCATTGATCTGTCTAATATTGACAGTGGGGTTTTAAAGTCTCCCATTATTATTGTGTGGGAGTCTAAGTCTCTTTGTAGGTCACGAAGGACTTGCTTTATGAATCTGGGCACTCCTGTATTGGGTGCATATATATTTAGGATAGTTAGTTCTTCTTGTTGAATTGATCCCTTTACCATTATGTAATGGCCTTCTTTGTCTCTTTTGATCTTTGTTGGTTTAAAGTCTGTTTTATCAGAGACTAGGATTGCAACCCCTGCCTTTTTTTGTTTTCCATTTGCTTGGTAGATCTTCCTCCATCCCTTTATTTTGAGCCAATATGTGTCTCTGCACGTGGGATTGGTTTCCTGAATACAGCACACTGATGGGTCTTGACTCTTTATCCAATTTGCCAGTCTGTGCCTTTTAATTGGAGCATTTAGCCCATTTACATTTAAGGTTAGTATTGTTATGTGTGAATTTGATCCTGTCATTATGATGTTAGCTGGTTATTTTGCTCATTAGTTGATGCAGTTTCTTCCTAGCCTTGATGGTCTTTACAATTTGGCATGTTTTTGCAGTGGCTGGTACCGGTTCTTCCTTTCCATGTTTAGTGCTTCGTTCAGGAGCTCTTTTAGGGCAGGCCTGGTGGTGACAAAATCTCTCAGCATTTGCTTGTCTGTAAAGTATTTTATTTCTCCTTCATGTATGAAGCTTAGTTTGGCTGGAAAATTCTTTTCTTTAAGAATGTTGAATATTGGCCCCCACTCTCTTCTGGCTTGTAGAGTTTCTGCTGAGAGGTCAGCTGTTAGTCTGATGGGCTTCCCTTTGTGGGTAACCCAGCCTTTCTCTCTTGCTGGCCTTAACATTTTTTCCTTCATTTCAACTTTGGTGAATCTGAGAATTATGTGTCTTGGAGTCGCTTTTCTCGAGGAGTATTTTTGTGGCATTCTCTGTATTTCCTGAATCTGAATGTTGGCCTGCCTTGTTAGGTTGGGGAAGTTCTCCTGGATAATATCCTGCAGAGTGTTTTCCAACTTGGTTCCATTCTCCCCGTCACTTTCAGGTACGCCAATTAGACGTAGATTTGGTCTTTTCACATAGTCCCATATTTCTTGGAGGCTTTGTTCATTTCTTTTTATTCTTTTTTCTCTAAACTTCTCTTCACAGTTCATTTCATTCATTTCGTCTTCCATCACTGATACCCTTTCTTCCAGTTGATCTCGTCAATTACTGAGGCTTGTGCATTCATCACGTAGTTCTTGTGCCTCAGTTTTCAGCTCCATCAGGTCCTTTAAGGACTTCTTTGCATTGGTTATTCTAGTTATCCATTCATCTAATTCTTTTTCAAAGTTTTTAACTTCTTTGCCATTGGTTCGAATTTCCTCCTTAGCTTGGAGTAGTTTGATCCTCTGAAGCCTTCCTCTCTCAACTCGTCAAAGTCCTTCTCTGTCCAGCTTTGTTCCATTGCTGGTGAGGAGCTGCGTTCCTTTGGAGGAGGAGAGGCGCTCTGATTTTTAGAGTTTCCGGTTTTTCTGCTCTGTTTTTTCCCCATCTTTGTGGTTTTATCTACCTTTGGTCTTTGATGATGGTGACATACAGATGGGTTTTTGGTGTGGATGTCCTTTCTGTTTGTTAATTTTCCTTCTATCAGTCAGGACTCTCAGCTGCAGGTCTGTTGGAGTTTACTGGATGTCCACTCCAGACCCTGTTTGCCTGGGTATCAGCAGCAGTGGCTGCAGAGCAGCGGTTATTGGTAAAATGCAAATGCTGCTGCCTGATCGTTCCTCTGGAAGTTTTGTCTCAGAGGAGTACCCAGCTGTGTGAGGTGTCAGTCCGCCCCTACTGGGGGGTGCCTCCCAGTTAGGCTACTCAGGAGTCAGGGACCCACTTGGGGAGGCAGTCTGCCCGTTCTCAGATCTCAAGCTGCGTGCTGGGAGAACCACTACTCTCTTCAAAGCTGTCAGACGGGGACATTTAAGTCTGTAGAGTTTATTTCTGTCTTTTGTTTGTCTGTGCCCTGCCCCCAGAGGTGGAGCCTACAGAGGCAGACAGGCCTCCTTGAGCTGTGATGGGCTCCACCCAGTTCGAGCTTCCCGGCCACTTTGTTTACCTACTCAAGCCTTAGCAATGATGGGCACCCCTCCCCCAGCCTCGCTGCTGCCTTGCAGTTCAATCTCAGACTGCTGTGCTAGCAATGAGCGAGGCTCCGTGGGCATAGGACCCTCCGAGCCAGGTGCAGGATATAATCTCCTGGTGTGCCGTTTGTTAAGCCCATTGGAAAAGCGCAGTATTAGGGTTGGAGTGACCCGATTTTCCAGGTGCTGTCTGTCACCCCTTTCTTTGACTAGGAAAGGGAATTCCCTGACCCCTTGTGCTTCCCGGGTGAGGTGATGCCTTGCCCTGCTTTGGCTCACTCACAGTGCGCTGCACCCACTGTCCTGCACCCACTGTCTGGCACTCCCCAGTGAGATGAACATGGTACCTCTGTTGGAAATGCAGAAATCACCCATCTTTTGTGTCGCTCACGCTGGGAGCTGTAGACTGGAGCTGTTCCTATTTGGCCATCTTGGCTCCACCCCTTTTTATGCTTTTTATAATAAATATGTATTACTTTCAAAATTGGAGATAAAATTTTGGAAGCAAAATAAGCATACAGAAAAATATGCTTTCCATTGTTGTGCTATGGGTAGCAGGCCGCTGAGACCTGGATCCCTGACACCATGTTCAGCTAGAGCTTCATGGGAAGCCCTGGGAGTTCTTGTAGAGACAGAAGCCAAGACTGGCTGTCACACCTCTGACCCTGAAAAAAATGTTTCATGGACTTCTACGGCAGCAAGTCAGATGCCCTGGGGTCTACCTGCCAGCACTGGGACAGTGCCTAGCAGCAGGGGCACAGTCAGTGTTTAGGCCATGGACTTGAGAGACAAATGTCCTGCTTTTGGCTAGTGATGGCTAAGTGGTGGCTGTCACCCTTGCATGTGGGCTAGCATTGGCTTATGGAACTTCAGTCAAACATACAAGTCCACATGCCCTGGGAGAAGGACCTAGAAATCAGACCAGCCCCTCAGCCCTGGGAGAAGGACCTAGAAATCAGACCAGCCCCTCGGAACTATTGAAGTGAAGGATTTATTTCCATTGGCTCTCTCACCTATTCCTTCATGTTCTTGTATATACAACTCTAGCTTGTTGGCTTCTGTGTCTCCCATTTCTTTGTTTTCCTCCTGCCTTAATGCAGAAGTGCACTTGAAGATGGGTGTGTTTGCTCCAAGATAGTCCATGAGATCTCTGAGCCATGGGATAGTCAAAGGAAGAGCAGAAGCCTGGGGCTGTGTGGGTGTCTGGGCCCAAGGGAGGGTTTATGCAGAGCAGTAAAAACAACTGACCCTTCAGAATCGGTGAGCTTAAAAGTGACTATCTTAAAAATCAAAAGGAGAATATTGTATTATATTAAACTCTGCCATAGGGCATGGCTCCATGTACACAGATCTGGGTATACTACTTGTGGAAGTCACTTTCTGTCTTGTCAACATCCATTCTTCCCTCCCCTATTTCAGAAGGCTTTGGCGGTGGGGCCTGACTGGTCTCAGTCCTTGAGGACACCCATCCCACCCCATCCTGCCTCTCCCATGGTGATTCTCTCCATAAATCCTGGTTCAAGAACAGACACATAACCCAGTTTGGTCAAAGAGACATGAGATCTGGGCCCCTGGAAAAGACACTCTCCTCTTTGGATGGTGAGGCATGTGAGTGTGAAGGTCAGAACTGCTGCAGCCACGCAGTGAGGGAAGCCAGCGGGCCCTGGGATGAAGCTGGCAGGATAGATGATGTCTTAGATCCAGTTGTTAAACCAACATGGAAGGGCCTTCTGATCTCTGGGCTTTTTAGGTGTTTCTTATGGTTTCTAGAAACAATGTTTCTTTTATTGTTCAAACTGGTTTGCATGGAGTTTTCAGTCATTTACACAGAAAACCTCTTAATTGGTTTCCACAGGGGTTATATTTTCCACAAGCATCAGTGAGAATAATGAATGTGTTGGATAAATAATAAGAATTGGGAAATTGCTGGAAAATCTAGGGTCTCTAGTTGTCAGAGAAACAAAAGGAAAGACATGAGATATGTGTCCAATTAAAGAGTAATCTAAGTCCCCAAGTTCAAAACCAGGGAATTCTGGCTGGGTGATAACATGATTACTTCACAAATTTTAACAAAACCTATAGCCAATTAGGCCTCAATTACCACAAATAATTTAGTCCAGCAGTCTGTAGGAATAAACACCAAGACACATTTTTTTACTGCCTTTTTCACTTGACACTTTAAATAACACTAAGGGAAACATGAGATCAATTGTAAAGAAATGTGGCCCAGGTTGAATAGCCAATTAAGAAAATATTCATGTGACCCATTTTAGGAAAACCTGATACTTGAATATCCTTCCATCTAGAAAAACTAATAGTTTAGGAGTAATTTTTAATACAGCATATCTTCTTAAAAGCAATTCAATAGAGGGTTTAAAAGATGAGCCACGAAAATGAACTGAAACAAATGAAATGTTGGTTCCAAGAAATCTCCAATTTTCAAATTTCATGTTTATCAACTAGGATGCCTTCACTGCAAGCAAAGAGGACTTTTCACACAGGCACAAACAGTAAGACAACGTATTACATTTGTTAAGAGGACGTTTAGGGTGCTGTGGGGTTCTGGGCTGTGATTCAGCCGCTGGCGATGCTGGCAGGAAAGGTCCTCCCTCCCTCTGCTTGGCCATCCTCAGTGGCTACATCTGCTCCCCTTGTAGTTGTGAGATGGCTTCAGGAGTTCTGGGTCTCAAACCCAGACATTTGACATCCAGGGAACAGGACAGAAACAGACCATCTCTTCACAGGATTCCTTAAGAATGAGGGAAGCTTTTCCAGAGGGTTCTGCAGCCATCTGTTTTTGACATGTTGGTCAGCACTAGGTCAGATCCCACCCCCAGCCCATTGCCAGGACTTTGTGACTACAAGATCTGCACAGCCTGGACCAGCCACGGGAAGGGGTGGAGTTGTGAGTTGTGGCCTCTGGGTCACCTAGGAAATGAGTGGATACCTGAACAAAACCAAAGTTTGATCAGGAATCTATTCTAGTTACATTGTTCTAGATTAGCAGTTTCTGAAGACATATGAATTCAGTTCTGGCTTGAATTGATTGGCTAAGAATTTAAAACACTTTTAAATTCAGATGAGAGTGTCAAGGTCAGATGAATTTAGGGGCTAGCAATTAGGGCAATTTTTTCCAGATGTTACTTCAGTTTTAGTCTGCTGTTTCAAATATACGGTAATTTACTTTGTAGACATGCTGAACACACAACTTTTGAGCATCAATGTATCGTGAAAATAAGGATTACTTATGCTTGCTTTGGATAGTATTCTGACAGAAAAATATAGATGTACTCCAATGGTAGTACTGAGAGGTGCTTTGGAAGTCGAATTTCTGTTGCTTCTTATAAAGTATTAAAATGTCATTTTAAATATGCCATTCTTTATATCTGATATTAAAATTTCCATAAAGACATGATAATTAAATTTTATAGGTAACTGAAGAATACAATTAATGCAATTCCAAACATGTAGTAATTAGTTTGATTGACATCAAATATGGAAAAAAGAAAAGTTGAACTTCTTGTGTCTAAACGTATTTTGGGAATAATCCCCATAAAAAAATTCAACCTTCTCAAAACAGCCTATTTTAACCTAATTTGGTGAATATAGATTTGTATGATAATGCTATGTTGTTTATCTTGAGGTATTTGGGGATGTGACCAGTTTTAGCCAACTCCCAAATAAAAATTAATCCAAATAGCATTTCTGGCAGTTTCCGAAATTGTTAAGCTGATTTGTCCTGCTGCAGCTTGTCATGATGACCATGATAACTGAGGCAGGTCAAATGGCTTCTTTATATTCTATTTTAGTTGTGAAAGACGTTATTTGGCCAGATGTTTCTAGAACCCAAACTTAGACTTGAAGAACACTTCCACCATCACCATTGTTGCTTCCTTGTTTGTCCATTTCTCTGGCAAAGGGAATTTCATTGCTGATCCTGCAATATTCTGAAAGGCTGATTTGCTGCTATGCCTGTGGAAAAATAACAATTTTATGTGCATTCTCATCTGTAACCCATAGGTGATATTCAAATTGTTCCTATCTGAGAAACTCTAAGGAGCTGGCCTTTCTCTAACAAGTCCTTTGGTGCAGTGGGGAAGGAATGCTGAGGTTTTGCAGCCTCGTGCTGCTGTGTGGGTTGATTCCAGTGGGCCTCTGCTTTGGTGCCCAAGACAACCACGTCGGCATCACCTGGGAACACACTAGAAATGAAAGTCCTGGGGCTGCCCAAGAGCCATCTGGGCCTGGCCCACCCATCTGTCTGCTAAGGAGTCCTCAGGGGGATCCTGATGCCCTCTCAAATTTGAGATCCACTGGTTTAGATTATTTTTTATTATTTCTCCCCTCAAAGAGCTGCAATTTGATAATAGTGAAAAATGGGTCTATATTAATGGTGTGTGTGTGTGTGTGTGTGTGTGTGTGTGTGTAAGGGGAGGGGGTTAAGGTTTAGAGGGAAAATTGTGAATTCCCCCCTGCTATAACCAACAATATCCTCAGTGTTTATAACCTAGCACTGCAGTTTCCCGGCCTTGCAGTGTGATGGCAGTACTAGAAGCCTGGACCCAGGAGGAGCACACGTTCTGCTACTCATGAATAAGTCACTGCAGGAGCCCCCTGGCTGAAGCTCAGTCCCAAGCCAGCACTGAATGGACTGAATGGCCTCTGTCTGGAAGTTTTCAGCAATGTGCACTATGATTTGGGATAGAAGAGTTTTGTTCATTTAACCAACAACCAGTGTGTGCCTGTTCTATGAGATGCACCATGCAAGGATGTCAGGACCTTTACAATTATGAACAACATTTGACTCAAGGGGTGGATACCATGTGGTGTGAGGGCCACCCGAATGGTGCACTGCCGTCTCAGTGTAGCAGAGTGGTCCTCCCTAGGATCACTGAACTGAAAAAAAAAGTTTCCCCAACCAGGAGGTTCTGATCCCATGCTCATTCTGCAGTTAGCAACTTCATGGGATATAATGAATGGATTCAAGTATGGGAGGAGATACAGAAGAACATCATTTGCTTTTTATAACACAGGTAATCCCTGTAAACCAGCACCCCTCTAGAGAGTCATGGGGCCTAATGGCTTTCTATGCTTAAGGATTCAGGGCTTGCCTCTCCGCCTTTATAAGCTGATGTGGGTTTATGCAAAAATAATAGTTTGAAATTAAATCCTCTAATAGTTTTCCTTCATAAAACTCCATTGACTCTAGGAAAATTAAAAAAAAAAAAACCTCATAAGCATAGGCCTGAAACATTCTAGAAAGTGTGTGGAGCTCAGATGTGAAGGGCACTGTGATATTACACAAACCTCCTCAAAGTTTCTGTTTTTTCTGAATGGCCTTGGGGTGTTCTTCTAAAGAGCAGCTGAGTGTGAGCAAGTTCAGTCTGGCTACAGAGTCACCCTGCCATCCAGGGCAAGTGGACAGAGGCTCTGACTACTCAGAGACGGGACTGAGAAGGTCATGCAATGTTTTCATGGGGACATTTCAATTTGGTTATTCTCAGGTCTTGATATCTTGATGCTTTGAAACACAATTAAGCATTACAATTTTTAAATTATCAAATCTTAAGCACAGAAGATGACCTTTGGCCCATTCCCGAGAAGCCGTGGGAAGACCCCCTATGAAATCTATAGATGTGGAGTCAGTGAAAGGATAGATTGAGCACCGTATGTGTGGACATTTCCCCCAGAGTCTAGCTATATCCTCCTGATGGTGTTTCCACGACTGTTAGAAAACCAATAAAAAGAGCATTAAAACACCATCATTTTATAATAAATCATTATAAATCATGCCTTCATAAAGCAGCTGATATCCAAAATTTTGTTGAAATTTTTCCCCCACTTGCACCATTGTAGAACATTGTAGCTTGGGAGAGACGGTGGCTCCATGGAGTGATTCCCACAGAAAGAGGCTGGTCACGAGAAGAGCAGTTGCCCAAGTGTGTGTGAGTGGCCTCGTCCCTGAACCATACCAGGTCAGAGTTACATCTGGGAGCATTGCAACAATTTTTTGCCCTTTTAGGGCTAGCTGACTTGAAAACGACCCTGTTGGCCCAGCCTGGTGGTAATCCGTCAAGCTCTGAACACACACCTGCTGAAAGAGATGTGAACTAAGTGGCATATGGTGTTGAGGGCAATGAACCCCAACAGTCAAGAGAGACTGAACAGGACAGAGAGCAAGTGTGAGTGCAGACACAAGACAGGTGAAGTGGCGCCCCAGCCCCTTAACTCCTCAAAGGCAAAGGGGCTGCCTCGCTGGCCCAGGACAGACAGAGGTAGGCAAAAGTGTTAAACACCTAAATAGACTTACAGTTACGTGACTGGATTCAAAGCCTAGCTCTGTATAGACTTCAGACTGGAGCAAGTCCCTGATGTGTTCATCTAAGAAATGGCCATTTCCACTTGCCCCATTCCTTTCCCAAGCAAGATCCGTGGGCAGGAGAGAGTGCCTGGAAAGACATTTTAAAGCATGGCACACATGTTAAGCTTGATCTTCAGAAAAACTGGATCTATTTTTGCTTGATTAATTGTCACCATAAGTGTTTCCTAAGATGTCTTCAATAACCAGGAAAAAGGCCTCAAGGGCCTTTTTCTCGTGAGTTTTCAAATGGATCCTCCTGCTGCCTGGCAAGTTTTCCTGCTGATGTCAATCTGTGATCTTCCTGTGGTGGAAAGACAAAAATTAAACAATGATTCAGCTCAACAGCCGCTCAAACATTTACTTGGTGTGGACTGTGTGCCAGGAAATATCTGGTTGCTAATATTCATTAGGCGGTTTTGGCCTGTGCTCATCCTGAGCCTGTTTACCTCTTCTATAAAATGGGGATAAAACAACTTATACCCTGTCGTGGTCCATTTGGCCTGCTATCACAATTTACCACCTTCTGAGCAGCTTGTAAACAACACAAATGTGTTACTCACAGTCCTGGAGTCTGGGAAGTCCAAGATCAAGGTGCCAGCAGATTTGGTATCAGATGAGAACCTGCTTCTTCACAGACAGGGTGCTCTCCCTGTAACCTTACATGGCAGAAAAGGAAAATAGCTTTCATGGTTTCTGTTAGAAGGATACAAATCCAATTCATGAACACTCCACCCCTGTGACTTCATCTTCCAAAGGCCACACCCCCTAATGCCATCACCTTGAGGGCCAGCGTTTCAACATATCAATTCTGGGGGTGGGTGCAAACGTTTAGTTCATAGAACACCCTTTGCCTATTGTGAGAATCAGATGCAAATGGTCCTTGAAGATCTCAGCTAACCATAAAAGGCATGCTCATGGAAGGAATTGCTGGTCTTTTCCACAAAGGCAAGCTGAGTTCCAGAACTGTCCACAAAGCTGTGCAGGACATTGTGAGTATTTAACGTTTCCTTTCCTTTGCCTCAGATCCAAGATGACCACAAATTGTTCCAACAAGGCATATAAAATCTCTACTTAAGACGGGACCAGCCAGGCCAGCCTCTCCTTCTGTTCCATCCACAGACCAGACCCAAGCAATTTTATCTTAAGTGCTGCCTAGTAATACATCAAAATCAAAGGCAGATTTACAAACACTCTGAAGACACCGGTCAGGCACCCCATAAAGATAACTGTGAAATGGAGACTGTGTCTCTTTGTGATAGGTTCCAAGTCTCTGTGCTGCCCTCAAATGTTTTCTCCCCACGCATTTTTTCAATAAACCATTGAAGGAAACTGGACGTTCTTTGAAGTGAGAGGTGTCCTTAGAGTGGCTCTTGACAAGTCCTACTTCTGAGAACCCACGCAGGGTGTCTAAAGCCAGCATCCACTCTGGTCAGGACCATGTCTTGGCATTCGGGCATTTAGCCTTCCCAGCTGATTGCATTGATCAGATTTGCTTCAGGCTGGCTCCACAACAGACAAACACTTGTAGGAGGCAGAAGGTGGGAGCTGGTGGGGTTGGTTCCCTGCCCACGTCCCCAAGGCCCTCACCACTCTAGTCCCCACAATCGAGGACTCGCCCCTCCCCAAAAGAGCCTCCTCCCTGCCCATGGAGACAGGCTAGAAATGCCACGGAGCCAACACTTCCAGGAGCTACCCGTGGGCAATGACAGACAGGACTTGGTGGGTGAGTAGTCACACCGGCCTCCTCAGCCCAGGAGCAGGCACAGCTAACCCTGCAGTATGTTGTACACTGTTTCCTAGAGCCCTCCCATGGGATTCAGCCCCAGTCGCCTGCAGCGGAAACCTGCTCACCAGCACCCCACGCACCTGCAGTGGAAGCCTGCTCACCTCCACCGTGTATCGGCTTGACCCCTACCGTGTCTTCCTTCCCCACTTTCCTGACGACGCATCCTGGGCTCACCTTCGGAAAAATCACTTCCCTCAAATCCTTGTTTCAAGACAGCTTTGAAAGTTCTCTCAACAAGACAGAAACAAAGTTTTGGGGATAAGAAGTAACTGCTGAAGCTATTTTCTCTCCTACAATGAATAATACAAAGTTATCTTGTTGTAGGGGCCTTCTAACCCTTAAATCACCATTGGTGACCTGGACCCAGAAGCCTCCGTAAGAATCCTCTTGTGGTGACCACTCTTAGTTCCATCTGAAAACTGACTCAGAAAGTTCACCAAGGCTCACTGTTAATCCCAGAGTGTGGCCTCTGGGCATACAGAGGGCAGAATGAAAGCATGATGGCTCTGCCTGCAGTCTCTGTACTAAGGGGGAGTTTAAGGGTAAATTGAGAGAATGAGAAGGGCCAATGGAGTTGCTTTGCTCGTCAGAGGTGTGTCATCCTGTGCCACCTCTAATAAAGCTGTCATCATCACTGGCACAAAGAGATCTGAGCCCAGGACCAGGGACAAAGGCCACCTTGCTCATTCCAGGGTTCCCAGTGCTACACAGAGAAGATGCTCAAAGCAGTCTGTGTCAAGCACCCAGGAGAAAGCAAGGCCACAGCTGCAGCAGGACTGGTTCGGCTGGTCAAGATAAAATGAGCCATTTTCAGATTCAGTTTGGTAAACTTACATACAGAAAGAAGGACTAAATAGCTAAAGGTGCTAGCTCCCAAGTCCTCATCCCACACACCAAACAGGACAACTTCAAAACAAAAGGGGCCCATGACTGCTACAGACATTGCTGGGCCAATCCCGTGCTGAGCTGAGCAGAAGAATCCGCACCTGGAGTGCATGAGGCAGAAAGCCTCAAATTGCATCAGAACCCAGGAGGCGATGAGGAACCATCTCATGACAGCCTCTCAGGCAGATGAGGCAAGATAGATTCGAGGTCCTCACAGGACTTCCAAAACCTTGGTGTTCTGGGAGATCGCAAAGCGTTCTGCCAAGACTCAGAGTCAATCTGGTTCATGTCTTTGCCTGTGTGGCCTGTGTGGATACATGTGAGGTCACCAGGATGCCACAGTAGAATTATTCTCCTATAGTATAGTGAATTAGCAAATGAATTATGAGCAGAAATCAGAGCATTCTAAATGTCATTCTTCTCCACTGTCATATTTGAGCACCTACTTATGCCAGATGTTATATTAAACTTTGGGGTGCATTGTATCTGTATTACCTAAGATTCTCCAGAAAAACAGAACCAACAGAGAGATTTATTATAAAAAATTATATAATGAGATTCATTATAAGAATAAATGTCTAATGTAATCCCAGAGGCAGAGAAGTCCCATGATCTTCCATCTGTAAGCTGGAGACCTGGAGAAGCTGGTAGGAAAGCTGATGGTGTGGCTTAAAGACATAAGAGCTAGAAAACTGTTGGTGTAGAATCTGGTCCAGGCCTGAAAGCCTGAAAACCAGGAACTCTGAGGGCAGGAAAGGGCTGATGTTCCAGTTCAAGCGGTCAGGCAGAGCTAAAGCAAACTTCCTCCACCTTTTTGTTCTAATCAGACTCTCCACAGATTGGATGATGCCCACCCACATTGGAAAGGGCCATCCTCTTGACAGAGAATGATACATTTGGTCTTGATAGTCCTTCAAACCCAATCAATCAATCAATCAATCAACACAGAAACCACTAAAAGTGTTGTGTGAAGTTGCTTAGTCTGTCTGTATGAGAGTAAAATCTGATAGCAGTTAGCTCCTCCTCAAGGAGGATGACTGACCCCAGCAAGTCATCCCCTGGAATTATGGAACTAGGTGTTTTTGTGCAGCAGGATGTCACATGCAGATTTGGTTGCCAGTGGGAGTGCTGCCATCCTCCCTCCATGTGATTAGCAGAGAAGTGAGTCTGTGAAGCAGAAAAAAGGAAACAGAAACAGAGAGGGAGGGCCAAGAGATGGAGATATTGCTGCTTGGGCTCCCACAACTTTTCATCTGCTAGTTTCTGTCCTTTTCCAAGATTTGATAACATTCCTATCACAGAGATTCACTGCCCTGAGCCACCCCAGAGACTGTGGGTTAAGTTCCCTTCTATGTGTGGGGAGATGCTGTTTCAACTCAAGTTGTTTCTGTTTCATGCAGGCAAATTATTGTGTTAGTATACATGCCAATTTCATTCACTGAGGAACTAGTTCCATTAACAGGCCTCTTGCAAATATCTAGACTCATTGATTATTTGGCATACGCAACGTCCACAGCAGCCACACCTGCCACCTCCATTTTGACTCAAGAGATGCTTAAGTGGTGGTGGCTCAAATTGCCACCCTTCAGAAAATTCTGTGTTGCCCAAGTCCTTGGGGATTCATATTCAATATGAAAAGCAAGAGGGAAACCTATCTCCATGTAGAGTGAGAGAGAACCCATTCCTCAGGGTCATCAGATTCTATTTGAAGATCTTGCCAGAAACTTGGTTTATATAAACATGAGTCTTGTGATCAAAGTCAAGTTTTCCCGTTAAACTTACTAAATGTCACATCACAATAATAACAGGCACTGTTTAACTCCAAACTGAGATGCTTTGAGAAATTATTTCAATGGCTCTTTTGAATGCTTTTATTTCCCCAACAGGCCAATAAACCCCAAACCCTCTGTTATTTCCTTTCCACCCACTCTGTGTTTACAACATTTATTTTCTGGCTATTGCATGCTACACATGCAATCCTAAACTTAGACATAATTGCATGATTTCCCTGATATCCCTGTCTTTTGACAGATGATTACAAATGTCTTTAGTAAATGGTCACCATGAAAATACTGACATGGAGTACATCACTTTTCTTGCACACCTGGGGTGTTTACAGTGGAATGAATGTTGTGTCGGTTATCATTCCTAAATCTTTCATTGCAATTGAGAGTCAGCTGTTAATCATTTAATTTTGTTTTCCCAGTTTGCTGTGTCTTGTCATCTCCTATTCTTCCCAGGAGAGCTCCAATTTTTTTAAATGCCTTGAACATTTTGTTCCTGCATATAAGAATTAATGTGCATTCCAGTTGGACGTTTTCAAATTTGTAACAGGAGTAAGCCACGTGACCTGCGGCAGCACCATCTCCATCTTCTCCACGTGCCCCAGCCTTTCCTGTCCACACTCAGCCCATTGCCTTCTCTATGGCTTCTGTTTGCATTGCTGCCATTATTCCATCTTGAACTTCCAAAATCCTTGGACATCTGCCTCTCTTATTGGTCACTCACATAATATTATCAAGGAAAGTGAAAAACACATAGGTAAAGGCTAACAAGTAAATAAGTAAATTAATGCAACAAGTTTTGCTCACTCAGCATGGTGCATTTTAGGCACTCAATAAAGGCAGGTTAAATCCATGATTAAAAGCCAAAAATTCAAATGAACTTGAGTGTCTGTAAAATTTATTATCCCATATATGCTAGCTGTCTCATCTTCTGTAAGAGTTTTTTTATGTATTCTGCATATGTGTTCTTAAAATAATGTGGTAGTGGTGCAAAGATAGGCAAGAACAATGAGAAGGATTAGGGGGTCTAGAAGCAGACCCACCTGATTTAGGCACAGAAACCGCTGAAAGGCAGTGAGAAAATTGTGGTCTTTTCAATAAAGCACTGGGTCCACTGGGCTTCCATGTGGGATAAAATGGACTTGACCCCTACTCCGTATGCAAAAATTATTAGCAGATAAATAGTGAATGAAAATGTGAAAAGTAAAATAGTAAAGCTTTTAGAAGAAGACAGAATATTATTATGACAGTATACAAAAGGCAGCAACCTCAAAACAACATCAACAACACAAAAAAATACCAGACTGAATATCCCTATCCAAAATGCTTGGAAACAGAAGTATTTCAGACTTCGAATTTGGCATGTAGGGGTGTGATATTTGAATATTTGCATTATATACTGTACTTATGGTTGTGCATCCCTAATCCAAAAATTTAAAATCTGAAATGCTCCAATGAGCATTTCCTTTGAGCATAATGTAAATGCTCAAAAGTTGCAGATTTTATAGCATTTCAGGTTTTGGTTTTTATAATTAGGTATACCCAATTAGTATTGAGAAAATAAATTATCTTAAAAATTAGAATGCCTTTTTAAAATATATCATTAAGATAGTGAAAACACAATATATAGACTTAGATAAGAAATTTGCAATACATTTATCATGTATGATTTCAAAGCTAGCTCAAAACTTCTTTGGAATAAAATGGAGCAAAACAAAGAATAACTGGCATTGATTGAGCACTTACTGTGTATTTCTGGCTATTGCATCCACCATTATCTAATTTAATCCTCATGAAAATCCTCAATGGCAGTTGTTACTAAATCCATATTTCACAAGATGCAGGGTCAGTGGTAATGGTGCAGGGAGTTGTACTTAGACAGATTAAGTAACTTACCCAAGCCCACAAAGATAACAAATGGCAGTCAGAAGCCAAACTCTATCCCACAGCTCCTGTATAATTTCAGGCCTAGCTCTTAACCAGTGCATTCAGCCAACCATCTTTTCTCCCATCTTTCCATCTGTGTATCTTTCCTTCCATTCATCCTCCTATCCATCTGTCCATTATTCCTTTCTTCCTTTTTTCCTCTCATTCATCCATTGTGATACAAGGCCTTAAATTTACGTCCACTATCATGTGCTACCTTGACACCTGGTGGAATTGGGAGGACCTCAAATGGCCTAATTCCAGGTTTCCCTCCCTACTCTGTTTCCATGATAAGGCCCCCTAGCCAAATAACACTACTTCTAAAGGGGGCCAGATGCAGTTCCTGCTTATCCCTGAGTAACAGGTTTTAGTTCTTTGCCAACCCACAGAAATATTTAAATAAGGCAATCACATCTTCCCACAGGAACCAGAGGACACCTACTCTCTCTCTCTCTCTTTTTTTTTTTTTTTTTTTTTTGATACAGAGTCTCACTCTGTTGCCCAGGCTGGAGTGCAGTGGCTCATTCATGGCTCATTGCAGTCTTGACCTCTCCGGGCTCAAGCAATCCTCCCATCTCAGCTTCCTGAGTAGCTGGGACTATAGGTGCACCGTCATACCCAGCTTTTTTATTTTATTTTATTTTATTTTTTTTTGGTATTTTGTAGAGACAGGGTTTTGCCATGTTGACCAGGCTGGGCTGGTCTCTAACTCCTGGGCTCAAGTGATCTGCCCTCCTCAGCCTCCCAAAGTGCTGGAATTACAGGTGTGAGCCACTGTGCCCAGTCATTCTACCCTCTTGACACTACAAAGCCTACCTCCCACAGCCTCTGATTATTCACTTTGTTCCCAAGTGCAGCCCCTTGTGTGGCCCTGCACAGTGTGATAATGCCTACAATTTTACTTGCGTTTTAAATTGATGTTTTGTTTAAATGTACTATGAAAATATCACCTCTGCACATGCAGACTTAAGGTCTCTGACACATTCAACAATGCAAAGATGACAGGACTGCAGGGAAGGTACGCAACATTCTGGCAAGGCAACAGTGAAGGCTTAAGAAAGGTCAGCTGGGCCGGCGCGGTGGCTCACACCGGTAATCCCAGCATTTTGGGAGGCCGAGGAAGGAGAATCATCTTGAGCCCAGTGGCGTGAGACCCACCTGGGCAATGGAGGAAAACCTGGTCTCTACATAATATAAAAATAAATTAACCAGACGTGCTGGCTCACACCTATGGTCCCAGCTACTCAGGAGGCTGAGGTGGGAGGATTTCTTGAGCCTGGGAAATCAAGGCCGCAGTGACCTGTGACCACGCCACTGCACTCCAGCCTAAGTGACAGAGCCAGACCGTATCTCAAAAAATTTTTAAAAAGACAGATAAAAGTCAGCTGGATTTCCACCAATAAGGAGAATATGCTCATAAAAGTGATGAATGCCCTTCTCCTATGGGAAGGACAGTGCAGGGGGCTAACGCACAAGGAGTGACTCCCAATCAGCCCCTGAGCAGGTCACCATTAGAGGCCCCAAGAAAGAGGGGCTCTGAACCCAAGACACCCTCAGAGCCTTGGCACTTAGAATCCCTCCTGGCCCAGCCAGTCTATGGGTGGGAAGATTTCTGTGGCAGGGCGAGGAACCTGGCTCCAGTCTCAGGCTGGTACCCCAGGCACCACCCCTCCCCTCCTCTGTCACGGGAGGGTTATGCACTTCCAGTTCCTCAGCAGTCTTCCTCCCCAGTCTTGAACACTGGGAAAGGTGGCTTCCAGCTTACTATTTCCCCAAGAATGAATTTAAATTCATATTTTGTCTTTTCTACTCCAAGAAATAGAAAACTTAGAGATGAAACTGGAGAGAGAAAATATTTTACAACACTCAAAACTGTGAGCCTTAAAGTGCTGCAGTAAACTACATTTGAGGAGGTCAAGTTTCGCAAGTCCTCTTGTTCTACTGAAAACCTCGCAATTGTCATTCAATCGCATGGATTCAATAGTCATGCAGTCCCAGGGCTTGTCAGCCCAGGATATATACCCAAGGAACATGCCTGGGACCAGGCACCATGCTGTTTATAAAGTTCTCCAGGTGATTCTGATGCTGACGCAGGGTGAGGACGCTGAGCTACTCTGAGCTTCCCTAGTCACAGGTGAAGCCAGGAAGACCCAGACATCCCAACAAAGGGTGAGCCCATGGCCCGCAGTCATTTAGGATGGAACTTGCGATGACTGACTTGGATCCGTGTTTTCACTCCTGCACAGCATGCCATAGCTCTGTCACAGGTGAGTTAGAAAGAATGCCGGAAACATTCATCTTCTCACTCTGCATCTTCTTAGGAGACTGGCTGAAATATCAGCTGCCTAGAAAGATCCCTACATTTCCAGGGTAAATCTATACCAGATATAAAGCATGTGGCAATAAAGTCACAGGGACAGTGAGAGTCATATAAAAGGAATTCAATTCTATCCCATTCCACAAGGATGGCACAGGGACAGAAAATTACATTGTTTTTACTTCTCCCCAGTCTACCAAAAATTGAGTTGACCTACAACCAAGACACACACACAGATGTGATGTTTACACACAGTAATTTTAGGAAAGACAATATAATAAAATAAAAATCAGGAATCAGAAACAGAGAAAACATTTTTAAGGATAAAAAGAAAAAAAATATATAGACAGATATTGAATGAATCATGAAGCATCACTTGTAGATGCTTAGAACTAAAGAAAATAATATCTAAATATGTATTAAAGGGGATTTAATTAAATATATTATGAGATGCCTATACAATGCAGTCATGAAGAATGAGGTGGCTTATGTAATGACATGAGGTCATCTCCAACACAAACAAAGGCAATGCACATTCAGGCCATAGCCTGCACCCTGCTGCCACCCTTGGGAGAAGAGACCCCCAGCAGCAGCGGAGGCCTCCAGGGAGGGAATCAGGGTGGGTAGAGATGGGAAGGAGGTGATATTCGTGATATATACCTTGTGAGTGTGTGTGTGTATATACACATATATGTATACACATACCTATATGTATATATGTACACATATATGTATATATACACATGTGTGTATATGTGTATATGTATACATATATGTATATATACACATGTGTGTATATGTGTATATGTATACATATATGTATATATACACATGTGTGTATATGTGTATATGTATACATATATGTATATATACACATGTGTGTATATGTGTATATGTATATGTATATGTAGATATATATATGTATATATACACATATGTATATGTATATATGCACGTGTGTATATACATAGACATACAATATATACCTATATATGTACATATATACACATATGTATATGTGTGCATATATATAATCTCCAATTTCTCAAATAAAAATAACACTAGGACTATCGTTTAAAAGAGGTATATATAATTTTTAGAGAAATAGAAATTCAAGACTAAAAAGAGAAAAACTCAAGTAACCTAGAGACCTTAGGGTCCCGAATAAATCATTTAAAAATTTCCTTCCTGGCCTGTGAAGAAAAGGATGGGAAAGGAATAGCTGAACTCAGGAAAAGCCACCTGAAATGAAAAACACTTGGGGATAATGTCCCCAGCCCCACGTCTGGGCTGCTCAGAAGCTGTGCAATTTGTGAGTGGCAGCATTCTCCTCTGAACCCCCAGACACTGGAACACTTTCTTCTTCACACCAAGAACGTGGGTCTTCAAGGTGCTGTCTCTGGACACTGCCCAGTTCTAACGGGCACACTCCCTTAGAGCAAAGTCCACACCCACACAGCCTGGCCAAGAATTCCACCTCCTCCAGTGTCTGCCACGACAGATTTCTTCCTCTTTGGTCATGGGCCCACATGGTGGTGATGACAAACAGTGCCTTGAGGTAAGAGCTATTTCCTGGAGACAAAGTATGTTCTAATGCTGAACATCTTAGGCAGAATGGCACTCTGAATGATTCTAAACTATAAAATCTCCTAGCAGGGACCCTTGAATCATGCCATGTAAACAAACTACCACATCTCCCCCTCGAGTCTGTTCTGCTTGTCTTCTGTCACGATCACTCTGGGATCACTGATTTCTATATTTTCCCCTGGCCTTTCTCCCTTTACTCTCCCTGTTTAAGCTGATAGACAAGCTGAACACGTCCTTACCTTGGAGGAGGTTGTGGCAGAGGGGAAGAAGAACTTGTCTGCAACAAACTTCACTTGCCCGATTGTGTTTTCCCAAAGCCCGCACATGTTGGAGATTGCACCTGGTGGCTGGAAGAGGGTGGGAGAAGCTATCAGGACAGTGCCCTGGGTGGCTGGGAAGGTGATGGGCAGTGTGAGTCCTGGGGTGGAAGCCTGGCTATGCGCTCAGCTGTGGGGCACCCAGAGGGGTGGCAAGACCTGAGGTTTGCTCAGGGAGCTCAAGGTTAACAGAGATCACACACCCTTCTCCATGAGGCCCTAAAGGGAGGCACCTCTCCTAATGCCGAAGATGGCAGTTAACAGGAATTTAGTTGTGGGGAGGGGGTTATGGGTCAGAATGACCTTGATTTAAGGACGCAGAGATAAGTTTATTTCTTGCATACCTGAGCATGTGGGCTGTAAGTCCTCATGCCTGCTGTTGTCCAGGGCTTGTCCACTCTCACTATAACTTTTGGTTTTGATCTGTTTTTTTTTTCTTTTATTTCTATTTTTAAATAGAAGAGGCTTAGCCAGGTGTAATTCCAGTACTTTGGGATGCCAAGGCCAGTGAATTGCTTGAGGCCAGGAGTTCAAAACCAGCCTGGTCAACATGGCGAAACCCCAACTCTATAAAAAATACAAAAATTAGCCGGGCATAGTGGTGCATGCCTGTAATCCCAGGTACTCAGGAGGCTGAGGCAGGAGAATCCTTTGAACCTGTGAGGCAGAGGTTGCAGTGAGCTGAGATCACGCCACTGCACTCCAGCCTGGGCAATAGAGCCAGAACCTGTCTCAAAAAATAACATAAAGCAAAATAAATAAATAGGAGACACTTCAGGCAGAGCCCAGAAAGGTCAAATGAGAGCCTGTGAGCACCCGAAGGGCAGGGTCCCGGCCTCACCCTCTGGGTCCCCAAGTTTGACACAGGCTCAGAGGAGAGCGGGCTCCGCCAGTATGGTGGATATGGAGGACAGAGGAGGTTGTGCTTTCTGGCTTCCTGCCAATGTGTTTTATCTGCGAGACCACATCAATCCTCCTGGAAGAAACAGCAGGTCTTCCAGACAAATCCAATTGTCCTAGAGAGTGGAGAACACACTAGGGGCTTGTGCAGTGCCCTTTATGAAGGGGAACCCCAGAGTTCCTGGTGAGAAACAGCCGTAGGTAACAGACACCGTCTGCACCCCTGCCCCCCAACCCACCTCACCATGGGGTGGGCGAGGTCCCAGAGAATGACCTGCTGGGACTGGAAAGGTCCCACCCATAGCCTTGGACTGTTTGTTCTCAAGAAGCCCGCCAATACGTGGGATAAAGTGCTCAAAGATGACAGCTGGAGATACAACTGAAGCTCCTTACTGCCCTTCTGTCTACAAAAATGACGTGACAAAAAGCAGGCTTGGATGAGAAAAGAGGAGATTAGACACTAACTGCATTTCCCACTAAAAAACACAGAAATTTTGCCATAAAACCCACAAATAATTTTAGAGAAGTGGATGCTGTGGCAGGATTCTGCTGGGAGCTGGGTTGTGGGAGGGAGGTGGGCTCAGGGACAAGGAACTTCATGCATCTAATCTGCCAGGTTAATGGGATTAACCATCATCATTTTTAACTTTCCCTTCAGGGGAAATTTGACTGGAAAGCCGTTCCCCAGCTCTATAACCCAGCCTCTGCAGAACAAATGGGACAGGCGGCTACTGAGAATACAGGGCACACACCACTGCCAATGCCCCTCCCTGGGCACCACTCTGCCCCATCCAACCCTCTTCTACAGAGGCTCCTGATGGAAAAACAAACACCACCACCTGTGGGCTAAATATCAACTAAAATTTTGTTTCTTTAGCCTGCAACCTTTTTTAAAAAGCAATTGCAAATAATTTTTCATCAAATGTGAATTTTGGTAAAATTACTAGATGTAGCAAAATAGGCCCCATAGTACTACATGATCAGATAGGGCTGAAGTGCAGCTCTCCTTTTAGATGGGGAATAGCATCCCACCTGGCCATGGTCCCCACCACTCCCTATTGCCCTACTACCTTGGTCCACTTTATTAACTTAAATTATTCCCTGACCCCTGTAGACATTTGGGACCATGACCTCTGGGATCCTGGAAACAGAAAACCTTTCAAGACCCAGCTCTGTCGTGGTGTGGCAGGATGGCTCTCCAGCAAGCATTTAACCATCAACTGTAGACTTCCCAGCTCTAACAGCAGCCATGATATCTCCTGCTGATACCTCACAAGGCAGTAGTGACACCAGCTAGGATGGGCTTGAAATGGTTTTTGAAGATTACAAACAAGTTTATTCTTGAAGTAGTGAGGCAAGCACCTTTTGCCATCTTCGATTAAGTGTCCCTGTGGATATGGCCTTAAGGCACTTCCTTCTGATGAAAATGCTGTCCTATTCCTCCAGGTCTACACACAGGGTAGGCCTGGGACACACCCAGGTCGGTCACCTCCCTCACAGGCATTTATGCCAATGGTCTCTGCTCAGAGAATTCAAGGTGCTCATTTGAAGCCTGCTGAGTATGAAATTGATAACTTCCTTTGCTATTTCAGTTCACAAACTATGACCCTTTTATGTGAAACTCTGAAGACCCTCCTAGCACACACCTGGATTCTGAGAAAGCTTTCCAATTATTTTTTTCTCAAACGAAAATTCTGAAGCTTACTTTGAAAGGATCTAGATTTCCAAAGACAGGGCAATGATGTTCTGAGAGTAATTGAGGCTGGCAAACATCTCCACTTAAGACAGCTGTCTGCCTCTCACACTCACATTAGGTACACCAAGCTATGTCTAACCCTCCGTTTCATCATTGCAAATCAACACCTTGCAAAATAAATGTACAACAGCCCTCCCCTCAAGCCCTTTCCAACTCCCATCCTGGTCCAGAGCAAAAGTCAGCAGAAGCTGAGAGTGAAATGATGGCTGATTATGGCAGTTGGGCTGACACTGTCAGTGAAGCTACTAGGTCCCACTAGTTGGTGGGCATGGCTTTCATTGCTGATAAGAAGGTACACTATAGCTGATGCCTGGACCAATCCCATTTGGACTTAACAGTGATGCTCTTGAAGTGGTACAGCATATAATTAATTGAAAATTTCACACTGCAGGGTATAAATGTGCCCTATATAAAAATGTATATAAATTGTATATAAACAAAATCTGAATTTAGTGAACGTACTGTTTTGTTTAAAATTCCAAAACGATTAGTGAAACAAGATTCATTTGGTCCTCATTTTACATATCTAGGATCGTTAGCTTTTTCCTAGGAATGATTTTAGAGAAGGAGGGAGAAATTAAGAAAATAACTAGAACATTGAAAGCAAGTAGCTGCTCCCTTGCTGAACACATATTTGACAATCCAGATTATGTTCATCCCTGGGGACAGTGCAGTGCACAAGCAGAGGAAGTTTCTGCTGTCCCAGAGCCAGAGACAAAAAAAGGTCAGTAGACACATAATTGCACAGCTAATAATATAGTGCTGAGTCATCCTAATAAAATGATCAAACGTTGGCTCCCGCCTAGTCTGAAAGGTAGGAAACACGGTCAGACAAAGAAATGCACTGATGGTTTGTCAAATCGGTAGAAATTGGCAGGTAAAAATTAAGAATTGGAAGTAACACCCAGATGTGAGTTAAAGAAAGCACCAGCCAGGCACAGTGGCTCACATCTGTAATCCTAGCACTTTGAGAGGCCAAGGCAGGCATATCACCTGAGATCAGGAATTTGAGACAAGCCTGGCCAACATGGCAAAAACCCATCTCTACTAAAAATATTCAGGTGGTAACATTTCAGCTTTTAGAAGAGACTAGGGGCCAGGCTCTGTGGCTCACACCTGTAATCCCAGCACTTTGGGAGGCCACAGTGGTTCGATCACCTGAGGTCAGGAGTTCAAAATCAGCTTGGCCAACATGGTGAAACCCTGTCTCTACTAAAAATACAAAAATTAGCTGGGTGTGGTGGCAGACACCTGTAATCTCAGCTACTTGGGAGGCTGAGGCAGGAGAATCGCTTGAACCCAGGAGGCGGAGGTTGCAGTGAGCCATTGCAGTCCAGCCTGAGCACCAGAGTGAAACTCCATCTCAAAAAAAAAGAAAAGAAAACACCAGGTATAGGAAACAGTGTGTGCAAAGGCCCTGGGGTAGGAATTGTGCTGGACTGTTTAGCAGAAACTGCAGTTTATCAGTGAGCCTGAGACAGGCTAGGGTTCAACAGGCAAAAGATAAGGGTGAAGAGCTAAGCAAGGTCTCACAGGTCAAGGTGAAGAGCCAGGATGATGTTCCCTCAGCCTTGGAGAACCCTGAAGCTCTGAGCTAAAGAGTGGCATCTCTGGTCTCTTTCATTTTTATTTATTTATTTTTTTGAGACAGAATTTCACTCTTGTTGTCCAGGCTGGAGTGCAATGGCAAGATCTCAGCTCACTACAACCTCCACCTCCCAAGTTCAAGCGATTCTCCTGCCTCAGCCTCCTGAATAGCTGGGATTACAGGCACCTGCCACCAAGCCCAGCTAATTTTTGTGTTTTTAATAGAGACAGGGTTTCACCATGTTGGCCAAGCTGGTTTCGAACTCCTGACCTCAGGTGATCCACCTGCCTCGGCCTCCCAAAGTGTTGGGATTACAGGTGTAAGCCACTGCGTCTGGCCCCTAGTCTCTTCTAAAAGCTGAAATGTTACCACCTGAGTATTTTGATTTCAATCTTTATTTCTAATTCTTCTAAAGTTATAGCAAAAATATTTTTTAAATATGCTTGCCTTGCATCCATTGCTAACCCCAGCTTCCAGCTCTCTTGCCAGGGCCTGGAAAACAATGGAGAAATAGAAAGGGAGCGAATGTTCACTTCACTGCCCAGCATTCACTCCCAGGATGGGGAACACCATGAGCATGGCAGGTGCTCCTAAAGCTGCAGAGCCTGGGGGTGGCAGGGAGGCACAGCCACCCAGGTGAGACCGTCTGGGCTGCTCTCAGAACACAGAGAAGGTCCACAGCCTGCCCTGGTGATACAAGGCAGGCAAGGCCCCACATTGGGGCTTAGCCTGAGAGGGCTCTTGGCTTCGTGCAGGAATGAATTCAAGGGCCAGTCTGTGATGTTAAACAGTAGATTTTCTTGAAGCAGATGTGCACAGCAGCATCAGAGGCTCTGCTCCTCATGGAGTGGGGCTACCTTCAGGCAGTGTGCCCAGAGCAGCAGATCAGAGGCAGGTCTGCACTCACATTCTTACCCAGTTTTAATTACATGTAAATTAAAAAGCAGAGTATGCAGACATTTCTAGAAAAAGGATGGTAAGTTTTGGATCATCTGCTCACTGCCATGGAAAGGGGTGGTAACCTCTGGATGTTGCCATGGCAATGGTAAACTCACATGGCACACTGGTGGATGTATCTTAGGGAAAGCTACTTCCACTCCATCCCTGTCTTAACTAGTCCTCAATGTGGTCTGACATCTGAGACCTATCTCCAGAATTGAGTCCCACCTCCTACCTCACTGGGGCACACTTTATTATCCAGGGCCTTAAAGATGTGTTGTTGGCTAGTTCCCTCCCCTTTATCTGATCGGGCTCATCCTAAAAGGGGCCTCTTCAGAACCTGCTCTTGGGCTCCCCTTCCCCAGGCCTCAGGTGTGTGGCCCTCAAGCTGAGGCTGCCCATGGCAGGCTTCTGCCTGGTCCTGGGCTGATCTTGGTGCCCGAGCAAAGCAGTTCCTGCAAATGGAGGCCTAAAGGTCCCTCCTCCCATCAGTCTGTGTGTGGAGTTTCTAAGTTCCTGCGGAGACCCAGCTAAAGCTCAGCCAAGGGCCTATTACAAAATCCCCAGGGATCTGAAACATCTCAGAAAGTGTTAAATTTGACAGACACAGAGGAGGTGATATGATATGCCAGGCTCATACTACAATGAATGTTCATATTAAATCCTCATAACAAGTCTATAAGCACAGCTTCTAAAATATCTACCTTCTAGATTAAAAACAACAACAACAACAATAAAATCATAGGCACAAATATACACACTGTCTGGGCCAGGGTCACAGAACTGGTAAAGACACCTAGGATTTGAATGAGCATCTCTTTCCAAAGTCTGTATTCTTTCTCTCTACCATGCTGCCACAAAACCCACAAGCTTTTAGATGAATTGCAATCCCCCTCCACCTACCCCCACCAAGATCCCACTATTCAGTGAGGCAGCAGGCTTCAAGTGCAGCTCAATATGGCCCAATTGCTGAAAGAGTGTTTTGTAAGAAATAGTTCAGGAGGAATTCAATTTCATAAAGACAGGCTTCTTCATAATCAATGACGTCTGAATAACATTTTTATCTAAAAGTATACTCTATTCTGCTGTAGTTCCTTTCTGATAAAACTGAGTATGTCTTCCATTCCACGTTGCTTTGACATCTACCTATTTGCTGAGTGCCTGACATTATTCTAATAACTTTACTCCAGGCATTGTATTTTTAAAGTTCTCCAATTTCTATTTTTAATCATTTCTCTCTCTCCACTTAGAATTTCCATCTTTTTGTTTATTATAAGCATGTCTTCCTTTACTTCATTGAGCATACAGCCAATAGTCACTTTAACATCCTCACCTGCTGATTCCAATGTCTGGGTCCTCTCTCTTCTGTTGTCATCTTCCTGGTGCTTCATGTACTGAGTAATTCCGTATTGTCTTCTGGCATTGTGGTCAGAATGCTGTGGAGTGAATTATCCTCTAAGAACAATGCTAATGGTTGTTTATTAGCTTGCTTATTTGTTTTAGCTGGAAAATAATTCAGCTGGGCTCAAACTGGAAACCCTCTTTTTCAGGGAAGAGAGCAAATGCAGTCAGCTCCCTGATCCTCAGCTGGGTGCCTGGCGCCTGCTCTGTGCCTGTGTGGCTCAAGGGTTGGTCAGGGAAGCGAGCAGAGTTCATGCACCCCCTCTCTGGACTCCTTTTCTCAGGATTCTCACTCCCTAGCAGCTGTGGTCCTCTCAACTTTGACCTCTGGTTCTTCATGCCAGTAAAGAGGCAAATTATTGATCAGGGTGTTAACTTCCCAGAGTGGCACAGACCAGGGCCTGCCCTTAGTTGAAACCCTGAAAAAATTGGGCAGCTCACAGCAGGTCATTCCAAGTATTGTCTCTTCCAGAACTGAAAAGCTCCTTTCCAGACCTTTCTGCAGGCCCCCGCTGACCACTTAAACGTCCCCCTCATTTCAGCCTCATTGCTGCCCTGCAAGGAGGGGAATGCCTTAAAGATCATACCCATTTTACTGAAGGGGAAACATAGCTCAGAGAAGAGAAGTTATGGCTTCAAGATAACAGCTGGCAAATGTCAGCCAGGAATCAGACCTGGGTCAGCTGGACTCCCATGCCCACATTCTTATTCTTTCGGCTGTGAAACCATCCTTAGCTGCTATCATAGTTGTGTTTGTTCAGCAGTGGTTTTGAACAAGCTATCAAAAGAAGCTGTGCTCTGGAATGCAAAGTGAAGAGAGGTGCTGAGACATGGGGTGGGGGGAGGTGCTCAGAAGGCTCTGAAGGGAACACAACCCCCCTCCATCCTTCGCTCAGAAGGGAACACAGCTGCAGCTCCCCTCTTTTAGTTCTAACTGGAGAGCAAGGCAGAGACCCTTCACAGATGCTGAGAGGGCTGGGAGGGCTAGCCAGGCCACCTGTGACCTTTTTAGACTTGCAGAAAGCAGGAACAGAGAATATTCTTCAGAGTGCTTGGAGGAAGAATGCAAACCTCCTTAACTGATAAGTGTTGAAGAAACCTGGATACTAGAGACCCCTGTGCTTCCCTGGCCAGAACGAGCCTCTTCCAGCACCAGAGGGGAAACGAGTAGTACCTGCCACAAACCCAGAGCCCAGGGAGTAGGCCAGACAGGGAGCCAGAGAAGAAGCTGACTGTACTGGTGCTCATGACAAGCTTAGGTTAATTTCCCAAGACACAATAGAGAGGAGGACATGCCTGCATTATATGTGGGCAGGATCAGGATGAGAAACCGGCGACACTGCAGAGAGAAGGGGTCAACTCCCTGTCCATCCCTACTCACTCCAAAAAGATTCCTAGGCCTTGGTCAGGAAATGATTTGACTTTTCTGGAAAACTCATGCAATCTGACTCTTCTAAGAGACTGCATGAACCCTGGGTTGTCTGAGTTTGAAGCCCACTCCACTGTCTATCAGCTGTGCTGCCTTGGAAAAATCACTTCACCTCTTAGGACCTCTATTGTGTCATCTGTAAAATGTGGATCATAATAGTCCCTACCTTGCAGGGGAAGGGAGAAGTTGGAGGATCAAATCAGTTAATATGTGTAACACTCTCAGAACACTGCCTGAAATATAAGATGCACTAAATATGTGCTAGCTTCTATTATTATTTGTACTTAATACTATCACTGCTGCTATTAATATGCCTGCTACTGCTATTACTACTACTGTTGTTGTTATTATTACTACTACTATTACTACTGCACCTGTTGCTATTATAATTATTACTGTCACTACTGCTGCTGTTGCTATAATTATCACTACTCCTATTACTATTGCTGGTATTGCTATTACTACTACTACTACTACAATTATTATTCATGAGGAGAAGCTGAGTGGCTGCAAATGCTTTCTTAAGCTCTGCATCAATTCAAAATAGACACAGACTCAAAAAACACAGTGGTACAGTTGTCAGATTTAGCAAATACAAACACAGAATGCCCAGTTAAATTTGAATTTTATATAAGTAGTGGTTTTTTAGCTTATGCAATAAACTAAAAATAAGTAAGCTCCAAACTATCGTCTCATACAATATTTGGGACTTATTTATCCTAGAACATGATTGATTGTTTACCTGAAATTTAAATTTAACCAAGTATCCTGTAGTTTGACAACCCTACTTGGGAAGTGGGTGGTGACTTGTTCCTTGAACACCATTGGCCTTGTGTTCTCGACACACACAGACACACACACACACACACGCTGGCAGGAGGCTTCGCTCTGGACTCATCTTTATAAGGGCAGCGTTCCGGGCTGGGTTTCTAGAATCAGAACGTGGGCCAGCATTCGTGTTCATTGGACGGTAAGGGAAGAGGGTGGGGATGGGGAACAGAGCTGAGCCAGGATGAGCCCCACTGCATGACGACAGCATGAATGACCCCCAGAGTGGGTCTCTCCAGGAGACAGGAGAAAAGGACCCGCTGTGGGTCCATGTCACTCATTGCAGGGAGCAGGGGAGTCTTTCTGGGAAGGTGGCTCTCCTTGGTCTGAAGGATCATGATACCTGCAAGCTGGCTCCCCCATCTACCCTAGTAACATCCAAAGGCACCCCCAGAGCTGCAAGGAGTTCAAGAGCCAGGCACCACGCCATGAGTGCCACTCAGTGGCTGTCAGTGCAAATGCCCAGCAAGACCTTCTGGGACAGGATGCAGCAGCTGCAGCCTGGAACCTGCTTTCTCCTGTGAACAGAGGCAGCCTGAGTGGAGGAAATAGCCCTGCGCTGCAAAGACTCGTTGGCAGTGACAGTCGGTGCCAGGGGCTGGCTGCAGACAGTCGTTCCATGCAGGGATTTGGCTGAGGCAATGCTGACTCGGGTAAAAGGGCTTTATGCTGTTCAAGGGCTCTTGACAAATCGCCTGTATCTTTTTAGAATTCTGCAATTCATAAGCGCAGGTTATTTTGACAAAACTTAGTGTCTTGGTTGTCAGATTCAAGAGAAAAAGCACAAAATTAAGGCTTATCGAAATATGCAGAAAAACACGTTGCCCAAGGCCTGAACATGGCCAGTCATGAGATGCCTGTGACAGATGAGAAAGCACCTGTCATTTCATGTTGAATTTTTGAGGAAGGCTTATTTCAATGAATTACATTTTTTTAAAAAAAAAGATTGCTATATCTTGCAGTAAAAAACACTAGACTTTACCTGCGGTAAAACACTAGACTCTAAAGCTTCTCCTTCCCACCTGCACGGTGGCAGTCAGATAATCAGATGCTCAGAGACAGGTTCCCACAGTCCCACAGCCCACATCTACTCAATCCACAGCCCTCATGGCACCCTCCTACCCAGGAGCACCTGGAGAATGTCCTGATGCTGTATGGGGCTGAGGGAAGTACCTGCGGAAACACAGCACATTTCCCCAGAAGGCTGCAGAGGTCTCTGCTACTCCGTGGAATCCTAGAACCCCAGCTCTGCGAAAGGGAACGAGGCCTATGAACTACTCACAGGAGCTAATTAGACATGCAGGAATTTACTTAATTAAATAGTTACGTATTGAACAGATGGGCTGTTGTCAGAGGTATTCGAACCAGAGCGACTCCATCTTGAATAGGGGCTGGGTAAAATAAGGCTGAGACCTACTGGGCTGCATTCTCAGAAGGTTAAGGGGTCATGGGGTGAGATAGGAGGTTGACACGTGAAACAGGTCACAAAGGCTTTGCTGATAAAACAGCATGCAGTAAAGAAGCCAGCCAAATCCCACCAAAACCAAGATGGTGACGAAAATGACCTTTGATTGTCCTCACTGCTCATTACATGCTAATTATAATGCGTTGGCATGCTAAAAGACACTCCCACCAGCGCCATGAGAGTTTACAGATGCCATGCAATGTCTGAAAGTTACCCCATATGGTCTAAAAAGGGGAGGAATCCTCAGTTCTGGGATTGCCCAACCTTTTCCCAGGAAACCCATGAATAATCCACCCCTTGTTTAGCATATAATTGAGAAATAACCATAAAAACAGCCAACCAGAAGCCCTCAGGGCTGTTCTGCTTATGGAGTAGGCATTCTTTATTCCTTTACTCTCCTAATAAACTTGCTTTTACTTTACGCTATTGATTTGCCTTGAATTCTTTCTTGAGTGAGATCCAAGAACCCTCTCTTAGGATCTGGATCAGGACCTCCTTCCAGTAACACTATGGGCCAAGCAGGGTTTTAGACAGCAAGTCTGTCGTAACAAAAAGATCTCGGAAAATAGAGTGTGGTTTGTAGCTATCGTTACTGACAGTCTTCTCTTGAACACGGTCACAGAGTTCTGGAAACTTAACACAAACAGATATTTTTAAGAAACTGTGTTATTTCTAACAGTTGTGTTATTTCTAATAACTCGCAAATAAGTCATAAACATATCTCAAAAGAAAAGTATACATGGGAGAAGTCAAATGTGGACTGGGAGGGCCTCCATTGTGGCCCTTTAAAACACAGACAAGGTGTTGTAGCACAGCAGTAAGCTTTTCTGGAGGCATTTCCTTCAGGCTCACCACCCATTGTTTGGAAGGAAAAGTGAGCACATTTACCACCCCTGGCAGAGATCTAAGGTCCTGATTTCAGCCCACAGCACTTCAAGCTAATCAAGAGACTCTGGTATATTGCACTGTTTATACATCCAAAGCCACACCTGTTATAGTGAAGCCCTCTGTATTATCTTAGTAACTTGTATTTGCAGAGGAGGAAGAGCTTTAAAATAACAGCCATTATCTTGTGTATTTGGCATCTCCAAAGTATTGTCCAGATCTGCACATTGTAACAATGCTAAAATTACCAGGAAAGATAGGCATCTCCGTAATACCTCAGAGTTGCTCAGTGAGGCAGGCAAAGCAAAGAAAAGGGAAGGTAGTGCCTCCCCTAAGTCCAGGCAGCCTCACCCATGGCAGGACAGAGGAGAAGGCACCCTGCAGGACAGAAGAAAGAGTATCTTTTTGATGGTGTAAGTCTACTGGAATGCTAATTGCACATGTGGATTAGACACTATTTTTACCACCCCCCCCCAAAAAAAAAACCCAGGTTCTTTTGCTTGGCAAGTAAGAAATCAATCTCCTTGAGACTGTAGGTTTGATCAACAGGAGTTTTATTACTTGGCACAAATAAGCATGCTGTTGGGAGTACTCTCCAAAGCCATGTCTCCCTGAGGGAAAGTGACAGGAGGACTTCATGGGGAGATGGAGAGAAGAGAGGACGCGTCATGGCATGTGGAGGAGGAGCCTCAGTGGTGCAGACACAGCGAGTCATCACACCAGCACATAGGTTGCATGTTATGGTGATGAAGCTGTGGCTCATCCCAGGATGGAGACACTAGCATGGTCATGAGGAAAGTTCACTCGGGTTTGTCTATAAGCTGCTGAGGTCTACTGAGAGCTGGTTCCAAGCAATAAGACAACTGCATTCCACACAAAATGCAGGGCAGTAGGCTGTAAAACACGCTGATTGTTCAAGGCGATTACATTCCTATAATCACTCCAGACCCTCTGGAGTGGAGAATCATCTCTGTCCCATAAAAGACAAAGAACTTCACTTGAATCCTCCAAAGATGGTGACAGGTGGATGTCAAAGAAATGTAGGCATGGAGATTGTGGGGTTTGCTCTGGTACCGTTGGTGCCAGTAGGAAGGGAAAGAGGGGATGTCGAGTTTCCATCCCAGGGGGCAGCAGTGAGAGAAGGAACATGCCTGGGGGCAGTGGAGACCCTCTTCAGACAGACACCAATGGCCAACCAAAGTCAGGAGCACTGGTTCTCAAACCGAAGCACCAGCAGAAAGAGACCCTCTCTTTCTGTTCATGCTGTCAGTAGACTGAGGTCTGAAAAAAAATTAGAGCTGCCTTTGCAATGATTTCATCAACAGTTGAACAAGTTAAATGCATTGCTTTGTCCTATTCGGTTGTGTCAAAGAATTAAAAGGTAAAGATGAACCTCTAAATTTAACATTTTATTTGGGAAGAAAGAATTGCAAGACCACATATTGGGTGGTTTTCGGTGTGTCTAAAGAACAAAGAGATGGTTGGAGGTTTTATAACAAAGAGAAGTGTTATGTATTGCTCTTTGAGAAAGTTCATTGGCACTAGTACAGTTCCGGTGAGGTGGCAACTTTTGATTGGTAAGTAATGGAATGGGTATAATTGGTCTTAGAGTTGCAGCAGGTCATTTTAGCAGCTATTAGATAAAACTGGTTTCAGGTTACAGCAGCCAGGCTTGCAGAAAATTATATTCTTGGAGCAATGTTATGCATCCTGAGCACCTTTCCCTCTTGGCTTCTTGGCGGTTTTATTTGGATATGATAAGAATGACCCGATTTGTATGATCAACTTTCACAGTTGTTTCTTGTGTGTCTTTCTGGCTCTAAGCATTTCTAACACCTTAGAATAGCAAATATGGAAGAAAAACCAGCAAAACATGATACTCTTTAGTCAGCAGAAAGAAGAGAAAATGCAGAATGCTCATGGACATCTAGCTCCAGTGATGGGGGCTGAAGGGAGCTGAAGGGAGCACCAGCAAGTGAATGAGGGGTGAGGGGTGAGGGGTGGGGGACCGCAGGCCCCTACTCCATCTTTCTCAGCCTTTCTTTTTCATTCAAAAGACCACTAGGATGGCTAAATAGTAGAAAGGAGTATTTTATTGGTGAAGCCATCCTCACAGGGTTAGCAAGAATTCTGGACAGAAATAGAGTTATAATTAAGCATTAATCAGCCTGCACTTTGACCCACTTCCTTGTAACTGAAAGTCATGCAGCACTGATACTGACCACTGGCATCCCTATTGTTCCTATGAATAGGATTTCTGATGTTAGAATCATAAGGCTTTTGTTTAAGAACTGCCTAGGGTGTTTTCCAGATCCCAGATTCCTACTAAACACCCACCAGCATGAAGACCCCCATAGAAGAACAGAATCAGCATGAGAAACAGTTTCACCACTTCCCCATCCCATGACTTCACCCTGCACTTTTCAACCAACCAACCGTCCCCACACTTCAGCCCACTCCAAAACCGTTAACATCCCTTATACCAAACTCCTCGGTGTAAGGTTCTTGTATCGGTTCAAACCCCCAGAGCACGCCAACAGACAACAGGAGGCAGTGTGGAGCAATATGCTGTTCTAATGAGTGCCTGCGTGCAGGCAGGCTGAGGCCTAAAATGGAGTCAGCCCCAAGTGAGGACGGGGCATAGGTTTTACAGTCTCCTGTAAACAGGAAGTGTCCTAGTATAATGTAACTGCTACATTGTACACAGACGGCCTCTTTCTCGATCTTCAGGGGTACCTGTCTTCCGGCCAGGGTAGGTGTCTTCTGGCCGGCTCTCTTCCTGCTTCTGCTGACTTGCTGATGCACGCTGCTGACACAAGTGGCCTTGCGCCCTGGGACTGGGCCTGAGAAGGGAGGAGTCATTCATCTCCTTAAGCTTTCAGGCCCCAGAGAGAATTGTACACTTGGAGAGATGGATTTAAGGTTCCTTCCCATCTTCTAGATCAGGGTCCTAGGATTCAATCTCCTTCTCTTTGTGAATTGGTGTCTTGGCGGATTGACTAGCCCTGTGCCTCGTTCATGGATTTATTTCAGTTACACTGGCAATATAAGTTTGCAAACCAGGAAGAGACTGTCTCCAGCATATGACATTGGCGCTCTCTCTTTGAAGAGGGAAGGGGCAGAATGGATTTTATGTCTCACAGGGCCTGTATCACACGATAGAGTTACATGTACTCAGTAGGTTTGGGGGAAAGCTATGCATGTGGAGAGGGGAGGTGAGCACACGCACAATAGGCACAGATGTATTACCATGCATTCCGTGCTCCCTTTGGGGTGGGGTTTCAGCATAAAAATAAGGTAGAATGTGGCTTTTTCCATCAAAAAGTGAACTGTAGGAGACAAACACAATGTGTGCCCAGTCTCTGTAAGCTGCTGGAACTGATTTGACGTCTTCAGTTGCTTATCAGAAAAGAATGTTTCTAAGGTCCTCTGTCCAATCAGAGTTGTGGTGGTCTGGGTTGTAAATCGGAGGTAGGAATTTGCCTGATAGCTCTTATTGTTAGGGAGTTTAGCAAGGGTGTGCTTTTCTTGTAGCCCTAGGAATTTAAGGAGTTGCTCCACCAGAGAAGAAAACTTTTCTGTTTTCTTAACCTTAAAGTCCACCTTAGTTGATAAAGGGCATCTATTTTGGTCTCTCCGATCTCAGTTTCATGTGCTACATTGCAGTATGTATGAAAAGAAACAATTGTCTTTATCATTTCATTTTTTTTCTGATTTCAAGTATAGTTCATGCTTGTTACAGAATATTTGGGGAAAAGCAGATCTTTTTAAAAGAAATACTACCCATCATCTCACTACTAAAAAATAACTATGTTAGTTACTAAAATTGTTCTTCCTATATGTCTATACGCACTTTTGAAAAGTAAATTTCCACAGAAAAGTTGTAACAATAGTTCAAAGACTTTCATGTACTCCTTTCTCACATTCACTTGTTTACATTTTCCATTATGTGATTCTCTTCCTGTCTAAAACACTTGACAGTAAGTTATAGACATCCTGCAAACTTACTCTCTAAATATTTCAGCTGGCTTTTCTTAAGAACAAGGACATTCTCTTACATAAAGAAAATTGTAAGGTTCTTGTATCGGTTCGAATCCCGAGAGCGTGCCAACAGACAACACGAGGCGATGTGGAGCAACATGCTGTTTTAATGAGCGCCTGGGTGCAGGCGGGCTGAGGCCTAAAATGGCGTCAGCCCCAAGTGAGGACAGGACAAAGGTTTTATAGTCTCCTTTAAACAGGAAGTGTCCTAGTCTGACGTAATTGCTACGTTGTACCCGGATGGCCTGTTTCTCAATCTTCAGGGGTACGTGTCTTCTGGCCGGCTCTCTTCCTGCTTCTGCTATCTTGCTGGCACAGGCTGCTGATGCAAGTGGTCTTGCACCTTGGGACTGGGCCTGAGAAGGGAGGAGTTACTCATCCCTTTAAGCTATCAGGCCCCAGGGAGAATCTTACAAAAATCAAGAAATTTCACATTGAACAGTACCAGTATGAAATGCACAGGCCACATTTGAATGCTGCCAATTGTCCCAACTAGGGTCTTCCTAGACCCTCTCCCTCTCCTCGGCACCTGTCACTTGACCCGCATGTTTTTGAAGAGTAGAGATCATTTATTTAGTAGAACATTCCTCAGCTTGGGTTTCCTGATGTATCCTAAGGAACAGATTCAGGCATGCATCTGGGGCAGTGATGCTGCAAACAGGACTGGTGCTCTTGTCAGGGCATCACATCCGCTATTACGTGATGCAGGTTCATCCCAGTGTTGCTGATTTCAGCTTTCATCACTTGGTTTAAGGTGTTGCTCACCAGGTCTCTCCACCAGAACTGTTACTATTTTTCCCTTTGATATACCTATTTTTAAAAGTGAAATTCCCAGTCATTTTATCTTACATTGACCGAGAATGTTACTATGACTTTAGAAAACAGCTCTGTCCCATAAAAGACAAAGAACTTCACTTGAATCCTCCAAAGATGGTGACAGGTGGATGTCAAAGAAATGTAGGCATGGAGATTGTGGGGTTTGCTCTGGTACCGTTGGTGCCAGTAGGAAGGGAAAGAGGGGATGTCGAGTTTCCATCCCAGGGGGCAGCAGTGAGAGAAGGAACATGCCTGGGGCAGTGGAGACCCTCTTCAGACAGACACCAATGGCCAACCAAAGTCAGGAGCACTGGTTCTCAAACCGAAGCACTAGCAGAATCCTCTGGAAGGCTTGCTAGATGCAGATTCCTGTGCCCCAAGAGTATATAATTCAGAGCATGGAGGGTAGAGCCCAGAATGTGCATTTCTAGGCAGACTCAAGAGAATGCTGAGGCTCCTGGTCTAAAGATCCCAATTTGACAACCAGAGGCCTAAAAGAACAACACTTGGGCCATTCTTGGGCTTCTCTGAAAGATGAGTGTCAAATCAGTCACTCAGCAAATATTTATTTTTAGCATGAATTTTGTTACTAAAACAGAAGAGTTGAAACCTGCTGGTGTAATTGCATCTAACGCTATGAAAAGACATCTCCAAGAGCTACTCCAGATTCGGTCTTTGAAGATGATTGCCAACCCCTTGCCATCCTGTAGCCAAGCTTCCAGGGGGGTTGCAGAGAGTGCGTACGTATAAACCTTAAGCACACCTTCTTTTACTCTGAACATGGCTCCATCCACACTTTTCCAGCCATATTGAACTGTGTGAACAGTGTTAACAGCCAAAGATTCTCCAGTCCAGGCACCCACCCAGAATCCAACTCTTATTGCCAAGTGAGACTACTGAGGGCCAGAACAGGCAGGAGAGGGGAGGTCAAGAGAAGCAAAGGCAAGGGGCCCTCTGCTCCAGCCTCACAGAAAAAAAAATGAGTCCTTAGATTGTCCCCCATCCACCCATGCACATGGTTCCATCCTGCCCACCTTCTCTGATCTAGAGGAGAAGGCTGAGTAATTATCCGAATTCTCTCCCATCGTGAAGTCTGTCCCAGGCCCCAAGCTGAAGGAGGTTTGTCTTCCCTGCTCCCTGAGTCACTGACCCAGGCTCAGGTCTGGCTGTCATCGCATTGGGAGAGCTCTTTGCTTACCTGCCTGTCTCTCCTCCCACAGCAGAGTGAGTTCTCAAGAGTAAAGGGCAGGATTTCGTTTTCACCTATCCCTCAAAATGCTTTATCCAATGTCTGGAGCTTACAAAAACCTAGATGGATGAATGAATTAATAAATAAATGAACAGGTAGCCAAGGACTCCAGCCCTAGAAAGCCAGTGGGATTACAAGGCAGAAATCCCCTGTCTCAGGAGCCTAGGTGCCAGCCCAGGAGCAGCACGGCAGGAGAGAGAGAAAAGCCACATGTCAGGGGTGTGGGCTGGGGACTCAAGTTAAAGGACAAAGCAAGAAGTCAGTCCTAACCTGTGTTAGGAAGAAGGCAGGCCCAGTGCTCAGTGTGTGCTCAGCTTGAAGACAATCAGTCCCAGAGCTGAGGAAGGGGTTCACTAGTGGGCAGGGGTTATGGGATGTATAACTCTTCAGTTATGGGAACTGCAGGGCAGGGAGCCAGATGGCTCAACCTAACCTCAAGAGCAAAGGAAATAGGTCCCATTTCCCACACCCCAAACTTCCCCATTAAATACTAAACTATACAGACTGGCTCTAACCAAGTTCTCACAGTTGCCCACTTCCCATACTCTGCTTTATCTTGACAAAACTTGGGTCAGACTTTTCTTTTCTATGGCTCTTTTGTATAAAAGAATAATTAAAATGCAAATAAATCCATGAAGTATCATGCAGGATGAAAACTCATTCAACATGCAGCATCAGTTCACAAGATCAGAATCTCTTTTTTCTGAGAGGTCAAGATTGAAAAACTGGAGAAATTTCTTAGAGGAAGATGAGAAGAGAGAGAGGCCATGTAGACAGTCCTGGATGGCCAGTTCCGACTCCTGCCTTCCCATTCAAAACAGCACTTGGAGAAGCTTCAGGTCCTTGGAGGCACTGTTGAGACTGGCTTCGTTTTCTAGAAAGTCACAAATTTCTAGAAAATGGGAGAAAGTTACAAGCCTTTCTCCCATTGATCTTTCCTCACTGGGCTGCCCATTCTCCAGCTGCTGGTTTTGCAATTGCTGTTCCATTTTTCTGAGTAGAATTTACATTAACAGCACATTTCAGTGACAGTACTAATGATTCTGGCACTTCCTAAAGGGCATAAACTCTGTGAGCCATTAGCAATAAAAGGAGCTGTCAAGCATCACTCTGGATACACTCAGCCGGTGGCATAATCCACTTCGCTGAATATTCAGAATATATAGACATATATAATTAAATGACTTTATTAGGGTGACTGTTTTCTGCTGAAGTTATTTGAGTCATGCTTGATGACTTTTTTCAATATAAGTGATTTATAAGATTTATAGAGAGACTACTGCTACTAACAATGATGAAACCAGTTATGCAATCCATCCTTGTTAAATGAACTTTTACCAAGGCTGTCTCCCTGTCCTTACCCTACAGGACTCTACCCACTCCTGCCCATCCACAGAGGGTGGGCAAAGTGTGTTAAATGGCACTGACCCCTGATGACACTAATTGAACCAGGCCTGGATACTGGACCCAAGCTGGATCCATCAGATTCCCTTCCCTCGTCATCTGAACTTGGACCACTGAATATAATTTATTCAGAAAGTGGTGGATGACCAAGAGGTAACACTTGAGGTTGGGGTCAGCTCAGAGCCAAATGCAAATATAGCAAGCAGCTTTGCTGAGAAAAAAAATAGGGTACACTGAAAAAGCATGGTAGAGGTGAGTGAGACTGAGTGGTTTCCCAGTGTTGGGAGACAATTCTCCATGGCCTTTCCATTTCTGCACATCTTGTGAGCTAAGACTCTGACAGCATCTCCTCTGAACTGTCCTTTCAAAGATGTTTGTCCAGCAAGAGCCTTAGGAAACAGAGATACTGTCTCCTTCTACAGAGGGAAGATTAGTATTCAGATCAGGATGATAAAGACAATATCTTTCTCTGGGACAAGGTTTGGGAAAGTTTGCTATCAGCCCCTTGTAAGATTAAGTCTTCTTAAATGCAAGGTTCCTCAATTCTGTGCAGTGTCCACGTGGACCCACCCACATACCATGAGCTGTGGGAATGGGAAGAGGGGTAAGGGGAACTGGTGCCCACACTGACTGCTGGGCCCTAAGTAATGAAGCCCTAGGTGTCTAACCGAGGAGTGCCCTGTCTTCTGCTAGCATCTGTGAAATTGTGGGAGGTTACCTGGTTCGTTCTCAAGTAGAGTAAATCTTCAGCCCTTCATAGTCCTTGACAAAGCGTTGAGAAATTGACTAGTGAGTGACTCAAACTATGCAGTAAATAATAGTAGAGAGCATGGTGTACTAACAAAACAAAAACCCATTTCTAAACTGAGAAGTTTGTAATCCATCCAGAACCATTGTTATAATGAGCTCTTTTCGCTTCCAAATAGATTTGCAAGAACTTGTATTGAGTCTATTTTTAAAAATATGCATTATACTCTGAACACTGAAAAGGCAGAGTTTTCTAAGTATTGATTCCTGTGTCATTCAATTGTGAGAGCATTTGAGTTTCAAAAATGTTTTCAAATGCTCCTGTAATTTTCCTTGTGGGGTGGTGGGAGGAGTGAAAGTTTACTTTCACTGTTGGTAAAATGTCTAGGAACAGAAGGTCTGAATTAATAGCCTAGTTCCTGCAATAGCAATGATTATAAGGGTAAGTTTGAGAACATAAAAGGTTCAGGATCCTAGGCTAAGCATGATACGTATGTTAAATGAGTAAACTGTTTTGAACAGAGTTGAGCACATAGTAAGTGCAGCATAAATATTTCTTATTCTTATCATTACCTTATCTCATTCAATGAAATACAAACTCTTGTGTTCATCTCTCAGAGATGAGAAAATCAAGGCTTAAAGAGGTCAGTAATTTGCCCAAGGACAGTGGTTAGAGTATTTTTGGCTGCAAGCAATAGAAAATGCAATGAAACACTAATGTTAATTGTTTTACGTAGAAAGAAATTCAGATTGGCTGCCTTATCAGCTCTCACTATGATCAAGTAGCCTGGTTCCTTTCTGCTGTTTTCCTTGTCATCTTCAGTGGATCAGCTATCACACTGGACAAGCTTCTCACCTCATAGTCACAGGGTGGCTGCAAGAGCCCAACCTTTCCTAGAAGTTGCCTCTGCAGATTTCCCCGCATGTCTCATCAGTCATGGTTGGGCCACGTGTCCACCCCTGAAGTGATCCCAGGTTCCAGAGAGGAAACCAATGTTGAGCACACAAATACATTTCAAGTGCTGTCCTACACAAAATCAGGGATCTGCCCACGAGGAAGAAGAGGCGGTGGAGCTTGGAAGGTATGCAACCATGGCTGAGACTGTAAGAGCCACGGTGGAACTCCAGGTTCTGAACCTCAAAAGTTCCACTTTCCATTGTGATGAAAGCATCTCAGGACTGCACTGCCCAGCTTGGCAGCCACAGCCTCACATGACCACTGAGCACTTGAAATGTAGTTAATATGCTAAGAAAGCCCATTTAAATTTTTATTTTCAACTTACTTAAATTCAAAGAGCCACAGGGGTCTAGTGGCTCCTGTATTGACAGCACAGGGCCACCTTGTTAGTGGCATCATTTATAACCCTGGGCAGCATTGCTATAGGAATAGCCATATCCTGTAGGTCTATAATGCTGTAGAAATGGAATGTGTGGTGCGAATGAAATTTAAAATTTAAGTAGCCACGGTGAAAAAAAAAGAGAAACAAGTAAAATTCATTTCATAATATGCTTTATCTCTATTTCCAAAATATTATCATCTCAACATGTAAGAAATATAAGAAGTATTCATGAGATATTTTACATTCCTTTGTTCATCATAAGTGTTTGAGATCCCATGTGTGTCTGACACAGCACCTGACTTTGAACTCACCACATTTCGAGTGCCCCATAGCCCATGTGGCCATGGTTTAGAGATTTCAGAAAGCATTCATGGAAAATTCTCTTTCCTGATCCTCATTCACTATCCTGGGAAGTGGCCAGATAAGGAAGCAAGGCCCAGAAGGGCCCAGCCAGTGGCTCTCAGACTCCAGAGTCATCGAGTCCCTCACTCGAGGGCAGGTTAACTCACAGATGGCTGGCCCCCACCCTCTGCATTTGCCATCCAGCAGGTCTGGGTGGGTACCAGGATGCGGATTCGTAACAGGAGAGGCTGATGCTGCCAGTCTGGGTCCACATTTTGAGAAGCATTCCTCCAAGGGTCCCACCCACGCTCATACCCCAGTAAGTAGATGGCTCAGAATTGAAATCCTTGCTTTCCATCTTACATCTCATTCTCTTTATATGCACAACCATGAAGCCAGGTTGCTAAGACAGTCTGAAAACAACTACCAAAGAACAGAGGTGCTGCTCATGGTTACCCCAGTGTGCTGCAGCCCCTGTCCTCCAGACAGTGACAGCAGAGTGGACCTAATTTTGATACTTTGTAAACATTGGACCAATGTGACCTATCCTAGTCCCGTGCCTTTCTCTGGCTGACTTTTCTTTTATCTCATCTGATTGTGGGATCAATTTATTTAAAGGAAACCATTTAATGAAATCTTAAGGAAGCCCTCACCTTTATATTTGGTTTAACAGTTGAGTTTTTGGGGTACAGCTGAGGTCTCTATCATTGCAATGTCTAGGGTGTCCCTGAAGTTCAGGTGGGAATCTGAAGACACTTTCCTGATCCACGCAGGCGACTTCAGACAATGTCCTACACTTAGCCACGGGTAAATCATGCTTTTAATATGCTCAATGGCAGAACTGGTCAAAGCCACTCTGAGCTGCTGAGAGCACTTCAGATTATTTTCCACACCAGCAGGCGATAGAAGTGGCATTCAGGGACTGCTGTCATTGCTGCTGAGATCCAAGACTCCTCTTGGTGCACTGTGATTTGCAGGGAAAGCTGTGTCTCTCTGACTTGCAGGCCAGAGGTTCTGAAGATTGCTTGAGGTTGCAAGTACCTCCAAGCTTGAGCAGCAGTTTTGAAGTGTGGAGATGGGAGGTGAGTTATTCACATCTCTAACAAAGGAGCTGCTGCTTCTGGCTTCAGGAGGGGCTGAGAGGCCCCTGATTCACTATCTCATCACTGGGCTGGAAGCTCCACAGGGATCAGTTAGGCCTGTGGGCCATGCTTTCAGCACTTGGAGGAGAAGATCCCTTAGACTCAGCCTTTGGCTCCATGCCACTCTTGACAATGTACAGGGAAGCCACTTGGACCTGATGCTGGAGTTTAATCAACAGACAAGGAAGAGGCCCCAGTGTGTACTGGGCAAAAGAACGGGACGGGTGTGCTGAAAAGCGTCTCATAAACAGACTTTGTTTTCCTGTGTTTTAACTCAGCGTGAAAGTTTCTCTAGGTCTCCTCTCCTGGGGGAGAAAGGTAGCGGCTGGTTTCCTGTTCCATTGCTTCTTTAGTATCCTGAGAGAGAACAGCCATGGGCACCCAGCTGCCCCAGCCTCTTCCTGTCCCAGGGCCCCGAGGCTGCCCTTCAGCGGTCTCCAGCTTCCTGCTCCTGTAAGCAGGGGCCTCTCTTTTTGGCTTTCCTGACATTTCTCCTGACCTCTTCTGCTAGCCCTCCTGAACGCACAGTAATATCTGTACATTGCAGTTGGTCCCCAGGCTGCTGCCTCTCTGTCTCTCCATCTAATGTTGCATCTGTGCACTTTAGAAGTACCCGGGAGCCTTCAAAATATTTGGATGCCTGGACACCACTCCAGATAATTCAGTCAGAGTCTCTGAAGACAGGGCCCAGGCATCCCTGTGTGAGGCCTTCAGGTAATTCCAGCATACAGCCTGTATTGGAAAGCTCTGTATTGAGGATGAGGCCCTCATGCTGCAGAGGGGGCCTAGAGCACAGGGAAGTAAGTTCCTGGAAGCACTAGCTGTTTATCACATAGGGCTAATAACCAATGGGGACAGTCGTGCATGCTTCTCTTCTTACATGCTAGCTTACTATGCTTGGAGGCATACACATGTGTATGGGGAGAGGAGGGCAGAATCGGGGAGCATTAGGAGAAAAACCTAAAGTAGGCACAGGAAAGATTCCAGGGGCTCACACATGAGGCAGGACAAGAAGAAATACTTTCTCAGGAAAGGGAAGGGGCCGAGTGTTCAATGGGCAGAGAGGACAGCAGAAGAGAGGAGACCAGGAAGACAAGATAGCCCCCAGCACTTCCACACTAAGCCCTGGAAAGGCTATCTGCAGAGGAGCCACCTAAGGGTCTTCCCAAGACCAGGGTTAAAGGGAAAAGCCCCTAAACTCCTCTTCCCTCCCAAATCTGAGGTTGCTCTTGTTCCCTTCCACCAAAGGATGGCACCAAGTAGAATGACAAAGGTGCCATCTCCTTCCTCTTTCTCAGGGAAGGGTCTCTCTCTTAAGGACAAAGATGTGAAAGGTCTCTCTCTTAGGGACAAAAAGGAAAGGACAGACCAACCTACAGAGTGGAGGAGTGCTAGACCAAATCCTCCCAATACATCTATTTGAGTAGCAGAGACTGGAGACAGTGGTTGAGGTCAACTATGGGGCTGCACTGGTGCTGATCATGCCCGTGCTCCCATCCCACACCTGGATAAACAGCAGTGGGCAGCTTCCCCCACCCCCCAGTCTTAGAAAGGCCTCCTCCAGTTGCAACAGGACTCCCTCCTCCCCATCGCTGTCCCAGCCACCCAGCGGAAAGCTGAGACCCCACCCCCCAGGTGGCCAATTTTAGACCCACTAAAGGCCTTTCTGGGCTGTACTGGGGGCTAAAGGGGGCCACCATCCCACAGAGAAGGGGCCAAAGACAGCCAGGATCCTAAAAGTCAGAGCTACTTTAAGAATAACTTTCCCAGGCCAATCCCCAGTTCAGGAACGTTCCTGTGCCCTGTGCCAGCTAGAGGGACTAGGGCTGGAGCCGGCGGCTGCTCCTGGGTGTCCAGTCCAGGAGCCAGTGAACTCACTATCTCTGGAGTTTAGCAGAAGAAGGGTAATTCCAGGCCGGAACCCCTTTCTTTCCCGACCTCTCGACCACAGTCCTCCCCAGGCACATTTTAGTGGCCAGGGATGGAGACCCGCGGATAATGACTGAACCAGGTCACAGGGTGAAGGTTCTGAGATGTCCGGCTCCCGTAGCTTCTGCCAGTTCCCGAGGGAGCTAGCACAGGCTTGGCCTTCTTTGGTGGCATCTCTGCCTCCACCTGTCCGTCTCCATTCCTTGTGCCCATAGCACCTCAGCTGCTCGGACACAGAAGTTAAAAGGTCCGGCATCTGCACTTGTCCAGAGTGGGTTGGGGAGCAGAGAAAGGAGTGGTGAGCTGTGGGGAAAACTGGACATCCTGACAGACCTGAAATTCACCAAGCCGCCAGTGGAAGCCTCAGGTTCCGCCTCTATAAAAGGGACTCAGCCATGTGCAAGGATGGGTCGTCGCGAGGATTAAAGGGCAGGGTGAGGGGATGTCAAGTGCAAGGCAAGTGGTCCAAGCTTCCAGGTGGTCCCTGACCAGTTCCGGGCACATCTTTACCCAAAGGGAGGACTCCGGGACCCCCAGCCCCGCCGCCGCAGACCCCCTGTAGCAAAGCAGGGAACTGGACCTCAAAGGGCTGCTGGGGAAGACGGGATCTGAATAGAGGTCTGAAGGAAAGAAGCCAGGCGGGGGACCCCGGGAGGGCCGGACGGGGCTGGGGGTGCTGTTGACACTGGAGCCGGACTGGAGACCTGGGAACCTGGGGCAGAGTCGGCAGCGGGGAGGGGGCGACCGAGGTGGGAAAACGGGGCGGGGCCGGAGACGACTCCAGGGCTGGGTGAGGCGCTGACCCCCAGGAGCTGGGGTGCCGAGGGGCGCGGGCCACAGCGGTGCGAGCCAGTCGGGCGCCCGCGCGGTGGGGCGCGCGGCGCGGGGATTGGCGGGCGCTCCCCGGTGCCCGCAGCTCTTCAGCGTAGCCGGGAAGAGCCGCGCGTCTGCGCGCCAGCCCCCGCCCTGGGCCCGCCGCCCGAGCTCTCTGGCGCAGCGCTAGCTCCGCCGCGCTCAGCTGCCCTGCGCCGGCACCCCTGGTCATGAGCGCCCCCTCGACGCTGCCCCCCGGGGGCGAGGAAGGGCTGGGGACGGCCTGGCCCTCTGCAGCCAATGCCAGTAGCGCTCCGGCGGAGGCGGAGGAGGCGGTGGCGGGGCCCGGGGACGCGCGGGCGGCGGGCATGGTCGCTATCCAGTGCATCTACGCGCTGGTGTGCCTGGTGGGGCTGGTGGGCAACGCCCTGGTCATCTTCGTGATCCTTCGCTACGCCAAGATGAAGACGGCTACCAACATCTACCTGCTCAACCTGGCCGTAGCCGACGAGCTCTTCATGCTGAGCGTGCCCTTCGTGGCCTCGTCGGCCGCCCTGCGCCACTGGCCCTTCGGCTCCGTGCTGTGCCGCGCGGTGCTCAGCGTCGACGGCCTCAACATGTTCACCAGCGTCTTCTGTCTCACCGTGCTCAGCGTGGACCGCTACGTGGCCGTGGTGCACCCTCTGCGCGCGGCGACCTACCGGCGGCCCAGCGTGGCCAAGCTCATCAACCTGGGCGTGTGGCTGGCATCCCTGTTGGTCACTCTCCCCATCGCCATCTTCGCAGACACCAGACCGGCTCGCGGCGGCCAGGCCGTGGCCTGCAACCTGCAGTGGCCACACCCGGCCTGGTCGGCAGTCTTCGTGGTCTACACTTTCCTGCTGGGCTTCCTGCTGCCCGTGCTGGCCATTGGCCTGTGCTACCTGCTCATCGTGGGCAAGATGCGCGCCGTGGCCCTGCGCGCTGGCTGGCAGCAGCGCAGGCGCTCGGAGAAGAAAATCACCAGGCTGGTGCTGATGGTCGTGGTCGTCTTTGTGCTCTGCTGGATGCCTTTCTACGTGGTGCAGCTGCTGAACCTCTTCGTGACCAGCCTTGATGCCACCGTCAACCACGTGTCCCTTATCCTTAGCTATGCCAACAGCTGCGCCAACCCCATTCTCTATGGCTTCCTCTCCGACAACTTCCGCCGATTCTTCCAGCGGGTTCTCTGCCTGCGCTGCTGCCTCCTGGAAGGTGCTGGAGGTGCTGAGGAGGAGCCCCTGGACTACTATGCCACTGCTCTCAAGAGCAAAGGTGGGGCAGGGTGCATGTGCCCCCCACTCCCCTGCCAGCAGGAAGCCCTGCAACCAGAACCCGGCCGCAAGCGCATCCCCCTCACCAGGACCACCACCTTCTGAGGAGCCCTTCCCCTACCCACCCTGCGTGGCCACCTCCCAAGGGGTGGGCACCATTCCTACAGCCCCGAAGACTGCATCTCCTGAATGCTCACCTAAGCTCCACCACCTGTTCCTTCCAGCAGCCCATGTACCTGCCGGAGAGTGTCAGAACTCTTCTGCTGCTCTCCTCTCCCCTGCACTCTGGCTTTCAAAAGGATGCTTCCATATGGGTAGGACTCCTCTGGAAACTGGGCTAGGATATTAATCATTCCTGAACCTCTGGCTGTTCTTCAAGGGCTGGGAAGCAGGAGGTGGTGAGAAATGAATGGTCCCTGTGTGTGACTCCTTACAGCCACTGCTTGGGAGAGGACTCAAGAAGGTGGAGGGAGGTAGCACCCTTCCTCTCTGCAGACGCTCTGCCTTGTGGTGGGAGCACAGCTTGTACAGGAGAGAGGAGGAAGGAAGATGCCCCCAGGCACCTGCCCTTTATGTCTCTTCCTGAGCTCTTGTTAAGTGAGACTTATGTTAACAGCCTGGGGCACTTACTTCCCTCCCCACTCACCCCCGGCCTGGGAATAACATCTGCTTGCTGTCACAGGTGTCTCCCTGAGTTGCCCTGAGCTGGGAGCAGTCTTCCTGTGAGTAGAAAAGGTTTGGAGAGACATGACATGGGGTTTATTGCAAGGCATAAAACCAGGTCAGTAATAACAAAGCAGATGATAAAAACTTCATCTAGCTCCTATGATGTAATTTTTTTTCCCTGATCCTTTGATGTGGGAACATGAGAACTCATTAAGGCAGCAATTTATACTGTGGTGGTGAGTGAGAGAGGAGCCATGGGCGGGAAAAGCTGACCAGAGAGCAGCGAGGGATGGGAACCAGCCCAGGTTTTGGATAGAGGAAGCAGCTTCATCACCACCCCCTATTTTAGAATGTCATCTTTCAGTAAAACATCAGCCACATTAGATATTAACATGTAAGTTGAACACAATAAAAGGCCGTATCTTTGTTGCCTGATGTGTTAACCAAAGGATAAATTATCTTTCCCAAAGGGAAAGAGCTTAAGAGGAGCTCTAATTCTGCTTTCTGATAAAAGCAGGGGAGGGGACAAAGGAGAACTTGGAACACTTATGTTAGCATCTGGTGTAACAACATAGGAACATGTATGAAGTTTGGGGGACCCCACCTGGCTTAGCATTCAGAGACTACCTCTGGGTTTAACCGGCCTGATTCTGGATGATCATTCTGGTGGTATGGGGAAGATGGTGTGGGGAGGGGGAGAGACAGCCAAAGGTCAACACCCTATGCCCTTCAGAGTGGTCAGCCTCACAGACCACTCTGAGAGAATGGGTAGCCATGTCTGTACTACATACTGGAGACATGACTGTGGAATGGAAGTTTCAAAACTAAGTCAGAGAACCCTCTGATCCTGCAAACACACATGCACACACACAGAGACATCAACCATCTCTAATTTGTTGGCACCCACCAGGGATACCTTGGGCATCTGAAGTCAGTCTCCATGTCTGTGGGTCTCGTGTAACCATAACTACTTGGAGTTTTTTAAAACTGCATTATTTCTTTGTTCCTCAGTGTCTGACAATGCCTGCCAGGATGGGCACTGATGAATATGGTTGAACGGAACTCCAAGGACCACCCAGGTTGATAGTAGTGAGGTGAGGGGTTCACAGCACTGGCAGTGGTCCCCAGGGCTTCTTCCCAGCTTGTACGTGGGGTTGGGGGTCCTTTCTTTAGTCTCTCAGTGATCAGACTGGGCAAACTCTCTGATAAGCAAGACAGGGCACCTACCAGGAGTCTTGGCAACACTAGTGTGTGGCTGCCCAGATTAGCATGGAATAAGACACATTCTATTTAGAAATGTCAGCCTTTTTAACTTAGTTGATGAAGGTTGAAGGAGAGGCAGCTTCAGGTGATGGAAAGAAAAGTCTCTGAGAGGCAGGACACCTCAGCCTCAGCTACCCCGTGAGCAGTGATTTAACCTCTCTAAGCCTCAGTTTCCCACTTGGAATATGTGCCAAGGGAGGTTCGAGTTTTGAGCTCTTCCCAGCTGTAAACTCTGCATTGGCAGAGACACCGTGGAGACACGCGAATCAAATGGTGGGAGGGCAGGAGATAGCACGCTTCTCTGCTTAGTCCTCCTTCCATCACCACTGGAAAATGAGCGTGAACACTGCCCTTGACCCTGCAGTCATAAGTCATGCAGGTGGTGGCGGGGTGGGGGTGTAGGGTGAGCCTACCCGCTGCTCTCTTCTTTAGCTTCAGGGCCTTTTCATTTCCCGGCAGCAACGAGGTGCACTGAGCACTTGTCGGGGCTGTGTTTGGAGCCCATCAACAGTGCTACCAGCTTTAGTTCCATCAACCCCAGGCTTTTGTAACAACTGGTTGCATGAAACCCTCCCTTGTAGTTTGTGTACAGAAGACTGCAATGAATTGAAGTCATGAGACATACAGCCAGGATCCTGAAAGCCACCAACATATGTCACCTGCCTGGGAGGCTTGCTTCGATGGTCATCTTGTTCTGCCTGCTAAGACCAGGAGTCACAGCTGTTGACATCATGGTGAATAAAAACATTTTCTGCCACAGGTAGAAACAGCCTTTGCTCATCCCTCCATCTGTCAGAGATCTTGCTTTTTCTTTTACAATTGTCTTTAATGTACTGTTCCATGGCAAGCCAGGTGTTCCATTTTCCCAGATGGTCAGGGAAGATGGTATTTAGACATGACAGGCTGTCACTCAGCAGGATACTTGCCCAGTTTGTCAGCTCTGATCTGTGAGCAAAGATGCATATGAGTTTCACACTCATCTGTGAAGTATTGGCTTCACTTTCATTAAAGTCATCATAGCTGGCATTCCTTAGATGCTAGAGGTGGATGCAAAGGATCAACTAAATATAGCACGTTTTGGCGGCACTGCCTCAGAAACCAGACATGAATCCTAGCAAATGTGGGCATTGACACTCTTCTCTGAGAGGTTGGAGGTAGTGAATTACCCCCATCTCCCACATTCTCATTCCATAAGTAGATGACAGCATAGCCTCAGATTCCTTAAGGACAAATGTTAGAATCCTAGGGCTGTGTTTTCTGAGACAGCTCCACCATGGTGTACACCATCAGCCAGCAGCACACCCTGGAAACTGTCTTGCTGACTAGCATGCATGGGGGTATACATGTGGACAGTTCGCTGAGTGCTTCTCTCGGGTGGTGCAACAGGTTTCCAGACAAAACGATGAGTCTACAAAGGCAGCTTCTGCCTTCATGGAGCTTGGAGGTTAGTGGCAAAAGACAGGCATTAATCAAATAAGCACAGAAATGAGAGTACAGTTCTAAACCTAAATAAGCACTGTGCAGGAAAGGAATGTACTTTCTAAGAGATGATGATAAAAGAAGTTGCCCATGACTCAGAGCAGGCTTTCCCCAGGAAAGTGGCTGGAGATGACCTCCTCTGAAGCGTACCTAGGCATTAACTAGGAAAGGAAGGGGCGGGGCACAAGGTGTTCCTGTAAGCTCTAAGCAGAGGGAACAGCATGTGCAAAGAGCTTGCAGTGGGAGGCACTGAAGGGCTCAATGTGACCAAAACACAGACCACAGGGGCGTGTGAGGCACTGGCAGGCACATGAGCAGGAGCCTAATGCCTTCTATGCCACCTCAAGGATGAGGGCTGTGTCCTAAGAGCCAGGGGTCAGTGGTGGCAGGCTCTAATGAGGGGCTTGGGTCTGCCTAGTAAGAGAAGCCTATCAAAAGCTTTGGGGTCCTTGTGAAATTGAGGCTTAACATGCCTCTGCTTTTCAGGGAGGGGTTGGCAGGATGATCATGTCCTTCTTTCCAACTTTCATCAACTTTATATGAACTGAAAGGCAGGGACCTCAATCCTGTGAAGGAAGGGACTTTAGTGCCTAACAGTGGGGGCACCTTCTGAAATGGGGGAGAACTTATGTAAAAAAATGCCTAGAATGGGAGTATTGACTTTCTACAAAGAAAAACATGTGGCTTCCTATTGTCAAAAGACACCATGAGCATCCACCTGCCGTAACATAGCACTTGAAATGACTGGATTTCTGGGGCTCTGCCTAAAGAGTGGGGCTGCCAAAGGTCAGCACTCACCCAGTGTGAACGTGTCGTAGATGGGGAGAAAGAACAAATTGAGAGGCACACAAACCAGGACTGAGTTCCGGCTCTCCCACTTCCAGCCCACAGCGGCCCAGGGAAGGCTGCATGACTGTGTGGAGAGGGCAGAGCAACAGTATCCACCTGCAGGTGCACAGTGACACACAAAGGCCATGTTCCTGGCCCAGGGGAGGAAGGTTTACCATTCAAATGGTGACTACTTCATGATATAGAAGGAGGAAGAGGGAGTTGGTACACAGTTGGGTGTCTTTTTTTTCCATTTTTTTTTTTAATCAGGCTTTCATTAGTGTTCTGAAGAGGCTGTAATTTCTTTTTAATCTATTTTTAATTGGAGTATAATTTACATATGGTAGAGTGTTCTCTTTCTAGTTGTACAGTTCTATGAATTTTGACATGCAAATTTTTACATTTTACATTTTACAATTTTACATTTTACATTGGGGCAACTAACTGTTGCCCCAATCAAGATCGGGACTGTTTTGGTCACCATCTACTTCCCTCTTAGTGGCTGTGATTTGTGGCCAAGGAGGAAGGACACAGACAGCATGGGGAGGACCTGAGGAGGTACAGAATTGGAGATGGTGCTATCCCCAAATCCATGGAGGCCACCTGGTTATACCATTTCCCGAGTTCATCCCCCCAGACTAGGAGACCTCAACCAATTTACATAGGAAGCTATAGCCCTCTTGACCTTATGGATCTGAAAAGAAGTATCCTGGAATCTAGACACCACCTGGAGAAACTAGAGGGTTGAGTATGTCCCTGGGCAAGCTGCTAATTCCATAATGACTTCGTGATCCTTTACTCCAAGCACTGGAGAGAGGGTGTGGATTCCACTCCAAGCTCCCTTCCGCCAAACAGAGCAGAGTGCTCCTCAAGATCCAGCCGCATCCCAAAAGCACCATTTCCGTTTGTCACGGGCCTCCAGGCAGCTTGCTGTTGAGTTTGCTCATGTTTATCATGGCCGTATCCTGTGCTGTGGAGAGTCATAGACAAATTAAACAGTGAAACTGGGACTTGCCCCATGCCCTTTTCAGACTTTCCATTCTCCTGGCACTACCCTTGGGTTTCTGCATGCTACCTTTTTGGAGGAGGGGGAAAATACATGAAGAAAGACTGGAGTCAAACCCTGGCAAAGGCTCGCTGAAAATGGGGATTTGGGATTATATGAGCATTTCAGAACAGATTTATTAAAAGAGGGGGACAATGAACAAGGCGTAGGATCTCCAAAGAGTCTGTGGAAGGTGGGATCCATGTTCCCAAAGGATTTAAATCGAAACAAGGCAGTAGGCAGTGGGAAAAGGGGAGGAATTAGGGAGAATGTGGAAAAGCCCCTCTCCTCTTTGCCAAGTAGAACAAAGCTTTGCTGGACAACAGCGGGGTAACTTAGCATTTAGGTACGGCATTAGCAAGAAGTCAGAAAGAAGATTTGAGATGGGCACAGAGGTGCTAACCTCTAACCAAAAGCACAGAGGTTATATTGCCAGGCGTTGAATATGCAGAAGATAAGTGGGTTTTGTCTTAGGATAATATCGGTATTAAAATGGCTATTTTAAGAGAAGATTTCCTTCAGGCAGAGATCCAAGGAAATATCTGGCCTGTGGCCCAGGTGGCATAATTGTCACAGACCCCAGCTTTGACTCTTGGTGTTTCTCATTGGATCCCTGAAACCCTCTGCTCTCTGCTCCCCCTCTCCAGTGGGCGTAACCTTGAGTTAACCCATCCCCAGGGTTCTTTTGTCTTTCACAATCACACTTTCAAAACACCCTGAAAAGGATTTCGATTCTATTAGCATCTGATGTTAAAACAATATTTAGCTTCCCTTGTGAGAAGAAATCAGTTGTTTGCCTACATCTGAACCTGCTAACCAAAAAAAAAAAAAATGAGGAAGGGAACACTCAAAACAAAAAGAGATATCACTGAACCCAGGGCATTCATTCTGGAAAAGAAAGAAAGAAAGAACTGGGCATTGTCTGCATTGTTTTATGAAGAAATGCTTCTAAAGCTCAGGAGATGTATTTTGGGTACCCCCACTCAGCTATAACCATGAAGAAAATGTGTTTTCATGTATTATTTGCAACCTCAGTTTTCCTTGAATAGATGATATAATAAGGAATCGCATTCAACAGAGAATAGCAAGTGACTCCAGAAGGTAGGAGGTGGGGGATCTTCTGTCCCCTGGCCCCATCCACAACCATAATGTCTCTCAAAGGAATGTCACCTACAGGAACTTCCCTCCGTACCTCCTGCTGGCTCTGTTGGGGCCAGAGCTATGTTTCTCTTTCTCCTCTGGGCCCTGAGAAATGGAGAAGGGCACTCTGGAGCATGTTCTTCCTCCTCCGAGCCTCCTTGGGAGAACAGCGGAGGGAGTCTCTGTCCCCTGTACTTGACTAAGCCTTGTGAGAAGGGAAAATAAGCTGAAGCCTTCGAAGCTGGATTTTAGAGTGACCGAGTGTTGGAGCTCACTTCTCACCTGGCACAAAAATCTTCCTGTTTAAGCTATGATATAGATGCCTGCAAATCCAACATTACAGTTCCTCTAGCATTGACAACATTGCTCCAAGCAACTGCATCTTCCCTTGATGGAACAGTATCCACTTTGTGCAACCTTGAGTTTGCCCGTAAGACACTCATGATTCCAACACAGCTTTTTTCTGTACTCATTTATGCATCTACCAGTTCACTGGCACACAAGTAAACAGTTATTGGGTATCTACCATGGGCCAGAAACTGAGCTTATCTAATCTTCCTGGAAACCTTGTGAGGCGGCACTGCTTGAACCCGTCTTACAGCCTTTGAAGGGTCATGTGGTGCCCGTGGCCATGTGACCAGCAGGTTTCAGGCTGGGGTCACACCCAGGTGTGTATGCTGTTCACACCACATATCAGCCCTGCGGGGTGCTTACAGCGGAAATTGTGCAGGTTCCTGCCCAAGAGGGACATGTAAATACATCTAGAAGTAGTTGTTATCTTCCCAAACAATGCAGTACATAAATTGAATCCCAGTGCACTCTCATCAAAACTCCTTGAGTGCCCCCACTTGCACCCAGAACATTTTTCAATGTCACTCTTTCAGTCTTTTTTTCAGTGTCTTTGACCTACAGCCCCTACAGTCATCTCCCACTGCTTGTATCTCTCTTTCCACCTCTTCAGCTGCCTTGCAGCCCACCTCACCTTGTTCACTATGCCCAGTCCGCTCCACCAGGGCTCTTCCCAGTACAGGGCCTTTGCAGGTGTGATCCTTCCCACCTGGACTGCTTCCCCTCCAGTTTGCATTTGACAAACCCCTCCTTCCCCTTCAGGTCTGGTGTTAAGTGTCAGCTTGTCCAGGAAGCTCCCTCTAGTCCTCCACTCTAAATCCTGCCTTCCTCGTGCGCCTTTTCAGAGTGTGCTGTGCTTTTCTTCCCCTGCACTTATCACTGTTTCTAAGTTAAGTACAATTTGGGGGTGATCAGTTGTTTTGCATCTTTCTCCCCTGCCAGAGTCTAACTTATATGGTAGGGACTTGTCATTGTGCCTATCACTATGAAAGGCACAGAGTAAATGCTCAGTAAATAATTGCTGAACTAATCTAAGAAATAGGTGAGAACTGGAAAAAAAAAATAACAAAGTCATTTGACTTAAAAAAATGCATTCTGTTTACTTTAAAACAGCAGGCTAGGAAAAACAAACAAACAAACAAACAAACAAACTTGAATGCTGGCTTATCCAGAAATACCACCTTGGCTTTCTTGCCCCGGACTTTTGTGCTATGAAATTTCACCAGCAACTGGTCCCTGGGAGTCTCCCTCAGACCTGGATGTCCAATGATGTGAACAGAAAGCAGAGATCACACAGGTTGACCCATGGCTCTGGTTTCACAAGGTCTATCCTGATTTTAAATTCTCAGGGATAGTTTTTAAAGCTAACTGATTTGTTTATGTGGTCCTGGTATCTTTCCCTGAGAGGCACTATGGCTATTTAGCGTTTTGAGAATCTCAAGTTCAGATGAGACCTATAAACAGAACTGCTGATCCCCCAGGCAGCAGGAAGTGAGGAGGACAGGGAAGCTCAGGGCCCCGCACAACTAATGTCCTGGGGCCCAAGTGCTGCATGAAGGGTTTTTGCCTCTAGGTTTTGAAAGTGTGTTTTGGTCTTCCAGTGTTCCTTAAGAAAATGCCCCTCTTCTGGAATAAGAAGAAATCCTAACGCAATGAGGCCCTACAAGTCAGTTTGACAGTGACTGGGAGCAGACTCTTTTGACAAACAGAAGGCTGGGTAACAGGGGGCGAACTATAAGGTGTCACTGTCTCCTCTGGTCTCCCAGCCCCATTTATCTGCACCTGTCCTGCCCCCATTTGTGTAGCTCTTCCTTCACAAAGACTTAGTCTGCTACTTAGGGGGAGCATGGCTCAGCTTGTTATCTCCATAGGGCACTGTGCATGGAGCTTCCCCAGCACACACACACACACACTAAAGCCATTACTTCTTCTGCGATGGATGTCAAAATCTCCAACCCGGTCTTCACAATAATCAGTCAAACTAAAACTCATGAGTTCAGCATTATCCAGACATATAAAGCATCTGAATATTTGCCTGGACTCTACTTGCTTTTAATTTCTTCTTTAAAAAATCTTTCCGAGCCCTGCATATTGCATTCAGCCAGCCCTACCACCTTAGAAAAGTGAGCCCAAGAAACGTGTGCATTGAAAAGATGATGTTGTTAATCTCCAAAAGAGATGAGAATGATTTCATACTGGATGAGACGTTTAGAAATGAATATTTGAATGAGAGCCACAAACTGAGACCCTTCATGACTACAGTGAATTTGGATATCTCGCAGAGGAGATAATGCCAAACCATACACCGGACACACAGCTGGGATTCGCCAGATGCCCCAGGAAGGGTTTATTTAATTCATTCCAACAAATGATCCTATAATGCATTTATGCATTTAAAAGCACAGAGACACAAGTCCTCATATATGAAGTTGTTATGGTTACAGAAAGAAAATAAATATTTGTGCACACAGAGATAGCATGAAATCATTCTACAGTGAAAATAATAGCCTCTGGAAAAAGCTTTGAAAATCAGAGATGGTGCCACCACCAGACAACACAAGTGCTGGGGTACAGGGCAGCCCTCCATGCATCTCATAGCATTTGCATGGTTTGTGAGCCCCATTTAATGACATAAAATGAGGGCACTGAGGGAGGAAAAGTGAACAGACACACAACCCGAGAGCACATTGTTATTTGTTTATTTTGTACAAGTGATGTCATAAGCAAGGATTTTGCCTGTGTTCTAGATTATCTCCAATAAATAAATAACTATGTACAAATATTTTGAGTTTACAAAATAGAAGAGGAAAACCTTTGTCTTACAAAAGTTACATTTCTATGATACATTTATTTCCATACACTGAAGCAGGATTTCATTCCTAGCTTAGCTGAACCAAAGACCTTGCAGACCCTGTGTGGCAGTGTCTAGAGCTGTGTACCTAGCCTTTTCTACCAAAGAGCAAAGCTACACAAAGAAAATTCCTCAGTTTCTTGAAAATAAGGGCCTGACTTGGCCTGCTACTTATAACTGATCTATATTTCATGTATTCCAGAAAATTGGAAGCAGTCTGGAATGGTTGTCCTCAAATTACTGAGCAGACACACCCCCTGCAGATCTTGTTAAATATAGATTCTCATGAACTGGATGGGGTGGAGCCTAGGATTCTGCATTTCTAACCAGCTCCCATGGGCAGGGCAGCTTCCAATTCTTGTTCAGGGGCCACATTCCAAAAGGCCTCTCTGAAATGGTAGAAATTCTCTGAGGACCTGATTAAGGCTAGGCCCTAATTGGGCATCCTCCAGGATCCATTCCCAAGCTCCCAATTCCACAAGACCAGTAGAGCTGGTTTTATTTTGGTCTACCAGTGACAAGGAACAGTGACAGTCAATTGCTAATTGGCATGAATCATGCAGTTTGAAGCTTTCTTGAACTGTCTCCTGGGAGGTGTTTGTCTCTTCTCTCAATCTAGAGCAACCTTCTGAACATTTTCAACACTGTCAAAAATAAGTAATAATAACAAAAAAGGAAATTGCATAAGAAGATTAGCAACAATTACCATTTTTCAGTACAAATCAAAACAGCAACAAAATTCAGGCTCACTGTTTAAAAGTAAAGATAAATACCTCTTTGGGTGTAATTTCTATGACAGTCCAGCAACATCAATTTAATACCTTTTACATCTCAACCTTTGTTTAAAATTATTTTGCTCTGGGAATCTGAAATTTCAGGATAAATTAGCAAATCTGGTGAAAAAGCAAATGGCCATTTTTATTTTTAGTGTTTTTGTTTCTGTTTCATGTAGGGGTTCTGTCTGAGCAGACAGCTAAGAGCAAAAGAAGTAGGGTCAGGCACAGGTAGGGTGACTCAGGTGAGTTGGCCCAGTTCCTGGGAGGAGAAAACTAGGAAGAATGGGGAATAAGTGGGGCTTGCTTCATAAATGTGAGAGGGCTAGGAAAAAAAAATTCACCAAGATAGTTTACCTGTCACATGACAAGTGGGAGTTTGTAGAGAGAGAGAGACCGGAGAGCTGTGCAAAGTGGATACTGGAGACATACAGGTAAGAACAAAGGAAACAAACAAAAACCTAAATACTTAAAAAAAATAAATATTTTAGTCATCCCTAGCCCACGAGGTCAAGGTCTGCCCAGAAGGCTGCCGACCAATAACGCTCACCCTCCTGCGCCCGGTAGTGAGGACCTGGGACAAATCGCAGTCTGTGTCTTCGTTACAAAATTGCCATCATTGCCCAGTGGTCCAGTGACGTCACGGAAGAGGCCGAGGCTCATTCTCCTCCCTCTAATCACCCCCTCGCCAGTTAGCCATGGAATAGAAGAAAACAGCTTGGGGGGTGCGGGGAGGGTCTTCTCCAGCTGTAATGCCAGCTAAGGTGCTTTGGTAGCAAAGCTGGGGGTGAGGAGGCACAGGCTCCTGGACGGAGCCAGGCTCCTGGACGGAGGCCGCTCAGAGTCTCTGCGGCGTCCGCTCGGTCCGCACGTGCTGCAGCACTACCTCCTTGGAAGGGGCCGCGCACTTGTACTCCATCTTGGCCCTGGCGGCGCCCTGCTTCTTGCGCAGGTGGCAGAGGAGCGCCAAAAGCGCCACCACCAGGCACAGGCTCGCGATGGAGATGCCTATGAGCAAGCCCGAATGCACGAGCCCCACGGCCGGAGGAGTCAAGGTGGAGCCGGGCGTCGGGCTGGGCGGGGGCTCGCCAGAGCCGCTGTCGCCACCGTCCACCTTGCCGGAGTCACAGTCGGTGCCAATGTGGCGGGCAAGGGCCGAGTCGGGCCCGCAGATGCACTCGAAGGTACCGGGGAGGTTGTGGCACACCCCGGAGCAGAAGCCGCCGTTTTCGCACTCGTCGATGTCCGTGCAGATGAAACCGTCGTCCAGGATGTAGCCTTCAGGGCACTCACAGCTAGCCTGGGTGTTGGGGTCGCAGTCGGCTGGACAGGCAGTCTGGTTGCAAAACATCTGGCACCTGTGCGGCTCGTGGGGAATGGGCGCGAAGCCCTCGGCGCAGACGCAGAGGTAGCTAGTTTGGTTCAGGGGCTGGCACTGGTACTCGCAGTTGGCTCTGAAGCACGGGTCCACGGGCTCCACACACTCGCCGTCCACCAGGTCGTAGTTAGGGTAGCAGTGGCACTCGAAGCCACCCTGTGTGTTGACACAGCGCTGCGGACACGGACTGGGCTCCAGTATGCAGTCATCCACGTCCTCGCACCGGTGTTGGTCGGCCGCCAGCCGGTAGCCGGTCTCGCACATGCACGAGTAGGAGCCCGGCTGGTCGGGGTTGGGAACGCAGAAGTGCTCGCAGAGGTCGTTGCAGGACTGCGTCGCGGATGCGGTGCAGGAGCGCCCGTCTGCCTGCAGGGCGGCGCCGGCTGGGCACTGGCAGCGGGGAGCCCCAGGGATCGCATTGCACGCGTGCTCGCAGCCGCCGTTCTCCACGCTGCAGTCCCAAGCGCCCGGCGCCTCCCTGGCCCAGTGCCCCTGGACCGCTCCGGGCGGCGCGGTGCACATTAGCTGTAAGCCGAGGGGAGCCACCGCGGCGGAGCTGCCCACCGGCAGCGCCTGGAAGTCCGCTCCGCGGGCCGCGAACGGGGTGCCGTAGGTGATCGAGACGGCGGCAGCCGCGGCGCCGGGCTCCACAGCCAGTGGCCTGCAGGTGGCTGGGAAGTGGAACTCGCAGAGGAAGCCATCGGCCTTCACTTCGCACTGCTGCTCCTCCCAGATCGGCTCGCTGGGCACAGTGGCCTCAGCAGCGGAGACAGCGACGCACAACGGGCCGCAGAGGGGAGCCCCATTGAGGTCGAGCCGTGCCCACCTGCTATAGCTGGTGTTGTTGTCTCCCGTAACCCACTGGAAGCCGCGCAGGGGCCCGAGGCGCTTGGGGTCGCCGCAGCCGGGTGGCAGCTGCAGGCCGATCCAGAGGCGCCGGCGGCCAACGCCGCCGTCGCCGTTCAGTAGCAAGGAAATGACATCGGCAGCCACCGAGGAGCGCACTGTCATTAGGTGGCCCCGCAGTCCGTCGCAGATCTGACTGGCATTGAGGAAGGTCGCGGGGCCCGGGTAGAGCGCGAAGCAGTCGTGCTCGACGCACTGGCTGCCACCCGGCTGCGGCTCTGCGGGTGCGGGGAACCCCAGGCCGGCCAGGGCCAGCGCGCCAAGGACCAGGACCCCAAGCATGTTACCCAGGCGCGCCGCGTGCAGGCGCCGGGGAAAGCGCGGGCACTGCGACAGGGCCGTGCCGGAGCAGAGGGGCACAGGACGCCGATGGCGACAGCCTCTCCTGTCCGTCCCAGCCCAGACACTTCTTGCCGCTGCGCGCAGCCCCTGCGAGGCAGCCTCTGACATGCGGATCGGCCAGGGCTCGAGTTTATAAGTGCCCGGCCCTCCCTCCCTGGACGTTCGGGAAAAGGAAGGAAGTGCCTGGTGGGAAGGGCTGATGCCGCATACTCGGATTGCTGGGTTCTCTGGCCGCCCTTGCGCCCGCCCTCGCGCATGGGATCACCTCGCCGGGATGAGTAAACCCTGCCCTGGCGCAGGGAGGTTCTCGGGCGGGGCCGACAGGGGCAGGCGCCAGGGAAGGCCAGCACCCCTGTAACAAGACGACTGTCCCCGCCCACCACTCGGGCCCCCACGCGTGCAGCCCTCTTTCATCTCTTGGTCCTCCTTTCTTTCTTTTCATACATGTTACAGCCACTTCCAAGGAAAGCCTGGATTGCAAGAGCTCTGGGAACCGGAGACTTCAGAGAAGAGGGCTTTGAATGGGGAGTGGGGGAGGTGGTGCACAGGACCTGCAAGACGCTGGGAGGGGTGATCGGCACCAAGGGCACTTTGGGAGGACCTGCCTAGGACGTGGACTTCCCCGAAGACAGGATCGCAAGGAGAGACAGCTGGATCCTGTCCGCGGCCAAGGTGCCTGGCTCAGGAAACCAGCGGAGCGCGCTTGGCCTCACAGGACAGTGGGTGTGGCTGGGGTGACGGGGCAGGGTGGGGAAGACTGGCCTAACACCAGCGCCCTCTGCCCCATGGCTGGCCAGGGACCCGCGAGTCCCTGGACACGCACTGGCCAACGCCAGACCCCATCTCATCGGGTGGGGAAGTCGCGGGGACACTGTCAGGGCGCCGAAGTCCGGACCCGGCTCAGAGGCGGTGGCAGGTGAATTGCTGCGGCGCCGGGTAGGGGCGGGCGCGTGGGAGCGAGTCAGCCTGGCCAGTTTCGGCCCAGCTTCCGAAGGATGGTGCTTCTTGCACCCCAACAGAGTGGCTGGCAACCCCCCAGGGGAGCGCGCAGGATCCCAGCTGATCCCACCCGGGTCGGCTAAGGAGGTTTCCATTTCGTCCAGAGTCCGAATTGATACCCACGTGCATAGAAACGCCACTTGCTCGGCAAAGGGCACTGAAGAGCCACCGTCCTGTGGATGGGCAGGGTGGGGGGGGGGCTGGAGGAGGACATGGGAATCCGTCACTTTCGACCTCTTCCGGTGGTTCACTTACCGGGAATGCGGAAGAGTGGGTCTCCCCCTCGGGTCGCCCCCATAATGGTGAGAGGCAAACTGTTTAAAAACACCCTTGCCTCTCTCCTCTACTGTCCTCACAACGAGCGCCAGGGGGCGGCGCTGTCGAGCTCTAAACAAAGCCAAGGAAGTTGGAGAAGTTTCGGGCTAAAAAGGGTTAAGGTGTAGGAGCACAGAGTCCTCCTTCTGGGGTTGGAAGCTCCGTTCCCGGGCAGCTCAGCGTGGATTCCGCTGCGTTCACCTCTTGCCTCCAGGGCCCAGTAGATCCTGGGCTTTAAACAAGAACAGAGAGTATGGCGTCTGCCACGTGCGACAGACACGCACCGGTGGGGTGGGCCGGGCTGGACTGGACTGACCTGCAGTGACCAAACGGGTGGGGCGTGGACACTCTGAAAGTGAAAAAGGCAAGCACGACTGTCCCGCCGCACACTCCCCAGCGCCTTGGGGCAGAGAGCCTCCAAACGTCCCGCTGAGTTGAGCTCTTCGCTGGGAAGGCCGCCCCAGCACCCAGGAAACGAAGGAGCTGCTGGACACGGGGGTCTGAAGCTCCCGGAATGCACACAGCTGCGCCTCCCCTGACGCGGACCCCCTGGGAAGAGGAAGGGAAGAGCGGCAGATAGCACAGTAGGGCTTGTCCGGCGGGAGCAGTCAAGCTGTGGCTGCCTAGGCTGAATCAGGGGGTCGTGACTCCGGTGCACAGCCTGCCTACGCGGGACGCAAAAGCAGGGCTGCCTGCGGTGCCGCCATGGGGGTGAGGGTGGAGCTTCAGATAAGGGCAGGAACCTCGTTGGGGCACTGCTGAAAGGTCTCAGAATGTGGGGACAATTCCCAGAGTGAATGAGACAAGAGAGGGGGACAGGATCGGTTACAGAATCAGAAACCAGTGCAAAGTGAAAATGTGGGGTCCATTGTTCAATTACAAGGATTCAAGACTGTGATAGCAAAGTGTTAAACAAGGAATGAGGCCCTGGGGGGGTGATGAGAGGGCCCTTCTGAACCTGCCAGCCCTAAAAGCCACTGAGGGACATTCAAGGATCAGATCTCACCCCACACCAGGCTGGCTGAGTTCTTGGATGGATTCTAGCTGATTCACCAACACAATGTTTCACTGGACGTCCTACACAGGTCCACTTGCACCCATTGCTGATTCTTGCAAAGAAAAAAAAAGTGTGAGAACAGCCCCAATAGCTGAGTCCACTAAGAACTCAGTGATGTCTGTGAAACTTGGATCAACCCTATATGAGGAGGTGCAGATGTTGGATGTTTCTGTATTAGAAAGAAACTAGAGCAACAACAGATAGAAGCAGAGCATTGTCCCATGGGGGGTACCACAGTGTCTGGGTTGCCCTACACAAGGATGGGTGGACATGACCCACTTGGCTTTCCCACCTGTAAGGGCTTTACCCCTGACCCTCAGGATACCTTTGCCTTGTGGGGCCTGCCCTCAGCCGCTTTGTTTTTCCTCTCCAGCCAATACCTTGGAGGCTTTGCATATTTTAGACTACCTTCTGGTGACTGAAGGTCCCCTGTCTGTGTTCTTGCCCCATCCCTATCTTCCTATCTGTGCCCCCTGCACACCAGGGTGGGCCACTCCTTCCTATCCCTTTGCAGATAACACATCCACTTCCCAATGCTTGGCCCAGTTCCTGGCCCAGCACCCTCACTCTGGCCCACCAGCAGACTTGCTTTACTCCTGAAACAGCTCCCTTGAAGAACACCCATCTGGTCCTAAATACTGTTGCCAAAATCTTGTTTTCAGCCATCCTTCTAGAAGCCTTGGTGCCATTTGCACTTGTGACCCTTCACCATTCTCAAGGCTCCTCCTCCAATTACTTTTGAGACACATGTTTTCCTCCCTTCCTCTCCTGTGAGCCTTGGGGAGGCCCCTGGGATCCTCTTGTACCACCCACTAGAGTGGCCATTCTCAAGGTTTTGCTGGTGGTCTTCATCATCTCTTTACAACCCACCTTTTGGTGAACTTACCCATTCCCCTGGCAGTGATAGCAGTGTCCAAGGAGATTGGGGAGGGAGTATTCTAGAAGGGACCCTTACCCCATCTTTCCCAGTATCAATAGTTGGTCCACTGAGGTTTTAAACCATGCACTTGCCTTTGACTTTCTGCTCTCCTTCATCCACTGCCTAGTTTTTGTGTCTTGTTTCCCCTGATCACTGCTCCTGCCTTCTCAATTTATGCTGAGACAGTTGGGTCCCCAGCTCTTTTCCTTGCTGCTTATCTCTCCAGCTCTCCACCGTGGCTGAGGCTACTCTGATCCTCATACTCCCTCAGTGCTGCTCCCACCCGCTGGGAGAGCCCATACTCTTTCCCCTCCGCACTGAAGATGCTCGCGATAGTGCCTCTACTCTGTGGCCACAGATGAGAAAATTTGCACTCAAGGGGCTATGCTGGAATTTGGACCCAGAGCCTGCACCCCTTGCACCTCACAAGGCTTCAAGGACCAGTGTTCTGCTGGTCTCCATGAATGAGGAAACATCCTGGCAAGGGAGGCTCCTGCTCACTGTCAGAGAAGCACCTTGTCCGCTCATCTCCACCCTGTAGTTCATGTCTCTCCCTCTGCTAGCAACATTCTCGTCTGCCAGGCTCTTCACCCACTGAAATCTTTCCATTCTTTCAAGTCCCAGTTCAAGCTTCCCCATCAGCAAGTTTTCTGAATAACCCAACCAGAACTGATCTGTCTGTGATTCCCATAGACAGGTCGTTCTCTCAGCTCTTTAGTACTCACCACTCCCTCCCTGCCCTGTACCTAATCATGCATATACCACACTTTTTGCTGCACTTATACTCCAGATTCCCACACATTTTTGTATCCCCTTACACCTAACAGCACGCTTTGTAACTAGACAGTGCCCAGAGCTTATTGGAGCACCTGTGGTAGATGTTTCTTTGTCCTCTCCAGGGTGATTTTCTCACATTCACCTGCAAAGACAAGGATGGGGGACCTCAGAGCCTCAGGGTGAATTAAGAGTGTGGACTTTGGAGCCGACTTGGCTGCACTGGAGACCCAGCTCCGGCATTCACAAGTTTTTGTTTATTGTTAAGATTTGACTAATAACCCCTCCCCGTGTAGCTCAGTTTCCTTGACTGTGTAATGGGAATAGTCCCTCCTTCAAAGTGTTAGGATGAAGATTAAATGGGTTATACATGTAAAGCATTTAGAACAGAGGAGCCGTAGTCAGCTCTCAATAAATTTTAGCAAAAAAGAAAACACTCAAGTCCCTAGAATTTGGATTCGGCATCTGATTGTATTCAATATCCAGCATGGTTTCTTTTCCATGGTAGGGACTCACCAAATGTCTGTTGGATTTAATTTGTTCCAGCCAAGCATTTCTACCACTAATAACAATAAGCAATTGTGAAAAAAAATCAGGGATGGAGGCATAGGGAAGAAATTGAAGCATGTCCTGTCTTAGGCTTCCCATCTGCCCTAGAGACATCCATAGTGACTGTCCCCATTGCCCAGGTGTGGAAGCTGAAGGCCAGAGAGAATCAGTGACTCTCCAATGTCACACAGCTAGTAAGTGGTGAAACAAAGATTCACCGGCCTGTGGTAAGGATGAAAGAATTACAATGTGGAGTATGTCTGAGCCCCCATTTTGCCACATACTGGCCTACTTGGCTAAGTTATTTCAATCTCTGGTGTTCTTTCCCAAAAACTGGAGATATAATATCTAATATGTAGGATTAGTGTAAAATAAAACTCTTTCCCAAAAACTGGAGATATAATATCTAATATGTAGGATTAGTGTAAAATAAAACAGAAAATGTACATACAGTGACTATTACTTTTCTTGGAAGACAGCAGCTGTTTAACAAATATGGTTGTTATTACTGCTATATATAAAAAAAAAAGCTTTATCAAAGACCCCTGTGGTCACTGGTAGCCATCCAGGAAGTCTTGCTTTTTATTTATTTATTGACTGATTGATTGACTTTTGAGACAGAGTCTCAAAATCGGTAGCCCAGACTAGAGTGCAGCAGTGTTATCATGGCTCACTGCAGCCTTGACCTCCCAGATCAAGTGATCCGCCTATCTCAGCCTCCAGAGTAGCTGGGACTACAGGTATGTGCCATCACACCCAGCTGATTTTTTTCTTTTGTGTGTGTGTGCAGAAATGGGGTCTCACTATGTTGTCCAGGCTAGTCTGGAACTCCTGGGCTCAGACAATCCTCCACCTCAGCCTCCAAAAGTGCTGAGATCACATGCATGAGCCACTATGCCCAGCCAAGCCCAGCTTTTTAGATGGGAGTTTCTGCTTGATGTCTGTGGAGGAGGCTGGACCAACTACCTGGGCAGTGAACAGACTTCAGCCATTTTTATTGAAAGCAAACATGTGTGAATGTTGTTAGAACACAGATGAAAAGGAGTCCACAGACAGAAGGGGGCCCCAGTGGCATTGTGCTGACCCCATACATACCTTAGCCATATTTATAATACACTAACAATACTAAAATGCACACATAAAAATTAAGTCTCTATGGCTATGAGCAATATATAAATTCAAGGATGGAAAAATAACTGTCTGTTAAGCAAATGTTATCTAATAACTGCAGCACGTTAGAGCAAAACAAGTATTTTCCAAAATTTTGCCTCTTACTCAGGCTTTCTTAAAGAAACAGGGTAAAAGTGGACAATTGTTTGTTGGTCTATTCTTTAGAATAGACTTTATTGGTCTATTATTTGTAAAAGAAAATATGTCGCATATCCAAAAAACCATACCACTAATATCATACTCAATGGTGAAACACTGAAAGCCTCCTCCCTAAGGTCAGGAACAAAACAAAAATGTCTTCTCTTACCACTTCCATTTAACATTATGCTGGTGATTTCAGAGCAGTTAGTTATGAAAAGGAAATTTAAAAGTCCAGGCTGGAAAGGAACAAATAAAACTACATCTATTTGTGGATGATATTAACCTTTTTTGTATATGGAAAATCCTAAGGAAAACACTTTTTTAAAAAACTAAGAACTAATAAAGGAGTTCAGCAGTTGCAGGATATAAGATCAATACATAAAAAACAATTGTATTTCTGTATAACAATAAAAAAATGAAAATTATGAAAACAATTCCATTTATAATAGCATCAAAAAGAATAACATACTTGAGGATAAATTTAACAAAAGAAATGCAAAACATTTGCTCTTAAAACTACAAAACGTTGCTGAAAGAAACTTTAAAAGGCTTAAATAAATGGAAAGACACCCTACGTTCATGGATTGGAAGACTTAATATGATTAAGGTGGAAATATCCCCACAATTTATCTACAAATTAGATGCAATCTCTATCAAAATCTCCGCTTTTTTCTTTGCAGAAATTTACATATTGATCCTAGCATTCACATGGAAGTTCAAGGGATTCCAAAGAGCCAAAGAAATCTTGGAAAAGAAAAAAATATGAACACTTACTTCCTGATTTCAAAACTTACCGCAAAGCACCAGAACCAAAACAATATAGTGCTGGGATAAAGACAGACACGAATCAATGGAATAGAATTGAGAATCTAAAAATAACCCTCACATTTGTGGTCAATTGATTTCCACAAGGGTGCCAAGGCAATTGAAAGAATAGTCTCTTCCACAAATGATTCTGGAACAACTGCATATCTACATGTGGTAGGGTGGGACCTCTACCTCACATCAAATAAAAAATTAAAGAAAAATGGTCAAAACACTTAAATGTAAGATTAAAACTAGAAAATCCTTAGAAGAAAATATAGGTGTAAATCTTTGTGGCCTTCAATAAGGCACTGGTTTCTTAAATATGGTACAAAAAACACAAGCAATCCAAGAAAATGTAGATAAGTTAGACATTATCAAAATTTAAAACTTTTATGCTTCAAAAAAAAAAGGTGGAGACAAGCCACAGAATGGGAGAATGGTAGGAGACATTTACAAATTATGTACCTGATAAGGTCTCTCTAGAATATATAAGGAACTACAAGTCAATAATTAAAGACAACAAACCCAATTAAAATGTGGGCAAAAGATCTGGATAGATATTTCTCAAAAGAAGGTATATAAATGGCCAATATATCAGGACACCTGAGTGAGAAGACAGATCCTGTGCACATGGAAAGATGCTCAACATCATTAGCCATTAGGGGAATGAAAATTAAAACCACAATGAGATACCAATACACACCCACTAGGATGGCTACAATCAAAAGACAGAGAAGAATCCTCAGATAGTGCTGATGGAGATGTTTACTGGTGCAACCACTTTAGAAAGCAGTTTGGCAGTTCCCCAAAATGCTAAACAACAGTTACCATGTGATCTAGTAATTCTACTTCTAGGTATATACACTCAAGAAAAATTAAAACATATTTGCACACAAAAGTTTCTATACAAATGTTCGTAATAGGATTATTCTTTTTTTTTTTTTTGAGATGGAGTCTCGCTCTGTCACCAGGCTGGAGTGCAGTGGTGCTGCAATCTTGGCTTATTGCAACCTCTGCCTCCCAGGTTCAAGCAGTTCTCCTGCCTCAGCCTCCCAAGAGGCTGGGACTATAAGTACACGCCACCACACCCAGCTAATTTTTGTATTTTTAGTAGAGACGGGGTTTCACCATGTTGGCCAGGATGATCTCAATCTCTTGGCCTCATAATCTGCCCACCTTGGCCCCCCAAAGTGCTGGGATTACAGGTGTGAGCCACTGCGCCCAGCCCCAGTAGCATTATTCTTCACAGCCAAAGAGTAGAAAGAACCCAAATATCCATCAGCTGTTGAATGAATGAATGGAATGTGGCATGTCCTGTCCATATAATGAAATGCTATTTGGCAATAAAAAGACATGAAGTACTGATTCATGCACAATCTTGCAAACATTATGCTAAATGAAATAAGCCAGTCCCAAAAGTCCACATATTATATGATTCCATTTCCATGAAATGTCCAGAATTAACAAATCTAGAGAGACGAAGAGTCCATTAGTGGTTGCCTAGGGATTGAGAGTAAGGGGGAATTAGGAAAAGACTACTAATGATTGCAGGGTTTCTTTCTGGGGTGATTAAAATGTTCTAGAATTAATTTGCAAAACTCTATGCGTATGCCAAAAGCCATTGAATTATACATTTTAGATAGGTAAACTGTATGATGTGTGGATTATATCTCAGTATAGCTGTTTTTAAGAAGAAGAACATATGTTCCCCCAGTGAATGAAGCATGAGAGCTTAAGTGATGAACTGCCAGTGGACCTCTGAGCCTTTTCCTGCAGCCGGGGGCTTATTGTATGAGGAAGGATAGAATACCTATAGCTGTCTACCTTGACACAGAACTTTGGATCTATCATCTATTGGATTTCCATGGAGCCAAAGGAAGCTCGGGAATGCCCAGTGATCTATTCAGGGTCAGTCATCCAGGGTGGCCTACTTTGAGAGCAAAGAGAATTTTGTGTCTAGCAGATTCATGGGACACTACCTTGGTCTTCTCACTCAGGTGTCCTGATATATCCCCTCCTCTCAAGAGGTGTTTTCTGAGAAAAGTGGAGGACCACAGAAAATAGCAAGAGAGCCCCAGAGGCTGCCTGCTGGGCAATGTCTCTTTCTGAAACATGTATCTGGCTGGACCTGGTAATCTCTGCTCAGGCCAATAGGTGGTGAGCAAGAGATGAACAGGCATTTGGGCCATGGGTCCTCTGGCAGTTGGTTGAAGCCCACGGACCCCTTTCTAGAATAATATTTTAAATAAATGTATCAAATAAAACTCACAGAATTACAAAGGAATCCAGTCATATTGAAATGAAATATTAAAATCTCAAAAAGTAGCAAATATGTGATATCAAATATAAGTGCTTCTTTTGGGATATTTTAAAACACAAGTTCTCATGGTGCGCCACCTAAATGCCATAATTTCAAAGTGGTGATCAATGTAAACAATATTTTGAGAGATCTGTGACAACTGTAATGTGGTCTGTGTCTGTGATTTACAGCGATGACAGTCTCTGGTCCTGCTAACACTGCTCTCGGTATTTACCTTGCCTTTTCTTTTCTTTCCTTTTGGAAGGAAAGGATATGCTGTTTCAGGTGCAGATTAGTGAAAATATAGAAGTAATGTTTTCTCCATTCAAGCTGATGAGACCCCTGAATGAAGAACTATTCACTTAAAAGAACACAGAACTATTTCGGTCAGTTCAAGTAGAAGCCTCTAGAATGTTATTGTGTCAAGGTGCGTTTTGCCATGTTAGACTCTCCCTTTATTTTCTACAAAATATTTGTTCATAGCAGATTATATTTTTATTGAAAACAATGCATATTTGAAAGAAATGCTCTTACACTCAGAAACACTGTCCTTGGAAGACAAAGTCCTCACAAGGAAGCCAAGAAATCCACAAGTGTTGTTTGAGAAACGTCAACTGTGCTTCGGCTGTTGGCACACATCTCCTGTGGGATAAGTTCAGGCCTTAAATGTATGCAGGACAAGAGGCTTAAAAGTGAGCATGTGCAGAGAACAAAACCTATTTAGGCAGGAAAATAAGATAATTGGAACTATATATTTTAATGCTATTTTACAGAAGTATATTATAATATATTCTTTAAATGCATGAAATGTGAGAAATTGAACAATGAAAATATCTATCACTAATATAACTGCAAATATTTAGTGCTTGCCTTTAATTTTTTGTGAAAATTAGAGATCTGAACATTTTGTTAGCACAGTAAGTATATTTAATATACCTATTATCAAATTATAACTGATAGATCCAGTGGATGGAAAGCTATGGAAGTAAACACACCTAATATAGAAAGAAATACTACTTATGGTATAGGAGATATATATATATAATTGTTACAGTAGGTAGCTAGTCAGGCCTGAGCATGGCAGGAGAGGGCTCCTCCACCACCAGGAATGTCAGACAACCATCAGATGATGGTCAGGCAGTTGTTAACTGTCTTTCTAAAATAATTTGTTGCAGCCAGTGCCAGGGAAAGCAGTCTCCCTATCAATAGAAGAAACCTCAAACTGGGGATCAGCAGCTTCCAGATAAGATCTCAGGAGCTGGGTAAGTGGGCTCAAGCTTGTGCATTAAGATGCAAAATGACAGAGTTTAATTGGTATATGACCTTCTAGGGACATTTGACTGGCAAGGGAAGAATGCTTGAAGTGAGCATGTGTACAACTCCAGTAAACAAACTGTGCTGGTAGGCCACTGAGCATGTGGACAGCCCATCCCAAGGGAAGAATCAGGGGAGAAAGGATGCAAGACCCCAGAAGTATGCCAACACATAAAACCCCAAGTGAAAAAGTCAAACCACGCACTTGTATTTCAAGTTGGCCACTTGGCCCTCTTCCAAGTGTACTTTCCTTCCTTCTTCCCTGCTCTAAAGCTTTGTAATAAACTTTCAATCCCGCTCGAAAGCTTGCTAGTCTCTCCTTCTGCCTCTCAGCTGAATTCTTTCTTCTGAGGAGGCAAGAATGGAGGTTGCTGCAGACCCATATGGATTTGCTGCTGGTAACATCATTATCTCTGAGTTGAAGCAGCATGATTTTTACTTTCTTCTCTTTCTTATATTTTCTACATGCATTTATTTTATAAGTTAAAGGCTCCACTCCTTCATTAAAAAAAGGTAAAATTATTTTTTGATAATTGAAAATTAGTCAGTTCAAAGTAATGTGGCTGGTAATACACATCGCATTTTTGCAGTCTCTTGCAAAACAGAAGCTATTCTGACTCCCTTGTAGCTCACTAATTTTCAAGAATTTAATAAAAATCTGCTGCCTGAAAGAGCCGCTCCTGTCATCTTGAGAAGGCTGGGGTCTTTGCACCCCCTGAGTTCAGTGATTGCTTCCCCAAAAACACATTTCACAAGAGGATAGACTTTATCACATGGGTTCAGCCGGGCTGTGTCATAGAGACCCATCCCAACTCACCCCATGTTATTACCAGTGAACTACTGAGATGCTAAATCTTTGGCTTCTTGGTTTGAGTTGTGGAAGGACAGATAAACAAAAGTGCCTGCTAAGACCCAGATATCTGGAGGAATTCTGTGGATGCCCTAGAGCAAGGTTGACGTGCCGTGTCTGTCAAGGGCAAGAGAGTAAACATTTCAGCTGCAGGCCTTTCAGCCTCTGTCATAACCACTGAACTCTGCCTTTGTTGTGTGAAAGCAGCAAGCCTGGTGGAGCCCCACAAAATCGGTTATCTACTGCCAGTAGCAAACCTCCCCAAAACTTAGTGATGAGAGCAATGAATATTGAAACCCTGGTTATCTGACCAAGTCAGTATTGGACAAATTTGCACAGAGATCTTTTGGTGATTTGCAGAAGCTGGTGCAGGCAGACTTCTTATTTTCATCAATATCTAGCTCCATCAGGACTGAAAACTGCAGACTAGCTACTCTAGACTTCTGGTGGCTGAGAACAAGCCTGCAGGATGGCTTGACAGCTCTGGGTAAACTGTCTGAGAACATCTTCAGCTTGGGCAGAACAGCCTTCCAGGAATGAAGATGTCACAGAGAGCAGGGTGCTGGAGAGGGCTTTACTCTGAAGTAGGGGCGGCCAATATTTGATCCCATCATTCAGAAATCCCTCTTCTACCCACAGGCCTGGCAGTGACTGAGGCTCCATCTAGCTCTGGGAGAAGAGGAAGGGAGTGGCTTCCCACTGGGGGTGCCTCAGACCTCGCTTACCTCCACCCATAGCTGGTCCACCCACCATGGGTGCTCAAAAGTAGAAGGAAGGATGGGGAAACATTCAGTCCACGTCCAAATCATCGAGAAGACTTTTCAGATTGGGAATAATTCCGAAGCCAGATCCCAGCAAGGCACTGCCAAAAAATGGCTCTCTGGGGTTTATTTTCCTTTGGAAAGGACTTTTGGGACATACGGCAAGAGGGAGCTTTCTGGGTCCCTTAAAGGGCCCTGCAGGAAAGAAGGGCAGTGGGACGCATTGTCTGTTCTCCATAGACAATAGGGCAGACTGCTTCCTCCTTGGGACTGGTAGTTACGTTTATGTTTCTGACAACCAGCTGGCCACTGAAGAAGCGTGGAGCCAACAGCTGCAAGGGATAATTTTGGCAGCATCACCCACGGTGCAAATTTAAAACTCCAGCTGGTTCTACTGCAAGCAGAATAAACACAAACAGCTGATAATAAGTAAATTCAGAACTTGAAATATGCCAGAGACACTTTATAGCCCTCTGTTTTCTCCTAGTGTGCACTCTTTGTGCTCTCATCCTGTGGTCTTGAGCGTGAACATCATTTTCATATTTTATCTTGCTATCTAAAAGTTTTATTTATTTGGGAAATAAGTAGGCTCTGAATCTGGGGGGAAAATAGTTGTCAAGAACCAAATATTTGGCTTCCTGTTTCCCAGAAAGTGTTTGCTGCTGTTTCCATTTCTGGCCCAACATTTTTCCAGAGTTGAAAATGTCATTTAAATGAGTCAGTCCCCGGGGCTCAGAAGCAATGATAAAGATGTGGACATGGCCCCAGAACGTTGGAGCACTGCTGCCTCTGGTGGACTGAAGGGCAGCTGGCATTAAAAACAGGATGTTCCTGCTGTGATACAGGCAGAGGAAGAAGAAGGGTATGCAAACCAAGGCAGTCCCCTGCAGCCTTGCCCCTCAGTGTGTGGTCCCAGACCAGCAGCATCACTGCACCTGGTAGCTTGTTAGAAATGCACAACCTCTGACCCCACCCCGACCTCCTGCATCAGAATCTGCCTGTTGACAAGGTCTTGGGGAAAAGGGTATTGGGGAATTTGCTGCACACACACTCCGCTGGGCAACCCAACGGCCTCAATGAGACCAGCCTGCACAGGATTCTACCTGCCTTCCCCTACCTTCCACCACAGTTTCAATGATCCTCTTAGGAGTATGAAAAAGGAGTGGCCAAGATTGTCAGCATCAGCTTTTATCTTCTCTCTGTGAACACATATATCACTTACCAACTTGTCAGAAAGGCAGATTCCTGGGCCCTAATTCAAACTTCCTGAATCAGAAACTCTGGGGATTGGGCCCAGCCCTGTGGGTTTTAGCAAGCTCTCCAGGGCATTCTGATGCACAGGTTTGAGAAACAACTGGCTCATTGTATGTGAGGCATGAATGAAGTGGCCTCCCAGGCTCTGCTCACATCCTCACTACCCTCATCTCTTCCTCCTGGGCTTTCCACCTTGGGTCCTGGCTCTACCAACTCTTCCTTGGATCCTGAATCTACAGTTTCTACCTGCATGGGCACAAGTATCACAAACCTTATCCTGATGGGATAGTGGAACTCCACCTTCAAGCCAAGATAAATGTAATTTGTAAAATTTTTGCACAGACAGGAGGTGCAGAGGACATTGTTATCATGAAGCTGAAAGTCATGCAATAGGATGGAAAGGAGGAAGACTGAAGGAATCCAAGATGCTAAAAGTATTAAGAATTCATAGCCCAACCTCATACTGTTGGGCTATGAGTATGTCAACCTCATACTGTTTTCTGCAAAGAAACAGAGATAATAAGTGCTTTAGGTTTTGCAGGCCACTTGGTCTGTGCTGCTGTAACAGGAGACCAGCCGCAGACCATATATAAACGAATGGATGTGGCTGTGGTCCAATAAAACTTTGTTTACAGACTTTGAAATTTTCATAATTTTACATGCCATGAAATATTTTTCTTCTTTTGATTTTTTTCTGACCATTAAAAAAATGCAAAAAAGCCATTTTTAGCTCACGCACCATACAGAAACAGGCAGTGGGCCAGAGTGGGCCTGCAGGCCATAGTTTTCCAAACCCTGCCCTACAAACATTAATAAAGAAAAAAACTTAGAAGATGCAGGACTTGCTTATGAAAACTTCCTCTACTTCAAAAAAGATATATATAGAGAAGAAAAAAACCCAACCACTAAGAAGCATTGTATTCAAATGCAAGAGACAATGGTGGGAAAAGCCCTCTTTGTCTTGTTTCTGTCCATTGTGGATGTTTCTTGTCACTGTTGTGGAATTATGGTGAGTGAAAGAGAGGGCGTTAAGAAGGAAGAGAAGAGAAAGGAAAAGCAAAATACAGTGAGTATTTAGGAAGTTGTAGAAGGCAAAGTAAGGACTGAAATGACCACAAGCTTCATATTACAAGGAGAGAGAAAAATGTGGTTCTGTTCTTTCAGTTAAAGAGAAAAACGCTTCCACCTTACTCCCCAATAGAACCACAGATCTCAGAGTTGGCTTGGCTGAGACCAGGCCTATTGGATTCTTGGCTTCCGGTATCATGCAGCTTCTGGTAAGTCAATGTGTTTGACATTCCTCCACACTCTAGACTCCCCAGCTCCCAAGGAAGGAACACCACCTTTCATCTTCCAGGTCATTTCATTCTGCTATGAAGGTGTTTCCATCTCAAAAATTGGTAGTTCATATAAAGCGGGCAAATGGGCGCCATAGTCACCACCTTACAGACACTGCACTCATTTACACACCATTTTGCATACATTTGTTCTGACTGCTCTTCAGTGAGAACTTCATTACTTTTATATTACAGAATTGTTATACTTTTAAAAAACTTTAAATATCGGTCATTTGTAGTGAGCAGCTTAGTATTTTCCGTGATGGAGTGTAATAGTTTTCCATTGCTGCTGTGGTTAAAAACAACACAAACGTATCATCTTAGAGCTCTGGAGGTAAGAAGTCCAAAATTGGGGCACCATCAGGGCTGCTCTCCTTCTGGAGAATATAGGGGAGGATCCTTTCCTTATCTGTTCCAGAGATCACCTTTATTTCTTGACCTGAGGCTCCTAGCTCCATCTTCAAAGCCAAGAGCATACACAGCATCTTCTCACCTCTCTCTCTGACCTCTGCTTCTGTGTCACATCTCTAACCCTTCTGCCTTGATATTCCATCTTTTAAGGACCCTGTGATTGCATTGGGCCAACCAGGCTGAGTCATAGAGGCAAAAGCCAATAAAGGATTAATAACAAAACCAAAGGGAAAAAAATCCTTTGACAGAATTGCCCTAGCATGTCTGGTTTAGCACGTGAGCAAATACAGCATTTGGGCTGCGTCTTATGAAATCTTAATGGCTTGTGAATGAAATGAGTTAAAACTATCAACCATCTCTCGCTGAACTGAGCTTAGTGTTCCCACTTAAGAAATTCATTTCTGAATTTTATTAAATTTTTAAAATCTCACTAAAACTATAGTCCTGTCTGCTGATTTCTAGGGTAGATGGCCCTGATGATGTAATAAATCCTCTTCATCAAGAATGTCTTGGTCATTTGTATTTCTGGCACTGTAGTCCTCACAGTAGAGCATCGGTCCTTTGTCATCTAAACAAAACTCACTTGGATTTAGCAGCAAGAACTTTAAGGACTCTGATTGTCGGGGCTGTGATCCTAAGCTTGAAAGGATCAGTTTATTAGCAATATCTCACACTCTTTTTTTTTTTTTCATGTTGAGCAGTAGAATATAAGAGATGATAATGAGGAAATGGAAATTAAAGACGTGTGCGTGTGCCACTCCCTGCAGATTCGGTTTATACCATGGCTCCAGGAGTCACAGAGCGTTGGACACAGCAGGATGGGTGGTCTGATCCCAGCTATTTGCAGCCCACACAGTGATCAGGGGATTCTTTATTGGTCACTTTTTTTTCTTTCTCTCTACCAATTAATGTTCCTTGTTCTTGATCCACCCCTTTGAGCCAAACAACCATTGAAAAGATGGAAACATCATTTTCCATGAAAGTACACATCTTGAACCCTGTTATAACCTGAAACAGAAAATGTAAAAAGCTGCTGTCAGTTCCTCCTTCAGTTTCAGAGTGCACACAAAGCCCTACTGTCAAACTTAAACAATGTTTATAGTGAAAAGAAATGATTAGAAGCAGGAAGGCACCACAGGGAGTAACAATCCTTCATGTTTGGAGGGATTTTATTTGCTTTAGCAATCTGATGGAAGGAAAAGAAAATTCCCATTATCAGGAACATCGCCCATCGGAGTGCCTAGTAATAAAAGTGTCAGCACCAATAATGTTATTAAAAGAAAACACTTTCTAGGTTCTGCCACCTACGTGTTGTATCCCTTTAAAAGGAAGCACAGTGGATAGCACAGTGCCTGTAGAGGCTGAGCTGGACGTGGATTTGTTTGCCTTGAAGCTTTGTATCAACAGTATGGGCACCTCAGCTCTGAATTTTCTGATAAAATGAGGTGTGCACGTAGAGTTCATGGCAATAGTGACCTTCAGACTCATTCTTCTTCAGATCCTTCTTTTTAGCTAGATCTACAATGGCATTCCTTTTCCCAGGAATGCGATTCCCAGGCTGGCCAAACTCATGTTGCCATGTATTACCCCCCAAGGCAAATAGCAAAGTTTCCTTTGAAGACAATAAATACATAGTCCATGGGCTGGACAACTGGAGGTGTTTTGGAAAGTTCTTTTTATTTTCAGCAAGATATGGAGACTCACTTTCCTTGGATGAGTATAAAACATGAAAGCAGTTATTCTGTAGATGTCTAATGGAAAGCTCTAGAATCTCTACCACATTTCTTGGTGCCAGCATTTGCATTTTTTGGCTATTTATTGGAACTTGGTTGCATGTCATTTTTTGTTCATCCATGCCATTTTCTGACTATTTACTTTGTGCTAGGTGCCATATTAAGGACATTAAGCACATTACATGGAATCCTCACAACAAATTATTTTTATTATCCCTATTTTACTGAAGATGAAATTAATTTAGGAACAGTAGCCTGGCCAAGGTCATGGGGCAGCAGTGAAGCCAGAATTCAACTGCAGGGCTGTGTAACTCTGACATCCAGCATGTAACCACATCTCAATCCCTGAAATGATTTAAGCAAAAGGAAGCAAATGAGAAGAAATGTGTGCTCTTTATAGTTTTATGCATCATGTGTGGGTTTGCCTCTGAGATGTGTCAAGGCCCTGTTGAAACAGTCTTGTGAGATGTTGCTTCCGAAAGACGTAGAAGCACAGCTGTGTGTTGATAATAGTCCCAAACTGGTAACACTTGGGTGTTCATCAGCAGGTAAATTGATACACAATTGTTAGTGAAGCTGCTCAGGGGAATTCTAGGAGCAATTAAGAGTGAACGCACATCCTATGATGTGCAAATCTCAAAAACATTGCACAGCATAAAAGCAGCTTTACATAAAACAGTATATTCTGTCTGATTTGAATTATATGACGTCATTAAACAGGCTAAATAATCCATGATGGGGGGAAATCAGAACAGTGGTTGCCTCTAGCTGGGGAGAAGGTAAAATTGAGAAGGGGGATGGGGAAACTTCCTAGGGTGATGGTCCGGGTCCTTATCTTGACAGGGTGTTGATTACACAGATGTCTGCATTTGTCAAAACTCATGGAATGACACACTTAAAATTTGTACATTTAATTGTGTGTAAATCTTATCTCAAAAGAAAAACATAACAAATATCGGCCTCTAGTTAATGACATGGGTTGACATGTTTAGAGGGATGTGTACTGATGCCTACAACTTACTCAAATGCATCACAAATAAGCTGTATTGATGGCTGGGTGGATGGAAAGTTGTGACAGAAGTCAAGTGACATATTAAAAGTGTAGAATCTAGATGGTGTTCGAATCTAAGCGGTAGAATTCTACCTAGGTAGAATCCACACAGCTGTTCACCGTTTGTAAATTTTTCTAGCAAAATATTAGGAAAAAGACTTTGCTTATGGAGTCCAGGCTCTTTTCTCTGTGAAGCTGCATTTCCCCAAATGTCGGGGAGACCCACCTGCCCTGTTAAGGACCAGCGGTGATCTCAATCTGACACTGCCACAGTGAATGCCACAGGTGTTCTGTGCCAGTCAGTGATTCACCCTTGTCACAGTTGGGGAATAGTGAAAGGAAGCCTTGAGGGGAGCAGTGGAGGTGGCCACGGCCCACCTGCCCAGCAGACTGATGCCCACCACTATCCTCTCTGGAGACAAGTTTGGAATAAGAGCATGATTCTGAGGAGTCAGACAGACTTCAGTTTCATTCCTGGTTCTGACAGCTGCTTGCTTTGTGACCTTAAGCAATTTGTTGAAATACATCTGAGCTTCTATTTATCCATCTGTGAAATGGGCACAACGCATAGTGGCTGGCACAGGATGGAGGACGGTCCTTAGCACAATGCTAGGCCCACAGAATATGCTCAAGCACATTTCCTAGAAACTGAAGGGCCTGTACAGGCCAAAAGGCCTGTAGCCCAAAAGCAGGGTTTGACTGTGGCCATCTCTAAGAAAGAAATGTAGTCAGATGATTCAAAGGAAAATGGGTAAAAGAAAAAAACCAAAGCTGCAAGTTTAAAAAGTCAATGCTCAGGAATGATGAGAGGAAAGTGGTCTTGGAACACACAGGGGTGACCACTCCTTCATGATGTGTGTGTGTTTTGATAGAGGTCGGTATAATTAGAGATATTCATGATCCCCAAAGGCCTCCTTATGGGGTAGGGGCTTAAAGACATTTTCCCTACTCTTGGCCCTTCCCCACTCACCCTCCCTCTGACCCCAGGGCCCATAAAGCTACTGGAGCCTTGTGTTTGGGGCTCAGTCAATAGTGAAAGGACCCCAACAACCTGACCCTGTATTGGTGCACTACAGTTCCATGGGCAAAGAGAAACAAGAGGGGTCAGCATTTTCTCTGGTTGAGACTATTGCTTGTACCATCGCAATAAGTGATTAAAGGCTTTACCAGTACTTTCATTTTGGCTCATTGTTGCTTTAATTGGCTACTCCAACACCTGACAGCTCAGCTCTCTCTCTCTCCTGCTCAGCTGAACTCCTGATACTCAACAGAGGAATTAAGATGCAATAGTAAAATATACATAAAATTTAAGACAGCTATTCTGCAGAAGACTCTCCAGAGACAATGAAAAGACCAGCCACAGACTGGAAGAAAATATTTGTGAAATATATACAGTCTCAGATGGGGATACCATCTGAGAAATACATCGTTAGGCAATGTCATTGTGTGAACATCATAGAGTACTTACACAAGCATGGATGGCATAGCCTACTACACACCTAGGCTATGTGGTATGGCCTATTGCTCCTAAGTTACGAACCTGTACAGCATGTTACTCTACTGATCAGTAGAGGCAATTGTAACACAATGGTAAGTATTCATATGTCTTAACATCTGAACATAGAAAAAGTATAGTAAAAATACAGTATTATAATCTTATGGGATCATCTTCATATACATGGTTTGTCATTGATTGAAATGTCATTATGCAGTGCATGACTTTATCTGATGAAGGGCTAATATCCAAAATATACAAAGAAACCCTAAAACTCAACAATAAAAAAAACCCATATAAAAATGGGCCAAGGATTTAAATGAACACCTCTCCAAAAAAGAGGCACAGGTGGCAAAGAAGTATTGAAGAGATGCTCAATAGCACATGTAATTAGGGAATTGCAAATTAAAACAGCAATGAGATATCACTACATACCTAATAGAATGGCTAAAATCCAGAACACTGACAATTCCAAATGTTGGCAAGGTTGTAGAGCAGCAGGAACTCATTCATTGCTGGTGGGAATGCAAAATGATAAACGCTTTGGAAGATGGTCTGGCAGTTTCCTACAAATCTAAACATACTCTTACCATCCAGAAATTGCACTCTTAGGTATTTACTCAAATGAGTAGAAAAATTATATCCATAAAAACATCTGCACATGAATATTTATAGCAGCTTTACTCATAATTGCCGAATTTTGGAAGCAACCAAGATGTCCTTTGCTAGGTGAATGGATAAATAAACAGTGCTCTATTCAGACAATGCAATATTATTCAGCACAAAAAAGAAATGAGCTATCAAACCATGAAAATGTTTAGAAGAAACCTAAATGCATATTATTAAGTGAAAGAAGCCAATCTGAAAAGGCTACATATTCTATGATTCCAACTATATGACACTCTAGAAAAGGTAAAACTATGGAGACAGTGAAAAGATCATGGTTTCCAGGAGTTGGGAGGGAAGAAGAGGCAGAGCACAGAGGATTTTTAGGGCAGAGAAACGATTCTGCATGACACTGTGACAGTGGAACACATCATTAGTCATTACATGTTTGTCAAAATCCATGAAATGTACAACAGTAAGAATAAACCCTAATGTAAACTTTGGGCTTTAGTTAATAATAATATGTCAATATTAGCTCATCAAGTTTAACAAATGTACCGCACCAACATGAGGGAAACCAAATTATTTCTCCCAAAATATTGAGGGTTGTTCAGCTAAAAATGCCACAAGCACAGGGAAGCACTTGGCCTCGGCCGCTGTTTGGCTGACGGCAGCACACAAGCCCTTCCTTACTGAAGACAGCACTCGCTTCCCAGCCCAGAGAGGGCATCAGCAGGCACAAGAGACATCTGGAAGGGGGCTCTACTATCTTCCCAGATCTTCCTGCCTTTTAAAAGACAAGAACTGCTCTCCTCTTTGTTTTGTCACTACATAGGATTTATGGCTCTTTGCTGAAATACTATTTAACCAAGGACCCCTAAGCCATTGCCTTCAGAAATACTTTTGGACTGGCCGGGCACGGTGGCTCGCGCCTGTAATCCCAGCACTTTGGGAGGCAGAGGCGGGCTGATCACGAGGTCAGGAGATCGAGACCATCCTGGCTAACACAATGAAACCCCGTCTCTATTAAAAACACAGAAAATTAGCCGGGCGTGGTGGCGGGTGCCTGTAGTCCCAGCTACTCGGGAGGCTGACGCAGGAGAATGGCGTGAACCCAGGAGGCAGAGGTTGCAGTGAGCCAAGACTGCGCCACTGCACTCCAGCCTGGGCGACAGAGCGAGACTCCGTCTCAAAAAAAAAAAAAGAAAGAAAGAAATACTTTTGGACTAAGGCTTCCCCTGTGTGATGGGTACTACATAAATTAATAAACTTCTGCTTGTTTTTCTTATGTTAATTTGACATCTGTTTTCAGGAGAGTTTCTCACCTAATAACGTAAAAAGGAAAAGAAAGGAAATTATGTTTTCTCTCCCACAACTGCAAGTTGTTGAAACATCTTGCGGGATGGGATTGGAGGAGGCATATATGGGAATTTTCTGTACTTTCTACCTAATTCATCTGTAGACCTAACGTTTCTCAAAAATGAAATTATAATAATTTAAAAAGGATACTTGAATAACCCCAAAGAAAACAGGAAAAGAGAACTGAAAGGAAGGGAAGGAGGAGGAGGTGGAGGAGGAAGGTAGGAAAGGTAGAAAAAGAACCGAATAACAGGCCTAACCCCAATAAATGCTGATTCTATCTACGAATACTTCTAAAACAGGCCAAACAAATCTGTGGTGATAGACAGCAGAACAGTGTTTGTCTATGGGGTGGAACTTGATTGCAAGGAGCATAGGAAACTTACTAGGGGTGATGGATAGTTACACATCTTGACCAAAGTGATGGTTACAATGGTATATACATTTATCAAAATGCATTAAATTGTACAGTTGGGATTCGTACCTTTCTCTGCATATAAATCTTACTTCAACTTTTTAAAAAGGATTAAAAATGCTTCCTTGGTGAGCGGGACTTCTGTGTGAGGCCTGTAGGCACAGCAGCCATGCTGTAGGCACGAGGATGCAAGCCACATGCTCGCTGGTGCGGAGGACCAAAAGAAGAAATGCAGCCGAAAGCAGCTGCAGCAGCCCTGGCTTTCCCACCTCTGAATTTCTTGTCATGAGAGAAAAATAAGCATTATGTTAACCAGGCTTTAATATGCACAGGCAAATTTACTGCTAAATATTATAAGTTTATTAACATATTTAGATATAAGCAGGACCAGAATAACATACCTAGAACAGATACTGATTTTCTTGCATTCATGTAATAATCATTTAAAATTCATATCTGCTTTACGCGAATAGATATAAACATAGAGCTAAGTGCTCCTACAAGATGAATTTTTAGTAGGCTAAACAGCACAGCTAAAGTCTCTTATGAACCTCATTTCCCCAACATATCTTTCATCTCTCTCTCTTTTTGGTTTGTTTCTTGTTTGTTAAGCTAATGGGTGTATTAATTCCATCCCAATGTGACTCCAAATTTTGAAATTATAAGGCCCAAATGAATTATTTTTTCTTTGCTCAAATAGGATACATACCTCATCTGAAGACAATTCAACATATAACAAAAGTTAATGAACGGCATTTCACTGCAGTCACAAACCCATTAAGCATCAAATCCAGGCGCTGTGAACATCAAAGAAGTCAAACTGGGCAACTGGTCTCTCCTGTGCAATGGGAAAACCTCCTAATGAAGGGCCATGACTTTATTGTTGACACCGATTCCACTTCAAACTTGGCGTCTGCAATCTCTGCCAGAAGATTTTCCGAGGTTGTTTTTAAGTCATAAAGTTAAATAACATGAAATGTTGTCTCCATAGTAAAAGATGCTTTCCTAAAACTGAAGGGCCTCTAGCCAAAAGACCTACAGCCAAAAAGCAGGGTTTGGCTGTGGCCATCTCTAAGAAAGAAATGTAGTCAGATGATTCAAAGGAAAATGGGTAAACAAAAAAAAACAAAGCTGCAAGTTTAAAAAGTCAATACTCAGGATTGATGAAAGGAAAGTGGCCTTGGAACACACAGAGGTGACCGCTCCTTCATGATGTGTGTGTGTTTTGATGGAGGCCAGTATAATTAGGGATATTCATGATCCCTGTGGTGCTTTGGTGGGAGGTGGAGGAGGACAGTCAGAGACAGATGTCTTCCCAGTCTCCAGTGCTGAGCAGAGGATTTGGTAAAGCAACCGGCAGTGGATAAAGTGTAGAAAGTACAAAACTAACTCCAGCCCACAATAGTCATTCACTTTTTGATACCACTGAAATGACGAAGTCAAAAGCAATCATGTTTCCCACTTCTAGAAAAATATTCAGGTCACAATTTGTAAATCTTTTGTTTAATTTATAACAATGATTAGCAGCATTTAAAAATCAACTTTATTGAGGTTTAATTTGCATACAATAAAATGTACCCATTTTCTGTGTGGTCTAAGGAGTTTTGACAAATGCAAACGCCCATGTAACCAACACCCAATCAAGACACAAGTATTTCCTTCATTCCACGAAGGTCCCTCAAGGTCTTTTGCTCCCAACCCTCACCCCCACTCTCACATAACCATTGAACTACCATCCATCACTGCGGATTAGTTTTACCTCTTCTAGAATGTCATAGAAATGGAATCAGGCAGTGTCCAGCTAATTTTGTTCCTTTGTGTCTGGCTTTCTTGCTCATTGTGTATTTCAGACGCCTGCTCCTTTTCCTTGATAAGGGATATCCCATTGTGTGCATGACCCACAGTCTTCACCCAGCTACCTAATGATGAATGTCTGGGTTCTTTCCAGATCGAAGCTGTATAAATAAACCTTGTGAATATCTATGGCCAAGACAATGTAGATCATGGCTTCATTCCCTTAAATAAATATCTAAGAGCAGAATTGTCAGGTTGTACGTTAAGTGTATGTTTAACTTTCTAAGAAAGAAACCATCTGTTTTTAAAGAAGTTATACCGTTTACATTTCTATTACCGTGTGCAAGAGTTCCAGTTGGGAAGTAGCCTCTGAGCAGGTCGGGACCATGGGGCGATTTGCACATTCCCACTTCCCTTCCTCTCCTACTGCATTCAAACACATTGCTCTCACCAAGGCAGACTGGGGATAGCCACGTGGGGGGACTGTGAGGGTGCGTTCCCTGGGATCTGCCCTCAGAGCAGGCAAGGCAGGTCTCAGGATGCACAATCTTTCTGATCAGAGGGCTTTTGAGTAGTTCTACCCCAGTGTGTGTGTGCGTGTGTGTGTGTGTGTGTGTGTGTGTGTGTTTGGGGGGTACATACACAAGCCCAAGTAAGTTTGTTTGAACATATTATTAAAAATACCCATATTGCTTAACACTCTGCTTTTCCTATCTGAAACTGGCTGAGAGGCCCACTCATCTCCCCACTCTTTGCTGGTTGACACTTTTTCAATTGCAGTTCCTATTCATGTCTAATGGGAGGCAGGGAAGCCTAGTGATTAAGAGTGAGAGTGTAAGATTTCATTCATCTAATTCACCACTCATCTTCTCTCTGCCTCAATTTCCTTAACTATAAAATGGAGATATTAATACTACCTATTTCTCAATAGCAAATACTATTTTCCCATTTGGTACATAGTAAAAGGTCAGTGATTTTTTTCCTCTTCATTGCTTTAATAACATATGTGGTATAAAATAACATATCCGGGGTCTTGTATTTAAAAAATCTTTTGAGGCTTGACTGTGAGCAAGGCACAATACAGATGTACCCGTTGCTCTTGAGTGCCTTACAGTCTCTCAGGAAGACACAAGTCATGTAGCCACTGACCTATCATGCAAGGAATAAAGTGATAAAAGCCAGCAGAAAACTCCTGAGAGAGAAATCCATCCCCATGGATACAGCTCCTCCTGGGGAAATGGAGGCATGACCTCTAGAGGCAGGGAGGACTGTCTGCACTGAGTTTAGAGGACAGCTGTGTGCTGGAGGCTGCCAGTGCTCAACAAATCGTGCTTGCACTTTTCACTGTGCTCAGGTGAAGTACACCTGCCAGGGCCTGCATCTGTACCTGAAGGTTTCCCCATCCTAAGTGTGGAAGGCCACTTTGCCCACATGTGTGGTCATCTGGAAGTGCTGGGAATTACCCGCCACCTCCACCCAGGGCAGCCCTCTACTCATTACCAATGGGTATCTACACACCACTCCCTTGGCTTTCAGATGTGATGACCCTGGCATGTTTTGCACCATTTCCCAGGATTTCTACAGTGATGTCACCACTTGATGCCATTACCACTGTTCCCTGTGCTTCCCAGTGAACCACAGGATGGTGAGTCCTTCTCTCAGGCTCTGTTTCTGGGAGCTGGAGTGCAAAGAGCCCCAGACCAGCTGGATATGGCGGCCACAATTCAGAGCAGCAATAGTGAAGACTTGAGTGCAGGCCGTGCCATGAGCTGGAGACAGGGGACAGGTGGCAGATGGTGGAGGAAGAGGCCCTGGACAGCATCGAGGCTCACACAGGCCCACCAGGAGGGTGTGCTAGCCCACCCTACCTGGTACACTGCTCCAACCCCCAGCTCAGTCATGCATTCCACATGTGTTTACTGAGCACCACAGTATGCCAGGCCCTGGTCTAGAGGCCTAGGGTATATCAGAAACCAAAAGACAAAAAAGTGCCCCTGTTGGCTCTTACATTCTAGTAAATAAATACAGATACTAAATAATCAATCATAGTGTACAAACAGAAATCATAAACCAGGGTGGAAGGTGATTGGTGTTTTGGAAAAACAGTAGAGCAGAGCAAGGATCGCTGGGAGTGCTGGAGAGAAGGCCCAGCCTTATAGCCCACTGGGAGAAGATAGGTACAAAGTGAGGAAGGAAAGAACCATCTAAAATTGTTTCCAAAATAAGAGAGTCAAGACAATGAACAAGAAGGTATACTAACAAGAATAAGAGAAGATCACTCAAGACCAAATGAAGCAGCGGTTCTCCAAGGGCGGTTCCTGGACCAGCAGCATCAGCAGAAATGCAGTCTTGGGCTCCACCCCAGATCGGCCAAGTCAGAAGCTCTGAGGGAGGGGTTCCGTTTTAAGGAGCCCTGCAGGAGGTTCCAGAGGATTCAGACACATGCTCAGGTTCAAATACAGCTAGAAGGAAATGCCCTCCTGTGCTGGGAAGAGCTCACCTAGTGCAGGCGGGACCAGAAAGGAACCACACCTGCAACCTGAAGCGAAACCTCAGAACTCAACAGAGAATAAGAAAATTGCCAAAGCACTCGGGGAAAAATGGAAAAGAAAAAGAAGGCCGGGCGAATCCCAGCACTTTGGGAGGCCGAGGTGGGTGGATCATGAGGTCAGGAGTTCGAGACCAGCCTGACCAATGTGGTGAAACCCCGTCTCTACTAAAAATACAAAAAAAAATTAGTCGGGCATGGTGGCGTGTGCCTGTAATCCCAGCTACTCAGGAGGGCTGAGGCAGGAGAATCGCTTCAACCCGGGAGACGGAGGTTGCAGTGAGCCGAGATCACACCACTGCACTCCAGCCTGGGTGACAGAGCGAGACTCTATCTCAAAAAAAAAAAAAAAAAAAAAGGAAAAAAGAAAGAAATGGTCCATGAAAGAAAACACATTATTTGACATCAGCCTTCTCATCAGTAACAACGTATGCAAGAAAGCAAAGGCTGGATATCTCCAGAGTTCTACAGGACAACAGTTTAGAGCCTAGAAATCTATGTCTAGGTGAGGCATCATTCAACTTGCGGAAGGGAAAGGCATTTCTGGTCATGCAAGCATGACCTTCTCAGAAAAAGACACAACTCAAAACAAAACACTCCCGTGATAACTGAATCCAACAGTACTGGGAATCAGAGGTGAAGATGAGAAAAAATCAACAAAAACTCATGGCATCCAAGTAGGTTTTGGTTGTAAAAATGTATAACAATAAAAAAATAAAATTCAGATGCAATCCAGGTGGGCAGTGGTGTGGGAATCTGGGTAACCTGAGAGGACAGGAAATAGAAATAACAGATTGCTGGGTATTTTGGGGAATAGAGGGAGGAGATAGCTATTAATTAACACAAGACATTAATAGAAGATATAGGCTTTAGTATGTGAGGTGAAAAAGTAAGACTATTTGAAGAATACAAATAGTCTATATCAATTCCAAAATATTAAGGGAAAAAGTAGATCAAAGAAAACTTAATCAATCTAATAATTGACGAGAGAGAGGCTAGAAATCCCAATGAATCATTATAAATGGAACATATAAAATAAGTCAGTACAAATTTATTAGTAACCTTAATGAATGTGAATAGATTGAATTCTCCCATTAAAAGACAAAGACTTTTGATTGAATAAAAGAAAAAAAAAGTGAAATCCAGCTTTGTTGTTTACAAGAGACAAACATGAAGTGTCACCAGAAGGCTGAATTTAGGGAAAAAATACCAGATATTCATCAGATGCAGCAGAATGAATCGGGTATATCAGTTGTAAAGTCATATATAATATAATTTGAAGTGAAAAGGTTCAAAAAGGTATATTTTTTATTGGTGAAGGATGAAATCTGCCAAACACATATTAGTCCCTTCACCACGCGGCTGTAAATAGAAGACAAAACTGGTGGAAATCCGAGGAGAAGCTGACGAAGCCACAGCCATGGGGGATGAGGGCCTGGATGGAGGCCAGGGCATGAGGACTTGCAGGACGGATGAGAAGGAAAGCAGACAAGGGCGTGACACCCCGACAAACACACGTGGGACAGGAGGCAGCGATTTCAACAATGAAGTAAAACATTTGTGATATAACGTTTTTGGGAAAGCCAGACCCTGGAGAAAGAAGGTAGACGTCCCAATTATTTTCTTCCACCTCACAAATTTCATTATTTCATGATACTTGAACACAGTAGGAGCCCCACAGAGACAGGTCACAGGCTTGGCTTCAGACCTTACAATATGAACTATGTGGACAGGCGTAAGGCCAGTGGCAGAGGCAAGCAGGCTTTGCAGGAAGGTGACAGGAGGGTGCTGGGCCTCACCAAGGCCAGCAGAACGAAGTGGCCTGAAATTCGCACCGGCACGCCCTGAGAAACTCAGCCCTTCCTTCTCAGGCTCCAAGCCCAGCTTTGTGAGACCTGATTGTGACCACCACACCTGGGACATTCCTCTACCCCCTTTTGTGTTCTCTCTCTCTCTTCTCTCCCTCATCTCTCCTTCCTTCTCTTTCCCATTTATTCATTCCCTCCCTACCATTCATTCCTTCCCATTCATTCCCTTCTTTCCTCCCTCCCTCCCTCCCTCTCCCTCCCTCCTCCCTCTCCCTCCCTTCCTCCCTCTCCCTCCCTTCCTCCCTTCCTCTTTTCCTCCCTTCCATCCTTTCTTCCACTCAGTTGAATTCTATGAACCAATTTTAACCACAAGAGAACATCATCATCCAAGTTAATCACGACAAACCTCAAATAGAACCCAACTACCAGAACTCAGAGAGGGACAACCGCTCATGGAGAGTTTGGTGGTGGTTCTCCTGGGGACTCAGGAGAGGGCCTGTGCCTGAGCTGCATGCTGAGCACCCTTAAGTCAATCACAGTTCCGGAAAAATGATTGCACTTGATCTATACCTTTTACTCTCTCTGCCTCTTTCTTCACTTTTTCACTGTTGAGCTGTTCATAATTTCCTCTGAAAAGGGAGAGTTAGGAGGCATTCAGAGGATCTGAAGGGTAAACCCATTAGTCATTCTGTTTCTAAGCACCTGTAATGTCAAATATAATTCAGGGAAAGGCTGACTCCGACTTCTCTGGTTTTCAAGTTTATCATCTCTGCTCTCTGTATCTCCTCTTGCTGAATATACACAAGAGTCAGCTGAGAACTTGATAGGCTCACTCAATGCATGTTCAATCCCACAGAAGGTACATAGTACATGTCTGAGTCTCTCATTGTAATCTGCATTTTGTCTGATGATAGCAACACAAATGTACTCTGCATTGTGCAATAGATATGTGTGCAAATTAATTTTTCTTGGCAAATTATTTGTTTGCGAATGATTTACCTAGCATTTAAGAAATTTTAGTGAGATAGCAAAAGTCACCAAAAAATGTAACCATCACAAGTTGGTGTTTTCTTTCATAGGCTTTTCCTAAATTGAGAAACACTGGCCTCAGGTGTTCCAGTACGACACAGAAGGATGTTAGAACTGTGTGTGCTTGTGGGTGTGTGTCTTGTGGGTGTGTGTTGTGTGTGTTTGTGGATGCATATCTCTGTGTCATGCATGTGTGTGTTTATGTGTGTGGGTGTGTGTGTTGGGGGAACAGCCATGGTTGTTCATATCGAGGAATAATTTCCAAGTGTATGTTGTTAATGAATAGACTTCTAACAGGATCAGCTGCATTTAACCCTAAATAATGGATATTTATTGCAAGTGTCCTGTACCATTAGCATAACAGAGCAGAACCCTTTGTTCTTCTTAAGTCCTGTGCCTTTGCCACAGCCTTTTGCACAATCTTAAAAGCAGGCTGACTCAGAATTGACCACCATCTGCTGTTCCTGACTTGGAATCACCATGAGATTTGTGCAGCCAAACAACCAGCGATCTGATCTGCCTGTCCAATTAGTTAAATAAACTGAAAGGGCTTTGCTGACAAAGTAGTGATAAATGCTCCAATGATAATTATAGAACAGTGTTTTCACATCGCATCCATTGGACATGTTTAATTCTGCGCCAGGCATCACCCATGTAATTTACAAGATGCAGAGAATTAAAGAGTGATGAGGGGGCCATGGATGAGTGGACTCAGCTGCCATGGACACTGGGCGCAGTGCAGCCCAGCCCTCTGTATTCCATGTCCCCAAGGGCAGCACGCTGAGGGGCAGGGTACACATTTGCTGAGGTAATGAAGGAAGGCAGAGCCCAGCGCCCCCTGTCGCCTCCAGCAGGTGCAGGTGCAGAAACTCAGCCACAAGGTACCTTCTTTTTAGCAACTCTTTGAAAGGGGAGATGGATAAATGTAATGACCTTGAAAGCAAGTTCTGCCAGGTATTTCGAGTTGTCGTGAAATATATTAAAACAAGTTCACAATCAATGTGTTTAAGAGTTTATTAGGATAGGCACATAACAGAAAGCTCAAAGGACAACAAAGCTGCACCTTCCTAAAGGCTGACCCTCAAAGCACCATTTTGTTAGAACTCAGAGGAGAAGCTCGATCTCTGAGCCTTCCCTCCTCACAGTTTGGGAAACATGCACAGGATGAAGGTAAATCCTGCATAGAAATCTTGTAATTCCAGAATTAGTCAAACAAATTTGAAATACACACATTTAAAAATACTTACATTCTCATTTAGCATTCATGAAGTGATTACTGACATTTACAATTACATCTGACATCACAGAGCAAGCCTTTGCAGGGATCTAATTCAAGCTTAAGCCAAATCTATGCAAAGAACTTCAGCTCAGAGGAATAGTGGGCAAAATCTGCTGAAAAGAACTGCTTGCCACCTTGCAGATAAGAGCAACAGCACAATAAAGGGATTCCAGAGCTTCTACCTAAAATAGAAGGGCATTATCTACAAGAACAGACCAAAACACAATTTATTTTTAAACAAGCCCTTCAGTGAGTATTTGTCTCAGGAATCTAGTATGAAAATAGTGTCTTTGATTAGTGAATATATGGAGAATTCGGATTATCATCTCTATTTTTAGTTGAGAAAATGCACAAACCATATAGATTTAAACCATGGGTTTTGCAGCCGAAGTAGAGACAGATGTTTTCTGGGATCATATCTCAGATTCCCAAGCTAAAGCTATTGTTCAAGGTGATGGAAATATGTAGGGGGCATTAAACCATTTTGCAGCTGCTAGAAAGCTGTGTTTTCCTGTTTTCCTGATTTAGACAATGGAGAAGCTAAGAAGAGAAATAATAGGAAAGGCTTTCCTATGTTAGTTTTAAAAAGACTGTGTTATTTTTAATTCAATTTTTTTTTGTCAAATCTCATCTCTGTTCTCCTAGTTTTCACAGAAATATTTACAGGAATAAAGGTTGAAACAAAAGTACCTAATGATCATCTCCATCCATCGAAAGATTGCTCAGGGATAAGACACTCAAACAAGGGCTTGTGATGAGGATGGAAAAGACAAAGCAACTTGAAGAGAAAAAAAAATTCTTTTAAACTCAGTTCATCCTGCAAAATGGACATAACACATGCATATAAAGGTTTGACTTTTTAATTCCACTTTTTTGCCTGATCGCAGGGAAGATGGCATGTGGCTGGCCCTTCCTGAAGCCTTGCTCCTCCACCACTGGCTAACAGACAGGCCTCCAGGTGGCCTTGCAAGGCCGACAGTGACCGCAGCCCACTTCCCCACATCCTTAATCAGAGCCTCATGCAGTTCATCCCCACATTACCCAAACATAACGTCGTAGTGCTACACGTAGATGTGTTGCATCATGATGCTATGGCAATGACGATGACGCTTAGGTGTGTGGGCCACCGAAGGCAGAGACCAGATGTGGTTGGTCTTGCCTGGAAGCCAAGCTGTTGAGCAGGGGTGGAGTCCCTCTACAGAGGATGCTCACCAAGTTCTAATGCATTGTCGATAACTGTCCTGCCCTGGTTTTTCTGCATTCCTCAGATTATCTGTGGGAATTGTCCTCCTGCATCCTTTCTCAAATGACAAAGAAGAAAGAAAGAGCAGTGATGGCACCTGAAATTCAGGAATGAGTAGGCATGGCGAGCTGGGTGTGTGAGATGTTCTCTCTTTACATTGTCTGCTTTGAGATGTGGGATGAGGGGAGGGAGAGAGTTGGTCCTGAATATATTCAGTTTTTTCCAAGAGTCTCCCAGAATTATTGACCTATTTGGACAACAAATCTTCATTGTCTTGGTGTCCATCTCCAAGTGAAAACTTCCCCCGTCCCCATGGCCCTGGCTTGTTCTGCTGCTGAACAGGTCACCTGGGCAGAAACACTGTGTCTAGCGAGAAGTTAGCAGGTGGCAGGGTGCACCTCTCCCCATACTGTGACCCTTGGATTCCCCACTGTGCCACGCCCGAGCAAGCTGGGGCCCCTCAGGACAAGGACGATTTGTTAATGGCCTCTTGGCCGGTGGGCATTTGTTTACCCACTACTGTAGCCCCAAGATCCCCCAAACAAGAATTTCCATGCTTCAAAGTAACAGCAAAAATAAACAGGAGAATAAAGCACGTGTTTGAGCCCAGTGGTTTCCATCAGATGCACAACCTGAGCTGTCTGGTTGGGTTGCTGGCTCTCCCCCCGTGGTGGGAGTGGTGTGCAAGAGAAAGCACCACCCAGCAGGAGAGGGACCCAGCCTGCCAGGGAAGGTTTTGAGGAACTGGATTCTTTATCACCCATTTCTCCCCTTGTGGGTTCCACAGAGGGGTTCCATGACCTCCCTGTTGTTGAGAACAGGGCTGCATTCAGAGAACAGACGATGGGCCTGGGCTGTGAGAGCAATCAGAACACTGTGAAAATAGGAGGGCTCGTTGGATCCCAGGAATCATACACAGACTGCGTTGGGGCTGTGGGAAGCCAAGGACAGAAATGTCTCCTTCACCCCAAATGATAAGGGCAAGGATTTTCAAGGCCCAGAGGGAGAAATGTTGCATTTGCATTTATTTAAGTGCTGATGTTGGTCAGCAGCGCATCCAGCCATGTCTTTAGAATCCTCTGAATGGCCAGACAGATGGCTGCTCTCCACACCACAGACTGCCCAGCTTCACACATCACCTAGAGTCTCGTGGCCAAGGAAGTTTTGCCAAATGGACACAGCCTTTGTCTCCCTTAAGTGTTAAACACCAGAGTTCCAACTGAAAACTGGAGACCATGAGATGACTTTAAAAAGAAGTTCCAAATGCCCCATCGAGCCGCACAAAACCTCCATCTTTCCTTTCACTTCCCCTGCCCCTTTAGTTTTCTATTAAAAACAATCTGAACCATAGCATCTATATTTCAAAACTGGCAAGAGTATTAACCCTGCACCTTGTGGCCCTTCAACCACTCCAGAGTGTCACCTCAGAGACCGATGCATTGCTAAGGCAAAACCAGAAACACCCTTTCTCTGAGGCTTTGGGGCCTTGGAGGGAGACACATTTCCTCTGTCTGTTCTCCTGCACAGTGGTGGTAAAAAGCCCACAGGAGACATGAGGCCTCCCAGAGATACTCAGGTAACTTCTAGTGACTCTGACCATCGGTGACCCCCAGGAATGTGTTCCAGTGCCCCAGGCAGAATGGTGCCGTGTCTCTGTGTGTGTGTGTGTGTGTGTGTGTGTGTGTGTGAGAGAGAGAGAGAGAGAGAAAGAGTGCACACTATCGACTACATTATCATAGGGAGAAATATTTGCAAATGTAACTTTTAAAATGAGGATATAATTTAAATGGCTTTGAGCAGTTTTTGCTGTAAAAATGATTTTAGTTAGTCATCTCTTTCCCTCTTCCTTCCCTCCTTACCCCCAATTTTAAGGAAAAGAGACAGAGAACAAAAGTTCCTTAAGCAAACTGCCTGACTAGCTCCCTACTTGGTGTGTGCGCCACCCACACTTCAGGATTTAAAATCTCAGGATGCTGCATCAACTGTGGACTATGAACTGTGCTAAAATGCTTTAAAATGACAACTTTCAAAACACAGTGCATCATCTCCCGTTCACACATCCTTTAGGAAACAGCCTGATGGAACTTTCTGCAGGGCTTCCTCTGTCTGAGCTCGGAGCACTGGCATTCCGGGCAGGATGAAGTGGAGGCGGGGCCACAGGCAGGGTGTCTGAGGCCTGCCCTGGCTCAAAGACAGGTTGTCCTTGAATTTGTTTCCTTGTTAGTGTTGATCACATCCGTAGTCAAGTGTGTGGTAACCTCAGTACATTTGGATGAATTAATTCAAGTATCTGTGAACAAATCCCTGGCCTCTCTCGCCCTAGCCCCGTAGATTATGTGACTTCACAAACACCTGTAATGCACTTCAAGCAACTTTTCTCATATTTTTCAAGCTTCCTTTGCAAATAAACCCAAGGCTATTAGAAATGTAAGAACTAAAGAGGCACTTCCTGCCTCCTTGCCACCTAAGAGGTTAATTGCACTTCTGGCCATTCTGGAGGATGTCAACAGTATCACATTTAGCAAGACTTGTGCTGGCGAAATGGAGGAATGCAAATGTAAAGAAATGTTTCCAGTCCGAACATGTTCCCTTTGACCAAAAAACCAGATCTTCTTACCTAATTGAATAATTAATTGATTTAGTTTTCATCCTAGGAAGAGAAACAAATCATTTCAATCCTAATCAGCATGAGCAACTCACCTTTTCCTCTTAGATGGTGGAAGTGAGCAGAGAAGATATTCAGGGGAGCCCCTTAGCCCCGGCCTCCTCACACCCTGATCCGGAATTGGTCACATTGGAATTTGAAAAGGGAGGGGGAGTAACAATCATTATAGAGTCACGAAATCCCCACCGTGGCACGCCAACACACAGCTTCCACTTCAGGAACATCAAACACCCGTAGAAAATACCTGCATGTTCCAAGGGGCCTTTAAGGAGGAGACTTACAATTGTTTGCTAAGATTCCAGTCCAGTCTTTCAAAAAAATGTGGGTGCCCCTTTGGAATGGGGAGTTCAAAGCTCTGAGGATGGTGGCTGGTGACTCTAGTGTCTCTAGGGCCACCTCACTTTCAGCAGTCTGTCCCAGGTGTCGGACTATGGGAAACAAAACAGACAGCGTTGGAAGCCATGGCGCCTCTGTGCCTGCACGTCCCCACCTTGGGAGAGAGCCCCACGTGCGGCCGTGCTGCAGATGGGCAGTATGCTCTAAGGGGGCCCGAGTGCCTGGCGTGGGGGGAGGTTGAGGGGTCAGCTGCAAGGACCAGGGTGTGTCTGCCCACAGGAAACCTGGGCCTGCTCTTGCTGCCACCTCTTTGTACTGTAGTCAGTGCCCCCATGCCTGCCCATCCCCTCCCCCGGTCACTCAGGGCCCCCTTTACCTGTACTGGTTCTCCATGGCCCTGCTCTCAGCTCGCTCTGGAACCCAGGAGTAACTGTCTGCCGCATTCTGGGGCTTCTTCTCCTTCTTCTCCTCCCTCTTCGCTCTCCGCTTGCGATAGACCAGTAGCCCCAGAGCCAGGGCCAGCAGGAGTAGGATGGCCACCACGGTGCCTAGGATGTAGAATAAAAGCAGCTTTTGCCCGTCAGTGCCATCGTTGTTTTGTGTGGCCACGGAGGAGTCCCCACCTGCAGGCTCCTGGGGGCCAGAGGCAGCTGTGGCGTGATGGATGCTGGGCTCCCTCCAGACGCCTGGGGACCCACTGGGGGCCAGCATCTTGAGTGGGGCAGATGTGATGGGGGCGTCAGATGACAGCGAAGGTCTACTTGTGGTGGGTGTAGCCTTGGGGGTGCCCTCGGGGCCCCTTGTGGGACTGGCTGTTGCAGCACGGGGCACGGTGCTCCCTTCTTTCTCTCCTTTGTCCTCCTCATCGGGGGGCCCAGATGGTGGTCCCAGAGACACAGGCCCCATGGTGCAAGAGACCCCATTTGGGGCCAGCACCCAGCCTGGCAGGCAGCCACAGTGGAAGGACCCTTGTGTGTTGAAGCACAAGCTGTCGCAGAGGGGGCCCCCCGGGCCCACACACTCATCCACGTCCTGGCACTGAGTCCCGTCCTCCCCGGCCAGGACGTAGCCCTCCTCACAGGAGCAGTGAAATGAGCCATCTGTGTTGGTGCAGCCCTGGGCGCAAGGCGAGCGACCCAGAGCACACTCATCCACATCCTGACAGGCCCCCTCTCCAGGACCGCCCGGCTCATAGCCAACCCAGCATTCGCAGCGGAAGCCCCCAGGGGTGTTGACACACTCCTGGGCACAGGGGGAGTCCTGGCATTCATCCACGTCCACACAGTCCAGCTGACTCGAGTCCAGCTGGTACCCTTGGGGGCAGCGGCACGTGTAGTTTTTCCCATGGGGTCCCAGGACGCACGTGGCCCCCCCACGACATGGGCTGGAGCTGCAAGGGTTTCGAGAGGCACAGGTCACCAGGTCATCCAGCAGCCGGAATCCTGGTCGGCAGCCGCAGAGGAAGGAGCCATCCCCCCCTTCAAAGCAGTCCTGGTGGCAGCCCCCATTGTTGAAGTTGCAGCCATACTTGGGGCTGACACAGAGGGGGCCCGAGCTGCCCCAGTCGAACACATCGGGGGCCTTCTCCTTGCACAGGAAATAATGACTCTGAGTCTCGTCCTTGTCACCTTCCCCACAGGCTACATTGGCCGCAGAGGCAAAGGGCACAGCCTCCAAGGAGGAACTGGTGGTCTGGAAGGGGGTGGTGTAGGTCACCTGACCTGGGCCCCCCAGGGCCAGAGGCCGGCACATGCCTTTGAAGCTGAACTTGCACACGAAGCCCTCAATGTTACTTCCGGGGGAGCCTGGGCTCCCACAGGGGCCCTCAGACCACTTGGGGAGGCGGCTGGGAAGGAGCGGCTGGGACAGGTCCAGCAGCAGAGACACACAGCGCTTGGAGATGCACGAGTTCCGGAGCTCCTTGTGCCAGTTAGAGTAAGGCGTGTCCTCCCCCCCGCCCACCCAGCTGAAGCCCTTCAGCGGCAGACTAGGGTCCAGGCACTTGCCCTTCTCTCGCTGGAGCCCAATCCAGAACTTGCTCATCCTCGCCGTCAGGGCTGCCTCCCGCCTCAGGAGCTGGGCCAGTACTCGCTGGACGTGCTGGGCCTCCTCCTTGCTCTTCACAGTGGCCAGGTTGCCCCCGTTCTGGTTGCAGTGGTTCTGGGCCTCGGCAGCGCTCAGCTTGCCCGAGTGGGCCGTGTAGCAGGCGGTCCCCACGCAGACCACCGCCTCCGTGTCAGCTCCCGTCCCCGCCCCGGGCTGGGTCAGGAGCAGCAGCAGCAGCAGCAGCAGGCCCATGGAGGTGGCCATCCCGGTCTCTGTGTGGCCCTCTGCGGGAGGCGAGAAGCCCAGCGGCGACAGGAGCTTCTATCTCGGCTCCCAGCTGGGCCCCAAGGGGAGCTGAGGGGTGAGCTGCAGCCACTCCGGCGCAGAGAAGGACACAAAGGCTGAGGGCTTTCCACGTCCCCCTGACCCAAGGCGCATCCTGTACTGTTGTACTTCTTATTTCTCACCGGATGTTGGGGCTTCCTGCAATGAATAGTTCTCTGACTCCTGCTGCCTTCATCACGGTGCTGTTGTTCATAAAAGGAGTCAGGCAGCTCTGCCGGGTCCCTGGCTCAGCACTGTGGAAACAGCGACGGGGGGAAGACGTTACAGCCCCGAGATACTGCCGGCTTGATTTTGGCTCCATTCTCTTTCTCATGGCATGAGGAGCCTCGGAGGCATGCCATGGAGTGAGCAGGGGCTTTGGGGGCTAGGAACTCGAGGAAGCTCCCTTAGTAACCCATAATAAAATTCCACTTTGGTTTGCAAACCACCAAAAGAGAAAAAAAAAATTCTGAGACTTAAGACACAAGGCCATGGATGGTTATAATTTTCAGCCTTTTTTAGAAGCAAACTGGACTTTCCTTTTGCCTAGCTCATGTTCTCTGTTGACTTTGGGAGCCTTTTTTCTTTTATCCTCCCATCGTGAACCTTAAATAGACAGGCATTTTTTAAATAGGATACGGGTCGTGGGAATGTCTGGGTTTTCAACATAATGCCAAGCTCCTCGATAATGTTAATCCAAATTGGGTGAAATTTGGCAGTTCTGGGGGTTTCATAGTGGAAATATTGCATTGTGAGGTGTCAGGGTCACAAAAAGCATCAGAAAGAAAATGAAAATGTGTCCGGCCTCGTGGCGCAGGGCTTGCAGGCTCACTTCCCCCGGCTCAGGATTCCTAGCAAGGGCCGGAAATCTGGGCAGGGAGCGGGAATCGAAGCCCGGGCAGGCCCTCCCGCGACACCGCGACTCGGCAAAAGCCAGGGACTCACAGTGTGCTTTTCCTGCAGCCACAGACCTTTGCTCATTGGTTGGGATCCCCCAGGAGGGGACCCTGAGACAGGATTTGGGGAGACTAGTTTATGTGGGAGGGGAAGTGAAACAGACAAGGAGGAAGCCAACCCATGATGACTTGCTGAGAAGGTGACCCTGGGCTGCTGGAGCCAGTGCCAGGAAACTCTGGGGGCCTGAGGGGACCACACCTCAGCACCATCTCAGCTGAGGGAGAGGCTCCACTGCTCTCCAAGTCCCCTGTCATTGGTAGCAGGCTGTATCTCTCACTTTGAGAGACTGACTATAAATTCTAGCCCTGCCCAGTGACCAGGGGTCTCTCTCACATAAAACTTGTTTCTATGGACAGACACCCTTGTGGCTCTCGTCTGACCCATGTCCAGTTTATTCCTATCAAGACAGCCACTTCCTAAGAGATCCCTGATGGGAGGAGAGTTGGGTTGGGGTGTGGGTCAGGGGAGATGCAGGAGGCAGCACAAGAAGACACAGGAAGCAACACAAGCACCGTGTCACTTACAGATCCCAGGGAGAGGGCAGTGCACCCCACGGGGCCAGCAAAAAGTGGGGAGCTGTCTGGGTCACAAACACTCACCTGGAGGGGGGTGAAGGGAGAGAGAGAGACCTGGGTCCTAAGCCTTTATTGGGGTCCAGGACGTTTCCCAAGCAGGTTTCCCAAGGGGACTTCTCACTGGTGGGTTTAGAGCAAACAGACACGGGCTCCGTGGGGTCCCTGTGGCTGAGAGGTGGGCATGGCGGCATGTCTGGGAAGTCCCTGTGGGGTGTGGAGTCACTGAGACCATCAAATGGGCTGTATCTGCCTGTCCCACAGGGAAATGGTCACCAGGAGGTGGGTGTACAAGGCAGATATCTGGGTTGGCCGCATTGAGGAACTGGGAGGGGGTGGAGCCCTAGACACCGTGTCAAGAGCAATAAACCCTGCTTCTGGTAGGAGAGGGTCCAAATTAGATTCAAAATGGATGCAATGCACAATTATAAGAATTCTCTACACAGCGGCAACTCTTTGGTGCTCTGCACTGACCGTGAGGGCCCCAGGGGAAGAAGCGCCACGGTGGAGAACACAGTGAACGCCTGTGGACCCGGCACCAGCGACCACCACAGTGGCCTCCATGGAGATGTTGAGTTGTCCCGGGGGCTAGGAGCTCGCTGGCTCCCCAAGGGACAAGGAGGCATCTCTGACTCCAGCTGGATACCTCCTAAGAATGTGCCTTAAGTCCTTGCATTTTAGCAAAGATATTTGAGACATTTTGGGAACTCTCCATAGAAGCCACCAGACCCTCCCTGTGCCCCTTCATTCATCCATCTGTTTGTCCATCCACCCATCTAACAATTGTTGATTAAGACCCTGCTATGCACTGAGTGAGGCACTGGATTCCAGGAGGGGATCCCTGCCTCTGTGATCCTGGAGTCCTGTTAGAGTGGACAACTTTGAACAAGTCACGGCACTGATGGCTTTATTGCAGGCAGCACAGGGGAGCGGGGAGGTCGTGGTTGATACAGGGGTGGCATCCTGACTGGGGGATGGGCAATTAGGAGAGACTCCTCTGGAGAAGACAGGCAGTCAAGCCGGAATCTAAAGGAGAAGCAGCTCAGATGTGGAATGGTGTCGGGATGGGGGAACAGCATGTACAGAAGCCCTGGGGACAGAGAGTGAGTGAAGGGCAGGGAGACCAAAGCCCAGGCAGTGGGAGGGAGGATGCAGGGGAAGATGGAGCCCTGTGAACCCCAGTAATGAAGGCTTGAGGCTTCGTCTTGAAATCCACGGGGAAACACTGAGGGCTGGCATGAGGCCTACATGTGGAAGGGGACTGGTCAGTGGACCCAAGCAGTGGGTGGGGGGGCCCTCAGCAGGTGGCCGCAGGTTTCCAGGCTGTGGAGTCCAGGTCAGATGTTCTCGGGGCTGGGTGGAGGTGGGGGGAAGGGCACCGGGCACGCAGAAGGACTGCATGGCTCCTGCCGGGAGCTGGGGTCCTGGAAGGCTGTGTCCGCTGGAGGTACCTGGTTCTGAGAACACAGGGGATTGCCTCTTGGGGCTCAGGGTCTCCCAGACCCCCTGTCCTTGTGACCTGCCTCCTCGGGACGCTAAGTGTGCCACCAGAGCTGGGTAAGCAGCCAGCTGTGAGGGGTCCAGGGAAGGCTGGTGTCCCTGGCTCCCAGTCAATATAGCTGGCCATGCATTTGAGTTTGGCAAGGGTCAGTCTTGTTCTCTGCTTGGGAGAAGCTTCATTTCTAAGGGTTTATTTACAAGCAGGTAACTTCTTAACATTCTGTAAAATCAATTCTGCAGCCCTAGCATCCACTCATAGCAGGGAGCCGTTCTCGTGGTCTAGGCCCCTGTTTGTGCAGCTCGGAGGTAGATTCCTCAGAGGTAGATTGTGATCTGCAGCATTCGCTCAGCATTCTACTTAGTTGGTGCTTAAGGATATGGGCTAAATGAGTGACTTTCAGCATGTTAGCCACTCTGACCCCCAGATCTTTGTCAAGATATCTTCTTTAGCTGTAAGTTATTCATCTTCCATGTGGGAACTTTCAAACCAATTACTGTTCACTTAGCCAAGTGATGACATCTTAAAGAAGAAAATGAACTAGCAAGACATATACTCTGTTTTTTATCCATTAACCTTGGAAGTATTTGTAAAGCACCAACAGTGAGAAAGACTATGTAAAATGCAGAAACTGCCTTGCCCTGGGGGTCCTTGGATTTTACTTTATTATTTTCAGTAACTTGGTTAACTCAGCCCCACTTCTCATCTATAAATGCAGAGGTGGGAACAGGGCCTCTGGAAACTTTCTTGCTCTAACATTAATAAAAGTGAAATCATGCTTAACTCTCCCCTCTGGAATTAGGGAGAAAGCAAGTTGGGAAGAGAGTGGACACTGAGACCATTGCTGAGCCCTCGACATACTGCACATGTAAGCAAACCTCTGTCTAAACTGCACACACCCAATTTCATCCCAAATTGACCCGCTGACTGCCAAGACACAGGGTAGTTTCCTATTCCTTGTCCCCCACATCTGACTTCCACTGTGTCCCTTCACCCTTTGGCTGATCCCTGCTGGGCTCAGGTGGGTTAATTCACCTGGGACACTTACAGCTAGGTTCTCTAGCTCCAGCCCCGCCCTTCTGTGTCCGCTCCCACCTATAGGGGACGCTCCTTAGAGGCTGTTCAGGGGATTCGTAGAGGCTGAGGGCATGGTGCTTCGACCTCAGGGGAGGATGAAGAGCTTGCTTTTCCTGGGAGGGATTTGGTGGAGTTTTACAAAGAATTTAAGATAGTCTGAATGCAAACTTTGAGGGAATTCTGCACCTCACATACTAAATTCCCCATGGATGGTGTTTCATCCCATTTTATTTAGAGAGCAGATTATACCAGACCTCTCCAAGGACCGATACTTAAACAGCAGGAATCAGCAGAAGGAGATGGAAAAAGTTTTTCTCGGCAGATCTTTGGACGGAAGCCACGTTAGGTGTTCTAGAACCATGGCGAGCCTAACAGCATGGCATGTACCCTGAGCAAAAGGCTCCTCACCATTTGTGTGTATTCTGCAGTCTTTATGAGTACTCTGAGCTTTCTTTTTAAATTGCCTTAAAAATTTACTTTGCACGATGCTGGAATGGAATGTTCTGATCTCAAATATGGGGCGAGTTTAATCTCAGTTATTTGGGAGCAGACTAATTGGTTTGTGGATCATTCAGGCATCCGGCCTGTCTTTTTCCTTTTTTTTTTTTTTTGTAACTAAAAATTAAATTAAAAAGGGAAACAAAGCACACTGCGTATTTCCTGGCATAACATGGTATATGGTAGACTCACAATGAGCAACAGTGGCACAGAAATGGTGGAGGAAATGAAACAGAACTGGAGTCACTGTGACCTGTCATTCTATGGGACCACTTAGGGATTTTGTGTTCAAAGTTTAAAACAGAAACAGAGTGAAAACTGTGAGACCTGATATTTTTGTTTGTCAGTACAGATTTTAGTTCATACATGAGGCGCTTAACAGAATTTGAATAACATTTTTGTAAAATTGAAATTTGTCCTTTATTAATCGTTTGCTTTAAAACTTAAAAAACTAGGAAAATCACTAATATTGATTATGACATGATGATTTCTGAAAGTCATTGTGTTGTACAGAGGTGAGGGGTGCTACAAGGTTCACCCTGGGCACAAAGATGCCAGGATTGCTGCAGGCAACCCCACTCGAGGACACCCGTCTGCCCTTGGGGGAGGCTCATCGATTGACCATCTGTCCTGCATTGAGAGGGATAGAGGCTGGGGGCAGTGGCTCTTGCCTATAATCCCAACAATTTGGGAGGCCAAAGTGAGTGGATCACTTGAGCCCAGGAGTTCGAGACCTCATCTCTACTTAAAAAAAAAGAGAAAAGATGAGTGGAGTGTGGTGGTGTGTGCCTGTAGTCCTAGCTACTCGGAGGACTGAGGTGGGAGGAGGATTGCTTGAACCAGGAAGGCAGAGGTTGTAGTGATCAAGCCACTGCACTCCAGCCTGGAAGATGGAGCCAGGCCCTGTCTCAAAAAAAAAAAAAAAAGAGAGAGAGAAAGGCTGGAACCTGTCTGCACTGGGTTACAATCCCACTCTGTGACTTACAGCTGTGTGACTAAGGTCACGTCTGAGCCACTCTGTCCACTGTTATATGGTACAGCTATCTGTGACTCCACACCCTCAGCTGTCTCCGACTCTCACAGGGCTTTGTGAGGGCTAAGAGAGTGCATACCTAAAAGAAGCTCAGAAAAGCACCTGGCAGGAACAGTGAATTCCTATCACACCAGGACACGGTGGCCTGAGACCACCCTGACTCTACTCCCGCAACTGGAACTGGGGCCTCAGCCAGTTGCTGGCTTTGGGATTGGGACCAACACTTTCACTTCTTGGGGCCTTGGTTTCTTAGTTTACAAAACAGGGAGGATAAGAGTCATGATGCCGCTGTCCTGTCAGTGGGATTAAATTAAAAGAGGTCCTAGTGGTAAGTGCTTCCTGCAGGGGCTGACACGTGGCCGACATCAGTGGACAACAGTCATGTCAATCTGATTGCAATGAGCAGAGACAGAGCCCACACCCCCAGGGCCCATCCCTGCCAAGGCAAAAATGAAAAGGAGTAAAACCTCCCTTATGTTTGCTGGAGACACGGAGCTTGTATTTTTCAAAAACTTCCCTGGCTTTAGAGTGTTTGTTTGGATCCTAGGCTGGGTAAACATTCTTCTTAGAGTGTTATTGATTTTTCCACATTTAGTAAATAGTCTTCTGACATAATTAATCATGTACCATATTTATAGAAAACTTGGCTGGGCTGAATGTTGTTTTTGAGGTTAACTTGTGCTCACCTCTTGACACTGGCCGTGATAAGCAAAGGCTACTCACCAGCCTTTGGAAAGAGATAAATCATGGAGGGAAACAGAGTTTTCAGCAGGATCGGGTTCACACATTTGATCTCCAGGGACAGCTCTGAGCATGAAATACAAGTCTCTAAATTATGCTCACACAGCTGGTGTGGATGATTTCAGGTTCCATTTGACATTAACAGCATCCTCAGTGATTCCAGTAAGTTGTCGTAACAATTTAGCCATATTTAGACAATATAATTTGATAGAAATAAAAATGATCTATTTAGCCTAACTTGTCAAGATCTAATTCTTCAGAAAAATGAGAACAATGACATCACAGTTGTTTGAAAAGAAGTCATTTAATTTGAATAGATAAGCCTGCTTTTCCGGGAAAATTTAATTTCCTTTGGGAAGCTGACTGGGGAATTCTGAAGATTCCTGAGGAGTATAGACTACAACTGGAAAGGAAGACCTCACAAGCACTGGTTGAGAACCCTCCAGTGCTAGGTGTATTTAGGTCCACACCCAGGAACCCTTGGGATGAGGGTTTGCAACCAGGGAGACTGTCCAGGAGCAGGAGGAAGCGCTGGGTCTCAGCCCAGTCTCCCAAGGCCAGGACTGCTGCCTTTGCCTTGCCGCATCTCAGTGGGCATCCCCAAGCTCCACTGACTTAGCACAAGATGGGAATAATAGCCCCTATCTTCTGTAGTTTCAACCACTAGTCAAAATGTGCCACTTACTAGCCACGTGCCCCTGGGCAAACACCGTTCCTCTCTGGGCTTCAGTTTCCTTACATGTAAATGGTGTCACATCCACAGAGCCATGAGGATTAAATGAGATGACTCAGTAAAGCGCTTGGCATAGTAGGTGGTAAGTCTGTGGTTCCACGATTAGTGGTATGAATACAATCTCACATTTACTGAATAACAGTTCTAATGATTTATGGTTATTATTTTTGCCCTAGGTGATTCTCTGGCAGGGAAGTCACCAGGAACCCTCCAGAAGGAAGAAATGTCTAGCATGTCCTAGGTCCCCGCACCCTTGCAAAGACCCAGAGATGAAGCAATGCTGGATAGACCCCACCTGCACACAGAGAAGAAAGGCTGCTGGAGAGACATCATCAGAGGAGAGAGACAGTGGCTCTAATCCAAGAATCCAGGCAACGTGTGTAGGGCTCAGGGTGGCATGTGTGTGTTTTCATGCCCAGCACCAGGACCTGAGCACTGAGAGCTTTCCCTACCTGCCATGGGATCCTGGTATCAAGGTGTTGCCCGAAGGTTTCAGCACCATGTGGTCAATTGTCCATGCATCTTTATGCCAATCTATCATCCCCGCTGCTGGGTCCCAGAGCCATTCAAGTTGGTCTGAGGCATTCAGGGCTTGCCATCTCCCAGTGGGCACAAGGCAGCTCCCCTGCAAGAACACTTCCCAGCTTTGATGACCTAACCCTCCTTGCTGGGGTGCAGATAAAGGACACGGCAGGTGCACTACCTCTGTAACCCTCACTCAAATATGCCAGTCTGTGGGCTCATATGCCTTGACCTCCAAAGCACAGACATGCCAGCTGGGCATAAGCTGGGACCCCTTTGGAGGGGAGCCAGAAGCATTCAGAGCCATCAGCAAAGCAGAGTCTGCCTCTCTGCAGGGAGCTGTCTGTGGAGCTCCCTGTGTGCCCTGATGGTAGGATTCAATCGCTCCACAGAAACCTGGAATTCTCCCTGTTGTCCTGAACTGTGAGAAGCCAAGTCCTGTGTTTTAGATACAATACCATCTGAATTCTGCTCTCACTGCTGGCCCATGTTCTGTGGCTTCAGCCGAGTAATTCCACTCTCCAGGGCTCTTTGTCATCCATCTGTGAGAGCCAGTCCGGGCAGAGAAGGAGAGGAGCAGGGCAAGCTGAGAATGCAGCCCATGATGCCGCCCCGATTATGGTGTTTCCTCACTGGACACGTGGATGAAGCGTGCTCGGGTTTTGACATCTCATAAAGAATGAGCTGACAGAATTGGGTTTGATTCAGTCATTTTGAAAATAAGCGAAGTTGCTTTTTGATATCCTTTTTGTCGAAAATGACAAATAGCTTGCCTTTGTGTATACCTGCCTCGTTTCTCAGTCCGGATATATCTGTTTCTTAGGAAGTGGGGGGACCAGCAGGAGGGGAGGAACATGGCTGTCTCATGGCCCCAGCAGCCAGAGAAAGCCCCCAGGTAGGTGCTGGCTGTGACATCAGGTCCCCGTGCACTAAAATAGTGGGGAGCAAGGAGCATGGGTAGGGCACATGCCCAGTCTGCCCCTGGTGAAATGACAGAGAAGAGCCCTTCCTAGTTAGGCATTCAAATCACGACTGGATCCCCCAATACACAAAGGCGTGGTTGATGTTTCCATGCCAGATCCTAGCACGGAAAGCTGTTCACCCAATAAGCGTCCACCCACGCCCCCACTTCTGGCCTGTTCCACTGATGAAGGTGCCCGTATATGTATCTGTCTGCCCATAGTGGGGTTTCTTTGCCTGCTTTTATTTTACCAGTGGCTACATTTCATCATCCAGCTTCATTTCCCATAGAAGTTCTGAATGTTGTCTGGTTTTCCTCGAAACTATGAATCACACTGTGCACGCCCTACCTCTCTCTAGCATTGTAAGAAAAGCACTCCTCTGTGCAGGACACAATCCTGTCTACTGCCCCTGAGAGCCCTGGTTCATCTCGTCCCTCCATTCCAGTTCCTTCTAGAAGGTAAAAGTTGGAAAGTGACCTGAGCCCAGTGCGGGACAATATGGCAGTGCTCTTCAAGGCCTCCGCTGGAACATCTTGTGTCTCCCAAGCTGGATGCTGTGCCTGGTCATTGGAGAAAGTAAAGGCAAAGCCTCAGGACAGCTTCCAGACACCAGTCTCTTCATCGGGACGAGGTCAGCTGCTGGCTCCCAGGTTGGGTCCAGCTCTTCATCATTTACTATTAGACCCACACAGTGTTTTAAATATTTCAGTGAATTGTGCATATTTAAGAAATGTGAGATTTTACAGAAAGATTTGCATTTCTGGCTTTTCTAAAAAAAAAAAAAAATCAAAGTGTCTTGCAATGCTGGCAACCAGCCCAACGTGGCAATCAGTGCCTGCATTAGCTTCCTCCTTAGTGCCGCCAGGCTGGCTCCTGCAGCCCTGGGAGCCTCAACATCACTAAATACCTATAACACAATAGCCTATGCATCTTCTATCGAAAGTCATGACAGTTCTTCAAATGAAAGTTAGCTGGGAACTATCCAGGATTCTCCCTATACCAAGCTTGTCCAACCTACAGCTCAAGGGCCCATGAGGCCCAGGATGGCTTTGAATGCAGTCCAACACAAATTCATAAACTTTCTCAAAACACTATGAGATTTTTTTGGTGATTTTTTTTTAGCTCATCACTATCGTTAGTGTTAGTGTATTTTATGTGTGGCCCAAGATAATTCTTCTTCCAGTGTGACCCAGGGAAGCCAAAATATTGGACATCTCTCCTCTTTATAAAGCAGGGAGGGTCCTTCTAATTGTAACATCTTATGAATTCTTGAAGACTCTACAACTGTTACTCTCCCTTATTCTTCTTAAGACCAGCTCCACTGTGCACCTGATGCTAGTAAGCGTTGGGACGTGCTGGGAGACTCCCCTATTCAGGGGACAACCCTGACAGATCTGAGCAATGATGACATTTCTGTCCCCAGCTGACACCTGGCTCAGGAGGGACCTGGCTCAGGAGGGACACAGACTGGCCCATGTGGCATAAGGGAAAGTTCCATATGCTTCTGGGAAAGTCCCCCTTGCTCTTAAACAGAGACTGGAGAAATGGCCAGCCTGTCCTCTGAGTGATCTTCTGAGGGCTGGTGTGCAAAGCTGCTGTGGTCAGGACAAGCTGGCTCAGAAAGGTGGCAAAAAGAGGGCAGGAGCTCGGGTCCCCAAAAGCCTCCTGGAACTGTGGGATTCACCAAACCTGAAATGATCCCACCTGAGACTTCTTATATGAAATTATTCTCATTCTTAATTGTTTGAGCAGTTATACTTTGGTTGTTACTTGCAGCCAAAAGCATTTTCTCCAGACTTCTGAGTCCTAAAAATTTCATTCTTTGACACAAGAGCTGACCCAGAGGCCCTGAAGCCCCTCTCAGGCCTGCAGAGCTTTGGTCTGTTTGCTGAATCAGATTCATATCTACACAACAGTTCTAGGGCCAAATTCTGCTCTCCCACACTCCCACCCACTCATATTGGAAGACAGAAGAGTCTTCTAGCTGAACTGTTTCTGGTGAAAGAGTAGCCTTCCTTCGCGGGCACTGACACTGAGGGAAGCAGCTCAGTGGCTACTTCCACCTGCAGATATTCCAGGTGGTGGCTCAGAACAGCTGACAACCATACCTGGGGAAGACTGGCCTTTATTTTTCTGGTTGTTCATACTCCAACAGCTAGCACCGTACGTTGGGGTCCAATGAAGCGAGCAGCAGTAGATGGCATGGCCAGGGCAAGGCAGACACGCTGGAGCAGTCGGGAAACCTGGCATCTACACCCATGCACTGGCACCCTCACCTTCCTGTTTCCCGTGGGAACAAAGTGGGCGGCAAATGCAGGGTGAGATACTGGGTCACTTCAGGCTCCAACTTGCAGAAGCTGTTTCAGACCCACAATGGGAGCAGGCTGCATCTTTTGCCTACTCAGGATAAAACGTGACACTGCTGCGTCATACAGAGATAGTTCTGCATGGTTTCCTAAGAAAGGCAAAGCCAGAATGCCCGGGGACTACCAGCATTTTACCTGAGTAATTACCATGTGAGCATGTTATCTTCAGGAACAATTTTGCTGTGCTTTAATAATTTATCTCTGAGCTAAAAAATTATAATTGAAAATGATAAGCACTTTCACGAGTTGGGTTGCCACACTGCAAAACCAATTTATTGCACAGAAGATTATAAAACACATTTCCATTCAACTCAGTCTCAAGTGATGGGCAGGTTGGAGGGGCTACAGAACCACAGTAGTATTAGGAAACTGCACAACTCGTATACCAAATAAAAGCATCAAGGATATGGGGGCAGCTGGAAAGCAGCCCTGCTCTGGTTGAGGGTTACTGTCGACATCTCCCTGTAATACAGCAACCTGATTCCTAAAGAAACAGATACAGTAGGCACTTCACTCAAACTAATGCTCTCCTCAGCCCAGGGCAGGGGAGCTCAGCCACAGGCCAGGTCCAGCCTCAGCTTTGCCAGATCCTTGCACGGGTCATGGAGGAGGCTCCTGGACCCGTGCAAGGATCTGGCAAAGCTGAGGTCCAGGCCAGCACAGCCCAGTTCTCTCCTCCTGCTGCAGCCAGGCTCTCAGCACGTGCATTCACCCCCACTGCTTTCCATCTGCCCACTTCTTCATTCATGGCTGTCCTTTCTGCCTCTCTGGTGTCCTGGGGCTGCTTTCACGTCGGCCTCCTCTGACCTCTGCAGGCCAACCACATGGGCCCCATCAGTCCTCTGCTCCCTGACCCTCAGGCATCCCTCCTGGAAGTGTCCAGTGTGTGGGCACCAGGTGGTCCACATTCCCTGGGCCTCTTCCCTGCTCTGGCCTCCACAGGGTTCCCTCCTGGGCCCTGTCTCTCTCCTGCCCAACTCACCGCTGCTCGGTTGCATCCACTCCCCACATGTCTCCTACTGCCCCATCTCGCGGCCTCACAGATGTGCCTGTCCACATCAGGCCTGTCCTTTCATCTCCCAATCAGAGCACCCAGCTGTCCACTATTTCCCAGAACATCTCAGAGTCACCAAGACCCAAACTACTCCCACTTCCTCCCCCAGTCCACCATCCGTCCAGTGATCCACGACGTGCAGGCGGCATCCTTCCTCCCACCTTCCCAGCCTCTAGGGATGATCTGGCTCCATGCCCTGGGCCAGTCCTCTTTTTCCCCGCCCATGCCCCACCTCCACCGCCTCTCACATGGGTGGGCACAGCACTGGTGTCCTGACCAGCCCCTGGCTCCAGCCTCATCCCCTATGCTCCATGCTGTAAGGTGAGATCATGTTGAAATAGAAGCCTGATCATTTGTTTTCCCATAAGCACACACACCACAGTGAAATGCTGCTGGGGCTTGCCATTGATCATAGGATAAAAATCAGATTTTTTTTTTTTTTTGAGGCAGTCTCACTCTGTTGCTCAGGCTGGAGTGGCACGATCTCGGCTCACTGCAACCTCCGCCTCTTGGGTTCAAGCGATTCTCCTGCCTCAGCCTCCCAAGTAGCTGAGATTACAAGCATGTACTACCATGCCCAGCTAATTTTTTCTATTTTTAGTAGAGATGGCATTTCACCATATTGGTCAGGCTGGTCTCAAACTCCTGACCTCAAGTGATCCGCCCACCTCAGCCTCCCAAAATGCTGGGATTACAGGCATGAGCCGCTGCGCCAGGCCAAAAATCAGATTTCTAACACGGCCCTGTTAGCCCTGGGACTTTGGTCCTTCTTGTTTTCTTTTTTCTTTTTTTAATTTTTTTTGAGACAGAGTCCCGCTCTGTCACCAGGTTGGAGTGCAGTGACGCGATGTCAGCTCACTGCAACCTTCGCCTCCTGGGTTCAAGTTATTCTCCTGCCTCAGCCTCCCGAGTAGCAGGGACTACAGGCACACGCCACCACGCCCAGCTAATTTTTGTATTTTTAGTAGAGACAGGGTTTCACCATGTTGGCCAGGATGGTCTTGATATCTGGACCTTGTGATCTGCCCACCTCAGCCTCCCAAAGTGCTGGGATTACAGGCGTAAGCCACCGTGCCCAGCGGATCCTTCCTATTTTCATGTCCACATTCCCCAGCCACAGTTCTGTGGGCCACCCAGTCCTTCCACAAGGCCAATACACACACACGCACACACGTGTGTGAACATGCATGCAGACTGAGTGACTGATGAACTCTTTTAACTGCATTAGGCCTTGGGGAGCTTTGCCCATCTCCCCACTGTAGATTCAGCCTCCTGGTTACATGCTCTCACTGCAAACCTCTCAACCTTGCTCCTCTTCCTCCCAGAACTGAGCATAGTGGTAACTTTGTATATGTGAAATTGATCTCCCAACAGTAAACTGTGAGACAGTCAGAGCTGGAAACTCATCCCTCTTGTCTATTGCTGGCTCCCTAGTGCCTGCTATAGGGAGCAAGTGATCAGTAACTACTTGATCCCAGCCATACATGGGAATCACCTGGGGTGGGGGACAAACCATAGTACCAAGCCCCATTCTGGACCAACTATATCAGACTTGCTGTGGGTGAGGCGCACGCGCACACACACACACACACACACACACACAGGTGATTCTTACACCAGCTCTGAGAAGCACTGAGGTTGGGAAGTGAGAGGTGGAGAGCTTGCTAGCATGAATATTGATGTCACAGCGTGAATCTTCACTGTTCCTTGTTCCTTTCCCCAAGGCCAAATAGAAGAGTCCCAGATGTTCTAACTAGCTTTATTTCCCCAAGTGTCAGCATTTGGCCAGCATGCCTGAAGATCTAGAAACTGCAGCTTCTCTGCCACATACAGCCAATGCTTCACCACCCGCCTTGTGCAGGGAGAGCAAGCCTCAGCTTTGCCTGTACACTGTGCTGTGCACACCAGATCCCCAGCATAGGACAGTAACAGCACAGGCACTGCAGGGGACTTCAGGGAGGCCTGAATGGCCCTGGACCCCCAGCCCAGACTTCTGTGCAGAAGAGTTAAGAGTTATTGAGTGACTGCAACCTAAAGGATATTTCTTCTTTAGGTCATTTAACTACACTACCAGCTTCTTGAAGCCAGGGGCTGCGTCTCGTGGACCTTATTGTCTGCTCAGCAATAACACAGGGCCTGGTGCTTTCTGACGAATCCACACACATGCACTGAGTGGAGCTGCGCTCACGGATGAGCACAGCTGCATCTTTCACGGAGGCTGCTTTCCTGTCAGCTTGCATTTCCCTGGATCTCTGTGTACTGTGGAGTACAGGGCCTTGGGCTGAGCCCAAAGCATTCTGAGCAAAGCATGCATGTATGGGCATGTATGGGAACTAGGAGTTCTAAACGCTTTCCCTTACCCTGTCCCCTTAATCCTCTTACCAACCTGCAAGACAGGTCCTTCCACAGTTTCATGTGAGATGAGTAACGGCAGTTTTCTCAGCTGTTAGGCAAGCTGATGCCTTGCCAAGCTCAAACCTGGAAGACTGATGTTGAAGAAGCAAGGAGGGTTGAAAGAGCCATGAGTGAACAAGGAGCCAGGAGTGATGGGGAGCCAGTAGTGATGGGGGAGCCAGAAGTGATGGGGGAGGAGCCAGGAGTGATGGGGGAGGAGCCAGGAGTGTTGGGGGAACCAGGAGTGATGAGGGAGGAGCCAGGAGTGATGGGGAGCCAGTAGTGATGGGGGAGCTAGGAGTGATGAGGGAGGAGCCAGGAGTGATGGAGGAGCTAGGACCCTAACTTATACCTGGAGTAGAAAGAGTAGGGACATGAGGAGGAGCATCCACTGAAGGAGTTTATGTTCCTTTTTGACCTGATGTGCCTCCAGAAATGGAGCCTGACAGAAACGGGAATCTGCAGCCAAAGTCCTTTGCCCTCTCTTGGTCAGGCTTTGCTGTATTAATTCCATGTTCATGCAAACATCTGTGCATGAGTGTCTATGACAACTGTATTCACAATAGCCAAAACCTAGAAGCAACCCAATTATCCTTCCACAGGTAAATGGTTGAAAGTGGCTCATCCATACTCTGAAATACTACTCAGTAATACAAAGTAATAGATTGATCCACACATCTACCTGGATGCGTCTCCAGAGAATTATGCTGAGTGGGGCAGCCATAACCAGAGGTTCATGTTGTATGCTTCCATTTATGCAATAATCTTAAAATGATATTCTATCAATTCTTTCAATGGAGAACAGACTAATAGTTGTCAGGGGTTAAGGTGGGGTGGAGTCAGGGGGCAAGTGAGTGTGGTTAAAAAAGGACAGCAGGAGTCATCTTCATGGTGACAGACATGTGCCGTGCTCTGCGACAGGGTCAGTCTCCTAGTGGTGATAGTGTTCCATAGCTTTACAAGGTACTATCACAGGTAAAACTGGGTAAAGGGTACATGGAATCTTTCTGTATTATTTCTCATAAGTTGTATGTGAATCTGCAAATATCTCAAAATAAAATGTTTTATTAAAAAAAAACAGGAGAGATTCTCAGGGCAGAAGTTTACTTATACATTGCATAAGAACTAGATGCAAGTGGCTTTGTCACCTGTTCGCTGCAGGGAAGTCACACCCGTCCAAAGGGCCACCAGCATCCACCTGGATCTCATGAACCAAAGGCCAGTGCTCATTGCCCAGCCCCGCAAAGCTGAGGTGTTCAGTGGGGCCAGAGCTGCAGGCCCTGGGAGGGGTGGGGACAAGCTTTGTGCCAAGAAGGTGCAGGAAGCCATCCAGCAGGGCTTTGATGGTGCAGTGGGCACTATAGCCTCTACCATCCTAAGAAGATGCTGGAACTGTCAACACAATAGCCAGTCCTCTGCAGGCGCTGTCTCCAGAAAGTTCTGTTAAAATGTAACACACTACAGAAGCAAAGGAACACCATTACCATCATAACATCAGGGATCTGCAGCACTTCCTGTAAGAGCCTATACACTAAATATTCTCAGCTTGGCAGGCCACTGGTCTCTGTTGCAACTATTTAAGTCCATCTTTGAGGCTTAAAAGCAGCCATAGACAATATGTACAGCAATGGGCATGGCTGTGTTCCAATAAGACCTTCTTTACAGAAACAGGCCGCAGGCTGGTTTGGTCCACATGCTGCAGTTTGCCCACCCCTCCCATTATTTTATATGATGTTTTTGTAGTTTGCGGGGCTTGTTGGCCCCAGCCACCACTGAGGGTGCATGGATACCTCTTAGCAGGTTCAGAGGTGGACCTCTCTAACTGAAGGGAAGCATGGGGCAGCTGAGGGCCGGATAAGAGCCTGGGGTTCTGGGAAGGGTGCTGAAGACCAGCTTGGATACCCACACTGGCCCTGTCAGGGGTCCTTAGAGCCAGATGGGAATAAGCTAAAAATGGGGTGAGATGTTTTAGCCCTCAGTATTGATGTCAACGGTGAAGGTGTCTGGGTCTTTCTCCCCCTCATGCCAGCTAAGGGTATGTTAATTCACCCTGAATCTGCCCAGGTCAATGTTCAAGACTGTGCACCAGGAAAGGAAAACACTTCATGGAGCAAGAAACCCAGGGCTGGCCTAGCTATGTTCCTAACAGAGCACTCACTCCTGCCCAGTGTTGCTGGAAAATCAGGGGCCGATTGAAAGCGCCTTCCCTGGGTTGTGTGACAGTGAGCTCTCACCACTAGACAATGGGATCTTTATCTGCCTTAGGGATTTTAGTAAAGGTGATCTTTCACAGTCTTGCCTTAAGGCAAAATCGAGCCATTGTTCTCATGCCTTATTTCTTCAAAACCTTCTGCCCAGGCCGGGAGCAGTGGCTCACGCCTGTAATCCCAGCACTTTGGGAGGCCAAGACGGGTGGATCACCTGAGGTCGGGAGTTTGAGACCAGCCTGACCAACATGGAGAAACCCTATCTCTACTAAAAATACAAAAAATTAGCTGGGCGTGATGGCACATGTCTGTAATCCCAGCTACCTGGGAGGCTGAGGCAGGAGAATCACTTAATCCCAGGAGGCAGAGGTTGTGGTGAGCCGAGATCGCACCATTGCACTCAGCCTGGGCAACAAGAGTGAAACTCTGTCTCAAAATAAATAAAAAAATAAAAATAAAAACAAAAAATAAAAATAAAAATAAAAAAACCTTCTGCCCAGCTCTTGCCTGCATCTGGATAGAAGACTCCTGGAGAAACAAACAGTAGAACTCACAGACCATGTTGGCTACCAAGTTCCTTCTCTAAAGCACACGAAGACATTGGGAAATGACTCAAATGCCAGGAAGGAAGTTTAAAAAAAAAGTGGAGGAGCTCATTTAAAAGAACAAAAAATAATGACAGGCAAGCTAAAATAACAAGAAAAGATATGACATCAGCTCAGGGTTTTTTTTTTCCTATAAATGATGCCAACTCCCACTCAGAAGAGTTGGAGTTGGAGAATTTTTCCTTGGCGGGTAGGGGAGGGAATGTGTGCAGATGCTTTCTGTGAAGGTGGGATAGGTGACTTCCTCTGTGCCCGGTTACCTCGCATATGTCATGCCCAGCAGCCGGGGGAATCTTCACCAGCTGAACCCATCACATAACCAGCTCCTAGATCAAGAAGCAGAACATTCTCTGCTCCCTAGACCCCCGGGTCATTCCCCCAGGCTCCATACTCCCCGCTCTGACAGCAGCGATGGTCACGTTGGGCTGTTGAGCATCCATGCATGCAGGGTGTGTGCTCTTTGTATCTGGCGTCTTTGGGCAATTCATCCGCATTGTGTGTGGTTGCAGGCTGTTCATCTCACTGCTGAGTATTCCACTTTGTGAATATGCCACGGTTTTGCAAATCTATTCTGCTATTGATGAGATTTAGATGGTTTCCGGATTTTGTTGTGCATGATTTGAGGGAGACAGAGAAGGGCCCACCACTCCCTGTGATCCATCTGAGTTTTCTGAAAGGCTTCCCTCCAGGCAGGTTGCTTTGCAGGCATCACTCTCACCCCACTGTTCTTAGCCAGGGGAGTTCCCTGAGGGGCCTGCACAAAGTTGTTATCGACTCCCCGACACTCAAGCACCAGGGGCCTTTCATCCCAGCAGAAGGGAGAGGAGAGGTAACTGGGGCACGTTTTGCGCCTTCACCATTGTATGTCTGAGTCATGATGTCTTTACAACTCCTCAGAGGTCCTCCGCATGCAATTCCCTCCAAACCACTGACAGGCAGCCTGAAGACCTGGTTAGGTACCGGGTTTGGGATAAAATAGACAGCCTTGCCCTCAAGGAGCTCACAGACAAGTTAAAAACTCCAAAACCAAGTTTGATTGATGTAATGCCAGAAAATGTAGCCAGAGTCTGGCATGCGAGAGTAGCGATTGAGGGTCTCTCTCAGGGAAGGAGGGGAAAGGGGTGTAGCAGGAAATTAGAAATTAGTAGAGAAATCAAACTTGCTTCAAGAAATCTTAAGTGACCGACTGCACTAGACATTTATTACATGGAAAGAGGAGTCACTGAGTAATGGTATTGGTGTAGAATCAAGTAATGATTGTGCACAGAATTCTCTTCTCTTTGTGGTTCATTGAATTGTTGTGACTTTTATATAATGGCCTGCAGAATAACAGTGCACCTCCACAAAACCTCAGTTCAGCCTAAAGGGAGGCTTTGTTGAAGTGAAAAGGTGTTTTTGAATTTTCCTGTTTTCTTTGGTTTATGCGCTGAGTGCTGATTCCCATGTCTGGTGACTTGTCACTCCTCGATGAACAGAAACTACCAGAGACAGGAGTGGGCCAAGGGAGTTGGCGACTGTGAGGTGAGGTCGGGGTCCTGGGGAGGAGGGTGGAGGGTGGAGAAAGAATAAAGAAAGAGGATGTGCTGGTTAACATTGAGAGTTCTGACTAACACAGAGGGTCTCTGTGCTGATTTGCTCCAGATACCACAGGAGGTGGCCCTGTCAGCCTGGAACCGGCATCGGGAGTGCCCGTGGGACCATTTGATTGACACTTTGCTCCTCCAGTTTTCTGATCAGACCGTGACTTTTGGCTGTGATATTGTCCAGGCCTGCCAAAGTCCACTATGGATGCCAGGTTCAGGGACCCATTCTGCCCTGCAGTTGACCCTTGTCTCCTGCTCAACCCTGAAGCCCCTGCAGTGTGTATAGACCCTGGACCCACTGGGCTCCAGCACTGCCTGTCACACCCCTGCAAGCCAGGTGAGGCTGGCTCAGGCTGGTGAGGAAGTGCTTGTGAGGAGAGCCAGGGCTCCATGCCAGGGTAAGAGTAGGACCAGGAACGATGTATTTGGTTATTGACTTTTCCTGCTTCCTGAGCTTTATAACAACACGGGGAAGAGGGTCCTGTGATCATCTCAATTTACAGACAAGGAGACTGGGGTATGTAGAGACCAAGTTTTTGTGCCAAGGCTGTGCTCAAGGTGAGATTCAAACTCCAGGCTCTTTGACTTCCCTACACTGCCTGTGCCGCAACCTCGGGAGCAGAAGGTCCGGAAATGTGGGGCAAGAAGTCAGGGGCCGGGGAAAGAGCCAATGTGGTCACCATTCTGCTGGAGGTGGGTCTCCAAGTGTCTCAGCTAGCATTGCCCTCAAAGATGCTCAGCAAGTTCTTTCACAGTAAGAAATTTCAGAGAAACTCCAAGGAGCTTCTCTGGAAGAGAACATCTGGGGAATGTCTGGCTTCCATGCACCCAGCCCAGTGCTGGTTGCTAGAATGCATAGCAATGACCTATGAGCAGTGGGCCCAGCAAATTATTAACTACAGCTTTTCAGGAAAAAAAATAACCCATTTGTATCATTTGCCTCTTTCCGTGGTATAAATACCTCCACCAGGGTCAGCTTCAGTCTCCTCATGATGTTGTGGAGCATGGAGCAGGGAGGAGGTGTGAGCAGCCTGCCGCGGAACAGGAGGCTCCACAGATGCAGATAACCTTAAGAGCACACGTTGCAGTAAAAATCATCAGGCATGCAGGTTTTACTATTTATTATTTTAAAAAAATATAATTTACTTACCTGTAGGTTTACAAAGTTTATTTTTAATAATGACTGTGTTTAAGAACCAGCTTGTGAGATTCCTGGAAATTTCACAATCTGCTCTTGCAAACAAGCCTAAGTCAGCCCAGGCCGGCTCCCGTACACCACCAGGTGTGAGGCCTCCAGCTCTGGAAATCTGGGCAGAGAAGGGGTAGCATGAAAAGAAGTCAGGGTTAACCCTGTTTAACCCTGGTGCTTAGTTACAATGCCTAAGCATAGAATGATAAAACCTTCAAACGTTAGTGTCAGGGGATGCTGGGCAATCACTGGTTCTACCCCTGCAGGTAGAATGGAGGATTTCAGTTCAACCGGCCAGCTACGCTCCAAGCCTAATATGGAAGTCCAATGTTTTCTTCTGCTGGTGTGGTGCAGGGCACGGATTTCAGGAAGTTTGTCAAATTGTTTATTCTATGAGAATCAAGAGCCAGGATATTGTGTCAGCCTTGCCTGTCAGCTGTTGTTTATATCACACTCGGCTCCTGTCTCTGGGCTTCTTTGCAGGGCCAGCTTCGCCTTGCTGGGTGCCCTGCCATTCTGCTGTCAGTGGAGCACTGCTGACCACAAGAACAATCGAGCAAAGGCTGTGCTGGGAGGTGCTGGCAAAGCCCATGAGAGAAACTAGAAAAATTCATGTTTCATAGACCCAGAGCCTCTTTAGAGTTTCACGCACAGAAGGACCTGCCATGTGAGCAGTGGGGCTGCATGGCCCAGCCTGAGTGCTTTGCTCTAAGCTGACCTTTGGGGTCGTGCACTGTAGTAACTTAGGGCTGCATCCATCCTGCATGAGGCTGCTTTCCTCTTCTCAAATATTACTTGTTTAAAACCTACTTTCAGAAAGACAACTAGATTAGGAATCGGGAATGCTGTGTTATCGCAAAGCTGGTAGCAATTTTAAAATCTTGAAAGAAGCTTGTTTCCGCTGTGAGCCTCAGTATTCAAATATACTTGTTTAAGGTATTAAAGCTCTAGCTCACTGATGCTATAAGAGTAAAAATGGCAAGATGTGAACAGATTTTTAACACTCTGTGTGTTAAGATCTGTTAGTCACCCTCAGCCTCGGCATTGTCCACATCTACATCATCTGCTTTGACCTGGAGCAAACTTATTGACTCTCCAAAGACCTCATTTTTCTCACCTTGACCTGGTGATAACCCATCACTTGGAAAAGCTTTTGTGGGTTACATCAGTTTCCAGCAGGCACATGGCTATTAGGGGGACTCAGCCTCTTGGGGATAAAAAGCAAAGCAACTTGGAGAGTTCATGGCGCCATGGGGCTGCAGGAAGGAAGGTAGCCCTAGCCTTCAGCCCCAGAACTGGCTGCAGGTGAACAATCTGAAGACAATCAAGTCCAGACTGGATGTCAGGGTCCCAGGGGTCATGTGGTGGATGATTAGAGACCAGAGTTTGGAGGAGTTATGCCAAATCCCCGGAAGCATGGAAATCCCCCACCTCTGCCGAATGTTACTGGATTGTGAGCTCCCTGCCCTGCAGCTGGTCAGTGAGGCTCCCACAAATCAGTACTGACAAATCCACATCCAAAAAGCCCACTCATACTTTGTAGCTCTTGTACATTATTTGTGATTTAAACTATTAGTTTCTCTCCCTGGTTTAAAGAAAGGTGCTTGGGGAATTTTGGATAACTGAATACCTGCCATCCCTAGATGGTACTCCCAAGTCTATGAGAAAGGGAGGTTTTAAGAGACCAGACCAGGCCTAAGTTGATCTCTTACACTGGAGAGTGTGATAGAGTTAGGGGTTTTGTTTGCATGCTTTTCAGTTGTGATTTTAAAACCACCTACCTTTCTCTCACCCATAGTCTTGATACTTGATGTGAGGAATAACCAGAAGAAGTCAACCCTGCTAACGTCACATGGCAGGGCACACAAGCTGGTGGCTGTGTTATTTTCCAACTGAAAAATCATTTATAAATCATTAATATATGGATTCCACCAAGGATACATACAAAAAAAAATGGTTTAGATAGAGGAGCCTACTCAAACATGCTCAAGCCTGGGTGCAGACATAGACTCACTCATTATTAAAGCTTACCCTGGAAAGAGCCACGTGAATCTTTTTGGGAACAATCATCCCATGCTCCAGCTGGAGGGAACCGGAGGCCTTTTTCTTCGGCCTTTTGTTTCACAGATGCAAAGAAATCAGATCCAGAAAGGTTAAGTGACTTGACCATGTTGAAACATCCGGTTAGCGACAGAAGCCAAACTAAAATCTAAGTTGTATGTGTGTGTAAGTGTGTGTGAGTGTGGTGTGTGTGCACGTAGGTGCACAGGTGGAAAATCTGTGTGTTTTTCTCCAGATCCTCGCTCTTAAGAGAGTCCATTCTAAGACAATCATCTTAATTACAAAATCAGTGTTCTGCATTAATATCATGAAACCATTATTGAAACAAAGTAGAGTATTGTACCAATTCAACAATAGTAGTATGATTAGGTAAACTGTCATGTAAACACATGATGTGTTATGCATCAATTAAATTATGTTGGCAATGAGTTTGTGCATATACAAGGCAATGTTTATCTTTAAACATTCAAGTAGGAGAAACCCAAGATCTGAAACTCTTCAGAGTAACCTCAACTATATCTAAAACTTTGCAGAAACCTGATGACCTGCCTGCAGTGAGCCTCTCTGGGTAGTAGACTATGGATGACTTTTTGGTTCCAAAAACATCTCTGTATTAAAGTACAATTCCTAAACTGGAAGGAAAATGGGAAGGTGTAACTAGAAGCTTGCATGCGGGCTCCTGACCTGGAGCAATTTGGTGACTTTGCCTGTTTTGCAGCTCTGGTCAGCACCTTGGCACATCCAGGGACCAGAGGTTGCAAGAGGACCTCTTTCTTACAAAGTCAGCAGTTTTGTTCCATGTCTGGCATGAGTTCAGCCACACAAGGATGGCTCTGGGGTTGAAAGTCCCCTTTTCTGGCTTCCTCCGGTGTGCTTTACTGACCTACCTCAGAGACCACATGTGGCCCTTGGGGCAGGTTCTCAGGCAAACGTCTGCCCCACTCCTTGAGAGAGAAAATGGGCTCCCAGTGCCCTGGACTTTGAATTCCTTTGTGTTTACTTCCCCAAAGCATCTTGAGAATTCACAAGCTTCTAGGCTTTTGCTGTGACCTCCAGTGGGTTTAGAATGCACCACGCACCAGAGAGGAGAAGCCAAAGGGTGGATGCGATGGTTTCCAGCCCTGGCTTTGGCGTCCAGTGGGAACCGGGCCGTCTCCCCCTGCTTTCCCCTTTACTGAACTTTAGTGTGGCTTGTGGTAGAATGCAGTCAGTTCAGGCTCTGTGGCCACCTGCTGAGTAAAGACTGGACCCTCTCCTGAGGTCCAGGCAGGCCATGGGAAATTTGAGTTATGTTCATTAAACAATGGCAATCTCTGCTTTTCATTTTCCTGACTTGGAGGGACTTGCTGGGGCAGGCAACACGCCCAAGGTATTTGTTAGCAATCACGATATGTTGTGTGGTGGGCTCGGCCAGATATGGGAGGAAGCTGAAGTCCTCCATGCTGCTCAAACCAAGGACACTGCCCACCGCCCCAGGACTGTACAATAATAAACAAGTCCTTCCACTGAACACTGGGGTGGGGGAAGCAGAAGGTGAAGCTAATTTTAAGTGTCCAGGAACTTATTTGAAACAATCTTGACCCAAACTGTTCTGAAGTTCTGTAGGAAATTGCATCTGCTATGAATTGTGGAGTTGGAGCTGTCTAGACCAGGATGGAGGGATATAGGCAGAGTGATGGGTATACGCAAATCCATGGAGGAGAGGGGTGCCAGGACCCTTTACACCCCAGGAGGGCACATGGGAAGGAGGGTCTGGTGGAGAGGAAGCTGAAGAGATGGCTGGCTGTGGGTGTGGAGTTCAGACTCTCTCCAAGTGCGTGTGTGTTTTGGGCCAGGCTGGGAGGGGCAGGCGTGACTTGGGCCAGCTGTCCTCCAAGTGAGCTCCCCATAGTAGCATCTGCAGCATGGAGGATCTTGTTACAAATGAAAGTTCCGGCCAGGTACAGTGGCTCACACCTGTAATCCCAACACTTTGAGAGCCCGAGGCGGGTGGATCACCTGAGGTCAGGAGTTTGAGACCAGCCTGGCCAATGTGGCGAAACCCTGTCTCTACTAAAAATACAAAAATTAGCTGGGCGTGGTGGCACGCACCTGTAATCCCAGCTACTAGGGAGGCTGAGGCTGGAAAATCTCTTGAATCTGGGAGGCAGACGTTGCTGGGAGCTGAGATCTTGCCACTACACTGCAGCCTGGGCAACAGAGCAAGGCTCCGTCTCAAAAGAAGGAAAGAAAGAAAGGAAGAAAGGAAGAAAGAAAGAAGGAAGGAAGGAAGGAAGGAAGGAAGGAAGGAAGGAAGGAAGGAAGAAAGAAAAGTTCCTACCCCTGGATTAATGTCCTGGGGCTGACAAAACAAAGTACCACAAACTGGGTGGCTTAAAATGACAGCTCTGGAGACTAGAAGTCTGAGACCAAGGTGTCAGCAGGTCTGCGCTCACTCTGAAGCCTCTAGGGAAGGAGCCCTCCTTGCTCCTCTCAGCTCCTGGAAACCCAGGTGTCCCTGGGCTTGTGGCCACATCACTCCAAGCTCTGTCTCTATCTTCCCATGGCCATCTGCCCCCGTTATGTGTTTACATTTGTGTCTCTCTTTTCTCTTCTTATGAGGACCTCAGTCACACTGGATTAGGGCCCATCCTGAATGTGCCTGCCTTTGAACTTAGTTACATCTGCAAAGACCCTTTTTCCAAATAAGGTCACATGCACAGCACTGGGGGTTAGGACTGCAACATCTCCTTTTGGGGAAATTATTCAACTTATCACAAACTCCGTCCACTGAATGAGAACGCTGGGTTTTAGCGAGCCCTCCAGGTTAAGAAGTGCTTAACCTGGAGGTTAATGTGCCTGTGTTTTTCCAATAAATGCTCAGAGCCTGAGGCAATTGGAGAGCATGTCTGTAGTTTGCAATATACAGGGTTACTCAAAGTCAGGCTTGGGACCAGCAAGAGTTGGATCCAGAGATGCATGATGTTTTAGCAGCAATGATATTCATGAAGCTTTTTGCTTCACTCCTTGTTATGGTTTGAGATCCCACAGCAGACCCTGAGACAAAGACCTGGAGGCAGGTGGTTAACTTGGGAGGTGGGGTCAGGGGAAGGGAGATGGGGAAGGGAGAGGAGACAGGGCAGGTGCTTCCCGAGACTGGTGCTCTGTTGGGAGCTGGAGCACAGTCTCGAAAGGACAGGTGTGAAACGTCCAAGAGCTGACCTGCCAGCAGCTGCCTCCTGCCCCTCACCACAGAGGGTGGCTGAAGCTTTTATGCCCTGGCTCTCCCAGCTGCCCTGCACGGGCTGCTGCTCAGGCTAAGGACCGAGAAGTGCTGATGCTTGAGGGACTCATGGTCAGTGAGGACAGGCTGTGAGCTGAGCTCTGAGCTCGGGGCGAACCAAAGATGGGAGAGGAGCATCAGTGCCCCCCTCCCCATCACCACATTAGAATCCTGCGGGAACTGGCTGGGTTCTCGAAGGCGTTGTTATCGCCCTGTGCTCACACATAAGGACCCTGAGACCCAGGGCCACTAGGGTGAGGCGACAGGGCAGGGCCTGATGCACCTGTCGAAATCCACTTCTAGCTCCCACCCTGCCCCCAGAGACATGCGCCCCATGGGCCGGCACACAGCAAGGGGCTTCGGGGCAGGGTGAAAAAATGGCAAATACACACATTTAAGCCAAAATAATGAAATGGCCCTGGCCCTATCAGCCTCGAAGCTACATCAATGTCACTTTTTTTAAAAACGTAAGAGGAGCTGTGAGGACATCCAGCCCATGGTCACTCCAAACCTGCCACCACAGACAGTTGGGGCCTCCCCGGAGTCCGTGGGCCGAATTTCACAGGCGAGCATTCCCAGGGGTCCTCACCAGCTGACTTAGTCAGTTTGGGCTGCTCTGGCAGCCCCACAGGCAGGGGCAAAGGCAGAAATGTGTCTTCTCACAGCTCCGGAGGTTGCAGTTTCAAGATCAAGGTGTGGGTAGGCCCGGCTCCTCTGAGCCTCACTCCCTGGCCTGCAGATGCCCCTCTCCTCCCTGCTCCGCACACAGTCCTCCCTTTGTGAGTGTCTGCGTCCTCATCTCCTCTTCTCGTAAGGACATAGTCCTATTGCATTAGGGTTTCAGCTAGCCCCCAGGGTCTCACTTACCTTACTCACTGCTTTAAAGGACTTTTCTCCTACTAAGGTCAAGTTCTGAGGTGCTGAGGTGACAAGGTCAACAAATGAATTTTGGGGACACAATTCAGCCAGTATCACTTACATGTTCTGATTTTCCTCCCCAAAATTCTACATGCTACTAGTTATTACTATGCCCATTTTAGAAATTAATGAGATACTCAAAGAAGTGCAGTAACTACAGCAAAATGCCACAGCTCAGATGTCTCCAGCTTCAAAATCCAGAAGACCCAGACAGCTCCTCCAGCACAGGAAGCCAGGACATCAGCTATAACAGCTGTGTGGTTCCTGCAGGTGGAGTTTGGCCTTGCCCAGGTCCTTGGAGGCACGACTTCTGTGTCTGGTGGAACTGTGCAGCATGGCTCAGACCCACAAGCTGTGTGATGGCTTATCATCCCTGTGTAGGCAGGGCATGCTGAGCCAGGCTGACTGGACACCTCTGTTCAGGAAGCATTACCATCCTACCAGCAAGAGCAGGTGAATAGTTTACATGGTAATTAGCCAGCATGCACTGTTCCCATGTGTTCATTCATTTGTTGAAAAACAAAATAAGACAAAACACTCCTTCCTGGCCCTACTAGCTCCCTGGCTTTTCTAGAATATGCTAAGCACAGGCCACTTCAGAAACTGTGAGTTCACCTCTCCCCCTGCCTGGATACTCTTTCTTGTGGTGTTCTCCTCATAGCTCACACACTCAGCTTCTGCAGGTACTTGCCCCCTCCCCCACATTCCCAGGTCTTACCTCCCTCACCTCCCCATCTTCCTTCATTGCACTGGTCACCTTACAGCTCTACAAGAGCAGAGGCTCGCCTGATGTGTGACTAATCCATCCTTAGTACCTAGAGCAGTAGCTGGAGTATGCATCTACGTGGCAAAGGTACTACATGAACACATGGGTTCAGAGTTCAGCCCATTCCACATGCATCTGCAACTCTTCGTCAGGCCCCAGAATGCAGCAGGAGTTTGATACCTGCCATGGGGGCATAAGGAGCAGCAGGCATTGATTGATGGATGGGCTGCCTTACTCTGGTTTCTGCAAATAAAAATAAGAACAATCCAGTCAAGGTAGACAGGAAAAGCCCTGTTAAATTTCTCCTATCAGCTTGCCACTGGAATCCTGCTGCTGTTGCAGAGACCTGGAGACATGGATGGCTTTAGAGGCCCCAGCAGGCACAAGACCTGGTGCACAGGCCCGAGCCAGGCTGGAGAATGACTCAGAGGGCAGGGAGGATAGAGGACCACCAGCCATTTGTCCCGTGAGTTGCATTAGACCAGGAAAGCCAAGAACCACTTCAACTAGTTGAGGAAAGCTGTGCCTGTTATGCTATGTCCTTCAGAGAGCTTTACATTTTTACGAAGTCCAGAATAGCTGTTGGTCGTCTCACAGATACTTACTTACCCTGCTGCCTCAACCTCCCTCCACCATTCACTGTCCTGATGAAATCAGATGATTTGCGAGCAGAGCAACCTTGAGGGGAAATGACAGCCCCTGAGTTCAGTGTAGTCTCAGGCTGGGCACAGAGGCCAGGCAGCCCCCCGTGGGCCTGGGGTGGGCTGGGCACTGGGAAGGAATTGGCATTTGCTCTGCACCTGCTCTGTGACGAGGCACACACAGTTTACATCTAGGGTGCCACTGCATTCTTACATTTTATTTTAACTTTACATTTTATTTTAAAGAAACTCAGGCTTGGACAGTGAAAGAGACTTCCTTGTCTGTGGGCACACAGCCAGCCAGCAGCAGAACTGAGCTTCTTCCTGCTCCCAGACCAGCCCTTCCCCACTCCCCCACAATCTAGAAGCTGTTCTGGAAGCCGCTGACTGCCTCTTGTCCTTGAGCAGACTTCCTGAGGTCTACACCACCTCTCTGGTTCCTGGAGCAAGGAAGGCAGGTGTTTGTGTCTTCTGGCCAAGGATTCTCAGGAACCAAGAGAAGGGATGGTAACTTTGACACTTCTGTTTTCAGAATTGCTCCTTGTTCTTCCCACCGCATTAGAGCATCGACTGCTGCTTCCTCCAGTGGGACCCATCCTGGTGCTGGCAGGTTGCTCCAAGTGTGGGCACCGACACATGCTGGGCAAACCAGCCCTTGAACCAAGAATTCCATTTGCTGAGTCTGAGAGGCCAGGTTCTCTTTGGAGTCTCAGTTGTAGCCTGTAACATTTGGGCTCTCATAGGCCATATTTCCCACCGCTGTCCTTAAATAGTACTTTAGTCAGATCAGATAACATTACCATACGCTCTAACTCTCCTGTAACTACTAAACCGAAACATTTACAAATATGATAAAACAAGCCTAGAACACCAGAATGGTTCAATTTAACACAGTGATGTAACACAACAACAAAAGGACAGTTCCTGGCTAACACCAAGTCTCAGCCTTCAGAGCGCCATGGGGCTCACAGTGTAGGTTCCCCCAATTCCGAATTACTGGGAAACTCCATTTGCCCAGCAGGGCACTGGGCCCATGCGGCCTTCATATGACAAGGAAGTATCATTTAACCTGAAGGACTGCTTCTGGGTCCTTTTTGTTTTTGTGTGGTTTTTTTTTTTTTCTTTTTTTCTTTTTTTGACAGAGTCTTGCTCTGTCTCCCAGGCTTGGGTGCAGTGGTGAGATCTCTGCTCACTGCAACCTCCGTCTCCTAGGTTCACGCAATTCTCCTGCCTCAGCCTCCTGAGTAGCTGGGATTACAAGTGCCTGCCACCATGCCCAGCTAATTTTTGTATTTTTAATAGAGACGGGTTTCACCATTTTGGCCAGGCTGGTTGTGAACTGCTGACCTCAAATGACCCTCTCACCTCAGCCTCCCAAAGTGTGGGGGTTACAGGCGTAAGCCACTGCACTTAGCCATGGTTTTATCTGCCACAAAGAAAACGGTTCTATTGGGCCCTCTAAATGGAAGCATGGGCTCCGAGAAGTCCCAGCCATTCTGAGTTGCGTAGCGGGCCTCCCAGTCCCATAGGCCTGACCCCTACCTCTTTTTCTTTATTGCCACCCAAAAATGTCCCATACATAACATAACTGCAGAAAGCTGATTATCCCAAAGGAGTCATCTGAAAACCTGAGTTCTGTAAAACACTGATCTAGACTTTTAGATTTCTTACTCTTTTTGAGGTTTTATCCTCTAACTTTTTCTTAACTATCGATGTCACCTGGAAAGTATTGTTTTTAATGCAACGTGTCATAATAATGAAACTAAAAACCATCAACTTATCTCTACTAATGTAATTTCAAATTCCAAATGAAAATAAAAGGCTATCCAAATTGATAAATTCTTCTCCAATAAATTAATTACTTATATTAATCTCATTAATTTGACTAGAACTCAGTTTTCTTTCAAAAAATGTCTGCGTCTTTATTGTTGCATAAGAGTGGTTGACTGTAGTCATTTCCCCAAAAGTTCCCCAGAATAAATATAAAAAACCCAGACTGAGTGAATTTCAACTTTCGAGTTCCATGAGGTTGTTCTCTTGGCTATGAGATAATTTGTAGTCAGGGCTATGGTACTTCTGAGAACCCACACAGATGCTGCAGCTCTAAACCCAAGAAGCAGCTGCAGTTTCTTTCTCACATGATTACATTTGAAGGTAATATTGTGCAATTTACAAAGAAGGGAAAGCTCAGAGAGGTTATGCAAGCCTCCCAAGGTCACACAGTGAATTTATAGGTTGGGTCAGGACTCAAGCTTAAGTCTCGGGATTCCTAGTTCAATGTTTTTACCTTGGCTAATTAAAGGCTGGACTGACAGAAGAAAATTATTTCGAACAAGCAGCTTTCCTTATTTCCAAAATCCTGCTTTGCTGCTGGAGCCCCCAGGAATGCATGGGAGGCTCACTGCGGATGCAGTTCCTGCCCCTCTTTTCACGCCAGCTCCACATCTTGAGTCACAGTCATGCCCACTTTCTCTGGCATCATAGGTCTTAAGCAACTTTTTCTACTCACGTACATGTTCATACCAGGGAAATTTTTTCCATGCATGCGTTAGCCTGCATATTTACCCGGAATGTGCCTGTTTTATCTTCTGAAGGCATCACAGCAGGGTGGTGAACAGTGTAGCCTCCAGGGCCCAGTGATCTGCTTCAAATCCTGGATCTGCCTCTTAAATGCTGTGTGACATTAGACAAGTGATTCAACGTGAATGCCAGGAAAGCCTGGGGTCACACTGTTCCCCAAGCTGTGGCTGTCAGCTTCCAAAGGCTCCAGCCTGTCTTTGGATAGAAGTGTCCAGTTAAGGATGCAAGTGAATGTGGCTTATCTGGAGAGGACCCAGGAGGCAGCCTTCAGGGGCAGGGCCGTGAAGCAGGGCAGGGTGGGAGGAGTCATGAGCTCAGTGGGTGCGTGAGCAGGTGGCCTCCACAAACAGCAGAGCTCCATCCTGCTGGGCACCGCTGAGCATGGTCTGGAACACACCTCAGAGTGGTCCCTGCAAGACAGATCCCCTCCAAATCAGGCTGCTGCTCTCTGTGTATCATCTCCCTCACTGGCCCACGACTCACCATCTGGCCTTGGGTTTTAGACCCTGGAGCTTTTTTCTAGTCTGTCTCTCCTGCTAGGTCGTGCATGAGTCACTCAGACCCAATGCCACACAGGGCAAGCTGTACTGGGCTTGGAGCAATCTCAGATCCAGACCAGACCTTTGGAAAATGGGTGACTTTGAACCAGAGACTTACCTCACTGGAGCCAGTTTTTCCATTTGGAAAATAAAGAAATTTGACCAGATGATCTCTGACTGTGAAAACTGCAAAGCCCACCTTTTTGTTCATATTTCCAAATCCTACCTGTATGTGTTAGCCCTTCTCTCTCCATTAGTGAGGGTCTCGGCCGACCTTCTGCACTATTTCTGCATGCGTGGGGTGGGGTGAACTTGGCCTGAGCTTCTGCGACCGCATTATCTTCCAGCCAGGGGTGGATGCTCTGTGGGGATGCCTTTCCTGGAGATGGCCACAGCTGAATTCCAAGGCTCAGATCACGGGCACACAGTTTTAATTTCTCAATCATCTCACCTCAGGCATTTTTCTTTTCTTTCAAAGTTTGGCCTCTCAGAGTCCCTAGAGGTGAGGGGCCTGTGACTTTATTCTGTGCTGGCATTTGAAGAGAACATGAATTATTTTAATGATGATCCTAGGAATGTTGCTGAAACTACAAGTGAAAGCTCATGGTCAGGCATCTTCCGGGAGCAAAGTGGAAATGGCTGGGCTGCACATGCTAGGGCGGAGCAGGCCGCAGCATGTTCAAGAGACTTTCCATCAAGGGATCTGGTATTTTGCAGACATGGCTTTGTTTGTATCCAGGGGTCTTACGAAAAATACTCACCACCGACTGGGCACGAGCACCCGCCCCTCAGAACAGAGGCTGGAGCCGGCTCCAAGCCCTTGCTGGGTTGTAGAGAGCCCTGGAGGAATGGGAACCCTGGGGAGGGGTCAGGAGGCAGGGGACACTCTGGGACAGCGAGCAGCAGCTGCTTCCCGCCAGCAGGCCACACGCATGCCTACCAGGGCACATCAGCCATAACTTCTGAATGGAGTATTCAAGCCCTGCCCAGACCTCCCTTGGGCCACAATTTAACAAAAAATATTCCCTAGCAGTGGCTGCATGCCACTCTGTGTTGTACCTTGTACCTGGTGGAAGGCAGGGCCTGCCTTGCCCTGGCATGGGGCCTGCAGGCTTTAGGGCAGACATCCTCTGTTGGAGTGGTGGGCAAAGCAGAGGGCACCCTGGCTGCATTAGGTGGGAAGTCCGGTGAGGCAGATGAGGGGCTGGTATGAATGGCAACTCACTTGAGAAATTAGAAGCAAGAGGCCTGGAGTGAATATATCGTCAGTCTGAAGGTGACCAGCGGAGAGCTAGAGCTCTAACACGAGCGGGCCCTTGGGGAAATGCCCGTGAGAGGACAGCAGGGGGATGCCGCAGGAGGGGCAGTCCCTGAGCCCACGCTGACAGAGGCTTTTCTCAGAACAGCTGCAGCTGGGGTCTGGGCAGGAAGGAGCTCCAAAAGGTGTCCCTCAGGCTCTTCACTCTCTTCTCAGGCACCCAGGGCCCCCTGCTTTGGAAAAATCACCCCACACTCATTCACACTAGAGTTTAAATGACTTTCTGGGTAAAGAGTAAAATGCCGCAGCCCAGTGAATGAAATTCTATGTCATGATGAATGCATCAGCAAAGACCAGCGGGGAGAAGAGTTTGATGCCAGGAAGCTTGGCCCTCAAATCACTCACAGCCCTAGGGGAGAAGCTGGCTTTGGGAAGAGGTGTTACAAACCCACTCATGACCGAGCCTCTGACCAAGAACCCTTCGTTGTCAGGTGTTGCTGTGTAGCAAACCTCCGCAGTCCTCAGACACACATCCAACAACATCTGCTTTACTCACAAATATGCCATCTGGGCGGGGCTCATGCAAGCTCCTGGATCCCTCACCCAGCATGTGGGCTGGAGCAGCCGAGGCTCCTCAGGCATCTCTCTCCATCTCCCTGTGGTCTTGACACATGCACTCTCCAGCGTGGCAGCCTCAGGGTGCTGGACCTCTGACTGTCAGCTCAACACCATCACCCGCAGCCCATGCCCCGAGAGATCGGGCAGAAGTTCCATGCCCTCTACGGCCTGGCCTTGGATGTTGTGCAGCATCACTTCCACCACAGTTTGTTCATTGAAGCAGCACAAAGGTCCCCCGGGGGTATGAAGGGAGGGGACACAGTCTCTGCTTATGATGGGTGGTGGCGAGGTTCAAGAGGGGCACGTGGGGCCAGAAATATTGCTGGGGTCAGCGTTGAGTAATACCGTCTGCCACCGCCTTGTTCTCCATTGCCAAAACATAAAACACCTTAAACCCTCCCTGGGCTTTCCCACATGCTGGGCTGGGTCCATGCTCCTCCCTCTCCTTTCAAAAGAGTGGTATTTGTAGGTCTATATGCAAGCACATAGCCAGTCTATCATCTCTATACATCATCCCTGATTTGACAGTCATCCCAAAATGTCATTGTTATGGTGTCCATTTTGAAGATGAGCACACTGAGCTCCCGCAAAGCCAGGTAACTTGCTGGAGGCCACACAGCTAGAGAAGACCTGACCTCCAGCTGTGCGACAGCCAAGGCTACACTGTTTGGCTCACATACTTCCTTATTTTGTTCCGCATGAGAAAAAGGGCAGAAGGAGCCATGTGGGGTCACTCAGGAGACTGAGGGTGCACCAGAATTCTGCAATGGGGGTGACCTGGCTGTTGGGTCCAGTCCTGTAGGAGTTTCCCGTGCTCACTCCTGCCCTCAGGCTGCAAATGCGCCTTGAGTGCCCATACAGTGCCAGACCCTTCTTCAGGCTCTGGGGTCCTTCAGGAAAGGGACTAATGCACCCCGACTTCCTGGCCCTGCCCCTCTCCCTCCAGCCTTTTTGGTAGGTCCACCCATTTTAAGCTTCCTTCCTGTGCCTGGAACAATGACATGTTCTGTGCTGAGTGTACAGCCCGAGAAGTCCCAACCATCACAGGCCAGAGTTACAGAAACTGAGGATCTGTTGGGAGGGACGTCTGTCTACCCAGAGCCAAGGCGCTCATTGTTCCCACATCTCCTAGAGCTGGGCTCTGCGCCTCTGCCCTGCCCAGGCCTGCCTGCCGCAGCCCAGGCTTACCAGCTCCCAGCCTGCAACATCCTTGCTCCTGAGCCCGCTGCTTCCTTGAGCACTGGTGTTGAGGTTTGCTAGAGCCGTTCCATGCTCTTCACATCCCCCTAGACCCCGGGTGCTGCGTGCAATGACATAGAGGAGGTTGGCTGGGACCCTCCCTCAGCACCAGATCCACAGATGGATGAGTATCCCTAGGGCTCCCTCAACTCAGCATGGCTGAGCCTGATTCCCTCCGGACGGTCCGCACACACCATGTCCCCCTTTCCTCCACCTCCTACACTTCAGCAAACCCCATGCCTTCGTCCATCCCCAAATGTCCATTTCTTGCCACCAGCACTATGCCCTCCTCCCCAGACCACCCCAGTCCCTTGCCTAGGCTGTGGCAGCAGACACCTGATGGTAGCCCAGTTGCCCCTTGCCCTGTGTGGTGTGGCTGCAGAGTGACCCCTTTCTCAGTGCAAATCAGATACTAAGACACCCAAAGTAAGACCTCCCCTGGCCCGCTTTACGCTGCAGTGGCCATGCTTCTGTCCTCCCCTGCATGGCCACAATCCGGTCCTCTCCCTGCCCTTTCCTTCCTTGTCTCAGGTCAGCTTTGGGATGGGGTGGGATGGGGTGGAGTATCTGCAAACTAAGTTGAGCCCCAAGCACCTGACCATACACAGAGCAAAGACTGCAGGGTTCTTTCTGGCCTCTGGGCCCCTGATGTCTCCAACTTGAGCCTTGCGAGGGCAGGTTCCAGTTTTTCCAACCTTGCCTTTCTCAAGAAGGGTTCTGCCATGATTCACAACTGCCCATTGAAGGACAAGGTTCCCAGAGGCTCTTCCACTGCCTCCTGCTTGGCTAGGGAGAAGCACGCGTGTGGGGAGAAGCATGCGTGTGGTGGTAGCCGACAACTTGTCGCCAGCAGGGACCCTGGGCTGGGAGCCCACTGGTTGGTTTTGCTCACCTTCTGCACAGCACAGCTATTGCAGGGCTGGCACAGGAGAGACCCTCAGGAGACATTTGCTGATTAAATAATTGACTCCCATGACACTCCCAACTCCTTAGGGCACACTCTCTTCTCAGCCACCACCCCCCGCCCCCAGCCAAAACCCGCTAACTTTGTTTGGATTCCACCAAAGCCACAGTCTGGGCTCTGTCCTGCCTCACTCTGTCTCCCAGCACAAGCAGCCTAGACCTCAAGCACCTTCCTAGAGCACCGACTTCTTGCAGCTTTCAGGACCTGCTTCTGGTTTCCTCCTACCCTGCACCCCATCCCCCCCTCCATCTCTCAAGCTGCCCCTTATCTTGCCAGATGAGGAGGTTCACCACAGAAATCAGCAGATGAAGAAGTAGATACATGAGAAACTTGCCCCAAATCCAAGAAAGCAGACTTTCCTCTCGGAACTAGCCCCCTGCGCCTGGATGTTGTGCGGCAGGCCTTGTTTCTGTCGGGCAGATGGCTCCTGGGTTCCTCCCCTCCTGCCCCCCGCATGCCCCGCCCCACCCCCAGGACTGCTGTCACCAGGCATGTGTATCCACAAAAAGATGCTTGCCCAGCGCCCCTGTGCGTCCCATGCCTGAGCAAGAAGCTGCACTTCCTCGGGCCTCCCAGCTCTGGAACCTGCTGCTGGATGCCTCTTATCTGAATTGTGACTCCTCAAGAGATAAGAGCCTTTTTCTTAACAGAAAGGCAGGAGTTTGAAGCCTTCTGTATCCTGCATCTCTGAGCTCAGGCCTCCCGAGAAGCAGGAGCCGACTTCCAGCGGAGAGCACTGCTGCTGAGACCTGCCTGGTGGTCAGCTTGGGCTGGTGAGCCAGGGCCAGGCACAGGATGGTGGGGGTGGTGGGGGCTGCAGAGGGGGAGGGTGGTAGCCTGGAGGACCTGCTGGGCTTGCAGGCCCCCACCTGTCCTGGGGAACTGAGCAGAGGTCACGACGGCAGGACAAAGCCCCTTCTGAGAGAAGGATCTGAATCCATTCCTCGCTTCCAGGTTGTTGTTATTTTTGCTGTGCTTTTGATGACACCAGCACTGCCTCTCTACGTACAGCTGATTAGCAACCCTGATGATGACATTTACGGGGTGTTCATATGTCAACTAGAGCATCTACGTGTTCCTGTGGTTTTGGAGCAAGAGTGATTTGAGTTTCAGAGATTTTTACTAATTCTTCTTCCCCTACCAGAAAAAAAGATCTTACCATTTGAGAGTGAGATGTAAACCCAGCCCTGTCTGACCTGAGTCTGTGCCCTAAGCCTATGCTAAGCCAAGCAGTGCCTGGAGCCACCACAGGTCCACACAATTCGTTAACATGATGAAGCAAGGATGGAAATTGGACAAAATAGTGTGCCTACTGAATCTAAGAATGAAAAATGATTGCACTCCTACTCTGAGTGCTTTGGAGCACTGCCCAGTTGGGCAAAGGGTCAGCGCCTGGGCAGAGGTCCCCACAACCTGGCAGGAGTGTGGTCGGCCACCCTATGGGCCTCCATCATGTGCAGTGACAGCGGGGCTGTCATGTCACCGTGTGGGAGGGCTTGCAGGTGAAGTGGTCTGGGAGGGGTCCCCCAGACAAAGCCAAGGTTCTGAGAGTTGGCCCGAACACTGCTGGATTCCACGGCGGGGGCTTGGGACAGCCGGACTCAGAGACAGTAGGAGGTGACAATGTATATACATCACAATGATCACAATATAGCCCCACACGTGCCTTCCCCACCAACAGTCAGCTTGCCATGTCCCTTCCCCGACATCCCCATCTTAGTCCCAACACAGAGGCTCCCTCTGCCCTGTGTCTGTTTAGCCAGGATGCCACGGTTCTTCCCCCTTCTCCCATGTCCTCCTCCACACACCCTTCAAGGGCAACCCCAGAGATTTCTCCTCCATGATTTCTAAAGTCAGTGGTAAATCTGTTCCTCTTTAAAATCTCATCACACTGTTCACCACTTCCCCTATAATACAGTTCCGCATGGCCACGTCATACAACCCTGTCATATTGGTGAGCAATTGCTGTGTAGCCAAAGACCCCAAAACTCAAACAGCATTTATTATTATTGCCCCCATGTCTGAGAGTCAGATGTGCATTTGCTGATCTCAGCTTGTTTGAGCTGCTGCAGGGTTGGGGCTCTGCTCCAGGCAGGCTTAGCTGTCACCACATGCACACATACATTCTGGGCCTCTGCTGTGCGCGTCACGTTCACTGAAGATCTTGGGATTGGGAGTTAGGGCGGTGGGAGGGCCCAGCAAAGTCACCTGGCGATGGCAGGGACACAGGGAGGAATGTAGAATGGGGCCGATGATGGGACCCACACGTCTGCAAAGCTGCGGTCTCCTTGAGGGGTGGAGACAGCAACAACTCACCGCACGCGGTGCTTCAGTTCACCATCTCCCTGGGACATTAGGGGTCCCCGTGTTATCTCATTTTGCTCTGGTTTGCATTAGTTTTTTATCACTTCGTAGATGAAGCCACTGACACCCAGAGAGGGAAAGTGGCCTGACCAAGGGCCACAGCAGGGGAGCGAAGGAGCCCCACAGTCCGGCAGGAACACAGCCTCTCCCTGGCTTTCAGGTTCACTGACATCTTCTCATGGCCTCTGTAACTCACCAGGCATCAGGGTGTAGTCCTTAGACCAGTGTCCCACAGCTGCCACAGAGTGGGAGCTCACCATCAGTTATAAGTCACTAGAAAGGCTTTTGGACATTATAAGCTACAATGGAAAATAAGTCATCTGTGGATTTTTGTGACAGATTCCAAAAATTTGAATATTTTGTCTACTTAGGTTTTTGGTTAATTTTATCCTCAAAACTGTTCTGCAGTGATTAAGCTGTACAAACTGCACCATGGGCGAATTGGCATATTCAGAAATGACTGATATTCTTGATTTCAGTTTTTTACTTTGTATGTAGCTCCTCAAGGAAACATCATGTAACTTGATTCCCTGGGAAGGTCCAGTGCATGGCACGCATGGGCCAGAGGCCACTCTCCTCCATCCGTAGACCACACGTGTGGACAAGCCCCCAGCATGCCTAGAGGAGCAAGGCCAGGGCTGTGCATGCTGAGGCGCCCGTGGCCAGTGTCAACAGGAAAAACTAACTCCGCCAGTTGTACACGTCAGCCAGGTGTGGGGTCATGCATTTCTCAACCCTCGGGGACTCCTCAGGATGGGATGGAAGATGTGTAGGTAGATTTTGAAGAAACTGCAGATGGTGTTTCAGAGAGACGGTAGAACCATCCATCTCCACTGTAGCCCAGGAATAAAACTGTGCAGCTTGACATCCCCTCTCCCATTCAGGAATAAAAAGGAACAAACAACTGATACACACAACATTTGAATCTCAGAATCACTATGTGGAGTGAAATAAGTCAGATACAAGAACATCTGTATGATTCCAATCACATAGAATGAAAATTAACCTCTAGTGGCAAAAAGCTGGTCAATGGTAGCCTGGGCCCAGGAGTGAGAGGGGCCTGTCTGCCAAGGGGCACGGGGAACTTTAAGAGGGAGCAGAGATACACTGTGGCGGTGCTGCCAGGGCCCCTTAATAATGCACTGTGAATGTGCGCTTTGTGAGACAAAGTAGTAAACATAGGAAACCACGTTTGCTCATTTGTGCTTGGCAGCAGAATTTCACAAAGTGCCTGTCTCTATAACGATGTGCAGCTCCCCAGAAAGATGCTCTGAAGACAAAACAGGATGGAGCACACACCCTCTCCGGACTCTTGCCTGAGTCACTATATTCTTTGCAGATAAATGGCCCTGGTCTTACCTTTTCCTACACGTAAGATAACATCTGACAGGGTCAGTGATTATTGCTCTGTAATTGAATCCATAACCTGATGCACTCTGACACCCAAGCTTTCATGTGACTTTGCACGTACTGGACCTCCCACCTATATGTCAACTGTGACCTGAAATACAGAACCTCAGTGGAGGCTGCTCCAGGGCTCTACGCCACAGCCTGTAGTCCTCGGTAAGCTTCTGAAGAAGACGAACTTTAATTCTTTAAAAGCTTGACAATAACTTTAAATGGATATGATTTATTGCCTGTAAATTATCCCTCAATAAAGTTGATAAGGATAAAAAGAAAAACTCTGTGATCTGGACACAGAACGAGCAGCCCTGGGTTATCTTTGCATTCTAGAAGGGGCCTAATATTTGTGTTAGTAGCAACAGCAGTGATGGCTGGAAGCCAGATTGTGCTTACTTGCACCAGGTGCTGAGCTGGGCACTGTATGCATCGGAGGAGGGGCATGGTGGCATGCTAATAGACCTTTATTTACAGTAACAGGCAGTGGGGTGGGTTCGGCCATGGACAGAGGTTTGCAGACATCCCAAGTTAAGGCACTCTGGCAGGTGTGCCTGGCGGGTCTTGGGAGCTGGGCCTCCAGAGGTTTGTGCTGACAAAAAGGCCAATGACCCCTCCTCCTGGCATTCTTGTGGGGATGGATGTGATGGGGTGTGGCACACAGTGATCAGGCCAGGTAACGGTGACTGAGACGCAGGGAAAAGGTGTTTCATTTAAGAAGGGTCGAGGTCAGTCTCCCCTCAGACCCAGCTTCCCTTGAGCCAGCTCAGTCCAAAGAGCACGCTGCCCTTCCTTCCGCACACTGGAGCACGCAGCCCTGGACCCACATTTCTCAACAGGAGCAAAAAAAGGAAGTCGGGAAGAGAAGCACAAAGCCAGTGAGTGAGGACTGGGCTTGCAGCACCCCCAAGGGCTCCCCAGGGAGAGGGTGGTTAGAACATCTGTGAGATTGCAGTCTAGGGTGACTCAGTGGAGCAACTGTCAAAGGTGCTAAGCTGGGATTTCTCAAGGCCCATCTTCCCCAGAGCTCCTCCCAGCCACAGACCCACAAAGGGCCTCCCTCATGGGTCTCAGTTACACCAGCTTCTCCCCACAGCACCAACAATCCTGTCAGCTTCTTCCCAGGCAGCAGCAGGCCTCACATCCCCACCAAAAGGGACACCATTGTGATAGCCTGGGCTGCAGAGATGCACGCCCTGCAGGGACAGCTGTAGGTCTTGGCACAGATACAGTGGCCTGGGCTAATCTTGAGCTGGGCCTTTGCCTCCTGGGTTACTGATGAGAAGCTCTGAGGCTGAGGCCAGTGGATGCCCCCCAGACCTCTCCACTCTCCCCAAGCACCCAAGGCCAGTTCTATGACTGTCCTGGTGAGTGCCAGATGCAGGGAAAGTGGCCCCCTGTGTGGGGCAGGTGGCTTCTGCATTTCTGATTAGGGGGCCAGGAAGGAGGCATTCAGGAGAAAACACCAAGTCAGAAAAAAGGTTCCCAGGACTGGGGACGAAAGACTCAGAAGGAGGGGAAAGAGGAAGAAAGCTGTAGGGGAAGGGAAGGGAGGGGGATGAGAAAAACGCTGGGGAACACCACTGAAGTTACTTCAAGCTAGCAACACTGGACGCTCAGGTCTTCTGTTGCATGGGTTACCGGGTTACATGCCAAGGGCTCAGTGGCTGCCTGTGGCTGGTGGCTCCTGTACGGGACAATGAAGATACAGAACTCGTCCATCATCACAAAAAGTACTACTGGACGGCACTGGCAAAGCCTAACCACATGTAAACTTTACTCAGGACATGAGGGGTTCCTGGCCTTCCGCCCCCACCCCCGGGAGCCTGGGGCCTTGGGTTTAGGCTGTCACTCAAACCCAGGGTCTCCCCACCTCGCCACTGTGGGCATTTGTGGCCAACCACTGCCTGTGATAGGGACTGTCCTGGGCACTGTAGGGTGTTGAGCAACAACCAAAACCTATCAGATGTCACCCAGTGTCACCCTGTTGACAGCCACTGCTCTAAATGGAAACAATGTGGCTTTGGGGTGAAAGGGGACCTGGGGGAAGTCTGGATCTGTCTCCAGAGCTTGGAGCTCCCGTGGGCCTGGCAGACGCTGGGGGTCCAGGGTCACAGGCTGAACCTGAGATGTTCCAACAGGAGGGGCCTGCCTGAGGGCCTGGGCTCAGAAATGAGGGGGCAGGAGTACATGCAGAGGGGACCCCTGCCTAGGGAGCTCAGGTCCTGCCTTGCAGGGACCTGAGGGGCCAGGCTGGAGGGAAGAAAAACTAGAGACCAGAAGATTCTAGAACACCAGATACAGCTATAGCAGAAGGCAAGGGGACTTAGAGTGATTTGGGCACTAGGATCAGGGCTGATGCGGGAGGGCAGGCAGGAGTGCTGGGGGGTTGCCTTGGTGGGGTTCGGGGAGGGGACTGAGCTGGGGTCAGGGACAATCAAGAATTCCTGGAGGGCAGCAAAGTAAAGAGGTTAAGCTGAGAGGCAAGGAGGCATCAAAGGAAGCGAAGAGGTGGGGACCAAGGGGACCCCAAGGAGTCAGGACTGAGGGGGCTGCCTGAGTGGGAGAAGAAAGGAGTCTGGGCCACAGGATTCTGAGGAATCTCACTCCTGAGTTGGGACCAGTGGGAGCCATGAGCCTGGGAAGAAAAGGGGCCCTGATGCGGGGCCAGGCCTGGGCTGGAGATCAGAGCCAGCAGGCCTCACGGAGCAGGATGTGAGCAGGGGGCACAAAACGCAGGGAAACCCAGGGGCTGTGGGCCACTAAGGGCTGGGGACAGCACATCAGGGCCCTTGGCCTGGCCGAAGCACAGCCAGGAGGTTTAACTCCAGGTGGAGTGGGCAGAGGTTGGTACTCGGGTCACATGGGCATGGCAGTTAGTACATGGACCCGGAGATGCCTGGACTGGGGCCTGGGCACTGGAAGTTAGAATGGGGGACTTTGGTAATGGGGATTGGCCAGGGAGGAGCTGGCATCGAGGGGCCACAGGAGACAGAAACTAGGCAAGGCAGCTTGACCTCGGCCCGCTGGGAATCAGGGGTCTAGGAAAAGGAGGAGTTTGGCGTGAAGGTGAGAGGCACGGGTTCCAGGGCACATAGCCCTTGTCAAGGGTGGGCCCATGGCTGTGGAAGGGAGTGCTGTGGATTATTGGACACTGGGCAGGGAGAGGCAGGGTCCAAGACAGCCAGGCTCTGCCTTGGCTGGGGCCTAAGTAAGGGTTTGGGGACCCAAGAGAGGTCTGTAGGCTGGAAATGAGCTGGACAGGCCAGAGTTACAGGGCCTAAAGCCTGGGAACAGTGACCGGGCTGAGGGATGGGGCAGGCTGGCCCTGGGAGGCCGAGGGGTCCAGGGGTTCCATGCACTGCAGGTCACCCTGCTGCATGGATAGATGGTGAATGTGGTTTTGGCATGGGCAGTGGCACAGCGGGAAGAAGACTGTGAAGCCAGCAGCAGGGACAGCCACGAAACCCTCAGCCTGCTCAGCATCTCCCCCTTTCCTCCGTCATCCTGGTTGGTGGCAGCCCCTCCGCCTCATCTCTGCATGGGGTGGGGGGGTAACTTTATATTATGAACTAATCATCATGAGAACCCCATAAGGAAGACCATATGGTTATCCCCCTTGCACAGATATATTGAGTCACTTACCCAAGATCACACAGCTAATTAACACCAGCGCCTAATTCAAACTCAGGCAGCCTAGTTCTGAGGCAGCGCTATTCAATCAATATGCACTTAGGGAACAGGCGGCCAGGAAGTGCAGGTGGGCCCCACCCTTACCCCTGCTCTGTGCTGAGGCCGCTGCCGAGCTGTCTATTCAGAGTCAGCTCCTCTGGTGCTGGAAGATGCTGGCACTCAGTGCTCCATCGCCTCTCAGTGAGCTGATCATGACAGGAGAATGACAGAAAATGACCAGGTGTTGCCACCCACCACTGTGAGGCTGGTGGTCCCTGTCCCTTAGAGAGGGCGAGCTGGGCTCATGGGGATGCAGAGGCAGCTGCCCTTTCCCACTGGGTGACCCTGGTGGAAATCTGGGAGCTGAGGGTGTGGACTGCCTGCAGGGAGGCCTCACCTAATACCTCTAATAAAAGCACCCCTCGTGTGCCGGGCACTGACCTGGAAGTTGGAGTGACTCACTTGAGGCACCAGAAATGCTCGCTGCAGTGCAGATGTTAGGACCTGGGTTCAGAAAGCAGATCCCTAAATGAGCCTCTGGGGTCCACGGCTTCTGGTCCACGTGCCCACGGCTTGGTGAGGTCTGGGAGGTCTCCCTGAGGGAGGCAGGACTTGAGTGGGACCGTGAAGGGCAGAAATAACCTGAAAAGTGGGGACAAGGCAGAGGATAGAGAAATGGAGGGAGGGAAGGCCTCCCAGGGCACAGTCCTTCTCGGAGGCCCCGAGACATGCCTTCTCCCCAGTTACCCTCCAATAAAGGGAATGCAGCACCACAAGAAGACTCAGTGGCACCATCCCTGGCTGCAGAGGGGCCACCCAGCTGCTCACGGTGTCCTCACTCCATTCTCATTCTTTGCCTAATGCTGATGTCTCGCATGGAATATTTTTCTTATCTACTTTGATAAGACATGGAGGTCAGAAGAAAATAGTTCTCAAACCAGAGTTGGCCTAAAACACTACACAGGCTGTAAACCACAGATTTCCTTCTGCATACCATCCCTGCTTCCTCTTCCCATCTGACTGTAAGGGAAAGCAGGAACTCCAGAAAGGGGTCTTTGTAACACACTTCCAGGAGATTTTTCTGCAAGTGGTCTCAGGCCACACTTCAGGAAACAGACTCAGACCATCAGCACTGGAAGGAATGGTGGAGTTTGGCCAGCCCAGTGTTTCCAACTGTGCGGATAAGACCCCTGCCGGGATGACCCTGGGAGAAGAGGTGAGGGTGAGCAGGTGCGTGGGTGCAAGGCCCCTTCTCAACCCAGGCAGGTCAATGTTATGTTTATGTGTTTTTATAGGGGCTTCTGGTAGTATTAGGTATAAGAGGGGTTTCAATGCTTTTAAAAAAACAAAAAGGCTGCAAACCACAAATCTCACCCTACAGTGTCACTCATGGACAGGGCCAGCCGGGAGTGTGAGCAAGACACAGGGCCTTGATGTCAGCCAGACTGTGGCCTGGGCAATGGGGTTGAACTTTCCTGAGACTCTGGTCCATAAAAGGCAGATAACACCTTCCACCTTGGCCTCCAGGGGACAACCCATAGGCCCCCCCGGGGTCAGTTCCCTTCCCTAGTCCAGGACCAAAGGGAAGCCATTTCCCAGTTCCTGGCCCAGGCTCAGTCCACCAAGTATGGTGGGAAGGCAGAGGCACGGAAGGCTTTAGCGGTACCCTCCAGGTGTTTGGGGCATAGCTGGGGTACAGCACGCAGCCTGAGCCCTGTTGAGGCTGCTGAGAGCTGACAGAGTGGGCTTTGCAGGGAGACAGACACGGTGGGCATTCTGAGGAGGTGGACTATAGCAGCAGGCGGAAGCAGGGGGCCTGGAACCAGGAGTGGAAGAGCAGAAGAGTTTCGAAGCAGTGCAGCCTTCTGCTGGGTGTTTTGGGTAATTCTGAAGTTGGGCGTGGACAGGAGGGATGCATGAGGCTGGGCACCCCACACAGACATGGGGCCTAAAAATGCTGGGAATGAGAGTCACATCGGAGGACCCTCCACAGCCCCCGGCACTCATCCAGGCAGTGATGCCTCCAGTTCACACCCTGGGTGGGGGGCAAATGTTAGTATCGACCTCCCTGAAAAGTAGCAAGGAAGGCTTTTTTCTTTTTTTTGCCAAAACTTGCATAAGACTTAGAAAGTTCCAAATGGCTCTTCTTGCTTATCCAGCGCTTTTGGCTGCCTGTGACACACTGTCCCTGAAGCACCAAAATTTCATAAGAGCTGAGGATAAAACCCAAAGAGGGCCACTCTCCAAGTCACCCAACATCCCAGACTTCACACTTCACAGGGTGAAAAGAATGTAGTCTTCTAAACATGATGCAAAGGTGTTAGCAAACTCAGAAGGTCTAAGTCACAGCAAGATTTTCTTTTATTCCACTTCCCTGCCAAGGATTTCAGTGGAACAAAATAAACCAGACCTCCAAACAGCACGACTAAGTGTGAAAGATTCAGTTATCTTTAGGTTTCTTCAAGCAGTATTTGGCAAGCCGCTGTTTTTGGATCACGTATTTTCCACAATAAGTCAATAGATATTCCATTCAAAAAAAGAAGCAAAATGAGTTTGAATGTTTTGTCAAATTATGCTTGAGCATAGCTGTATACTTACCCTGGCTTGGCAATTAAAATATTTATTAGCATATTAAATTCACAAACAACTATAAATAAAGAAACCTGGTTTACTTAAAAGCAGTGTTGTCCATTGGAAAACATGGCATCATGCTATGGATTGAGTGCCCTGTGTAATCCGTAGAGAGCTCACTCTGGATGACTTAAGCTATATTTGAGCACTCTGATTTTCCGTATCTTGATCCAGATGTTTGACATCTCAAGAGGCATGGAGGCCTGGTGTGGTGGTTCAGGCCTGTCATCCCAGCAATGTGGGAGGCTGAGGCAGGAGAATGGCTTGAGCCCAGCAGTTTTAGACCAGCCTAGGCAACAACCTGAGATCCCAACTCTACAAAAAATAAAAAAAATCAGCCAGGCGTGGTGCATGTGCCTGTGGTCCCAGCTACACAGGAGGCTGAGGTGGGAGGATCGTTTGATTCTAGGAGGCTGAGGCTGCAATAAGCCATGTTTGCACCACTGCACTCCAGCCTGGGTAACAGAGGGAGACCCTATCTTTAAAAAAAATTATAATGAAAAATAAAAAAATAATTTAAAAAAGGGCATGGTGTAGCCTGTGCTACTGAAGGGTCCTTTATCTCTGTCAGCCATTCCTAAAGTCCACTAGAGAATAACAAAATATTCTTTTTCCACCAATTGGTATTTATTTCTGTGATAACTGAAGAATTCCGCCACACAAGCATCACCCGGGTCAGCTGCCACAGACAGTGACCATATTTGTGAGGCTTACATGGTGACCAGGAGCTTAAATTGACCTCAGACCTCAAGAATCTCCTGATAATCTGACCACGATTAAAACGTGGCCCACAATCCTTTCAGCACGTGAAATGACTGGCCAGGCTTTCCAAGAATCCCAAAGACTTCAGCCCAAACAAGAAGCTGACCTCTTAGACCAGCAGCAGATCATCCTACCGCGGCCCTTTTCCTTATTTGTTAAGGCCCCGCTTCTTGTCATTATATCGTCAGCACGATTATTCGGTGTGTTTTCTGGTTGTGTGGTTTATGCACTATTTATTTCCTGATTCTTATCTTTTTCTCCAAGAATAGCAGCACAGACATCAAGTCAATTTCAGCATGGATTTATTCTGCCTGGAAGGTGGGTCCCAGTCACACTAGTACAGAGGTGACAAAATCATGTGTGTCCAGCAACTAAGTCCGCAACGCAGTCCCATTTAGTCCTCAGGGAGCTCATATGGCAGAAGGACTTGTTTCCCAGGAGAGGGCCGGGGCCTGGAGCAGGCTGATGGATTGCTCCTCCAGCAGCTGCAGAACTGGGCCTAGGACCGGGGCTCACTCTACCACTCATCTGCCCCGTCTCCATTAGCACCTAGCCTCAGAACAGCATTTATGAAGCACTTACCACACATACCCAGGAAAGGCTCGTGTTCTGCAGTGGTTACCTTACAATTCAGAATGAACTTTGAACAAATCCCTGAAGACAACGAGGCTGGCCGTGGATGTGCAGCTGCCTTGCGCCTTAGTGTGTCATCTGTAAAATGAGGTAATAGCAACGTATGTCTCATGGGTTACTACTGTCAGAGTCAAATGAGGTAATTGTAGGTAACGCCCTTTGCACAGTGTCAGGCACACCATGAGAGCTGGAAAAGCGTTGGCTTTTAACATTCCTCTTATTCTTCCTTTCTGTTTTCTGAATTTCTGGGTTTCATATCGAAGTGTGAAGAGGGATGAGTTTCAAAGGAGGTAGAGAGTCCCTTAAGCTAAAGGTTTTCCTTTGGAGGGCTGGGGGCCAAGAACACGAGAACCTTCTCTATCTGCAGGGCCTGGTCTTGCTTCCACATTGTGGAACCAAGGGCCAGCAGAGAAAGATAGAGACTAACCCCAGCCCCAGGCCCCAGAGGTGGGGGCTCCAGGATCACAAAGACCCCAGCTTGGCTCCGCCTCTCTCTTTCTCAATGCATGAGCAGCAGCACTGAGGGGACTGGGGCTTCCTGGAATTTTAAAAAGGGTTTTTCTAACAATTCCTGGAACTGTGAAGTCAGTGGGGAAGGTCATGGGTGGAGTGAGGTCATGGGCCTAGCTCCAGAAGTGTGCCGACAGATAAGGCGCCTTGGTCTGGGGCTCTCCAGCCTCTAACGCCCAGATGGCTTCCCTCTGGGGCTGCAAAGTTTACAGGAGAGACCAGATGATGGCACTGACAATGGAGGGTGGGTCTCCTCTACACTTCCCACCCCAATAGCTGCCTTTGCCCTAGAGGGGCCCAGACACATTCGTTGGCAGTAAAAGCTTCACCCTCCAGAGCAGAAGGGGAGGCCCACAGGCTTCTCCCTGAACTTCATCATCCCAGTGGATGCAGGGTCGGGGTATTTAGGGCTCTTTTCTAAGGAGCTGCATTAGGATCTCGGCACATTTTTTTCTTTGTTAATTTTGTTTATCTATCAATTCAACTTATTTGGGCTAAGGCCAGAAAAAGATTAGCTGGGATTTAGGGAGCATCCGTATCAGTTTATTGTGACTGTATTATGTAGGCGTCATTGATACGATGCAAACTCACTTTAAATGCCAACAGGCATCAGCAGGTGGAGATAGTAAGGTTAGCGCCCTTCACTAGAAGGCACAGACACTGGTTAGGGAGGGAGGAAGGCAGAGCCAGCAGCCAGCTCCTGTGGTGCCGGTTATCAACCGGTTATCAGATGGGTGCTGTGAGCAACTGATCTCCCTGGCTATGAGTCTGTTCTGGAAAACTGCGGCCTAACCAAGGCTGTCCCGGGCTCTTCCAGCTGCTCAGAGGGAGGGTCCTAAGATCTTACAGACATAGCTAGGTCATGCTTCCCATGTCAATCAGGGCAAACAGAACACACTAACAGTGAACAAGTCCAAGAGGGGATTAAGAAAACAATTCTATTTACAACAGCATCAAAAAGAATAAACATTTGGAAATAAAATTCACCAGCAAGGAGAAAGACTTGGACACCAAAACATTAAAAAAATACCGGCCGGGCGCGGTGGCTCACGCCTGTAATCCCAGCACTTTGGGAGGCCGAGGTGGGCAGATCACAAGGTCAGGAGATCGAGACCACGGTGAAGCCCCGTCTCTACTAAAAATCCAAAAAAATTAGCTGGGCGCGGTGGCGGGCGCCTGTAGTCCCAGCTACTCGGGAGGCTGAGGCCAGAGAATGGCGTGAACCCGGGAGGCGGAGCTTGCAGTGAGCCGAGATCACATCACTGCACTCCAGCCTGGGCGACAGAGTGAGACTCTGTCTCAAAAAAAAAAAAGACCAATGAAATAAATTAAAGAAGAAATAAAGAAATTAAAAGATTTCCTTTGTTCATGAATTGGAAGACTTAATATTGATAATGTGTCAAAACTAACAAGAGTGATCTACAGATGCAATGCAATCTCTATCAAAATCCCAAAGGGATTTGCTGCAGAAATAGCAGGATTCATCCTAAAATTCATATGGAATTTTAAGGGGCCCTGGAGAGCCAAACAATCTTGAGAAAAAAAGAACAAAGTTGGAGGACTCAAACCTCCTGATTTCAAATCATATTACAAAGCTACAGTAGGCAAAACATTGTGGTACTGGAATAAAGACAGATATATAGACCAATGGAATGAAATAGGGGGCCCAGAAATACACCCTTGATTTTCAGCAAGGATGTCAAGACCATTTAATGAAGGAAGGGTAAAATTTTCAACAGATGGTTTGGGAAAATTGGAAATACATATGCAAAAGCAAGAAGTTAGACCTTACCTCATATCATATAAAAAAATTAATTCAAATTGATCAGATGCCTAAACATAAGACATAAAACTATAAAGCTCCTAGAAAAAAACATAGAAGAAAATCTTTATAACATTAGATTTGGCAATGATATAACACCAAAACCAGGTGCTGCAAGAGTAAAAATACTAATAGATAAATTGGACTATATCAAAATTGAAATGTTTTGTGCATCAAAGGACAAAAAATGATAATAAACAATAATAAACAGAGTGAAAAGGCAACCCATTGAATGGGAGAAAATATTACAAATCATATATAGAATAAGGGGTTAATGTCCAGATTATATAAAGAACTCCTGCAACTAAACAACAACAAACAACAACAAAACAATTAAAAAATGTCAAAGGACACGAATAGACATTTCTACAAAGAAGATATACAAAGGGTCAATAAGCACATGAAAAGATGTTCAGCATCACTAATCATTAGGGAAAAGCAAATCAAAACCACACTGAGATACCGCCTCACATCCATTAGGATGGCTACTATTAGACAAACAAACAAAACCCAGGAGTCATAAGTGTTAATGAGCATGTATGGAAATTGGAACCCTTGAGCACCATTGGTAGAACTGTAAAATGGTGAAGCCACTACGGGAAATAATATGGTGGTTCTTAAAAAAATAAAATAAAATTAGAATAAAAGGAAAAGTAGAATTGCCATTTAATCTAGCAATTCCACTTCTGGGTGTATAACCAAAAGAATTGAAATTAGTGTCTCAAAGAGACATTGGTAACCCCATGTTCCTAGCAGCACTAAACACCATAGCCAAAGGTGGAGGCAACCCAGATGCCCATCAGCATGTGACTGGTAAACACAATGAGGCACAAACATGCCGTGGAATATTATTCAGCCTTTGTAAGGGAAGAAATTCTGATGCAAGCTACAAGGGTGAACCTTGAACACATTATACTGAGTGAAATAAGCCAGTCATGAAAAGACAAATAATGTGGGATTCCTCTTAAATGAGGTGCTAGAGTTGCCAACTCCATAGAGACCGAAAGCAGAAGGGCGGCTGGCAGGGCCTGCGGGGAGGGGCGGAAGTCACTGTTTAATGGGCACAGGGTTTCTGTTTTGCAAGATGAAATGAGTTCTGGAGATGGGTTGTACAACAATGTGAATGTGTGTAACACTACTGAACTGAACACTTAAAAACGGTCATGATGATGAATTTTGTTATGTGTATTTTGCCACAATTTAATTCAAAAAATATAAATACACACAAAATGTCTGCACAGAAACCCTGTTTTTGAAGGAAATGCCCTGTATTGTCAGTGAGTCAGACGTGGGCTGTGCTCCCAAACCTGGGTGGATTGTGCCCTCTGTGGCCCATCACTGCAGAGGGTGTCAGTGTGAGGAGGAAAAAAAGGGGAGTGGACAGGCTCTGGGCCACAGGCCCACTGCCCACTGTGGGACAGAGAGTGCTTCCCTGCTCTCAGGAGAAGAGAAAGCATGTTGCTCATGCACATAACACATTCACCTTATAGGGGGCCACTGGACTTCTAGCTTCCCAGACCTGGTTCATCTAAGGGAAAGCCATTTGTAGGGGCAGAAATGTTCCTAACTTCCTGTTCAGGGTCTCTTAATTCTATGGACATGAATGACGGCAAGGGCCATTATGCATTGATTCTGATGTGCAGAGTTCCAGTCTGAGCAGGACTATGCCTGTTGTACAGACTGGAAAGCTGTGACTTCAAGGGGTTAAGAAACCAGCCAGAGGCCGCACAACCAGCAAGCCGCAGAGGTGGACGGAGCCAGGCCGTTGGGTTCTGTTTGGGTTGTTTCTTGCTATTTAACAGACTGCCCTAAATCTCAGTGACTTAACACCCATTTTGTCACCTCTCTGGGTTGGGTAGGGTGGGGGCTCAGCTGGACACTTCTCCCGCTGTTTTTCTTGGGGTCTTTCCTGTAGTTTTAGCTCGATGGTGGAGGGGCCGGGGGTCATCTGGAGGTTAGACCAGGTGGAGGGGCCTCTCTTATTGTCTCCACATGTCCTGTCTTGTGGCCTCTCCAGAAGGGTGGCTCAGGGTTCCCAGGAATGAGTGATCCAGTGAGAAGCAGCAGCAGCTGTGGCCTCTCGCGGGCAGGCGGGAAACCGACACCGTTCACTGGTAGGTATTCTGCTGGTTAGGCGTGAGTCAGCGCCTGGCCCAGATTCCACCCTGGAGGGGCTGCACCAGGGCGTGAACTCTCGGGGCGTGGCTCCCCAACCCTCTTTAGAAACATTACCTTGAACACCATAGCTCAGAGCAGTAATCACCAGTCCACTGAGGCAGCAGAGGGGCCTACGGCTGGGACTGTGGGAACAGGGAAGCTGCACCCAGGGCTTCACCCACAGGCACCATCGCTTACTCTGCCTGGCTCGCGGGTCGGTGAAGGGAGTGGCTGCCCTTCTGCTCAGCTCGGTCTTTGTCCCATTATTTTCTCCATTTGTTCTGCTGAAGAGACAGCCAGGAGGCAGTGAAGTGGCCCCTCCAAGGTCAAGGCAGCATGCAAACCCCACCTGCCCGCTGAGCCTGACATTTATTTTATCACAATGGGTTTCAAGCAGGAAGATTGCCCTGTCCTGAGGACAGGACAGCCAGCTTCATGGGCACTTGACATGAAAACCTCCAGTGGCCTCAGTACCCAGGTGGGGGTGGGAGCACTGCAACCCTCAGGGCAAAACCAAGGAACATGAAGGTGTTGGGGATGCACCTGGGCCTCAGCCTGGCAAAGAGCCCAAGAAACACCCAGGTAGACTTTGGGAGTGGGAAAGACTCCACCCACGGTCTCCGAGAGAAGGAGGCTAATGGGGCAGGGGGTGAAGACAGGATAAATGAAGGAACGCAAGAAGCCTAAGGGGGAAGGTGGTTTGAGGGCTGAAGCCCAGGTTGAGACTAGAAGGCCAGGCAGAAGCATTCAGATCCCAGGTCCTGTAAATTCTTTCCCACTGGGGAAAGAATTTGTCCTACAGGAAGGCTGAGGAAAGGCTCTGCTGAGTCTATCTTCGCTTTGTTTTTTGCAAGAAAAGTTTTCCTTTTGTGAAAACTTATCATACAGATTGGGCCATTCTTGTCACACCCAACTAAAACACAGTCAAGAATCCAGTGGGGATAGCACCCAGAGCACAATACATTGCTCCAAAAATGTAATTATCTGTAGGCCTAGCAGCTGAAACTGCCTGCAGTAGCCTGAAACCAGTTTTATCTAAGACTCCTGAAATGACCTGCTGCAACTCTCAGACTAGCTTTGCCCATGGCTGTCACTTCCCAATCAGAGCTTGCCAGCTACTCAGAACCTTACTAGTGCTGGTGAAATTTCTCAAAGAGCAATGCATAACATTTCTTCTTTCTATAAAACCTCTGACCTTCTATTTGTTCTTCAGAGAGAGCACTTTTGATTCACGCTGGAAACTCTCTCCATCAGTTTGGTTTGCAAACTGATGTTGACATTAAAGCCCTCTCTTCGACTACCCAGCCATCCTGGTGGTCCTTTGGGTAACACTTGCTTCATGAGGCTGTACAATGGTCTAATAAGAGGGCAGAGGAAATTCATGGTAAGCCCTTTATCCCCAGGGACAGCTCCTGGCAGGACAGGTGCTGGAGGAGGGGGAAGGCTTTCTGTCCTTTTTCATTGCTTATCCCTTTTGTCTTGCCTGCATCTGATGTTGAGTTTGGTTTCTCAGATTAATATTTCTTTCCAGAGTAGCCAAAAAAATCATCTGCCACCGAGTTGGACTGGTTAGAGCACCCTCCCCTTGCATTTTTAATGATCTGACCAAATAATAATAATTCCCAAAGAGTCCTTAGAAATCCAGAGAGGTAGGTTTGCAAAATCAATGTTGAAAATGTCAGAACAGGCTTGCAAAATTCACATTACAAAAATTGCATGCAGCCCCCGCAATCAACTGAAGGCATCTGGCTGTTGCAGACACACCAGCCTCACCTGGCTTACCTCAGGTCTCCAATTTGCCCATCCATTTGCAGGGCTTCTCAAGCTCTCTGGGACCACCCAGCTGAAACAGAAGCACTGTGCTGTCCCCTGGGTAAGGAGGGAAGCCGGGCTGCTAGAATGACAAGGCATGGGAAAAAGGCCTGACTCCTGAAATATTGTTCATTCTCCAAAAGCTGTCTGATCAAGGATTTTCAGATGCATGAAGTCAAAGTTACCTACCCTTTTTCAGGGCAACGATATGGAAATGTAAGTCAAGATAAGCAGAGGAAAGGCAAAGAACTGTGAGGCCTGTGAGGGAGGCCAAAAAACATGCTCTGGCATAAGCCAGCAAGGGCAGCTTCTCAAGAAAAGAAATTCCGGCCCTTGACTCTTATGGACCCATTCTCTTTCTGTTGGCCTTAGACACAGAAACTAAGACACATGTTTAGTCAACGATGAATATATGAACATTAACATCAGACAAGATATTTGAAATTGAAAGTGACCTAGAAAATAAAACTATTGAGTGTATGATCATGTTAGACCCTACCTGCTGAAAAATTCCTTTAACAAGGGGTTGATTAAGTGGCATTTTAGAATTTAGAAAGCACTTCTCAGCTACAAAGATGATTGCTAGTTTCTTACCTAATCACAAAGAGGCACAGACTGGTGTTTTCTCTGTGGCTTTTACAGAGACCATAGTATATTATATACACAGCTCTACACTTAGTTTCTCTCTCTGAGCAAGAGTAGAGGGTTGCCTTGTTCTGTTAACGCTTTGGAGTGAGGTTAGCTTTGTGTGTGTGTAGGATTTATTCAGCTCTGGCCCCAGTCATTGGATAAAGGGTTTGCTATGATAAACATCTGAGCCTACATGCATGTATGGACACGTACAGGAAACGTCCTTACATGGGGACGCGTCAGGCACGTGGTGTTGGCATTCTTTACTTTGTGTGATGCTGCCAATCACCCTCTGTGAAGGTGGTGCTGGTTCACACTGCTCATCCTCACTTCATGGTGTGGGCACACTCCCTGGTGGGTCCCAACCTGCCGGGTGAAGCAGGAGCAACTCACTGCAGTTTTGAGTGCGTTTTTCTCATCTTTCCCTGTGTATAAGAGGCAGTTATTTGAACAATGAGATCACATGGACACAGGAAGGGGAATATCACACTCTGGGGACTGTGGTGGTGTGGGGGGAGGGGGGAGGGATAGCATTGGGAGATATACCTAATGCTAGATGACGAGTTAGTGGGTGCAGTGCACCAGCATGGCACATGTATACATATGTAACTAACCTGCACAATGTGCACATGTACCCTAAAACTTAAAGTATAATAATAAAAATAAATAAATAAATAAATAAATAAATAAATAAAGAGGCAGTTATTTTTCTGTTTCTGTCTCTATCCCTTGTCCATTTGCTGTGGAGTTGTTGATTTTTTAATCATGGATTAATAATAATAACTTGAAATAAAAAAACTAACCCCTTTGAATTTGATATATGATACAAATATATTTCACAGTATCATGTTTTAATTTTTTTAAGTTTTGTTTTATTAATATGTAGATTATTTCTATTTTATATGCAGTTAATGCATTAATTTTTTGGTTTTTATTTCTTGTCCCTTATTCATACTTCTCTTCTTTACCCCAAAATTATTTATTTTTCTAATTCTCCTACATTTCCTTCCAGTAAATTTATGATTTCACCTTTAGGTGAAATAGCATTATACTTAAATGCTATGTTATACCATATATATTTAAATGCTATATTAAAATGTCCATCCTGGACAAAGTCTGGAGCTCCTCAATCTCAGTTTTGTCTTCATGTTTTGCACAAGCTTTCTCTCTTTGTGTCTGGCTTACATTCTGCGTGTTGTTTTGGATGTGTGTGTTCCTCCTGCTTATTTGGACATTGTGAGTTCCATTTCTAGCTCATTTTGTTGTTACTCCTGTAACTCTATCCTTTGATGAGATAATGTACCCGTGATTTAGACAGAATTTTCGAAGCACTGTGCTTTTTCTATTTCCCTCCATCACCTGACCTTAGTTATGTTATTTTTAAAAATTCTTCTGGTGTTTACATCTGTTCTTTAAATATTAATTGATTTTATCAATTTGAATGGATTCCTTTTGGACCCTAGGAACAAGTATGGCATGTCCGAGGTATTCAGCTTATAACCAGGGCTTTCAAGATTACTTGAAAGGAAAACATTCAAAAATGTATTTTAAAAAATTGTTAAACAGGGAAGCATGAGACATTATGATGCAAACAGAGTGACCTAATGTTCTTAGCTAAGCAAGGGAGAGGTCCTCAGGGTCAGGTTTTCCAGGACGCAGTGCTACCCCAGCTTCCCTCCCCGCACCAGAGTGACTTTGGGGGCTGTCAGCCACACCCCACTCTGAGTCGGCCTAAGCTGAGTGTCAAGCATTGTGGACATGGCTGCAGCCAGCGGTCCTGGGTATGTCCCTCTGCTGACCACTTGACACCCAGTCCTGGTGGCTTTGACCGCAGCTTGGTCTTGGAGCTGTCCCCATGGCCCTCAGAGTCTCTGAAGGGAGGAATCCAGGAACACTACAGTAAACCAAAGCCCAGCTCTTTGCGAGGGCTGTGCTTCCATAAGTAAGGCACAGGCTGCGAAGTCCTCACCAGGAGTAGAGGTCCTCAAGAGACCCTCTCTGTCCTTTGTCCAGCCTCCTGGGCATCAGTGCCATCATCTCTGGGGACAGCGTGTATCTGTAGCTGTTCACTTTGTAAGCCTAATGCCCAGCATCTGTCTCCTGGGCATCTGTGTCCTGGGCATTAGGCTTAGAAAAACAAATGACAGGTGCCTCTGGCCTCTTGGGCCTCACAGTGTTTTGAGAACAGACACCTAGATAAGTGACAAAACGTCAAAGCTCCAAAGAGCAGCAGCAGGTGCAGGCAGGGGACCCTGACATAGAGATAGTGACTCTGCTTTCAGGGGGACACTGAAGAGTGTGATCTGAGGGGAGGTGGAGGGCTGAGCAAGCAGAGATTAGGCAGTGTTGGGATGGGGCCATTCCTCCAGCCTCCTGCCCACCATCTCACAACTCCAGTTTTTCCCACTTCCCGGTACCTCCTGTTAAAACCCTTTGAGACGGGACACATGATGAAAGCATTTGCACGGCCTTGGTCAGCTCGGACATCTGCCAAGGCTTGGATTCTCCTTTCATCAAAGCCAATGGATTCTGCACGCAGCTCCCAAGAGCTGGAAACAAAGTGGGAGAACCCTGTCTGGAGCAGTGTATTCATTCATGCGTGCATTCATTCAACGTGCATTTATCAAAGGGCCACTTTGATGTGCTGGAGATATAGGGATGAACAAACCGGACCAAGTCCTCCCCCGCACAGGGCTTGCCTTCTAGTGGGGTGGCAGCCAACATGAAATTAAACACAAGTATACTATCGAGTAGGTAAATGCTATGAACAAAAATGCAAAAAGCCAGATGCTCAAGGGCAGAGGCTGATGTTTTGGGTACGGTGGTTTGGGAAGGCCTCAGGAGCTCACCTTTGAGCACTAGGTGTGGCCAACATGTCGAGGGTAATGGGGTAGGTTTGACTAATCAACCACAAAAGAAGGCCTCTGACAGAACTTAGAGGAAGTAGCAAACGTTGCAGAAGGAACTAAGTTTGTCAAATCACAGCCTGTGTAGTATCTGGTCACAGAGAGAGTGGGTGGGCCAGGCCTGCATGGATCCTTGAGGAGAGGTCTTAGGCCGGCCGACAGCAGTCCAGGAAACATACCAGAGCAGTGCCCCTGGATAGGCTCTGGTCCAGCATGGGCTATGGTCCAACCCGGCCAGGGAAGCCCCCAGCCCCAGGCTGAAGGATGTACAGCAGGCGGCTTTCCTGGAAATGCTGGCTCGATCCAGGTCAGGTGCACGGAGTGAGGCCTAGTGGTGCCGTGAATGCCCACTCCTGCCACCAGCCCAACTCAGTGCAGAGGGGGACCTAGATACATTTGCTAGACAACAGGGTGCCAGGGCATTCTCTTCTCTTCTCATAACATAATATTTCCTGTACTATAGCTTACACTTCAGTAGGTGGCGAAGTCCACGTGAGCTAAGCATTCTGTGCAGTGGTGATTTTTGATGATTTCTGGTAGCAAATTGAGCCAATAAAATGTGACCACCATGAAGGTAAGAAGGTAATCAGGGTCTTTAGAGTCTTGAATGCATGGGTTATGAGCCCCACATTTCGGTCGCCTGTTAAATATCAGGCCTTTCTGGGTGATGGGCTGTCTAATATTCTTTCTTGCCTGTATTTTTCTACATTGTTTGAATTTTATATCTACACATGTATCGTTTAAAAGGGAAGCTCTTTTCCAAAATGCTAACACTCCTGTTTTCATAAGTATGATTTTCATAATCCCAAAGCAGGAAAAGCAGTCATCTCTGTGCTGAGCACTAGGGAAACCTCAGATGACTCAGCCCCATGGAAAGCAAGCCACTTCCTGCCGTGTTAAAGGAGACTGCGCTGACCTTCAAATCCAGCGAGTGGTGACACGGGTCTGTCAGCTAGTGTTAGGGATTGTGTAGTTATTTTTTATGAAGGACACAGGAAGCCAGAGAAAAGAGACATTCAGAAGGGAGAGAATTCTAGAAATTCATCACATTTTGTGGGAATCCTTAAAATAATAAGTTTGCAATAAAACTATTTTGAATCACTGAAAGTTTCACTTGTCTTTGGGATTCTATTATCTGGTAAAACAACAACAAAACAATCTCCTAACATCTTTTATTTCATGAGTTGTAGAACCAAGTTTAGATTTTGTACAAAGTTGTAAATTTGTATAGAAAGCACATGATTTATGGGGATAGGATAATTCCATCCAAACCAAAGGACAGGTAGGCAACAAAAATCTAGAAGCTCTTGGTTTCTTAGCAGCTAGTGATGCTGGAGAAATTTCTATTTCCAAGGAAAGAAGGAAGAAAAAGAGGGGGAGAGTGAGGTGAGGAGGGAAGAAAGAAAGAAGGCAGGAATACAAATGTCTAGATAGATATAATATGTGTGTGTATGCATGTGTTTATTTGTGTGTGTAGGTATTTATGTGTGCAGGTATTTGTGTATGTGTATTTGTGTGTGTATGCATATATTGTGCACCTGTGTGTGTGTGTGTGTGTGTGTGTGTGTGTGTGTCTGTATGCATGCATGTATATTTGTGATGCTGTTCTAAGTCTGGAGAGTCTGCTGCTGCTCCAGTCTGAACCACACACACTTGCCCTCCTTCCCAGGTGAGAAGCTGGCCCTAGCTGCAGGGCTGGCTGAAGAATGGAGAGAGATTTGATTTGTCAGGTTCATGTCAGATGTTGACAAAGTCATCTCTCCTTCTTGTTCACATGAGGTCCATTGTATTTCCAGCCTCCTCACCCTGTGGAAGTCCTGCCTGTCCCAGAGCAGGTTTTGCAGGAACTTACCACACAACTCAGCCCTTCATCAAATTTCAGCACCTGGACAGGTTGCTCTCCCTCTCAAGGCTAATTCAACAGAACTGTTGTCCCTACCATCAGTCAGATTTCAGGTCCTCCAAGGTCCAGTGAGCTTGCTCTGAGAACAGACTGTCTCTGCAGGGCTGCAGGCAAGAAGTGAGGTGAGCTATGTCTTTTCCAGTGAGAGTCACCTGCCTGGGTTCCCCGAGTCGGCCAACACCAGCTCTAGACGACGTAGCGTGGGTCACTTATCTGCCTCCACCTACCCGGAGATGTGCTGGGAAGCACAGTGACCCAGCCACCATGTCAGTTCTCTTTCCTCAAAACAGTGCTGACCACAGCTGGCTCCACAGAACAGATATCCATTGAGATGCTCTGAGGGATGTGTGGAGGGTTTCGGAAAATACACTCTCTCGGGGCTTGGAGGTCTGGCACCCACTCTAGCATGGCTGTGGCTCCAAGGAGAGCCTGGCCTTGCCTGGGAACCTCTGCCATGTCACCCTCTTCCCTGGCACTCCATGAAAGATGCAGCTCTCACAGCTCCCAGATGTTCTCTCAGCAGGAGCTATACAGGTTAGCAGGAGGCAGGAGGCCCAGACTCCTGGACAAGTGTAGGCAGCTCTCTCGGTGGGCTGCTGGGGAAACCCTGCTGGCTGGTGGAAAAGAGTTAAACCTTTAGGACAGAATTACATCCCTTAGATAACCCAATTCTCCCCAGCTTGCAGGGCTGCTCAAGTCAACAAGCTCTCCATACTCAGTGAGCCAAGGATGCCAGATGGCAGGCTGCGGGCACTGATGGGCCAGAGGACCAAGTCAGTGTTACGTGGAGAATGAAAACAGGGAGAATGAATGACAGAGCATGACCGGGCGGGCTGAGGTAAGGCCCAGGAAGGCCCATTTCCACAAAGAGCCACACGGCAAGAAGAAGCCAGCCTGGTGGGGAAAGCAGCCTGTGCAAAAGCTTGGTTTGTCCAAATAAAGAGAAGGAGAATGACACGGCTGCAGTCTTGTGAGCCATGGCAGAGGGAATTAGAGCAGCCACAGCGGGCAGTAAGAGGCCAGGAAAGGGAGGTCAGGACTTCTATCAGTGTTGTGGAGCAAGGCTGCTGGGTCTGAATCAGGAACATGAAATCATCTGACTGGTGGTTTTCAAAGAAAGAGCTTGCTGCCTGCCTGCGGGGAAGGACTGCAGGAGGAGGATGCTGGATGCAAGTAGGGAGGCTTTGCAGCAGGACAATCCAGGGTGACGGCGTGAGGTATGAGGGTCAGAGTTGAGATGGAGTCAGTCTGCAGACTTGGCATGGAAGGCGAGAACTCACAGAGAGAGCACGTGTGCTGTATGTGTCACGCAGGATGGCAACCGCTCCCAGACGGGCACTGATGGAAACAGTGAATCAGAGAAAGGGCTGAAACAGTGCCCTGAAGCCTGGCCAGGCAGGGTCACTGGGAGCACCCTGGTGGGGTGTGCAATTGTATGGTTCATTTGCCCAACACGGCACAATGCACAACAGAGAAAATCAAATCAAACTCCAGACAAGAACACTTTGCTTAAGAAAGCAGATGTGAGAAATGTGCCACTTGTTTGTGAAAGTTTTTCATCAAAACAGCTCTCACAGAGATGGGGGGGTTTGATTTAAATGAGAAATGTGCTTATAAAAAACAGATCTTTGGTGAGTAATGAATAGCTATTATCTTATCTATTTAATTATGTATTTAAACGACATATGAAATTTATTATATTTTCCTAAACAAGTTTGAATTATGTTTTTGATTATCTGAAGTGCAACAAAGTTCATCTGCAATGATTCAGCTGTTTATTCATTCTAATATATGGCCACCTACTACACTGTCTGGCACCTATCGAGAGTTTAACAGATGTTTAATTAATAAGTAAGCATCAGTTGGTGAATAGCAGTGCTATTCCAAGATCTTGAGGAAATATTAGAATCTATAAGATGTGGCTCTTCCTGGACAATCAGGCTGAACTCAGCAATTCTGCCACTTCTCAGAGGCCAAAACCACTCCATGAGAAGGCTCCCTATCAGAGCCAAATCACCTCTGGGCAGAGCCAAGATAAATCCAGTGCAATCTACATGAAGTTGTCTGTTTAGACCACACAGATCTGCACAATCTTCCCTACAGGGCCCTGGTGACATCTGCTGAAATGAATGAAGCAGTCGAATCAAGGGCACCATGCTTCACAGTCACGTTTCTCATCTTTTCGCTGCATGGACTGTTCTGCGGGGACGTGGCGGGTCTCGGGGCTGGGCAGTCTCAGAGGGTCAGGATCTGAGCGCACTATGGATCCGGGGAGAGGGAAGGGTTAAGAATCAGTGAGGAAGGGGCTGGGCAAGGACATTCTACCCACCCCCCACCCCCCGCCAAAAAAAAAAAAAAAAAAACAACTCACAGGAGGCAAATCTTTGGTGTGTATTTGCAAATGCCAAAGAGAAACATAAAAGAATGGTTTTCCTATGGAACACTGAAGAAAAATGTCGATCCTGATCTTTCCTCTGTCTCCTGCTTGCCCCCTGCCCTACGAGGCCAAGCAGCCAAGCAAGTGGTCAACAGGTGGCCTCTCCGAGCAGAACCGTTTCAGATGTTTAAGAGAAATGACATTTTAGGAGTGGAGCAATGAGCTCAACTTTCTGTGACAAACTTCAGGGGTACTTGTTTAAAAGCATGTTATTTGTGCTTCACCCACAAAGGTTCCAATTTGGAAGAGCTGAACTGGGCCCAGGAATGTATATCCTTTGTGTGTCCAGGAGGAGGTGTGGGTGGAGATAAGCAGCTCCTTGACCACACTTCAAGCAACAACTGGGGTGTGATTCTGAGGCATGTCTTCTCCTCCTCCATTGACTTTCTCCTCTCCAAAGGGTTATCACTGGTGTGACCAGCTCCTCCAGAGGTACCTAAGGTGATCTCATAGCAAAGACCCACGCCCTGGACCCATCCTGCTAGTGATGAATCTGAAGGTTCTGAAGGTTCTGTGCATAACCATGTGGAGCCTGAGTGCACAGGGGCCCAGAGCTATCCTGATTTCTAATCTGGAGCTCTTTTGTCTCTACCAAACTGCTTCTTTATTGAAACTTTACATCCTGAGGGGTTCACTGAATAACAGCGACCCCAAGGCACCTAGAAACAAGCAATGTCATGTTTCTGTACTTGGATTAGAAAACAGGAAGGGAAGGCAGGAGAGTGTGTGGTGTATCTTAGAAAAACTTTTTAAACGTGATACAATCTGAGGAAAATTTGCATTGATGCCAGTAGAGGGCTAGATAGCTTTAAAATTGATCATTTAAATGTATTGACGTAGAAACGTATTCACAATATACTTTAAATGGAAAGCTGTGTTAGGGTCAAGTCTTACAATGCGATTCCACGGTTGCACTGCCACACACACACACTTACATATGTGCCCAGAAAAGCATTGGAAGTAAACCACGTCCTCCTGTTAATAGCAATTGTTTCTGGGTGGTGGAGTTTAGGGGAACTGATGCACTTTTTTCTTTGGTTTTGCCCATCTGTACTGTAACTTTCCCCGAACAAATGTGCATCACTTGTGTCATAATTTACTTTTTTTAAATACATGGAAACAACCACAGTCTGTATTTATTCTCTGGTTAAAGTGCTAAGCCTTGTAATCTAGAATATTCATCTGTCCGAGACTGTACCCTGGGACTCATCTCACGATGAGACATTTGGCCTCCTCCCCAACTCAGTTTCAGAATTCATCTGCTGGATTTCTGAGTCCCACTGAGTGATTAATGTCACACGGGTGACAAGGCATGACTCATAGGCACCAAGAAAGCAGCAGCAGTGTGTGCAGGCCGGGAAGTTGCCACAGCCCTCACTCAGGGCTTCATGCACGCCAGGGCAGTCCTGGGTCAATGGTCTCTTTCCCCTCCTCCTGTTGGATAGATGAAGAGGCCTGAGCAGGAAGGTGGTGGTTCCGTGGGGAATCTTCAGTGACTGGAGTATGTTGTAAGGATGGTGAATCGTCACTTGGCCAGCCAGGGTTTGGCAGTCAAGACAGAGAGCAGTGTCTGGGCCCACAGCATGAGAGACTGCTGGACTTCAGTCTTCGGAGCAGGCAAGAACGGGGAGCTTCTGTGGATTTCTATTCCTGTCGCCTGTCACTGTGAACAGTGCCCAGTACTGCTGGTCAGTAAATGTTTGCTAAAATACTGAGCAACCAAGGAAGTGACTTCAGTTGAACTCTGTACCTGTTGTGTTCACTTCCTTTGCAACATGCGTGACTAATGGTTACTCCTTCTCTTGAATGCTTCCAGAAGAGTAGCACTCACCACCTCATGAGGAAAGGCACTGCAACTTTGGTCAATGATATCTGTTAGAAAGATCTTTTCCTATATTTAGAAGAGTGATTCTCATACCTGAGCATGTATGAGAATCAGTGGGTTTGAGGTGGGCCCAAGAATTTCCCTTTCTAACAAGTTCCCAGAAGATGCTGATGTGGCAGCTTCTAGCACAGTGCTTGGAAATCCATGAGTTTTCAAGAGGACAATCTAAAGTGTTCCTTTGTTTTCCTTTACTTCCCCTCATTCTCAAATCCTATGGGGATGACACAGAGAACCACAAACAAAACAACACACACACACACACACACACACACACATACACACACAGAGCACCCTTGTCCCTAGCTTTATCCTCTGGGATACACAGGACAAGCTCCTCCCTGTTCTATGTGCAACTTTTAAAATATGTGCAACTTTTAAAATACGTGGATGTGGCTTTCACATCTTCTTAGTCCCTCTTTAGCAGATTTTTTACAAAACAAATAAGCCAGGAAACCATGGTCTGAAAGGATTCCTGCTCTGGTGAGATCCAAGACCCACAGCGAGGGCGAAGACAGAGGTCTTGCTGCAGCCCCGGCTTCCTCCACATGGAGGTCCCAGGAAGACGGCATAAGCCATTGCCTCGATAATAACCTGCTTGCTAACTTCCAGCCAGTGCTTCCACATTTTCATGACTTCCAAAGGTTCAGATGAGGATGGTAGTTGTGAGTTTGGGATGAAGTCTTCTGAGCGACTCCTATGGCCCAGCCACAGGGACCTGGGGCTGGAGAGAGAGGACCATCCCAGGCTGCAGCAGCCAACACCTGTGTGGAGGTGCAGGCCCGTGGCCCCCAGCTGTGGTGGACACAGCTGTGCTTCCTGATAGCACCCTTCCCTGCACCTACACCGTGACATCCTCCTCCTCAGCCTGAGTGCAGGCACCACCTGAAGGGTATTTGGGGGAGGGCACCAGTGTCCCCAAGGTAGGAGCTAGTGCATATGGCCTCGTCCTTCAGAGGGACAATTCTGAGAGGCAATCTGCGTGCTTTCAAAGGCCCAGAAACACACCCTGTGTTGCCTCCTCCCTGTCTGACTCTTCCTCTTCCTCCTGCTCCCTGGGACCAGCTCCCAAACAAACTCAATTTCTTCTCTCAGTCGAAGTTTGCTAAGTGAGTGAAGAGTCAAATAAATGATGTTGCTTAACTCTCCCTCTGATGTGTGAATGTCCTCTAGGAACAAGCCTTTTGTAGGAGAACTGTAGGCCAGGGCTGAGTGCACCTGGGATGCAGGATCTCCAGGGGGGACCTATCACTTGTGCGAATTTAAACCTGCTCAGAGCTTAGGGCCCGGCTCTGCTCAAGATGGGCAGAAATAAAGAAGACTAAACATTTACATCTCAAGAGTTTATTTACCCTGGCCTGACTCTTCAAAAAATGCCATTGCTGCTACCCTGAGGATTAACCATGGCCATTTTTAGACCAGGTGCCATCCTGCCTTTAGCCTCGGGTCACCCCTCTGACTCACTGCCAGGAAACGGAGCCTAGACCCTGATGTGTGGTGAGAATTGGCCTGGTTTTCACCTGAGATCCACACTTGAGAAAGCTGATTGAACTCACAGCGTGCCATCCTGCCTAAGATCCTCTTCAGAGATTCTATTTCCCAGAGGGAGGGGATCACTTTCCGCAGTGGGGTTTCTATCTGGGACATTTCTCTTCATCTGTAGGAACCCTATTTAAAGGCTAGAAAATCTGAGGGAGAAGTGGAAAGAAGAAAGCTGTGTAGCTGTGACGATGGCCTGGGACATGGATTCCCAAAGCCTGACCCTCCGCTGTGCCCCCTGCTCCCCAGCAGGCATGGTTAGCCTGTCATGGAACCCTGCACCTGAGCCTGGGCGAGCTCCAGATTCCTCAGCACACAGAGCTCCAAGCTCCTCCTGCCAGGCCGCCAGGGCTGGCTCCCGAGAGAATGCACAAGCCTTTTGTGGTGTCTGAGAAAACACAGCTGAATCTACTAGGCAAGGGGTTGTATAGGGCACCTCGGGAAGAAGTCGCACAGGTGCCCCCAGAGATCTCAGGGGCAGGGAGGGGCTCACCCATAAGGGAAGGGGAGGACTCAGAAGGCTTTGAGGAAGAGGCAGCTCCTAAAATGGGTGAGGGCAGAGTGTGCCCTGAGGCCCCACAGCAGGCAAGCAGGTGACTGGAGAAGCAGCTAGGTCTGGTGCCTGTGTGCCAGGCTTGTATGCCAGGGCTGGGCTGCATGGGATGCACAATGCTACTGGGCCAGCACCATCAGCAGTGTACTGCCCCTCACACCCAGGGCAGGCCTTGAAGCTAAGAGAGGGATGGGGCAGTGCCCATCGTTCTCCTGCCACTGGAGTGTGACCTTCTGGTGCCATGACAGCCAGTGGGTGGCAGGTGCCTGCCCCTCTTCCCATAGGCTGCCCCAGGAGGAAGAGGGGCCCGTTCCTGTGAGTAGAGCACAGTGAAACCACTCTCTTTTCTGCACAGTGAAAGAGACATCCTTCACGGGGTGCAGAGAAGCTGCTGCCCTTTCCTCCCCGTCAGGCCAGAGTCTTCCCTACTCCCTGCTGGGGCCAGGGAGGACAGAGGCAGCCCTGAAGCTTCCTGTGGCTCAACTCTTGAAGGCTGCTCAGTTAGAGAAAAAGGATGGTGCTGACCATGGAGGAATCTCACACACACTCCAGGCACCCTGCCTCTGCCTTGCTCTCTGCAGTGGCCACTGAGAACTCTTAGGAATTGACCCTTGCTTCTTAGGCACTGGGCATGAGAGAGGGCCCTCCCTTGCTGTGGGGGCCTCCCAAGACCAGGGAGGCTGGGCCTCTGGAGGTCTCCCCTGAAACTCCTTACCCAGCGGGATCATGCCCTGGGCCTTTGTGCCTGCCGGAATCCTGGTGGGTGGAGGAAATCCGTTACCCTCATGAGAGCTACCTGCCTAGACCCCTGCTGACCTGACCTCACCTTTTGTTTGACCCAGGAACTTACCCGCCCCTTGCTGGGGGTTGGAACTGTCACATGTCCTAAGCCAGCATGAACAGGCAGGATAGTTAGGCTGACTGTGATTGTGCTGGCCATGATGCTCGACTTGGCCCTAGGCTTGACTTTGTTTCATCTGTAATAGTCTCCATTTTTTCTTGCTGTGAAGTAAGCCACCTCAAAACTTAGTGGCTTAAAACAGCAGTTTATTCTTCTTCCCTACCATGGGTTGAGTGTGTGGTCCTTCTGCTGTGCTTGATGTGACTGTGTGGCGTCGTCACAGGGGGGCTTAAATGGGGTGAGACACCAAGCATGGCTCATTCAGAGGCCCAGTGCTTTGGGGAACGGCCAGGAGGCTGCACTCAGCCAGGACCCTCAGCGTCATCTCAGGGTCTCTGCCTCTCTTCGTGGCCTCTCCATGTGGACTTTTTAATTACATGGCAGCTCAGCACTCCCAGAGCACAAATAGGAGCTCTATCTGTAGGAGGTGGCCAGGCCTTCTACAGCCACAGGCCCAGGTCCCTTCCACCACAGCATGTGGGTCACAGACCTGCCCTGACTCACACAGTGGAAGGCAACAGGGCAGCATGCACACCGAAAGCCATCACTGGATCCTGTGTTTACAGCATCTCAATTCCACAGCAACACCCGAGTTTCCATCAAGGAGGCAATGAAGACCCAGCCCGGGCAGCAGGAGGCAGCGGTGTTATCAGGGGCCCACTCGTTCTGAGGGACCATAAAAATACTAGGAAAAGATCATTTTTCATCTTGACTACTTAACAATCTTACAGTTTTATTATAGTCTTAAAGCTCCTGGCCAGGGTTTTATCTTTGGGAAGTATCTCTTTATGTGCCAAGTGCCACCAAACAGCATCTGTTGGTGCCTCCTCCTACAGGAAGCAAGTGCCTCCTCATACAGGAAGCACTGGCATTAGGAACACCCTGTATTTCTCGCCTGCAGCTGCACTGTGTCACTCACTGATGTCATTCTCCTATCTGAAGGGCTCAGGGTCCACTCTCCAGCCTGACCTGCTGCGAGGTCACTTAGCTAAGACCAGCTAAAAATAGCAACTGTTGCTCAGAAGCACCGGCTCTGCATCATGGGCTCACCCTGACGCCTATGCCTCCCCGGGGACAGGGCCGCACGATGGAGGAAGAGCCGACTGAGCCAGCTCCAGCCACCTTCTCCAAGCACAGGACCTTGTGAGCTGTGAGCTGACTAACAGCTTCAGCATCGAGCTTTGGGGGATATTAATGCTTAGCTGATAAGCATTAATCATATCCCACTTAAGTAATGGTTGGGCCAATTTCTGTTTTCAATTAAGAATAAAATGTAAGCATTTGGTTCATATATAAGCAATCTTCAGTGAATGGTAAATTATTATTTTGGGAAAAAAAGTAAAATGGACATGTACTTAGAACTAAACTCAGAGCCTTGGGCAGTGTCTAGGATTTCTCTTTGGAAGTTGGATTGGGAAGAGGATGTGCCTGGGAGCTTATTGGATCTGAGGGGTGGGAGGAGACTTCCCCAGATCCACCGCACTGCCACAGTCTCTCTCAAGGCATCTCCAAAGGTGGCATCCCAACCTCAAAGTGACAGAAGAAGAATCATGGGCCATCGGCGGCACTGGTTTTCTAGGTTGTGTTATAATTTTCATTTCCCCATAGATGAAAAATGTCAATTGTGTTCATCTTGAAGGCTATGTTAGAATTAGAATGCTATTAAAATTTTCATGGATAATCTTAAAAAAATGCAATGATGAACATAACTACCTCCTAGAAATTGTGTTTCTTTCTTCCTTTAAAGTGAAAAAAAATATTACCTGTTGCTACCCTGTTCACCATTAGCCTTCAACGTGAATGGTGCAAAGCATTTTCAGTGTTAAGGCGGTTAAAATGGTCTTTTAGGAACAGCTTAGACATTAGCAGAATGCCTTCCTTATTCTATCACCGTATTAGGAGAAACAAGCAGAGCCCCCACCCCAAGCCTGTATTCTGTCCACTCCCAGTAGGTATCAGACAGAAATCTGCGAAGCCCCTCAGTGCTTTAGGTGAATCGGTGCTGACATCAGCTCTGAACTTTCCTTCTTCCACCCAGGTCTGACAGAGGACAGGTGAGCAAATCTCCTCAAAGCAAGTCAGACAGAGCCTGGCACCGCAAGATCAGGGGAGAGGTCTTCAGAAACAGCAGGCTGACATTCTCCCCTTCCCAGAGGAGAAAAAGGCCCTCTAACTGAGAAACAGTTTCACCATCAGTGGACAGCTCTCCCATGCTCAGCCCATGCCCTGAGAGGCCAGAACCCCAGTGCAGGCCACGCACCCACATCCACTCCTCATGTTAGAGGTTGTGTGCGACTGCTAGGGCTGCTGGGTAGACTGTGTGGCTTCAACTACAGGCCTTGATTTCCTCACAATTCTGGAGGCCAGAAGTCTGAGATCCAGGTGCCAGCAGGGTGGGTTTCTTCTGAGGCCTCCCTCCTCAGCTTGCCAACGTCCATCTTCTCTCTGTGTCCTCACAGGGCCCTTCCTGTGTGTCTGGATCCTAATCTCCTCTTATTGTTAAAGATACCACTGAGATTGGATTAAGACCCAGCCCAATGACCTCATTTTACCTTAGTCACCACTCTAAAGGCCCTATCTACAATACAGTCCCATTCTGAGGTACCAGGAGTCAAGGCTTCAACACAGGAATTTTAGGGGAGACAGAATTTAGTCTCTAACAGAGGTCATCTCATTTAAACCCTTGGACTTGAAAGTGTACTCCTCATCTGAACTGCTGCAGGTAAGGATGGGAATTAAGAGACCCAAGGAGGAGTGACTGTTGTATCAGGACAAGCTTGCTGAATTGAAATGAAAAACAGAAATCTGTCCATTGTGCCAGTCCCATTCCCTCTGGACTCAGCTCTAACAAGGTTTGGAAGGCCAAACTCCCAGATGCTGAAAGACAATGAAGTTTAAAAACAAGTCCATTGGTGGCATCCAGATCAGAGTTTCCAATCAGATACCTGGTCCTCTACGATTTTCACACCCAGCAGGGAGGAGAGCAGGCAGCCCTTTCTTTCCACACTCCCTGCCCACTTCACAACAATAGTTGGGAATGTGTTTCTGTGAAAGAAGTTCACAGCCAGCCACAGTGGCTCATGTTTGTAACCTTGCACTTTAGAAGGCGAGGCAGAAGGGTTGCTTGAGCCCAGGAGTTCCAGGTTACAGTGAGCTATGATTGCGCCACTGCACTCCAGCCTGTTTCTGAAAGAGAGAAAGAGAGAAAAGAAAGAAAGAAAGAAAGAAAGAAAGAAAGAAAGAAAGAAAGAAAGAAAGAAAGAAAGAAAGGAGAGAAAAGGAAGAAAGAAAGAAAGAAAGAAAGAAAGAAAGAAAGAAAGAAAGAAAGAAAGAAAGAAAAAGAAAGAAAGCAAAAGAAAGAGAGACAGAGAGAGAGAAAGAAAGAAAGAAGGGAGGGAGGGAGGGAGAAAGGGAGGGAGGGAAGGAGGATGGAAGGAAGGAAGGAAGGAAAGAAAAAGAAAGAAAGAAAAAAAGAGAAAAAGAAGGTGTTAGATAAAGCTAGGTTCTTCTTCAGTTTGTCCAGTTCCCCTGTTCTTTATTCTCTAAATTCGGAGTAACCCGCCACCTCCCCCTGCCCCGGCTTTTGCTGTGCAGTAACCTGTCTAAACATGCCTAGACATGAGAAGCCCCAGTCCACATTCCTTCCCTTATGTGGGAATAGGTTAGCTTTCTAGTCCCCCCTCAGATGACCCTTTCCTCCTCTTCCTGGCTCTTCTATCACGTGCCTACCTTATCTAAGAAAGTTTGAATGTTTAGCCAATCAGGACTAGTTTAGATTGTGTGGTCCAACCCCAGTCAATGGGGGAAAGACACAGAGGTAGAATCTGCGTTAGGAATAAAAACCGCTACTCTCCGTTGTTCTGTGTGCTTTTGCAGTCATGATTGATGCAGGCAGCACCCTTCTGCAGAAGTAAATTTTGCCCTGCAGCACAAAAGAGGAAGGAAAGCAAGGGAAGGGAAGGGGAGGGGAGGAAGGGAAGGAAAAGAGAGAGAAAGAGAAAGAGAGAAAGAGAGGAAGGAAGGAAGGAAGGAGAGAGAGAAAGAAAGAAGGAAAGAGGAAGGAAGGAAGAAAGAAAAGAAAGAAAGAAAAAAGAAAGAAAGGAAGGAGAGAAAGAAATGAAAGAGAAAGAAAGAAAGAAAGAAAGAAAGGAGAGAAAAAGGAAAAACAAAGAAAGAGAAAAGAAGGAGAGAAGGAAAGGAAAAAGAAAGAAAGAAGGAAAGAAAGAAAAAAGAAGGAAAGAAAGAAGAAAGAAAGAAAGAAAGAAAGAAAGAAAGAAAGAAAGAAAGAAAGAAAGAAAGAAAGAAAGAAAGAAAAAGAAAGAGAAAGGAAGGAAGGAAGGAAGGTCTTAACACCTTGGTAATTTTTGTGCTCTTCCCTGGACTTTGGACTTTGCAGCCTTAGGGAGACAGAGCTCTTTAATGTACACTTTCCCATCAGGCACTGCATGGCCAAGAACCTGCCTGCAAAGCCCCCACTGAAGGGAGGGTTTCTCCAAGGAGCTCTCCCCTTTAAAGGCCCAGGATTGCTCCTGAGAGTGTCTACTCTGCCATCAATACCATAAAGATTTCATCAGACGGCATGGAGAGTGTTCAGTTGGGCACTCTGGGTTGAGGGGTGAGGGTCACAGTAGGGTCATCTGGATCATTTCCCTGTCCCCCGGCCCCAGCTTGCTCCCTGATTGCATGTCATTTGACTCAGGCTGAGCCTTGCAGAAGTCATAGCGGGGTGGAGATGACTCACACTATGTGGTTTTCCAACTGTTGGGAGCAGCCAGGCAGGGTCCTTTTGTCATGAGCAAGGCCATCGCCAAATACACATTGGCCAGGGTTCGATGAAAATGTGAAAGTCTCAGCCCCATCACTGGACTATGACAGAAGCCTGACCAAGTATCCTTATCGAAATGAAAACCTTTCATAGAGGTGGTTCTCCACCTGTCAGGAGTCACTGATCCTAACAGGGGCATGAGAGCTGAAAGGAAACTTTCACAGTCATTTAATATGACATCTTTGTTTTTCCCTTTCTTAGCATTTGTCCCGGGTCACCTGGCTGGGGGTCAGGGGGTACATAGGCCAGGATCCCAGCTATGACTTTAGGAATGCCTGAAGCTGGGGGGTGCTCGGGCAGCAGGGAGGTGCTGAGGGTGACATGAGGGTGTACAGCATGGCAGGGCAGCAGAATCATCCCAGAAAGAGAGGATAGCCAAAGACATCGAGGCACAGGCGAGGTTGAGGAGCTTCGACAGTGGCCCTGAAAGGTGTATGGAGACCACGTTTCAGGACTTTGGCCACAGTGGAATCCCCCGACTGTTTTTGGGGACTGTGGTCAGGGTGACCCGGCTGTGGCACATAGTGCCCAAAAACAGTTTCTCCACATCCCTGCAGGGCCTATCAGCCAAAATTTTAGCAGGCCTCAAGCCCAGAAATCACTGGAATTCAAGGCTCTTAAAAATAATACTTGGCTAGGATACATGACCACATGACATTATTTCTAGTTAAATCAAAAGCTATTGAGGACCATGTCTATTTTCATTTCATTTATACAGGGGAGGACACCTCCCAGCATCTGGGACAGAGGGAAGTACACGTCTTTACAACCTTGGATAAAAGTCATGTAACTCATGGCGCTTCACCTTTTCCCATGGCTGCCAGGGGGCTCAGATAGGAACTACATGCTTGAGTCAGCAACCTTCATTAAAGTAGAGTTTATCTTATGACTTTGTCTTTCTTCTCCTTCAGGGCATGTTATGTACTTTTAATCTTTATCTTTATGTATCCTACTTTTTCTACTTATTTTATTATAATTTGTCTTGAGTCTTTTTAGAAAACAGGAGAATATAAATTGCACTGGAAGAATGTTTTAATCCTCTCTTTAAAAACTGTTTCATATACATTATTTAATCTTCCCCAAAGCCCTGTGAACTCCCCTAGTGCCTTTTTTTTTTTTTTTTTTTTTTTTTATGATCGAGTCTGGCTCTGTCCCCCAGGCTGGAGTCCAGCGGCACGATCTTGGCTCACTGCAAGCTCTGCCTCCCAGGTTCACGCCATTCTCCTGCCTCAGCCTCCCAAGTAGCTGGGACTACAGGCGCCCACCACCACGCCCGGCCAATTTTTTTTGTAGTTTTAGTAGAGACGGGGTTTCACCGTGTTAGCCAGATGGTCTCGATCTCCTGACCTCATGATCTGCCCGCCTCCGCCTCCCAAAGTGCTGGGATTACACGCGTGAGCCACCGCGCCCGGCCTCCTAGTGTCTTCTGAGTCTTCCAAGGGTTGGGCAATTTTCCCTCCGGTCATGGAGCTGAGCCGATTTCACTGTGCTCTGATTCTCTAAATACTGCTACTCACGTAGGGCAATTCTGTTCAACACGGTGAGCTGGGCCGGCTGTGACTCACAGCACCGAGCCCCTCCAGGGGTGGGGAGCTGATCTTTCTCTCCAATATGCATCCAGATGAGGCAGCAGGTCTCTGAAGGGCAACTCAGTTCATCTCAAACATGATGCCCAGAGAAATGTTATTTTTGCTCCCAGTTCCACTCTGTGATTAGCAGCTCACATCTTCCCATTCTCAGGCAGCCCTGGGTGCAGGCTGTAGGTGCCAGGAGGACAAGGGACCCCTCTTCTTTTTATCTCCATAAACCCATGGCTGAAACAAGTGCTTGGTACTCAGTAGATAATCCATAAATATTTACTAAGTGAGTGTTAATTTGGGCAAGTCATTTCACTTCTCTGAGACTCAGTCTCAAAAATGTGGGGAGATTAACTCCCAGCTTCCTCCTAGTATCGTCAAGCAGATTAAATGAGATTCAGAGAAAGCAAAGTGGTTTGCATTGTGTGTCTTTCATTATTCATAGTCAAAAAATCACAGCTGATGCCCAGAAAAGCACCTTCTACCCTGCTGACTTGCACCTCCACTGATCCGGGAGCATCTTCTCTTTTAAGAATATGCTAAAATATTTGCTCTGGGGGAAAGGCACTTGTGCTGATCCAAAGAGATTCAGGAAGGAGGAGTCCTTTATGGCCTCATCTTGCCCTTAGAAACTTCTTCCAGCCCATTTCTCCATGCTGAGGAGGAAAGCTCAGGTCAAGAGAGCAGTAGAGAAAAGATCAAGTGCTCCTATGGGCCTTTTGAATACCTCTAACCCAGCCGTGCAGGGATTCACCTTGCTTCCATGCATCACGACGAGGGAGGGTCCATCTCCATCCCCTCCTCAATGGAGGACATCAAGCCACTGGACCAGAGCCCTTCTCTGATCGCTACCCCCAGCTGTGTTTCATGGGATAAGAAATCAGGTATTGTAATCCTCTAAAAGACACAGAAGCAATTTTAGAAAACATACATTGAGCTGGTGCTGACATTTTGGGATAAGTACATAAACATGGCATCCAAGAATTTAAGACAAGCACATTGCATGGGTGTCCAACATTTGCCATTGGCCATATTTGTGTTTTAAAGAAGAATTGTAACCTAAAAATAGGAATCACACTTTATTCATTATATTTTTCACAGAGCTTTATTTTTGTATTGAAGGCTGGAAGCTATTAAGCTGCTGTCTCCTTACAACTGACCAAAGCCTGTGTGTGCACGTGATTTTTATTCTGGTACTTTGCCCTGGGACATCATTTCTGCCCCTTGCCACCGGTGCAAGCTGGACTTGAAGACAAGGGTCCCAGCACCTGGTGGAACCGCCCAACAAGCACCAGAGTCAGTCACTGGTTCCTTGTACCCCATTTTCAAGCACCCAAAGTGGTTCTTCCCCTCATGTATCGTTAGATCTACAGCTAAGCCAAATAGTGAAGGTGAAGACAAAGGAAAGGGCTCAAGATAACATTTCCCTTCCCTGAGTTGAAGTCATTAGTGACCCAGAAAACAGGAAGGGGGTGAGGCCTCATTTAGGGAGAGGAAAAGCAGAGGAAGTGGCACCCGGGGGTGTGGAGCAGGATGGAGCACACTTGAAGTGCTCCTTAGAAGGAGGCTGGTGGAGCCAGCCTGGGGGTGGGGTGGGTGGGGAAGCTTGGCTGGGGACACAGAAGGGCAGAACCACTCCCAGGATTGTTTTCCAAGGACAATTTACAGTACCCATTGTTGGCTTTTCCTCTGGGTAATTAGACACAACATGGGAGCAAGGGATCCTCATTCATCTTGTCACTGGGTTTTAATTTTCTTGGTCCTTCAGCTCCCAGCTGCCCTGGCAGATGTTCTGTCCACAAGTTCCAGGAAGTTCAGCAATGCTTCTTCTGCACTACTTTCACCCAGAGCTGACATGGTCTCTGGTAAGCAGCTTTAATTTGATATGGCTGGATGTACTTTGGGGCTGGCTGCAGCAGATGAGAAAAGCAACTCTTTTTATGATTTCTATAGCAGGGTTCATTGTGAAATTTAAAGCAGAGAGGAGACTTATTTCTTTACCCTGGGTGTGACACCCTTTGAAGCTAGCTGAAGTAAAATGCTTTGCCAAGGAGGAGGGAATGAAGGAGTCAGCATACAGAATGAAACTGGACCTTAATCCATCAGTGAGATAGACACGGCTGCTTAACAGATGAACGAATACATTTCCATGGTGCAATGAATCATTTCAGTTGTCCCCTTAAGAGTACATTTCTGAGATGTATTTCTATAGTGTGTGTGCGTGCACCTGTGTGTGTGTAACCGAAATATAAATTGGGCTTCATGTGGTCCAGGCTATACACAGAGTCACTGTCAAAGCAGCACCAGGCTAAAACAAAAGGCATCTATGGTTAGTTTCAGTTTTCACTCAGGTGTCTGGAAGAATGCTAAAAGGGATTCAATTTAAAAACCAGAGCAACACTTCTTAAAATTATGTTTTATTTATTTTCTTATTCTTCCAAAACTCGGTAGCCTTTCACTTGAAATGGCAAACATTCACATCACTTCCAGCTTTTGAGTCTTTCCTATTTTCATCTTCTGTCTGTGCTCTATCAGCATTTTACATGGACTGTAAAGTTTTCTCCCTATTTACCCATTACCTGAATTCTTCAAAACAAAAGAGGGCTCAGAAGCTGATCCAAGAAGCAGGAATCTCCTTCCCTTCCTGTCTCCGCCCACCCTGCCTGTCTTCGTCCTCTCAACAGTTTCTGCACCCCAGACTTGGCTGGCTAACACCCAGCTCTCCTTAGGAGCAAGCAAGGGAGAGGCTGAGACTCATTCAGAGGTTTCCAGTCCTCTGAATGGGTCCTTAGGCAATGGTCAGGAAATGAAGAGCAGGGGTTTAGAGCAGGGAGAAACTGGAATTTTTTTTTAAGCCTATAGCACCTGATAGTCTCAGTCTCCCATCAAGGTACTAACCAGGCCAGACCCTGCTGAGCTTCTGAGATCTGCTGAGATGGGGCATGTTCAGGGTGGTATGGCTCTTGGCAGAAATATTATTTTCTGTGTTGCTAAATCATGTTGCTGCCCTAGCTTCCAGACCCAGCTCTGCAGACTTCTGAAAAGAAAAGCCCATATGGACGGGTGCCACCCAAGGGCATCTCCGCTGACAGCCCAACTCCCCCCCAGCCCCCAACACATACACAGGGCAATGTCTCCTTGTCGGGTGTGAGTGTCACCCTCTGGAGTTCTCTGAGACTCTCCCACACTGAGCAGCCTGGAGTCCAGCCCTGGGTTTCCTCACAGGCCTCAGGGTCGGTGGTGGAACACACCAGGGTCCTTGCTTGTGGAAACTCTCAGAGGAGGCTGTGCCACCAAGTAAGCGTCCGTGGGGTTTCGGATCGCCTCTGGGCCACTCCTGCCTCTAGGAACCTCGGCTGGCACCTCGAGGTGTGGGCAGAGGGAGAGGCTGAGGCAAGACAAGGCAGCAAGGTGAGCCCAGGAGGCCGCAGGAGCCAGCCCCAGCTCCCCCAGGAGGCCTGGCTTAGGCATGCTGAGGCTCCATCCCCCTAGCCTGCTTTTCACAAGTCAGGACTGACATTCTGTGCAGACCCAGGGATCCTGACAGAGCTGAGTAAAGTATGAGTGTGCAATCTGAAAGTTCTTGAGCCACACTAGCATGCGAGCACAGGAAACTGCTGTGCGAGTGCAGGGCCCTGGAGCAGATCCTCCACTGTGGAGGGGCGCAGCGGCTGTGGCCCCGGGCTGAAACGATGGCTCCCCAGCCTTCCTAGCTGTTGGGGGTGGGGTGCAGCGGCTGTGGCCCCGGGCTGAGACGATGGCTCCCCAGCCTTCCTGGCTGCTTCCCCATTTCCTCCCACACAGGCTCACCGCTGTAGTCCTGGACACACTGTTGGGCTGGTGCATAGCAGGAACCCAATACATGAGTTGAGTGACTGGATAAACCCGGAGGCACTGACACCCTCCAACGGGGAACCCCTTCCTCAGTTCACCTCGCATTTGCAGAAAGCAGAGTAACATATATGACATTACTAGAAAATAGCAGGGGAAATGTAAAAATTGGGTTCAAAGTAGCCTCCTGGAGTTGAAATGGCTGCAGCTGTGTGGAATGGAACAGCAAAGGCAGCTCCACAGCAGAAAAGGGTCTCAACTTAGGCCCTGGGAGATGGACACAATTTCCCACCAGGGAGAAGAGAGGCCAGACGCCTCTAGCCACAGGGATAGTTGGCACACAGAGGTGTTAACTTTGGGATGAGTGTGGTTGAAGCCAGGGAAGGCCAAGCCCTGGCATCTCACATTCAAAGGAGCAGGTTCTCCTTGGAGCAGCCCCCAATCCCCCAGAGGAGGAGGGACCCCCAGGTATTCTCCCTCATAGCACCTTTTTTCTCATTGTGCTCATTACATTTGTGATATAATTTAGAGTAAGTCATGCAATGACGTATTAAATATCTGTCTCCCCACCAGACAGCACACTGCATGAGGGCTGGGCCTTAACACTTGGGTTCACTGAGTACCTGGCACTGTGCCCAGTGTGTTGTAAGGTACTCAGTGACTGCGTCAACACGGAAATGAGAACGCCGGGGCAGCTGCTCCCCCACCCCTACGCTCGCTGCAGACATGTGCTCCGTAGAGAGGGCTCCTCTCGAGGCCTAAGAGCGCTCCTGGCTTCCAGGATGCATGGATAGATGTGTCATCCAGATGGACCCTGGTTGGCACTGGACAGAGGGGCCTGGGGCTGCGCCAGGACTGATGGTAGAAGCACAGCAGAGGGTTGGTCTGGGCACCCAGTTCAGAGGGTCCTGCTTGGGGGCACGCCCTCTCCTGGAGGAAGCCAATGCTATAAAATTCCGTTAGGGACACCCCAGCTTCTGCTTCCCTGGGTTGGAGGGGCTCCCACCAGGCCCCTCCTTCCCTTTGGCTCCCTATACCCCAAAAAGGGAAGATTCTAGCAGCAAGGTCCCATTCTGACTCCAAGATGTAAGTCCCGTGCCTTCTGCTGGCCAGGTCCCGCACATCCTGGAACTGGGCCGCAGGGATCTGAAGCACTCTGCAGGGTCTCTCCCCAAGACCTGACTGGCCAACCTCCTCTCTCCTCATCTCTCCCAATGAGGAAGGAGCTGTCTGAGGAGAGCAGGAGGCAGGCCCAGCCAGCCTTGGGCAGGTGTCCTCCTACACCGGGGACAGAGAGGGACGGTGCACACAGATAGCAAGCAGCCTGCACAGGCCAGCACTCAGTGGCTGCACTTGCCAAGTGGAGCTTGCTTCATCTGCAGCCCAGGCCTGTGAGCTACAAACAGCATCTGGATGAACATGTTGGGCTTTCACCTTTGGAACTGTGGTGAGGGCAGTATCCTCCTTGGAAAAGGGTTACAGCCCCTGCTGACCCCGTGGTTGACAGCTGTGAAGGAGGCAACAGTGACACTTCCTACAATCCCAGGCCAGCAGCCCCAGGGAGGGAACATAAAGAGACCCCTGGGAGCTAAAGCTACGACTGCTAAACAGAGCCCTGTGGGCATCAGGACGGGTTCAAAATGAGATATCTGGAAACTGGAGGACCTGCAGGGGTGGTCAGGGTGGGAGCATCTCGGGAGCATCTTCCCACCAGAGCAGGTACAAAAATCTATTTATTCATTCAACACATAGTGGCCACATGGTCAGATATTGCCATCTACCTTTGGGAAGACAGATGTGAGGATGAGATGGGACGGTCACAGAGGGCCAGCAGAGCAGAGTACAAAACCAAAGAGGAAACCCCTTCTGCAGCCTGGGGGAGAGCATCTGGCCCTGGACAAGGATGGAGGCAGAATGGTGGGCCAGAGAGGCACATGAAAGGTGATGTGCGTGGGACCGCTGGATGAATGGATGTCCTGAAAATTGCACCTTGATGGCAATTTTAGTTCTTCTCTGCAAAGCCATGTGCCTCAGCCTTGTCCACATGCCAGAATCACCCGGCAAGCTTTGCAAAATGTTGATGTGCAAACCCCAAGCACAAAGATTCTGGTGTCTCGGGCCCGGGGTGCAGCCTGGGCATCTTCATTTAATGCAAGTGATTCATTAATGTGTGACAGTGCTGGAGATCCCTGGCTTGGAGAATCCTAAAATTTTCTCTAGCTTTAGTTCAGTTGCACCTGTAGGTAGAGCAGTTGCAGCTGATGACAGGCAGGCTGTGGGAGCAGGAGCTCAGTTAGGTTTCTGGGCCTCTGAGGGCCGCAGGGTCCACCTACCCACCCGTAGATTCTGCAGTATTTATAACTTTTTTGGTTCTGCCTCCAGCTTTCTGGGGCTGTCTGGTGGCAGAACAGTAAGAAGGGAGGGAAAGGAAACGTAAACCGGTTGATTCCAAAGTCCGTCCTGGAGACACAGTGCAGCCATAGGCAGGCTGGGCTCGCAGGCTGTGCTGAGCTGCAGCTGGCTGGGACTGCACAGTGAGCTGCCGGACATGCAACAAAGCGGCTGGGGGCCTCGAATGGGCACTTCGCCTTCCAGAAGTGTGTCCCTTGCCAGGGTTATTCACGCTCCCGCAGGGCTGAGAGCTGGCCAGCCTCCTCCTCTCCCAGATGGAGCTCAGGGCTGTGTGGCGGCCGTGGGGGACCTGGGACACTGGCTGCTCCAAGGGTTTTCTGCCGGTTATATCCATTTGGGATGTGTCCAGGGAAAAGGCCTCTATCAGCTGCGAGAAAAAGAACACACATTCCCGAAATATCCGATAAACAAAGATGATTCCTTTATCCACCCCACTGGCCAAAATGAGCACCTGTGGCCTTGTCTTTCACTCAGGAAGTGCGGCCACCCTAGCCGCTCTCCCTCCTCCCACACTCCCTGCCATGTGGCCCTGTCCCCTCCTCGTCCCACTCCATTTTCCACTTCTGTGTCCAGGCCTTTCCTTCTCTCTGCACCTTTCCTCAGTGTAATTTTCAGCCTCAAAAAGCATTTTTTTAAAGAGGCATTCCTCTCATTGCCCAGGCTGGAGTGCAATGGCACAATCTCAGCTCACTGCAGGCTCTGCCTCCCAGTTCAAGCGATTCTCCTGCCTCAGTGAGCCTCTGGAGTAGCTGAGATTATAGGCACACGCCACCACGCCCAGCTAATTTTTGTATTTTTAGTAGAGATGGGGTTTTACCATGTTGGTCAGGCTGGTCTCAAACTCCTGACCTCAGGTGATCCACCCATCTTGGCTTCCCAAAGTGCTGGGATTACAGGCTTGAGCCACTGCGCCCAGCCAAAAAGCTTTTTAAAATTACTTTTAACTGCCTTTATAGCCCTCTGAGTCTTTGAGGGGAAAGAACTGTGAGGTTTCTCATCAGATCAAATTGTGGGGTGGCCTTTCCCAGAGAGGAGAAATCATCTCCTGGGGGAGGCTGGGCTGATCCCACGTTGGGAGCGGGGCTGCGGGTCCCACTCTTGGGCAGAGGCCAGCAGAGCATGCGCTCTAGTGGGGAATTCGAATAATGCGCGAGCCTCAGCAAGGAAGGAGCTTAGCTCCAGTGCAGGAGCACATAGGGAAGGTCTCAGCATCTCGGGGTAGGCGGGTGGTTGAGGCAGGGCAAAAAAGAGAGTCACCTCTGTGCTGGGAACTGTCCTTACCATGTGACCAGCTGCAAAGACTTCAAGCACGGCCCTGTGGGTGAGGAGGGCAGGGAGTCCAAAGATCCTTAGAGACTGGAGAAGCTGAGTGTGCAAACAAAAGAGAGAAGGTGGGTGTGGCCAAGAGGGGCAATGCCAGGAGTGCCATGGGAGATGCCTGCAGAGAGCTGCCCAGGGGCCACATCACAGCACCCCTCGCAGGTGCTGCTGACGCACCAGTGTGGTGACAAGCCACGTCCAAGCAAGCGATGAAAGGACTGAGTTGTTTTGCAAAAAGTTCTTGCCATCTCCTCCACGGAGAGTGGATAGGAAAGGGGACACAAACCCATCCATTTACTTATTCTTCCTTTAACAAAATCCATCCATTTACTGATTTCTTCCCTTAACAAAATGTTATTGACAGTCAACCCAGTTTAGTGATCAACAGGAATTTGTGAAGATCGGGACCATATCCCAGTGAATACGGTGCTCACCATCAGTGGGTGGAGGGGACTCCCATGTGAGCCCGCAAACAATACCCCATGCACGCATGTCCTTCTATAGGGTTGAGCTGAAAGCTCTGGAAGCACAGCAAAGTCACCAGGAGCTTCATTCTGGGAAATCAGAGTAGGCCTCATAAGGATCTGCCCTGGAGCCAGGTCCACTCAGCTGAGAGCCTGCATTTTTGTTGACAGACTGAGTGTGCATCAGTGCAGGCGCCGGCTGCAGCCCAAGGGGCTCGGGGGGCCCCAGAGCACACAGGGTGTGGATATGATGTAGGCATCAAAGACAGGTGAGGTTGGTAAGGAATCTTGGGACAGATAAAGAAAGTCTTAGCATCAAACAAAGGGTCCCCTCTTTTTCCTAGAAGTAGCAAGAAAACCCTTGAGGTGTTTGATCCAGGGCATAGCACAGTGAGACATGCTTTAGAAAATTAATGCAGGGCTTGCTTTGGTTTAGGTTCACTCAAATCCAAGTCATTGACTCCCACCTATTTAGAAGGTTCAGGGATCTCCAGGAGGGAAGTGGGGATAATGGTGCCATGGAATGGAGCTCTGTCAAGCCAGCATTACTAGGTGGGCAACGGAGCTTAATGCTTGCATAGAGGCTCTAGGAGACTGGGCAAACCCCGGGCCTCAGAGGCATCCTGGGCAGGGCAAGGGAGCTGGTGTGCTCTGAGCAGCTGGCTCGGGCCTTGGCCAGGAGCTCCTCCCGGGATGCTTGTTTCCTGCACTTCCAGGCACCTGCAGTGTGGGTGGCACAGCCCCAGTGGCTCTGGGAAGAGCCTTTAGGAACCAGAATGACTACACCAGCAGGTCCTGGGAAGTTGGGCAGAGCCCTGGGAGGATGGGCGGGACACGGCCAGGTCTGCCACAGAGAGAAAAGGGCCAAGGAGGGAAGGTGGGCAGGTGGCATCGTGCAGAAAGGTAAGATCTGTGTGTGAGAGCACTCTTGTGAGATTTCCACAACCATTTATTCTACCTGGCTTTAATTTTTAGAAACTTAAATGTTAGAAAACACTAATTGATGGCCGGGCACGGTGACTCGTGCCTGTAATCCCAGCACTTTGGGAGGCTGAGGCGAGTGGATCACTTGAGGTCAGGAGTTCAACACCAGCCTGGCCAATATGGTGAAACCCTGTATCAACTAAAATTACAAAAATTAGCCGGGCATGGTGATGGGCGCCTGTAATCCCAGATACTTGGGAGGCTGAGGCAGGAGAATCGCTTGAACCAGAAGGCGGGGGTTGCAGTAAGCCAAGATCGTACCACTGTACTCCAGCCTGGGTGACAAAGCAAGACTCTGTCTCAAAAACAAACAAAAAAACAAACAAACAAAAAACACTAATTGAGAGGTATAAGCAGAAAACATCTGGCATGACTAGCTATCACAGCCTTTCCCCACCAAAGACAAAACAAAGCAGATCTTGGCATCAGTGTGTGAATGTGGCAGCACACAGGAGACAACGAAACTGGGTCATCCCAGGAAAAGCCCTGCAGAAGGTCCCATCTTCAGCCATAGAATTTTTCCCAGGCCTTCCTTGGATGGGCTCAGTTGGGATGTTTTTCTTTTGTCTGGCTTCTTTGGATCAGTTACAGTGTTTTGTGAATAACTACTTCATTCTTTGTTATTGATGAGTAATACTCCATTGTATGGATGCATCACAGTTTATTTATTCACTCAAATGGCCACGGGGGCTGATTTCAGTCTAGGGCCGCTGGCTGAATTAAGCTGCTGCAAGCACATAAGGACAAGTCTTCTTGTAGACATGTTGTCCTTTCTCTTGGGTAAAAACCTCCGAGTGAAATTGCTGGTAAGTTAAAGTTCCACTTTATATATACTAAAATAAAAAGCCACCAATCTATTTACAAATACAAATGGTGGTGGAACTTACCATTGATATTTTTTAAAAACAACAATACTTGAATGATCATTATCAAAAGAATAGAAAATACTAAGAAGTTTCAAAACATAATTTAAATTATCTGAAATAGCTTCAAGTAGCAACAACCTTTTTTTAAATTATACCTTAAGTTCTAGGGTACATGTGCACAATGTGCATGTTTGTTACATATGTATCCATGTGCCATGTTGGTGTGCTGTACCCATTAACTCATCATTTACATTAGGTATATCTCCTAATGCTATCTCTCCCTGCTCCCCCAACCCCACGACAGGCCCCGGTGTGTGATGTTCCCCTTTCTGTGTCCAAGTGTTCTCATTGTTCAATTCCCACCTATGAGTGAGAACATGTGGTGCTTGGTTTTTTGTCCTTGCCATAGTTTGCTGAGAATGATGGTTTCCAGCTTCATCCATGTCCTTACAAATATCATGAACTCATCATTTTTTATGGCTGCATAGTATTCCATGGTGTATATGTGCCACATTTTCTTAATCCAGTCTATCATTGATGGACATTTGGGTTGGTTCCAAGTCTTTGCTATAGTGAATAGTGCTGCAATAAACATATGTGTGCATGTGTCTTTATAGTAGCATGATTTATAATCCTTTGGGTATATACCCAGTAACGGGATGTCTGGGTCAAATGGTATTTCTAGTTCTAGATCCTTGAGGAATCACCACACTGTATTCCACAATGGTTGAACTAGTTTACAGTCCCACCAACAGTGTAAAAGTGTTCCTATTTCTCCACATCCTCTCCAGCACCTGTGGAGAACATATTCTTGTCAATACTTATTTGATTGCAAAGAACAGAAATGATGTTAAGCAAGAAAAAGAAGGGATTTTCTCAGAGGGACACAGAGGTGTCTCTAGGTGACAAGGGCTAGGAGATGCAGCTGAGCTTCATGGTAATGACTGATCCCCACGTGGCCATTCTCATTCTCTCTCATCTCTCACTCTGCCTCTCCCTGGGCTGCTGGGCCTTTTCTCTCCACTGCCCCTATTCTAGTGTCCCTGCTGCAGAACATCTCTTGCTGGTTCATGGCACAGCGTGGCCTCCCTCCCTGAGTTGTCCTAATGCAAAAGCATTTGTGCACAGCACTGGCTGTGTGCCGGGACCCTTTGTTTCTATTCTCAAAAGAAAGAATCTAACTGGCCCAGCTCTGCTCAGCTCTCCATTCCTGGTTTTATCAATGTGGCTCGAACAGGGTCCCTGACACAAACCTGGCCACTAGGGAAGTGAGCAGGAGTAGACATTCCCGGGGAGAGTCGTGAGTAGGAAAACTGGCAAGTGTGGCTAACATGGCGCCTCCACCAAATGCCTTGCTAAAGAATACGCTCTACATCTGCTTTCTGAAAATGTAGTGATATCTTGTGAATACCCTTCCATGACATTGAAAATATGCCTGCACTGCCATTTGGAGGGACCATAGCCTGGTATCCTCTAACGTGATGTGCCAATACTGACTTGACAAATCCTCTACTGCTAAACACTTAGATCACCTTCAATTATTCCCTCTAATAAACTATACCTTGATGAACATTTTTGTACATAAATATTTTATTTTTCTTAGGATAAATTCTCTAGACCATGATAGAACCAATATCCAGTGGCATTATTTAATTTTAGCTTCACAATAACACCTTGATATAGGTATTAGCACCCCTACTTTACAGACATAAAAACTGAAGTAATGTAAAAGTAGACACAGCTCTTACATTTAAACACCTGGGGAGCGAGAGAACTGGCATTCAAACCTGAGTAGGAGTCAGAGAAAGATCCTGGGTCTGAAAATAAGCCATGGATGGGCGAGCTGTGCTGCAGCCAGATGGAGGCCCGACTCAGGCTAAAGGGAAATGGGTGTCAATGCTTGGTGCAGCAGAAAATGAGAAAGATTTGGCCTTCAGATTTATACACAGAGGTTCTTCCTGTCTCTTTCTCCAGTTAGTGATATCTCATGGAGGAGTTTTCTCCACGCTAGGAAATGGCTTCTCAATCCAAAGCACCCTAGAAAGGGACAGCATCTATGGAAGGTGCCTCCCCTGCACTAGCCTTTCTTACTGCTGCATTTTTAACCTTCTGGCTTGCCCTCCTCTGGATCCCCCTGGGGAACAGGTGGCCATATGATTCTTTCCATTTCACAGAAAGGAAAATGGCACTGGAGACATAACCCAGTGGCCTTCCAAGGGACGTGGGTGATGTCATAGGAGGAACAAAAAGAAGGACTTTTTGTGCCTAAAAGTGAAATCAACTTCAGCAGAGAGTGGGATGCCCACCCCCTTTCTGGGTCTTACATTCAATATCACACAAGATGGGTCGGGGCTGGAACCTCCTGGAACCTGACTCTCAGTCATGGGAGAGGGTAAGGCAGGAGCCCTGGGGATCTGGGAACCTGAGAGGGAGTAGGGTCACCCTTGCTGAGGACAGCCACTACTGGAACCAGACAATAACAGAAAAGAAGGGGGAGGGGAAGCCCCATCTTGCCATCATTGCTGAAAAGCAGGGTATAAAGAAAGAGCCCCACTGTGAAGGTAACTCTCCATCACAGATCCTGGGATAGCGAAGGTCACAGAAGAGAAGGGGGCAAAGCTGCCCTAAAACAGCAAAGGCGACCTGGCTCTGGGACCAACAGAAGGAAAAGAGGAGAGGACTCTGTTTCCTCAGGTTATTTCCTAAGCTGGCCAGCCCTGCCAGAAACACCCATCCTCCAGATAGGCCAGGATGCTGGCTGGCATTTTCTGATGAGGCTTTCCAGGTTCTGCAGATAAGTGTCCAAAAAGACTTGGCAAGTGACCCATAAAGATCACAGGGTTTATAAAACAACCAAGCACCGTTCCGCTCTGGCACGTGCCTCTCGCAAATTCATATTCTTTTCTCTACATTCTGGAGTCTGGATGTGTAAGCTTTGACTGGAGATGGGGTTAGGGGAACAGGATGAAATGCTGATGTGGGAAGACAGGGAGAAGTCACAGCTCAAGGGAAGCAATTCCCCTGCAGCCCACACAAAATTCATCTAATATTTACTTAAAATTAGCCACACCCCAGTCCATGCCTGATCTGAGGCCTCATTAGGCCATAAAGACTCACGTCTTATACAACGGGACTTTGAAAGGTTGTTGACAATGTGTATTATGAAAACAGCTATGCTTGGATTTTCAAAATTTTTGCACCGATGAACTTATACGGACTTTTTAAAATATCTTTGAACAGAATCTAGTTTGAGGCGCTAAGAAGGATAAGACATCAGTTTGAAAAGAGCCCTATCAGGACAACAAAAATTCTGCTAAAATTGATTTCCATAGGTTTTTGAGGAACAAGTGGTGTTTGGTTACATGAGTAAGTTCTTTAGTGGTGATTTCTGAAATTTTGATGCATCCATCACCCGAGCAGTGTGCACTGCACCCTATTTGTAGTCTTTTATCCCTTGCCCCCCTCCTTCCCTTCCCCCCAAGTCCCCAAAGTCCATTGTATCATTCTCATGCCTTTGCATCCTCATAGCTTAGCTCTGACGTATTGGTGAGAACATATGATGTCTACTTTTCCATTCCTGAGTTACTTCACTTAGAGTAATAGTCTCCAGTCTCATCCAGGTGGCTGTGAATGCCGTTAATTCTTTCTTTTTTATGACTGAGAAGTGTTCCATCATATATCTATACCATAGTTTCTTTATCCACTCATTGATTGATGGGCATTTGGGTTGGTTCCACGATTTTGCAATTGTGAATTGTGCTGCTATAAACATGCATGTGCAAATGTCTTTTTCATATGATGACTTCCTTTCCTGTGGGTGGATACCCAGTAGTATGATTGCTGGATCAAATAGTAGTTCTACTTTTAGTTCTTTAAGAAATCTCCACACTGTTTTCCACAGTGGCTGTACTAATTTACATTCCCAACAGCAGTGTAGAATGTTCCCTGATCACTGCATCCATGCCAACATCTATGATTTTTTTATTTTTATTTTTTGATTATGGCCATTCTTTCAAGAGTAATGTGGTATCTCATTGTGGTTTTGATTTGCATTTCCCTGATCATTAGTGATGTTGAGCATTTTTTCATATGTTTGTTGGCCATTTGTATATCTTCTTTGGAGAATTGTCTATTCATGTCCTTAGCCCACTTTTTTTATGGGATTTTTGGTTTTTTCCTTGCTGATTTGTTTAAGCTCACTGTAGATTCTGGATATTAGTCCTTTGTCAGATGTATAGATTGTGAAGGTTTTCTCTGACTCTATGGGTTGTCTGTTGACTTTACTGATGGTTCCTGTTGCCGTGCAAAAGCTCTTTAAATTAGGTCCCAGCTATTTATCTTTTTGTTGTTGTTGTTGTTTGTTTGTTTGTTTGTTTTTCCAGACGAAGTCTAGCTCTGTCTCCCAGGCTGGAGTGTAGTGGCACAATCTTGGCTCACTGCAAGTTCCTCCTCCTGGGTTCATGCCATTCTCCTGCCTCAGCCTCCCGAGTAGCTGGGACTACAGGTGCCTGCCACCACACATGGCTAATTTTTTGTATTTTTAGTAGAGACAGGGTTTCACCATGTTAGCCAGGATTATCTTTGTTTTTATTGCATTTGCTTTTGGGTTCTTGGTCATGAAATCCTTGCCTAAGCCAATGTCTAGAAGGGTTTTTCCAATGTTATCTTCTATAATTTTTGTAGCTTCAGGTCTTAGATTTAAGTCCTTAATTAATCTTTAGTTGATTTTTGTATAAAGTGAGAGATGAGGATCTAGTTTTATTCTCTTACGTGTGGCTAGCCAATTACCCTAGCACCATTTGTTGAAAATGGTGTTCTTTCCCCACTTTATGTTTTTGTTTGCTTTGTCCAAGATCATTAAGTATTTGGGTTTATTTCTGGGTTCTCTATTCTGTTCCATTAGTCTATGTGCCTATTTTTATACCAGTATCCCACTGTTTCTGTGACTATGACCTTATAGTATAGTTTGAAATCAGGTAGTGTGATGCCTCCAGATTTATTCTTTTTTCTTAGTCTTGCTTTGTGTATGCAGGCTCTTTTTTTGGTTCCATATGAATTTTAGAATTGTTTTTTCTAATTCTGTGAAGAATGATAGTGGTATTTTGAGGGGTATAGTACTTAATTTGTAAATTACTTTTGGCAGTGTGGTCATTTTCAAAATATTGATTCTACCCATCCATGAGCATGGAATGTGTTTCCATTTGTTTGTGTCATCCTTGATTTTTTTTAGCAGTGTTTTCTAGTTTTCCTTGTAGAGGTCTTTCACCTCCTTGGTTAGGTATATTCCTAAGGTTTTTGTGTTTTTTTTCAGCTATTGTAAAAGGGATTGATTTCTTGATTTGATTCTCTGCTTTGTCACTGTTGGTGTATATAAGATCTACTGATTTGTTTACATTAATCTTGTATCCTAAACTTTGCTGAATTCTTTTTATCAGTTCTAGGGGCTTTCTGGAGGAGTCTTTAGGGTTTTCAAGGTAAACGATCATATCGTCATAAAACAGTGACAGTTTGACTTCTTCTTTACCGATTTGGATGCCCTTTACTTCTTTCTCTTGTCTGATTGCTCTGGTTAGGACTTCCAGTACTATGTTGAAGAGGAGGAGTGAGAGTGGGCATTCTTGTCTGTTCTAGTTTTCAGAGGGAATGCTTTCAACTCTTCCCCTTTCAGTATGATTTTGCCTTTGGGTTTGTCATAGATGGCTTTTATTACATTGAGGTGTGTCCCTCGTATGCCAGTTTTGCTGAGGTTTTAATCATAAAGGGATGCTAGATTTTGTCAAATGTCTTTTCTGCATCTATTGAGATGATCATGTGATTATTGTTTTTAATTCTGTTTATGTGGCGTATCACATTTATTGACTTGCATATGTTAAGCCATATCTGCATCCCTGGTATGAAACTCACTTGACGATTGTGGATTATCTTTTGGATATGTTGTTGGATTTGGTTAGCTAGTATTTTGATAAAGATTTTAGCATCCATGTTCATCAACCCAAAACTAGTTTTCTTTTTTGGTTATGTCTTTTCTTGGTTTTGATATTAGGGTGATGCTGGATTCATAGAATTAATTTGGGGGTTCCCTCTTTATCTTGTGGAATAGTGTCAAAAGGATTGATATCAATTCTTCTTTGAATGTCTGGTAGATTTCTGCTGTAAATCCATCTGGTCCTGAATTTTTATGTGTTGGTAATTTTTTAATTACCATTTCAATCTTGCTGCTTGTAAATGGTCGGATAAGGGTATCTAATTCTTCCTGATTTAAGCTAGGAGGGTTGTATTTTTCCAGGAATTTATACATCTCTTCCAGTTTTTCTAGTTTATGTGTGTAAAGGTGTTCATAGTAGCTTTGAATGATCTTTTGTATTTCTGTGGTATCAGTTGTAATATCTCTCATTTCGTTTCTTATTGAGGTTATTTGAATGTTCTCTCTTCTTGGTTAATCTTGCTGATGGTCTATCAATTTTATTTATCTTTTTAACATTTTTTTATTTGAGAAAAGCATATATTCTCCCCTTGATTTGCCATTAGGGAATAATTTCAGGTCAAGGCAATCTTTTATAACTTGCAATATGATTGGGAGAAATATGTAATTGAGTGGCTAGTGTAATTTTAGTGTTAATCTTAGCTAAATCTTTCCTGCAATTAATTCCTTCATGGCCTCCACAAACCACCTATGACATGCTAAAACTTTCTGGCTTGTCCTGAATATTCTTCTTTTTAAACAATCAACCATTCTTTTTAGGGCAAGTATTTACCATCCATCCTTATAATTTTTTCAAGATTTCCACAAACTATCTACAACATGCTTAAACTTTCTGACTTGTCCTAAACATCTCTTTTAAACAACGAACTATTTTCTTTTAGACAAGTATTTACCACCCAAGATCCTTTCTTATATAAAATCTCTTTCCCTTACAACCTTCTTTTCATAGCCAGGATATGACATATTACCAAACCCAATAAAAAGTCCTTGCGGGCTCAGTGATAGTAAAACTTTCATGCTTCCTTTTTGTTGGTAACTATTATTTCTGCTGTAAGGATAATAATTAAGCAAAATACTATAGCAATGGAAACTCTCTGTCTGATATTCCAGTTAGAAGGTGTTACAGCTTTTGTCTCATTGCAAATAGAGTGAGTATCGCAATTCCTGCAAGTGTGGTGTAGTAGATAATTTTCATCTAAATTGCCAAGATATAACATTTCCCTTTTGGAGGTCTATGAAGTTACAAATGCAATCCCATGGATAATTAAAACCTTCCTGCAAATATGCATCAAAAGTAAGTTTTAATATCTGGCAGTACATCTAGAGGGGAAAAGTAGAAATGACGGAAAGTAAAAGTAGGACTGAGTAGGATGAGCAGCCCTTGCTCATTTATTTATCCTTTATGATTTTCACCTTAAGATCTCCTATTTCTTCACATTGGTATCCAGGACGTTTATCCGGGCTGTCAAAGGTTGCTCTATCAGCTTTCTAGGTTTGACTCGAGTATGATGTGTCCAGAAGTTGATACCTGTAACTTTTATCATGTTTTGATTAATGTTGTACCGTGATATCCCAGATGAGGTCCCCAATATGAAGCAGCTGCATTGTCTGGGGGATATACTCTGGGGTTCATCATTGTCCACCAGGAAAATTTAGGAGATAGACACATACGAGGAGTTTAGGAGCAGAAGTTTAATAGGCAGAAGAGAAGAGAAAGAGGAACAGCTCTCTATATAGAGAGAGAAGGGTCTCTGAGCAGAAAAGACCCAAAACACATCAAATTTATGGTGAAGCTTGAGTGGAAGAATGGTGAAACATTGATGCTTTGTGAAAATTTCATGGGGACAATGACCCAAAGAAATCAGCAGTTTGCAAATGGATAACTCATTTAAGAACAGATGAGACAATGCTGAAAATGAAGCCCATGACAGTAGAGCATCCAACATTAATTTGCGAGAAAAATATTCATCTTGTTCATGTCCTAATTGAAAAGGACCAATGATTAACTGCACAAAAATAGTCAACATATTAGACACCTCAATTAGTTTAGCTTACACAATTCTGACTGAAAAATTAAAGTTGAGTAAATTTTCTACTCGATGGGTGCCAAAACTCTTGCTCCCAGATCAGCGGCAGACAAGAACAGAACTTTTCACGGAAATTTTAATCAAATGGTATCTCCATCCTGAAGCATTTCTTCAAAGGGTTATTACAGGAGATGAAATATGGCTCTACCAGTACAATCTTGAAGATAAATCACAATCAAAGCAAAGGCTACCAAGAGATGGTGAGGATCCAGTCAAAGCAAAAGTGGACCAATGGAGAGCAAAGGTCGTGGCAATAGTTTTTGAGATGCTCAAGGCATTTTGCTTGTTGACTTTCTGGAGGGCCAGAGAATTATAACATCTACTTATTATAAGAGTATTTTGAGAAAATTAGCCAAAGCTTTAGCAGAAAAATGCCTTAAAAAACTTCATGAGAGAGCCTTTGTCCACCACGACAATGCCCCTACTCATTTCTCTCATTAAACAAGGGCAATTTCCACACTTTCAGTGGGAAATCATTAGGCATTCACCTCACAGCCCTGGTTTGGCTCCTTATTACGTCTTTTTCTCTCTAATATTAAAAAATCTTTAAAGGGCACTCATTTTTTTCAGTGAATAATGTTTAAAAAACCTGATTAACGTGGTTAAATTCCCAGGACCCTCAGTTTTTTTAGGGATGGACTGAACAGGTTTTATCACTGGTTTCAAAAGTTTCTTCATCTTGCTTATGTTGAGAAATAAATGTTTATCTTTAATTCCATTTTTTCACAATATCTTCAAAGTCCTCTGTTACTTGGCTTGGGTCCCTGGGGCACAAAATAGACAATGCACAATTTCCTGGAGTGTTGTTGTTATTATTCAAAAATAAAACAAGGGTATCTGTATTAGTTTAGCTAGTTTGTTCAGCAACGAAGTAGCAAAGACTGGGTGGCTTAAATAACAAACATTTATTTTCTCATAGTTCTGGAGGCCAGAAGTACAAGATCAATGTGTCATCAGGGTTGGTTTCTCTTGAGGTTGAGGCCTCTCTCCTTGGCTTGCAGATTACTACCTTATTTCTGTCTTTTCACATGGTCATCTCCTGTGCATGTGCACCCCGGGTGTCTCCTTGTGTGTTCAAATTTTCTCTTCTTACAAGGACACCAGTCAGATTAGATTAGGATCCACCCATATAGCATCATTTTACCTCTTTAAAGGATCTGTTTTCAAATATAATCACATTCTGAAGTGCTGGAGGAATATGAATTTGGAGGAATACAATTCAGCTCACAACAGCATTCAGATTAAAAAACAAAAAGTAAATCATTTCTATTCACAGGTAAAATAATCTGATAAATAGAAAAATACCAAAGAAGCCATTAAAAAACTATTAAAGCTAATAAAAGCATTCAGCAAAGTTGCAGAATACCAAATCAACAAAAAAGTTTTATTTCTACACATTATTAATAAATAACCTGAAATGAAAATTTAGAAACAATGCAATTTACTATAGTATCAAAAAATAGTATGCTTAGTAATAAATTTAACCAAGAGGAGCAACACTTGTACACTGAAAACTAGAAAACTTTACTGAAATAAATTGAAGAATACCTAAACAAATGAAAGACATCCCATGTTCATGGATTGGAAGACTTAATATTGTTGAGATGGCAATACACACAAAGTGATCTATAGATCTATTAATTTGCACACTTTATGTATGTACATTATATGTGAATAACAAGGAAAAGAAGAGAAAGAAAGAAAACAAAAACAAAGCCGTTTTCATCACATTTTGAGAGAAAAGAATCCAAATGGTATCCAATAAGTCCTTAGTTATCTTTCCAACTCCCCTCTCCTCTTCCTTACTATAGCATACTCCCACTTTATAGATTCTGACGACAGAACAAGATGGAATCAGAGATTCAGTATTTGTGTATCTGAAGACTATTATGGTAGTCTTAAAAAAGGCTTGCCCCAAAAATGGACCAGACTTCCCTTTACGCCCACAGGATGCTCCTAGGACCAAAGATAGATGCCAGAAAAGCTTCAACTCAGTGGTAACCAGTGCTCATGCCTGAGAACTGCCCATGGAACCATATGCCATGTGGTGCATCATGCTCCCATCCCTGCCTGGGGCCAAACAGAACCTTAGGTACTTCTGTCTGGACACTGCAAAAGGCACTGTCCAGTTCTACTAATTGGACCAGACCAGAAGCAACTCCTCCTACCTTGACTGGTTGCTGCTGCCTGACCCATCCACCTCTGCTTCCCCAGTGGGATCAGGCACACAGTCATCCTGGAGAATTTCAGCCAGTGGAGCTTCCGTGCAAAATTCTGTGACCCTGGGTGGACAAAGGTGGTGATGCTACCAAAGAACGATGTCTAGGGAGGCCACCAGGGCATCTGCAGAGAAGCAGAGAGCTTCCAATTCCTAATAGACATGACTCAAACCTTAAGAGATGTCGAGATATCAGGGGAGGTGTGCAGAGGACCCTGTAACTGATGCATCCCTCAAACCCCCTTCAGGAATGAAGAGCATAGCCCCAGCTCCAGAGCCCTCAGCTGCATGGTCAGTTCCTCCATGATTGCCTGGCCTGGAGAGAGCCCCCATCCAAAGTTACGCCTTCTTCTGGGGATGGCATCCACAGACTGCTCAATGTGGCCCATGAGGGTCTGGGCCCCTTGTCCCTCCAAGACAACTCTGAAGGGTTGTCTCAGCCTTCAAAGTCCCCATAGAATGGGAAGGGGTCTCAGCAGAGTCAGCATCACAGCCTGCCACTCCCTCTACATTGCTCTGTGTCTTTCTCGTCCCTTCCTAGCAGTGATCCCAGGAGCACCCTTAATGATGCTGAAGAAGAAAGAGTTAAAAGATGAGACAAAAAGTGAGTGTCCTTTCAGCTCCCCAAGCTGTAAGCAGCTCTTTCCTTAGCAACCTAACATATCGGTTCACAGTTTCTGTGTTTATTTTTTCTCCCAGCCAGAGCAAATCTAGACTGCTTGCTTTGGGCTGAATGTTGAAGAAGGCAGCACTGTTGGCAGGCAGAGGGGCTGTGGGCTGTCCGTCTTCCTCTTCCTCCGCTAAGGGAAACAATGGCAGGATCCAGTTGCTTATCTGCCTGCTTATCTAGCAAGCTGCTGGGTGTCTGGATCCTGCAGGGGCAGTGGGGGAGAGCCCTTAGCTCAGCACTGCCCTCCTGTGCTGGGGCAGGCATGGCAAAGCCCATGAAGTTGCTTCCCTCAGATAACCTTGTGTTTCCACCTGGAGAGGGGAAATAAAGACACATCACATCATTGGATTATGAGGAGTAAATTATAGAACGCACACACACAGTGATGGCATTCAAAAAATATCAGCTGTGGCCACCACTGTCTCAGCTCTTTGAACTTGGACTTGCAGGACTGGCCTCACTTGCAGGTACTGTGGCAAATTTCTCCCCATTTACAGTGACCTTCTGTTGACACTAAAATAGCTGTAGGTATGCATGGTGAGAAAATGTTAGACTTTATCCAAGAGTCAGGTTGCAAGACCAAGCTTCTCTACTTCCTGGCTATCTAGCTTTAAACAAGTCATATATTTGAGCCTCCATTTTCTCACAAACTCATTTCTCATGGATAGACAAACTTGAGAATCTGGTGAAATAACTCATATAAGAGGTCTTGACACCCCCAGCAAGCATTGGCTGATTCGAAGTCCACGGTGTAAAATGTAAGAAGGATTTGGTTATGCTGATAAGTAAATTTACCTGATCAGGACAGGTAGAGGAGCTCAAACTGACAAACAATACAGTGGCTGGGAAGAGAGGAAGATAACAGGAAGAACCTGTTATCTGAATGGTGGGCTGAGGAGGGCATTCCTAGAAAAAGGGAAGACACTGTCCTGAGTGTATTCTGCTCAGACCCATCTACTGTTTTATGAAACACCCTCCTATGGCTCCATTTCCTCAACACAATGGCCTGTCTTGTGTCACTGAACATGTTCTATGGCCTGCCTGTAATGTCTTCCTTCTCCCCTCCCATGCTCACCTCCACCCCAGTAAACTCCTATTCATCCCTCAAAACCCCAGCTCTGCCATCAAGTCTTCCAGGAAGGCTCTCCCAGCACCATCCTCACCTGCAGGTGGGTTTTGCACCACATCTATGCTTTGACCTGGGCTGCTGTTGGACAGTTGCCATGAGCCCAGACCTCTCTGAGAGCATGTGGAGCACCCTTTATGACACAAACAAGAGCTCAAGGATGGTGGCTGGGGTTCAGTCTGCCGCTGCAAATACCAAAAGCTGTCCTCATTGAGTCATCCCTCCCAGAGCAGGAAGAGCAGAGGTTCTGGGAAACAACCCCAAGGAGAGAGACAGGGCATTTGTGAGCTGTGCAGCCTCCCTGCTGGGACATAGGGAACTCTAGCTGGAGATGAGCAGGGCCTGAGTCTGAGGGTGGCCCTGCTGAAAGCACAGTAATAGGAGTTATAATCAGCTAAGAGCAGGAAATCTACTTTATTTTTCTAATGTTATTCTTTGCTTTCTAGATAAAACAGCATGTAAGCATCTCTGCAGTTGCTGTCCCCAGAGCCCACTTCCTGGATATTGCCAGCTGCCTGGACCAACCTTTCCGAAAGATCAGCCAGGTCACAGTGAGGGTCAAAGGTGAGCCACGGGCCTCAGCAGCTGCTGAGTGGATGGTGCGTGGGACTCAGGAAGTGACGTTCTCTCCCCGCCCAGCCCCCTTCCTCAGTCTATTGCTCCGAATCCTGGACCACACACTGCGTGCTGAGGCTCCATCGCTGTGCTGGGTGAGGGGTGGAGGACTGTCCAGCTGACAGCCACCCAGGAGGCCTGCCCAGGAGACCCAGCCCAGCCTCTCCTTGGAACCTGAAGAACTCCAGGCAGCTGATGGGACACTGGGGCCCAGGTCAGCCCCTCCCCTTCCCTGAGGTTGCCTGAGGACGCCTTCACTGTTCTAGAGAAGGAGGCCCTCCCCATGGCTGGGGACAGTCACAGCAGCTGCAGACAGATGATGGGAGGGAGCATTCTTTCCCTAACCCTAGAGGCGGGCGAGCATTCACCAAGTGTTGTTGTTAAAGAAAAAAAGAAAGAAAAAGAAACCAGGATTGTACCTGAGGTCAGGCAGACAGTGCTCAACTCAGCACTGGGAAGATTGCTAGAAGCCTTGGGCCTATCTAGGAAGACTGGGCCAACATGCGATCCCCTCTGCAAGGTGGAGGCCATGCACCTGCCTCCTGCTCCTGAGCTCCGGTATCCTCACTGTGACCCAGGCCCCACTGCAGCAAAGAGACACTGGGAATTAGCCCTTCTGTCCCCTCCTTGCCAGAAGGTGGGAAGATGTGTTGGTTGAGGGCCTAGAATTTTTTTCATCCCCAAAGACTTTCTTTTTTTAATATTATTATACTTTAAGTTCTAGGGTACATGTGCACAACGTACAGGTTTGATACATAGGTATGCATGTGCCATGTTGGTTTGCTGCACCCATCAACTCGTCATTTACATTTGGTATTTCTCCTAATGCTATCCTTCCCCCAGCCCCCAAACCCCTGACAGGCCCTGGTGTGTGATGTTCCCCACCCTGTGTCCAAGTGATCTCATTGTTAAATTCCCACCTGTAGGTGAGAACATGCGGTGTTTGGTTTTCTGTCCTTGTGATAGTTTGCTGAGAATGATGGTTTCCAGCTTCATCCATGTCCCTACAAAGGACATGAACTCATACTTTTTATGGCTGCATAGTATTCCATGGTGTATATGTACCACATTTTCTTAATCCAGTATCATTGATGAACATTTGGGTTGGTTCCAGCTCTTTGCTATTGTGAATAGTGCCACAATAAACATACATGTGAATGTGTCTTTATAGTAGCATGATTTATAATCCTTTGGGTATATACCCAGTAATGGGATGGCTGGGTCAAATGGTATTTCTAGTTCTAGATCCTTGAGGAATTGCCACAGTGTCCTCCACAATGGTTGAACTAATTTACACTCCCACTAACAGTGTAAAAGTGTTCCTATTTCTCCACATCCTCTCCAGTATCTGTAGTTTCCTGACTTTTTAATGACTGCCATTCTAACTGGCATGAGATAGTATCTCATTGTGGTTTTGATTTGTATTTCTCTGATGACCAGTGACGATGAGCATTTTTTCATGTGTCTGTTGGCTGCATAGATGTCTTCTTTTGAGAAGTGTCTGTTCATATCCTTTGCCTACTTTTTGATGGGGTTGTTTGTTTTTTTCTTGTAAAATTGATTGAGTTATTTGTAGATTCTGGATATTAGCCCTTTGTCAGATGGGTAGATTGCAAAAATTTTCTCCCATTCTGTAGGTTGCCTGTTCACTCTGATGGAAGTTTCTTTTGCCTTGCAGAAGCTATTTCGTTTAATTAGATCCCACTTGTCTATTTTGGCTTTTGTTGCCATTGCTTTTGGTGTTTTAGTCATGAAGTCCTTGCCCATGCCTGTGTCCTGAATGGTATTGCCTAGCTTTTCTTCTAGGGTTTTGATGGTTTTAGGCCTAACATTTAAGTCTTTAATCCATCTTGAATTAATTTTTGTATAAGGTGTAAGGAAAGGATCCAGTTTCAGCTTTCTGTATATGGCTAGCCAGTTTTCCCAGCACCATTTATTACATAGGGAATCCTTTCCCTATTTCTTGTTTTTGTCAGGTTTGTCAAAAATCAGATGGTTGGAGATATGTGGCGTTATTTCTAAGGGCTCCGTTCTGTTCCATTGGTCTATATATCTGTTTTGGTACCAGTACCATGCTGTTTTGGTTACTGTAGCCTTGTAGTATAGTTTGAAGTCAGGTAGCTTGATGCCTCCAGCTTTGTTATTTTTGCTTAGGATTGTCTTGGCAATGTGGGCTCTTTTTTGGTTCCATATGAACTTTAAAGTAGTTTTTTCCAATTCTGTGAAGAAAGTCATTGGTAGCTTGACAGGGATGGCATTGAATCTATAAATTACCTTGGGCAGTAAGGCCTTTTTCACAATATTGATTCTTCCTATCCACGAGCATGGAATGGTCTTCCATTTGTTTGTGTCCTCTTTTATTTTGTTGAACAGTGGTTTGTAGTTCTCCAACTTCACACCCCTTGTAAGTTGGATTCCTAGGTATTTTACTCTCCTTGTAGCAATTGTGAGTGGGAGTTCACTCATTATTTGGCTCTCTGTTTGTCTGTTATCAGTGTATAGGAATGCTTGTGATTTTTGCACATTGATTTTGTATCCTGAGACTTTGCTGAAGTTGTTCATTTTGTTATTTACCCAGTAGTCATTCAGGAGTAAGTTGTTCAGTTTCCATGTAGTTGTGTGTTTTTGAGTGAGTTTCTTAATCCTGAGTTCTAATTTGATTGCACTGTGGTCTGAGAGACAGTTTGTTGTGATTTCTGTTCTTTTACATTTATTGAGGCATGCTTTACTTTAAAATGTGGTCAATTTTACAATAAGTGTGATGTGGCACTGGGAAGAATGTATATTTTGTTGATTTGGGGTGGAGAGTTCTGTAGATGTCTATTAGGTCTGCTTGGTGCAGAGCTGAGTTCAAGTCCTGGATATCCTTGTTAACCTTCTGTCTCGTTGATCTGTCTAATGTTGACAGTGGGGTGTTAAAGTCTCCCATTATTATTGTGTGGGAGTCTAAGTCTCTTTGTAGGTCTCTAAGGACTTGCTTTATGAATCTGGGTGCTCCTGTATTCACTGGATATATATTTAGGATAGTTAGCTCTTCTTGTTGAATATATCCCTTTACCATTATGTAATGGCCTTGTCTCTTTTGATCTTTGTTGGTTTAAAGTCTGTTTTATCAGAGAGTAGCATTGCAACCTCTGCTTTTTTTTGCTTTCTATTTGCTTGGTAGCTCTTCCTCCATCCCTTTATTTTGAGCCTATGTGTGTCTTTGCACGTGAGATGGGTTTCCTGAATACAGCACACTGATGGGTCTTGACTCTATACAATTTGCCAGTCTGTGTCTTTTAATTGGGGCATACTACCTATTTACATTTCAGGTTAATATTGTTATGTGTGAATTTGATCCTGTCATTATGAAGTTGGCTGGTTATTTTGCCCGTTAATTGATGCAGTTTCTTTCTAGCATCGATGGTCTTTACAATATGGCATGTTTTTGCAGTGGCTGGTACCAGTTGTTTCTTTCCATGTTTAGTGCTTCCTTCAGGAGCTCTTGTAAAGCAGGCCTGGTGGTAACAAAATCTCTCAACATTTGCTTGTCTGTAAAGGATTTGATTTCTCCTTCACTTATGTAGCTTAGTTTGGCTGGATATGAAATTCTGGGTTGAAAATTCTTTTCTTTAACAATGTTGAATATTGGCCCTCACTCTCTTCTGGCTTGTCGGATTTCTGCTGAGAGATTCACTGTTAGTCTGTTGGGCTTCCCTTTGTGGGTAACCCGACCTTTCTCTCTGGCTGCCCTTAATATATTTTCCTTCATTTCAACCTTGGTGAATCTGACAATTTTGTGTGTTGAGGTTGCTCATCTCCAGGACTATCTTTGTGGTGCTCTCTGTATTTCCTGAATTTGAATGTTGGCCTGCCCTGCTAGATTGGGGAAGTTCTCCTGGACAATACCCTGAAGGTTGTTTTCCAACTTGGTTCCATTCTCCACATCACTTTCAGGTACACCCATCAAACGTAGATTTGGTCTTTTCACATAGTCCCATATTTTTTGGAGGCTTTGTTTGTTTCTTTTTACTCTTTTTTCTCTAACCTTATCTTCTCACTTTATTTCATTAGTTTGATATTCAATCACTAATACCCTTTCTTCCACTTGATCGAATCAGTTATTGAAGCTTTTGCATGTGTCATGAAGTTCTCGTGCTGTGGTTTTCAGCTCCATCGGGTCATTTAAGGTCTTCTCTACATTGTTTTTTCTAGTTAGCCATTCTTCTAACCTTTTTTCAACGTTTTTAGCTTCATTGCAATGGGTTCAAACATGCTCCTTTAGCTCAAAGAAGTTTGTTATTACCAACCTTCTGAAGCATATTTCTGTCAACTCGTCAAATTCCTTCTCCATCTGGCTTTGTTCTGTTGCTGACGAGGAGCTGTGATCCTTTGGAGGAGAAGAGGCACTCTGATTTTTAGAATTTTCAGCTTTTCTGCTCTAGTGTCTCCCCATCTTTGTGGTTTTATCTACCTTTGGTCTTTGATGTTGGTGACCTACAGATTGGGTTTTGGTGTAGATGTCCTTTTTGTTGATGTTGATGTTATTCTTTTTTGTTCATTAGTTTTCCTTCTAACAGTCAGGTCCCTCAGCTGCAGGTCTGTTGGAGTTTGCTGGAGGTCCACTCCAGACCCTACTTGCCTGGGTATCACCAGCGGAGGCTGCAGAACAGCAAATATTGCAGGTGGTAAATATTGCTGCCTGATCCTTCCTCTGGAAGCTTTGCCCCAGAGGGGCACCCACCTATATGGGGTGTCTGTCAGCCCCTACTGGAAGGTGTCTCCCAGTTAGGCTACATGGGGGTTAGGGACCCTCTTGAGGAGGCAGTCTGTTCATTCTCAGAGCTCAAATGCCATGCTGGGAGAACCACTGCTCTCTTCAGAGCTGTCAGACTGGGACGTTTAAGTCTGCAGAAGTTTCTGCTGCCTTTTGTTCAGCTATGCCCTGCCCACAGAGCTGGAGCCTAGAGGCAGTAGGCCTTCCTGACCTCTGGTGGGCTCTACCCAGTTCAAGCTTCCTGGCCACTTTGTTTACCTGCTCAAGTCTCAGCAATTGTGGATGCCCCTCCCCCAGCCAAGCTGCCACCTCACAGTTCAATCTCAGACTGCTGTGCTAGCAGTGAGCAAGGCTCTGTGGGCATGGGACTTGCCAAGTCAGGCACGGGAGAGAATCTCCTTGTCTGTTGGTTGCTAAGACCTTGGGAAAAGTGCAGTATTTGGGTGGGAGTGTACTGTTTTTCCAGGTACCATCTGTCACAGCTTCCCTTGGCTAGGAAAGGGAAATCACCCAACCCCTTGTGTTTCCCAGGTGAGGCAACACCCGGCCTGCTTCAGCTTGCCCCCCGTGGGCTGCACCCACTGTCCAACCAGTCCCAATGAGATGAACCAGGTACCTCAGTTGGAAATGTGGAAATTACCCATCTTCTCTGTCAATCATGCTGGGAGCGGCAGACTGGAGCTGTTCCTACTCAGCCTTCTTGGAACAGAGCCCCCCTCACAAAGGACTTTCTCTGGCTAACTCTGATGCTTTTCTGAGTTCTTACCTAAATTTCCCCTTCTCCTTCTGTGGCCCTGCCAGTTTTGTTTTGTTTTGTTTTGTTTTGTCCTTATCACTACCCTTGCTGCCTCCTCAAATTATCCAGAGCCACTGTTGTTTTCTAGAACATTGGCAAGCACGTTGATAGAGTGCCCACATTGTACTGAACTCTGAGGGGAATAGTCTCGTCCCCATCACTCAGGTGGGGAAACTGAGGTGAGGTTAGTTTAAAGTGGGTAAGCAGTGGGTTTGGAATTGGAGCTCTGGCTGGCTGGCTCATGTCCGTGCTCTTCCCACCACAGCAGGAGGCCACTGGAGGCTCCAAGGGCTCTGAAATGTTGAGAACTTCCCTGCAGGTACCAGCGAAGAGGGCAAGAACACAGCACTACTTCCTTGGATACTGTTTCCCTCCTCAGAGGGGTTTTCTGAGCTGCCCTGGGTCCTGTGAGGAAGGTAGGAATTACATTTCACTAGGGAACAGCCAGGGTCACCTCCTTGCCTGAGGCCCCACCATCCCATCAGCCTGGATGGGCCTGCTCAGCAGCCACACTCGCCCCTAGGCCGAGAAGGGGTGGGGCTCGGTTCCACAGAGTCTCCCAGGGCCTCAGGCAGGTACTCTAGGCTGATTCCATCTCCAGGTTCGCAAGTAAAAAAAAAGTCAACTGCCCAAAAGACTTCTCTTAGAACTCACAGCAGGTTAGGCTGGCAGGTGGAGTCTATGCTCGGGTGGTCCCATCTGCCAGGCCTGATGTTCCAGGTGAAGAGATTGGTGAGCACCAGGTGACCCCACCCAGGTGCACGTGGCTCTGTCGGGTACAGGCAAGTCTCTGCCCACCAAAGGGACACCACAAGGGCCCAGGCAAAGCAGAGCCTTTCTCACTGGGTGTCTGCTGGTGCTGATGTCACCAAGGAACACACCCCGGGCAGCTTAAACCACAGACGTTTATTCTTGCATAGGGCTGGAGGTCACAAGTCTGAGATCAAGGTGCTGGACAGCCTGGCTCTTCCTGAGGGTGGCTGGCAGGTCCAGTGCAGGCCTCCCACCTTGGCTGGTGGACAGCCATCTGCTCCCTGGCTCTCCATATCACCTTCCCCTTGTGCCTGTCTCTCTCCAGATCTCCCCTTCCTGTAAAGACACCAGTCCTACTGGATCAGGGCCCACCCGTGTGACTTCACTTTTACTTGAGTACCTCTCACAGACCCTAACTCCAAATCAGGTCACTTGCTGAGGTACTGCATGTGAAGACTTTGACATTTGAATTTTGAGGGGGCCACCGTTTAACCTGAACCACCAAGGACAGAGCCAAAGACCCTGGGTGACAGGCCCAGAACAGGACCTGGTGGAGGCTCTTCTTTAGGGGAGAGAGGGAAATGGGAGCCACCACTGGCAGAGCCTGAAGGCAGGGCAGCCAGAAAGAAGCTGTGGGAGTCCCCACCATGGAAGACCCTGCCGAGCATCCTGTGTCTCCTGAAGCAGACCCTGACATGAGGACTGGGGGCACGTGTTTATTAAGGGCGATCCCCGGAAGGAGGAGATAACCAGGTAGGGAAGGAGGGAACCCCAGGGCAGGGCTCTAGAGAGAGAGGATGACCCTCAGGAGCAGGAGGGTGCACCTGAAACCAGACCCAGCAAGAGATGGAAGCCCTGGGAGCAGCCCCACTCCAGGTCCTCTGCAGGAGTGACCCAGCTGCCACCAGGCTGCCCTGCCCAGCTCAGCAGGCCCTACGGGTGCAGGGAAGCAGATGGGCAGTGAGATCTGGGACCGGTATAGAACCACAGCTGCCACAACTGCCCATGGCTCCCTCCCTTCTTTGACGTCAGAGTGAGCAGGGCGGTTTCTGCTGCCTTCGCATTCCAGCCCCACACACCTCCCTGCAGCCTGGCACTGGAAACTGCTGAGCCATGCAGGGCAGCCTGGTGGCGGCTAGGACACTTCTGCAGAGGACCTGGAGTTGGGCTGCTCCCGGGGCTCCCATCTCTTGCTGGGTCTGTTTTCAGGTGCACCCTCCTCCTCCAGGAGGCAGGGGCAAGACCAGCTTCAGCCCTTCTTGCTCTCCATGGTCTGTATATGGACAGGGTGTGGGCCCGGGGAGACAGTTGTGTGGTGTGTGCATTGTGTGTGTGGGGGGGGTTGTCTGTGTGTCTGTGAATATTTGTGTGATATGTGTGTAGTATGCTCATGTGTCATGACTCTGTGAGGGTGTGATGGAAGAGTGTGTGTAAGAGAGAAGTTTGAGTGTGTGTGGTGTGTGCATCTGGTGTCTGTGGGTGATGTTTGTGTACATAGTGTCTGTGTGTGTGATGTCGGTGTGTTGTGTGGGTTTGTGTGTGTATATAGTGTCTGTGTGTGTGATGTCAGCGTGTTGTGTAAGGATTTATGTGTGTGTGTGGTGTCTGTGTTTGTGATGTTGGTGTGTTGTGTGTGGGTCTATGTTTGTGTGTGATGTTGGTGTGTGTGATATCAGTGTGTTGTGTGTGGGTTTATGTGTGTGTGTGTGATGTCTGTGTCTGATGGTGTGTTTTGTGTGGGATTGTGTGTGTGTGTGTGGTGTCTGTGTGTGTGATGTCAGTGTGTTGTGTGTGGGTTTATGTGTGTGATGTCGGTGTGTGTGATGTCAGTGTGTTGTGTGTGGGTTGATATGTGTATGTGTGATGTTGGTGTGTTGTGTGTGCATTTATGTGTGTGTGGTGTCTGTGTGTGTGATGTCAGTGTGTTGTGTGTGGGTGTATATTTGTGCATCATGTCAGTGTGTGTGATGTCAGTGTGTTGTGTGTGGGTTTATGTGTGTGTCTGATTTTGGTGTGTTGTGTATGGGTTTATGTGTGTGTGGTGACTGTGTGTGATGTTGGTGTGTTGTGTGGGTTTATGTGTGTGGTGTCTGTGTGTATGATGTCAGTGTGTTGTGTAGGTTTATGTGTATGTGATGTTGGTGTGTGTAATGTCAGTGTGTTGTGTGTGGGTTTATATGTGTTTGTGTGATATTGGTGTGTTGTGTGTGGGTTTATGAGTGTGCATGGTGTCTGTGTGATGTTGGTGTGTTGTGTGGGTTTGTGTGTGTGGATGTGGTTTCTGCCTATGGGAGGAGGTTTGCTCACAGATGGAGGAGAAGGAGCTCTATAGGCAAAGATCCCAGGGCCGTGGAGGAGGAGACACAGTCCTGAGAACTCCTTCCTCTGAATCAGAAGGACAGGAAAGGTGGGATTTTAAAGGAACAGAGAACCCTGGTGGGAGAGGTGAATCTGAGCTCCTCGGGCCATCGGGTGTCCTGTGGAGCAGAGGCAGGCCCGTGAGGGTGATTTTCAGAATGCTGCCTGCTTCTGAGAGTGAGATGAAGACCCTCTGGGGTCCCGTTGATGTCACCAATGTCGCCTGTCTTGAGGCATCTCTGGTCCAGACCTGGCTGGGAGAGAGAGCTATGGGTGGAGATGCACTGGGTGGGTGCTGGTGGGAGGGGAGGGCTGGCTTTTCCTCAGCCCCCAGACTTAGAGAAGATCACACGCAAGAGCTTGGAAGTCCTGGGAGGAAGTATGATCCCGAATCCTGGCACACTTGATCATGCGTGACAGGGACTTAAGAAAGCCCCTAATTATAGCCGTGTGGGGTTTGTCTCCCTTCTGAAGCTTGGCGCCCGTGTGCTCAAGGCAAGGGCGTGACCAAGGTAAGAGACCCCTTCTCTCCCTTAGGCAGAAGTCCTAGCAGAGTATGCCCACGCTGGTTAGTGCTGCTGCAAAGATGAGCCGAAGACCATGAGAGACCTCCAGGTGGTCCTTCTGGGGAGAAGAAATGGGTTTTGGCCCCAAATCCTTCTGCTGCATTTTTCCCCTATCCCTGGGAAGCCATGAGACCTCAAACCTGTGTTCCCAAGGAGGCGAGCTGCTGTTCCCAGGTGATGATATGATGTGCTTGGGGAAAGTAAGTGGCTGCCAGACATGGCTGAGAGCTGTTGTCACTGCCGTCAAGTGCATGTCTCCAAGCCATATCACACGGCGTCCCTCGATGTGAGGCCACATGGCAAGTGGGCCGTGGATCTCCCTCTGCCCTTTGCAAGCACGTAAGACAGCAGATTTTGCAGATACCTTGTGGCGCAGGGGAATTTCCTTTGGCCAGGTCTGAAGAAATAAAGCAGCAGGCACCGAGAACAAAGCCAAGGCTTTCAAAAGACAAGGAGCCAAAAAACTTACTCAAAATAAAAGTAGTTTTAAAATGTCTCTGCCATTGGTAGTCTCATTTTCTTTTTAATGTAGGAAATAGTCAAGTATTAAAATGACCAAAATGAAACAAGTGCCTCATGGACTGAGAAGGAAGGAGGAAGATAAAAAATGAAACCAGGACAGAGAAGAGAGGGAGGTTCTGGGTGTATTTGCTTTGGGATTACATGTGCGCATGTCTTGTTTTTCCCTTTTATATCTCCCTCATCTGAAATATGTAGCAAAGAAAAATTTAAGCTGTAAGAGGGAAACTTTTTCCAAACAGTGAAGTTTACCAAACTGTGGCCTGAGATCTATATTCACATTCTAAAAAACCATGCCCAATTCCCCACGCTAACAGCAGCTCCAGACCAAAGAGCAGCTCTTGTCTTGACCAAAGTGAATAACTATCTTAACACGAGGTGACTAGAAACCATCTGTCTTGAGACCAGAGAGGAGACCTGTGGTCAGTGACGCTGTTCAGCAAATACTTGCCATTCCTGACCTCCAGGCTCAAGGAGGGATTGGCCACCCTGGTCCCCTAGGAAGATGGGGCCATGTGCTGGCTCTGGACAATGGTCATGATGGAAATGGCATCTGCTCTTGCAGGCCAAAGAGTTTAATTGCCTCCAGAGCTCTCCTTCCCTCTGCAACAGTGACCTACAATGTCCAGGTAGCAGTCCTTCCATCACCTTGAATCTCAGAGTAAGAATGACATGGAGTAGAGCCCCCCAGGTAAGCTGTATTGAACATGTAACATGTAGATGAAATCAACTGTTGTTTAAATTCACTAAGTGTGAATTACATAGCACAACTATACTTATCTTAATTGACACAAGATGAGTTTGTTTCTTAGCTGACCAATAGCAAAAATCCAATAAACAGATGAATAAATTAATAAATAGATGGATGAATGGATGGATGGATGGATGGATCAGTGGATGGGTGGGTGGATAGATGGAGCTGTTAGATATGGCTCTTTGTTTATAAATCTCAACCACAAACTTTGTCACTTCTCCAGAATAAAACTCCTACATGGTAGGGACTCTGTGAATGTTATTAAAATGAGAGAGCTATTAGAAGCCAAGAGATGAGGCTGATTTTTACCTCTGGCTTTAGAATATTTGGTGCCACTGTGTATAAGCTTTACCCACCATTGACAAAAAGGGACCCACTATGGACACCTCAGGAAGTTCTTCAGCCTGCAGGCACTTCTGTTCCGGGTAGGGATTCAGGTTATCTAAACTCCAACCAAGTGTGACCAATAACTCTTGTTGCTCCTATAGCCTCAGCAAGAACACAAGCAAATATGCTCTCATTTTTGATAAAAAGCATGTCTATGATTGTTGATGTGCAAATATAAAGAGCCAAGCATGGAGAAAGAAGAACAAGAGTTAAAACATACCTCAGTGACCACCACCAGCCCTTACATACCTGCCCTGTCCTGGTCCCCTTCTCCAGGTGCCCTCTTCAAAGTATCCCAAACCAGAGAAACAATATAACCAGTGACCATCAGGGAGATTTCAGTTCCAGACCTAGGACCTGCAATGAATTTCAGGGGAAAAGTGCTTTCCTTTTTTATCATCTACTCAGAGGATGTTGACTGACAGCTAAAACTACTCAAAGGGTACAAAATTCAGCCTTATGGTTTCAAGAATAGTCAACCCTGCATGTGAAATCATCAGAGAATGGAGATTTGCCCCCTGTCCAGGCAGGCTCTTAAATTTGCAGTTCAGATATAAAAAAAAGGTCTCACTTGTTTACTTATCTGTTTTGCATATATTTTTTATTTTCTGTTGAGTATGATATTTGATATAAAAAAAAAAAAACTTTTTAGCTGAGGATGGCTTCTGGGGTTAGCCAGTTCTTAGAGACAGCAGAAGACTCAGCTGGGAGCATGCCTTTGATGCACCAACTAACCCATCCAGAGCCATTCCCTTCTATCTGGCCTGTACATCTCAAAAGGCAATATTCCTCTACCTTGACAAGCCCAGGGCCAGCTACCAGGCAACTAGAGACCACCAAAAGCCCCCTAAAATTATTCCAATTGGCCAATTCTAAATTGTTCACACTGCCCTGTTTTGCCTTTTCCATCGAAACCAAAATAAGGACTGAGGTCCAAGCTGTCCCTAGCTCCTGTCTTCTGCCATCTGACCAAAGCTTGGTGCTTCCAATGTGGCCCTGAGTTGTATGTGGTGGCCTCCTCTCTGGAACTGTGCGTGTAGTCAACTTTGTCTTTCTCACGTCTCCTTGGTGGTGGCATCTGACTGATTATCTCATAAAGAAACACAAAACATTACTGTTTCTGTTTCTGATCTTTAAAGCCAATGAGAATAGACATGCCCAGTGCTGCTGGGCAGGGCAACAGGCGCTCAGCACTGCTGTGGGAAAATGAACTCCTGCAATCTTTCTGGAGGGCAAACATCAACAAGGCTTGCCAACCTTTAACATGTGCACACACTGCCTCCCAGCCACTCCAATTCTAGGAATTTATCCTAAGAAGATAATGAGTTAATTGCAAATATGAATATCCAAAAGTGTTTATCACTGTTTAACATAGAATCATGAAAATTTGGAAACAACTACCATGGACTATGGTAGGGGATGGAATAAATAAACTTTGATGCCATATGCAGTAGAATGCATAAAACCTGCATTTGAAAAAAGTATTGTGTGCCACGAGAAAATACTGTATGATAAAGATCTTTTAAGGCTCTATGACATTTTCTGTATGATTCCGTTTAATTGTGTAAGTCTGTATATAAACAATGCTATTAACATCAACATGCTCTGTGGTGGGTTATAGGAGATTTTTATTCACGTCTCAGTACTCTTCTGTATTTTCAAATTCTTGACTGTAAAAATCTACTTCTCTAGAATAAGAAGAAAAAATCTATAATTTTTTAATTGATGGGGAAACAAACCTTGAATGATAGGAACCAACAGTTTTGTCAGTTATTCATAATTAATGCTATCAGTATTTAGTAGTTCTCTTCAAGCATGCAGGTTTACAAAACACCACTGGTTTATCATCTTGTGAATCAAGACCCATTTTCTTGAGTATAGAGGCTCTGGCATGGTGAAAACACTGAACACTTAATTCACAAGAGCTCAAGCAAGACTTGGCAAAAAAAGAAAAAAAAATCAAATCATTTTATGGATAAAGAACAAAGCCAAGGTGGAGATGGCCCCTTTCTCTTCTTTGTTAAAACTGATCATTGATCATTGATGGAACATGGAACTTGGGGTTTGGGGGGATTTGTTTGTTTGTTATTTGTGGTGGGGAAAAAAGTTTTCAAAATAGGCTTTGGCATAGCCCTGCCTGGGGTCAGGCTGAACTGTAAAAGCATTTCTATGATTGTTGAGCTCACTCAGTAGACTGAGTGTGAAGGGCTCTAGATCCCAAGACGGTCCAGAGAAGTCGTCGTGCATATGTAGGCAGCTCACACACCTCTGACTTCATGCAGCGATAATTAGCTCCTAAACTCAGTTTCAATTTGTTCACGCAACTCTTACCACTCCCAACCTCCACTCATCAAAGATCTGGGCTGGGTGTACTCAGTGGTGTTAATTTGGTGTCATTTATGTTCAGACATTAAGCAACGCTTATGGGATAAACTAAAATCTTGTCCCTCCCTGGGCTGTTGGCAGAGTAGCCCACACAATCAGCACATCTCATTGCCAACTGGCACCAGCTGCTGGACCCCTGCTTCTGGGTGATAAACACTGAAGAATGTGAACGTTACACCAGGAACACTTGTCATTCACTAGCTTCTGGCAGGAGCCAGTAGAATCCCTTCAAACCCCTTCCTGCATAACCCTTAAGCTACTTATCTCCTGGGCCACATCAGGTGATGTCATCAGATGTAGACGTGTATTTACAAGTTCATTACCCAAGACTTTGAAACTGTCTCCACCCCCATTCCCAAAATGAAGATGTTAACGTCCTCTTAGGAGAAAATGGAGAAGTGGCTTTCTCCAAAAGTCATTCTTACCCAGAAGACTATTGGGGGTAAACATTCAGGCCAGACCGAAGGTACTGTTGTCTTATGCTTTGATTTGGTTTGTTTTTCCTGTTTTCTGGTCAATTCCTGTGGCTCTTTTTCCTGGGGCCTGGCTTTGGAGGCAAGCCCAGGTCCATGACCTCCAGACCATGCAATCAAGCATGACTGGGATCTTCACTAAGAGGAGGCTGGAACCTGAGAGAGGTGCCTTCCATGAAGCTGGGAGAGCCCCACCAGCACTGGGCCATGGCTGTGGAGTTTGTGGAGACTGCCATCAATGAGATAATAATAATAAAGACACACTCAAATCTAAGTGGATAAAAGGCTTAGGCTGTATCCAGCTTTCTTTTAAGCACTTTACATAATTCATCTCATTTAAGGCTCCAAATAACATCATTGAAGACAAGATTGTATTCTAGACCCACACAATTTAGAGGATAGACAGAACCCAGGAACTTTCAAAATACCAGGGAAATGTCTTTTAAAGAGGCAGAGGCAGCTCCTAAAAAATATTCGATTCCCATACCTGTGAGACCTATGCAAGCACATTGGAAAAATGATATGCAATATAATACTTATTATATTGGTATTGTGGGGATTGTTGTTATAGTCATGTTATAGAAAACTAGCTCAACATAATAAAGGTTATATATAAAAAACCCACAGTTAACATCATATTCAATGGTGAAAGACTGAAATATTTTCCTGTAAGATCAGGTAGAAGAAAAGGATGCCCATTTTCACCACTTTTTCTCAACATTGTATGGGAAGACTGAGCCAGAGCAATGAATCAAGAAAAATAAATAAAAAGACATCCAAATGGCAAAATAGAAGTAAAATTATCTCTGCTCACAGATGACATGATCTTTTATGTAGAAAATCCTTTAGATCACATACATACACACAAACACACACACACACACACTCACACTTTAGTACCTTGAAGTGTTTCCAGTTCCTTCAAATAAAGTTAGGTTGTTGATGTCAGATCTTCTGTTTTAATGTGTTAACAGCTATAAATGTTTTTAAGTTAAAAATAAAAAAATGAATTCAGCAGGATAGAAAATTCAGAAAGTTGCAGGATTCAAAATTAACATGCAAAAATTAGTTCCATTTCTATACATTAACAATGAATAATCTGAAAAGGAAATTAAGAAAACAATCCCATTGACAATAGCATCAGAATAAATATTTTATTCTAAGAATAAAATACTTAGAAGCAAACATAAGGAGGTAAAAGATTTGTACACTGAAAGCTAAAAAAAAATTGCTGAAAGATATTTAAAGTATAAGTAAATGAAAGAAAAGTTCTGTGTTCATGAATTGGAAAACTTAATATTGCTAAGAAGTCAGTACTACCCAAAATGATCTACCAATTCAATAAAATCCCTGTAAAGATCCTAGTGACTTTTTGTGCACAAGTACAAAAATCTATTCTAAAATTATATGAATCTCAAAGGACCTCAAATAACCAGAGCAATCTTTAAAAAGAGGAACAAAACTGAAAGTCTTTCACTTCTTGATTTCAAAACTTACTACAAAACTGCAGTAATCAGGACCTCTACCTTTCACCATATACAGTCACCAACTCAAGATGGAGAGAAGATGTACATGTAAGACCTCAAACTAGAAGAATCCTAGAAGAAAACCTAGGAAACACCATTTTGGACATCGGCCTTGGGAAAGAATTTGTGACTAAGTCCTCAAAAGCAATTGCAACAAAAACAAAAAATGACAAGTGGGACCTAATTAAACTAAAGAACTTCTGCATAGCAAAAGAAACTGTCAACAGACAGCCTCCACAGTGGGAGGATATATTCACAAACTATGCATCTGACAAAGGTCTAGTATCTAGAATCTATAAAGAATTTAAGCAATTGAACAAGCAAAAAAAGACCCCATTAAGAGGTGGGCAAAAAACATGAACAGGCAAATTTTAAACAAAGACATATAAGCAGCCAATAAACATATGAAAAAGATGGTCATTGTCACTAATAATCAGAGAAATGGAAATCAAACCATAATGAGATACTATCTCACACCAGTCAGAATGACTTTTGTTAAAAAGTCAAAAAACACTGGGCAAGGTGGCTCACGCCTATAATCCCAACACTTTGAGATGCCAAGATGGGTGGATCACCTGAGGCCAGGAGTTAAAGAGCAGCCTGGCCAACATGGTGAAACCCTGTCTCTACTAAAAATACAAAAATTAGCCAGGGCTGGTGGCAGGCATCTGTAATCTCTCAGCCACCAGAGAGGCTGAGGCACGAGAATCATTTGAACCTGGGAGGCAGAGGCTGCAGTAAGCTGAGATTGTGCCACTGCATGCCAGCCTGGGCAACAGAGCAAAACTCTTTCTAAAAAAAAAAAAGTCAAAAAAAATATCAGATGCTGGTGAGGCTACAGAGAAAAGGGAGCACCTATACACTGTTGGTGGGGATGTCAATTAGTTCAGCCACTGTGGAAAGCAGTCTAGAGATTTCTCAAAGAACTTAAAATAGAACTGCCATTGGACCCAGCAATCCCATTACTGGGTATATACCCAAAAGAAAGCTAATTGTTCCACCAATAAGAGACACACGCACACACACACACACACACACACACACTTGTTCATTGGAGCACTATGCACAAGAGCAAAGATATAGAATCAACCTAGGTTCCAATCAACAGTGGATTGGATAAAGAAAATATGGTACATATACATCATAGAATACTACACAGCCAGTAAAAAGAATGAAATCATGTCCTTTGCAGCAATATGGATGCAGCTGGAGGCCATTATCCTAAGTAAATTAACACAGACACTGAAAACCAAATACTGCATGTTTTCATTTATAAGTGGGATGTAAATATCAGGACCTCATGGATATAAAGACAGCAACAATAGACACTGGGGACTACTAGAGAAAGGGGAGAGGTGGGTACGGGTTAAGAAAGTAACTTATGAGTGCTATTCTCAGTACCTGGGTGATGGGATCATTTACCATACCCCAAACCTCAGCATCACACAATAGAACCAGGTAAAAAATCTGTACATGTACCCCTGAATCTAAAATAAAAGTTGAAAAAACAAACTACAGTAATCAAAACATTGTACTTACATAAAGACAGACATACAGAATAATGGGATAGAATACAGAGTTCAGGTTTAAATTCTCACATATATGGTCAAATAATTTTGAATGAGGGTACCAAAACCATTCAACAAGGGTAAGGACAGTCTTTTTAACAAATGGCACTGGAAAAACACAATATTCACATGTAAAAGAACGAAGTTGAACCCCTACCTTAACTATATACAAAAATTAACTCAAAATGGATTAAAGACCTAAATGTAATTACTAAAACTATAAAACTCTTAGAAGAAAACATAGAGGAAACCTTCACATCATTGGATTTGGCAATGATTTATGGATATAGCAGTAAAAGCACAAACGACAAAAGAAAAAATCGATAAATTGGAATACTTCAAAATTTAAAAATGTTGTGCACCAAAGGACACTGTCAACAGAGTAAAAGCAATCCACAAAATGGAAGAAAATATTTGCAAATCCATATATCCAATAAGAGATTAATAGCCAGAATTTCTACAGATTTCACAACTGAAAAAAATGAAAACGAAAACAACCGGATTAAAACATTAGCAAAGGACTTGAGCAGACATTTCTCCAAAAAATATATACCAATTAACTTTATGGGATTTTTCCATCTTGGTAAGAACAGGCACTATTCACAGCTCTGAGTAAGCTTGGGGCATTGCTCAATCTAAATCTTTCAGATGCTTCTTTCCCCAGCCTTCAACAGAACCCATTAACAATTTGCTGAATATTTGAGGGGGACCCTCGGCATATCTTCAGAGCTCTCTTGCCCACTGTCTCCATGCACGTGTCTCCTCTTTGGTACTCATCCTATCAGTTCTAGTCAGTGGGTTCTCCCTGGACTCTCCACTCTGTGTCTTCAACTCAGAGTCTGCCAGGCTCCAGCTGGCTTCTCCTTCCTTGTATGTATTCTTTTTGCTTTTACAGAGAAATAAAGTGTCACATAATGCTAAGGTAAACAAAAACCCACCTTTCCAGTGCCATTTGTTAAACAGACTGTCCTTACTCTTGCCTGGAAACTCTCAAAGCAGTAACTGGGGCAATCATATGAGTTGCCTCATTTCTTCCCTGTCTCTCAGGGCTCCCTGTCCTCCATTGCCTGATGCTCCTTGTCTTGAAACTGTCATTTTATGTATTTGGTCTAGCTTTTTGGTTTTGTTTTGTTTTGTTTTGTTTTCAGGTGGGAATATAAATCCAGTCCCTGTTACTCCATCTTGCACAGAAACAGAGTTCTGCCCATGAATCTTTAAATTATGATTAAAAACAATCTTTCCTAAGGAAAGGAAGTAATTTTGGTGAGAGCTTTTCTTCCCCAGCGACATTTCAAAAGAAATGTGTGGCCAAGCATGTAACGGGATCTCCTCATGGGGAACTCTATCTCTGCTTGGTACCCGAGGAGAGGATCTGTGGCATGAAAGCAAAGCTATCTCTAAGTTGATGCTGCAGGAAGCAGAATCTCCCCAAGAACCAGAGGAGGCAGCCCCAATGTTCAAAAAAGCTCACCACCCATATGTGACCTCTCTTAGTTCCCATGCAGGAAACTGCTTCCACTGGATGGAGAAGATAAAGCCTTTAATCAGCAAGAGGTGGCAGATCATTCATTCATCCCTGCAAACCTGGGGTTAAATCACAGCTCATCCTTGGAGACAACTGAATCCAATCTTTTTGCTTTTACAGATAAATAAAATGTCACATAATGCTAAGGTAAACAAACACCTACATATCATGAGGTCAACATTTCCAGTGAGCCCTAGGGGTTATAGCAGTGGCTGAGAGGATTTTACAGAAGACAGGGAGGCCAGAGGGAAGACAGAGAGGACTCCAGGCCCATTCCTCCTTCAGTCAAAGCCGTTTATTTTATATGTGAAGAAGATTTCATCTGAAAAATCATGGATTTGATCCAACCGCTGCAATTTTCAGATGAAGAAGAAAAATCTGTAAAAGACTTACCCAGGGTCAGGCAGGAAGTTTAACATGCAGCCTGTGATCAGAACCCCGATCTCTTGCACCTCTGTGTGATACTTTTACATCTGGGTCACAGAAGGATGCTGGTGAATGGAACAGAGGCCACAGGGGTGGAAATCCCTGATTCCTAAGGCAAGATAATGCAGACTTCACAGACTTGTCATGAGGAACCAAGAAGCAGATGAATGCAGAATGCTTTGTGAAGAGTAAGAAGCAGCACAAACCCCAGGAATTTACAACAACTGTTCTTACCTACCAGACCACTGCCACCCAACTGGGCTGACAATTCCAAGCAGGCTGCTTCTCAATCCAGCATGGCACAGGACACCGACAGCCCCACCGGGGCATTTTAAATTTTGTCTTGATAATGGTTTTCTTCACAGCAGTTTGATCTGGGGATAACTCTGTCTACCATATGACTTCAAAGAAGCTATGCATGACCTGCAAGCTGAGTCCTTCCCAAGGTTGTGCTTGCAAGGGGAAAGGGAATACGAGAGGGGAGGATGCTGAGGATCTCCGTGGGCAAGGAGTCCCAGAGAAAGGTGTGAGTTTCCAAACAACAACCTGAGAGCATTGGGATACCTTGTCTGCTTCCTCAAAGCCAGCCCAGAAGTCTAATACAAATGGACTACCTGTGAGGCCCCAGAGCAGAGCTTCACAAACACCAAAGAACAGGTTTCCTATGCTCTCTGATCACTCTGCAATTAAGTTAGAAATCAATTGAAAATAAATGTATGTTCCTTTTGATATAGACAGTTGTGTGACCACATGAGGTTTGTACAGTCCCAGGACCCAACCCCAAAGGTTCTGGGTGAACCCCTGATTGAATGGTTATTGATTGACTAACAAATTGATGTTTTTGCTTGTTTGTATTTGTTGGAGTGAAACCTGTAGCCATGTTATGACCTCTGCTTAGACTGCAGAGCAGCTCAGCAAAGCACCGGTTTGTTTGTTTGTTTTTAATTCATCATCTACACACAATCTCTACATTTTTATAGACTATTTTAGAGGAGTTTTAGTTTCACAGAAAAATTGAGCAGAATCTTTTTTTAAATAAAAAACACATTGAAAGTAAAATAAACCTCAATTTTAGACCCAGTAAAAAAAACTACCAGGCATGCAATTTAGACGTCTTCATTCACACTTCTGCTTTCATTCACACTTCTGCCTTCATTCACACTTCTGCCTTCATTCACACTTCTGCTCAGCAAATGTGTGGTGAGGATGGTGCTGTGCAACGTACTAAGATGATGGGAGGACTGGTCCACAGCCGCGTGCAGGGCAACAGGGTGGAGTAAGTGCGCAGTGGTGGCTGCGCTTGAGGCTGTGGAATTTGGTGGCCAGGCCAGCCACCCCATGATAGAAATCTACCCGATACCGACGTACACAGTGAAAAGCCCCTTCTGCCGTGCACTGAAGCCACGATGATGTAAGTCCGAGCAGCCAGGTGCACAATGGGGGCCGTTCTCAAGGGCAGGGCATCTGGTCCCCATGAACATACTCAGGGACCAAACCTCAGCCATTGGAGGGGAAAGGAGCTCCCAGTTCAACACAACATCAACACTGGGATGGTCCAGTACAGCCCCCAGTGATTCATGTCTAAGCCCTATGGATGTCTGCAGCAAGGTGATAGAAGAGAAAAGGCTGCTTTACTATAAATCATTAGGGTGTAGCAATCACAGTTTGAGATCTGGCCTCCCAGGGAGGCTGAGGAGTGGCGGGCTTCCTCCAGAGATGGCAGGCTGGGTATCGGAACAGCACCTGGAAGGAGAAGCATGACACCTGGTGGAGAGCAAGGACCCGACAGCCAGGACCCAACCCGGACATGCCACAGGGAGCTCGGAGCAGCCTCAGGGACCCCGTCTACCCAGTGGGGGTGTGGCAGGAAGCAGTGACAGCCCATGGAATTTGACAAGTCCATGAGCACATGTGAGCTTCCCTCCTAAACCTGCCAGAAATTCTGGAGGGAATTTTACAGAGCCAACATCCGACAAGAATAGGTGGGGGAAGAAGCCATGGAATCATGGAATAGGGGCTGCTCTTTATGACAATGATCCCAACAGTTGGCGAGATGGATGGAAGTGTAACTTAGTGCTGTTGTGTTGTTAACTGGCATGGTCTTTGGGGTCAGACACACCCTCTGATCCCACTGTGCTACATGTGAGTTGTGTCACTGTCATAGGTAAATTTCAATCTCCCTTGAACTCCATTTTCTCCATCTGTTGAATGATAAGCTGCTATCTCTTGGGGCTGTTCTGAAAATCAAATGAGACCGAATTTCAAGGACTTAGAACAGATCAGGTGCTCAATAAGTGGCATCCAGGGTTTTCTTGAGTAGTTTGGTGGAACTGTTCCAGCTCAGAGTAGTAACAATAGACAAAGACACAAACTGTAGGTCAGCATGAAGGGGATGTGCTAGCTGCTCAGGAGGGGTCAAAGGGTGACTCCCAGTCGGGCTTTGGAGGCTTAAAGAGTTCAGCCTTAGTTGAACTTTAGGAGTTCCTCTAAAGCAGATGAGGCGGGGGGAAGGTTGCTACAGGCAGGGGAAGGCATGAAGGCCAAGTAACAGCAGCGTGGAACTTCAGAGAGCTCCCGGCTCTCCGATGTAGGAGACAGAGGGGTGAGCGGTGGGCTTCTAACCAGAGTGGAACAGAGAAGACAGGACAGGCCTCTGGATGCATGTGGGGAGAACTGGGGGGTGCTGGTCTTAGGCATATAAATAGTTTCCCTTTTCAATAAAGCAGCTCCCTAAATGTACAGCCCAGATATCAACTCAAACCCCAAGTCCCGCAGCTTCCCCAGGATTTCTGTCCATCCCTGACATCTGTGATTTCCTGGTGACTGCCACTCTAAGCTCCTCTCCTGAGCACTTGGCTTCACTCATCCTTTCTTCTCATTCATCATTATTATTCAGCCAGTATGTATTGAGGCTGTGGGAGTTGATCATAAAAATTGGATCATTCTTGTCACATCTGACTTAAACAGACTCAAGAGGCCTAGGGGAATGCACTCAGGGCACAAAACATTGCTCCAAAAATGTAATTGTCTGCAAGCCTGGCTGCGGAAACTGCCTATAACCTATATCTCATGGCTACTAAAACACCCTGACATGACTCTAAGACTAGTTTTACCCACTGCCATCACTCACCAAGCAGAGCCTGCCAGCTCCCCAAAACTTTACTCTTGTCAAAGAACATTCTAGAAAAAAAATCTAACATTTTACCTTTTTATAAAGCCTCCTACCTCCTCTTTGTCTTTGGACATCATACTGAAGACTACCCCATCTACATGTATGCCTTGCATTGCAATTCTCACATCCCAAATAAAATGTTACATTTAAGACATCCATCTCTACAGTTTTATTCTACCTTTAACAGTGCCTGCTATGTGTCAGGCACGGTTCTAACAAAAAAAAGTGCCCTGATGGAGGGAGGTGACATTCTAGTTGGGGGTGGAGGGTGGGGTAAGGAGAGACAGACAGCAAATAAACAGAAAGCAAAATATATTGAATGTCAGATAATGATCAGTGTCATGAAGAAAAAAATAATGCACTAGTGAGGATTAACAAGCAAAAGATGCAGCTAAAAACACTCTCTTCCTCCCTCCCCACCCACCTCATCTTCCTCTGTCCCGTTACCATGCAAAGCCTGCATTCTTGGTTCACCTTTGCTGCACTGGTCTTCTTTGGGTAATGGAACCCTGCGTGTACATCCTCCATCCCTAGAGGAGTGCTGAACTCAGCTACTCAGGGGAGCATGCTTATCTGGCATCCATTTCCAAAAAACACTTTCTCTATAAATAACATGGGCAATTAAATTGTTTAGAGCACCAAGGGTTTGCAGAGAACAAACATCATGTTGTTCACATTTGAGCTGGAAGGATTACTAAATGATTCCTGTTTTTCACTCTGATTGTTAAAACCTTGATAAGTCAGCTTATTTTTATTAACAGAATCACTGGGTTCCTCCTGATACGTGATGTTCAACTGAATTAACTGAGATTGGAGGCAAAGATTGGATGCAAGGAGTAACTGGGCTCACAACAAGTTTCTATTAACAGGCTAATTAAAGCAGGTTTTGATGGTTTTAGGAAATGTGGCCTCATCTGGGCGTGCAAACAAGGGCTCTGGGTCTGGAAGAACTAATAATAGCTGTTTGGCAACACTTTGCAGCAGAGCCTTGACACACTAGGTTGCTGGTAGCTTGCATTGTTCATCCCTCAGGAAAATATTTTTGTTTTGAAACTTACTAAACTGTTTTTGGTCTGTGGGGTGATGTTAATAGAAACAGGTTCTTTTCCTCCCTCTTAATCTTTTAAAGTTTGCCAAAATAATGGAAAATCCTGGGATACCAAACAACAAAACATTATCACTACCCTCCTGCCAATGGTTATAAAAAGACCATCCCCTAAGTTCTGTTCTCCTGATTGGAATGCTTGTCTGGAATAAGGTTATGACCTGAATATGCCTTCAACAGGCCGACTCATAATCAGGCCTTATATAAATTCTTAGGGATGTTAAGAAAAAGTATTTAAAATATGGAAATAAGGCCCCAAAGTGGGTGGCGCAATGTTTTATTACAATACTGGGGCCATATTTACTAAGGCCACATAAGGATTATTTAATTATCTAGGGAAATGCACCTGTGTTTGACCTGCCAGTTACTATTATTTGAGGCTATACACTGAGATCACATGATATTTTAGAGAACTTGTCTAGGAGAAATGCATATCATTTCTGTCCTGTAGGAAAATAATGCTAAAGATTACAGTTTTATTGCCCTGCAGGACATTAACCAACCAGTGTTACCTGTAAGTCAGCAAACACTTCAAGAAGTCTTTTCTGGTAGACTAAAACCTGTTCTATTTCTTTCTGAATCAACTTTATCATCTTATTTCTTCACTGATGAGCTGAGTGAAATATCTGACTTGGGTTCATTCTATATTTGTATGAGTCTTTTTTAACTTGTTGAAAACTGTACATTGACAGGAATGACAAATAACAAAAGTGGTGGCATATGACAGGCAGCAGCAATGTTCAACTTTACCTAAGCCTGAGACCTTGGAAAACACGGACACGTAAGAAAACCCCCACCCTCCTGTTCCTGGAAATGGCTTACTGCCGAAGCCTACCCTTCCCCATGTGGCTCGGATAAGACGCATGGATGACTCCTCGTTTACCCGTAACACACAGTCACAGACTCACCACCATTTCCATTCTTTGCCTCATAAATGATTAGCTGAATTGCCTGCCACAGTGACCAATCTGGACAAGATATCTTCTCATTTGAATTAACCAAACTTTGGTTAAGTTTCTCTCCTTCCCCCAGACGCACCCTCAGCCTAAGCCAGCATCAGAATGTGGACGGCCCCTCCTTGATGTTCCCTCCCGACATGAAGAGAACTGGCTGTCAGTTTCCTCATCAATTGTCCTTCTAGACCACCTGCGGGTCCCACTTCCCCACACCAATTCTTTCCAGCCTTGCTTTACTCTTCCCTTTCAAAGAAAACTCTTTTCTCCCTGCCTGATTTGGGAGACACTTGCAGATCCTGTCGTCTGTGCCTTTCCCATATTGAAATGGTCTTTCGGCGCAGCAGTGATCTTTTCCAGTAAAGTCTCTATAGCTAAGTCCTGATTTGTTCTTATTTGACCCTATTCTGACACTGCAAAGAGAAAGGACCCAACCCAGTGCTTTCACGGCAACCTGCTTTTCCTCTCCTCCCTGCCCCTCCTAGGAATCCAGACCCGGGACTACTTGATACTCAAGCTACTAGCCATGTGCCTGATAAGTGTCCTAAGTGGTTTTCTATAGAGTCTTTTTCCCCAAAATGTGGTTCAGGGAGCAAAACATCAAGGACACACGTCAGTTAGTTAGAATTCAGAATCTCACGCTCCACCCCAGACTCCCAGAATCAGAATCTGCATTTTAACAAGACCTCAGGGCGAAGCATGTGTACATGCAGGCGTGAGAAGCACTGCTGCAGGGCACACTGGCACAGGCCGCCCTAAATCCTTGCTCTCCCGGGGCTCTGTATCCAAGAGCAGTTTGTCTCAAATGGAAGGCCTTTCCAGCACAGCTGGTGCCTGCCAGGTGCTGTTCTCTGGGCTCCTGGGTGCTTACAGAGGCAGAGCTAAGTCTGAATACAAACATCGCATAAACCTCCTTTTATATGCTAATAAACCTCCTAGATTAAACAGCAAGCCTTTTGCAGGCACAATTCTCATTTTCTTTTTATGAAAGATGGTCACTAGGTCATTCTTAGACAACTTTACTTATTCTCTGCAACTTCCTTGCCTCCTTGCAGGAGAAACTTGGATTTCCAAAGCATTCAAAATGCATGGCCCAGCTGCTCCTCATATTGAAGTTGCGACCATGGGATTTGGCAACATTGAGCTCCGGCTCTGGGCATTGCTCTCACAGCTGAGAGTGACGCCCAGGCTCTGGCAGCCCAGACTTGTCATCCTGTAAATGAACAATCCCCAGTCCCCGGGCCTCATTTTATTCACTTGGCTGAGCTGCCTGTTTGCTTTCCGTTCTGTGCTCGCCAGCTCACTAAGCAAGAGGATCCGTGCCTGACTGCGTGGAGAAGCTGTAGAGGAAATGGCCACCCTGACTGTCCCAGCACCTCCCGGGGTGGCCCGGGGCCTGGGCCCTGAGCAGAACTGTGATAAAGGGAAGCAGGGAAGCAGTGCGAGAGCCCTGACCAGGTGCAGGAGCCTGATTCCGAATCCACCTCTGCCATGGGCAGATTGCATGATGCCATCAGAGCCCTCTAACCTCTGGCCTTCAGTTGTCACACCTGTAAAATGGGGAAATATTCTAAAGAAGTGGCTCAAAACCTGATCATCCATCAGCCTCCCCCCAAGAACATGGGGACAGTGCACATGGCAAGGCCCCATGCCCAGAGTTTCTGATTCCACAGTTTGGGATGAAGCCTAAGAATGCGCATTTCCAACAAGGCTTCTGGTGAGGCTGATGGCCCAGGGACCTCACTTTGGGAAGCTCTGTAGTAAATCCAGTTTCTCAGCCAGTCTGCTCTGTAGAGCTCCTGAGACAGACTCTTTCCCTAGGCCTCCCCTGAGGTTCTTACTTAAGCAAGTCTCCATTTTTCAAAAGCTCTGCCAGGTAACTCTATATGGCACTAGGGCTGAGAGGCACTGGGTGGATGTTTCTAAGATCCCACGTAGCTCTCACATGCCAGGATGCCATGATTTTGAAGCAGAGTGCCTCCTGCCTTGCCAAGGCTGACAGCACACACAGGGCAAAAGGCCATCGTCACATATTGGAATTTCACTCTTTGAAAACCTGGTAATCGTGTGTCCCATTTCAGCTCGAGCAGAGGTTCTCCAGAATGAGATCCTGCCCAGAAGCACCCATATCCCCTTGGAACTTGGCAGAAATGCAAGCTCTCAACCCCATTCCAGGTCCCCTGAACCAGAAACTCTGGGTTGAGAATGCAAGTATCTATGTCCTAAACACACTTGTGATGCTTCTAATTCAGCTAGTGTTGGAGAACCACTGACTTAAAGGAAGAGCTGTTTTTCTCTGTCCCAAATGCTCTGCTAGGAACACTCAGTGTGAACTCTGATCCCCAATGACAGCTGCCCTGGACTCCCTTCCTCAGACAGTGTGAAAGCCTGAAACGTGTTTAATTAATCACCTTAGAACCCAGCAGGAAAAAGGCTTCCAAAACCCACTGTCCTCAGAATTGCCCCTGTAGGGACCAAAGGACTCCAACTCGTCTGACCTGAAGCCCCATTGCATGGATGAAGAGGAGGCTGCTAGGTGGGGGCCGCTGAGGACTGAGAGGCCTTGGGCAGTTTCTTGTCTCCCTGGTGCATTAAGCCAAAGCTATCCACAGGGGTCAGAAGTTGTTGCCTGGAGAAGGTTTCACCATCAGTTCGATGTTATCTATTAACAAAAACAAAAACAACCCTACCCATGGCCGAGAGTTCTAACAGGTGGCTCCCCATGTCCAGGCCACATACTAGATCC